>NC_000005.10:39478123-40110648 GCF_000001405.40 Homo sapiens | reverse complement strand
TTTCCAAAGTTCTGGGTGTTCTGGGCTCAGAATGGGGAGTATCATACGAAGCCTGGCAGGGATAATGCCTTTATCTTCCCATTTTAAGGGAAAGAATGAGTTGAACCTCCTATGCAAAGTAGAATGATGATTCTCATTCTCCTGATAAGAAATAAAATAAGTAGCTTCCAGGCATTCCCTTCCACCAGAGGAGCAATTGTTTTTTAAATAGCCCTTTGGTGCCCAGTCTATTACTAAACCATATGAGTCATTTTTTAATATTACTGCATGTGAGTTAACACAATTTTCCCAAATTAAAGTTTTAGATGGGCCCTCAAAATTTTTAGGGCATGGTTTTCCTGCAGGTTTATATTGAAAATATGGAGTTATCTCCCATTACTCCTCCTTTCATTTGTTTTAAAGGAGAAAGGGAGAGGCCAGAGACCAAATGTCCTGTTTTATCTGTAGCTGATCTTTATGGAAGATAAGCAGCCCAGATTTGAGTTTCTAGATGCATAAAACCAGGTGCATGTCTGAGGCACAGAGGGGGATATTTGTAACCCATGTTAACATTAAATGCAGTGCCTTCTTCTCCTGGTTGAGAAGGGCAATGGTCATCTGTGCCTCCAGGCATCCACACACTGTGGTTAGTGTAGATTTCTGCAGGAGCATCTATCCAGGTGAGAGGTCGAATAAGTGGAGGAAAAGGCACATAAGCCCAATAAGAATAATCATGTGTAGCAGGTAAATCAGTGTGAGAGGAAACTGGTGAGACAGAAAGTATGAGGAGGAGAATCATTAAATAAAACCTAGTGTAAGTGAGATTGAGTGCTGAAGGAGGAAGGGAAGAACAGAGGGATTTTTTTTTAAGGCTAATAGAAACGGTGAGATTTTTAGGTTTGTAAGGAGAAAAAGAAAGGTAATTAGAAGTGGGATTAGTTAGATGGGTCTTCATTGCCATCAGGGAGGATTGATTTAAACCCATTGTGATTTGGTGTGCCTGTTTCTGAGGAGTTGGCACAGATCTCACCATGTCTGAGGGCAGTCTCTGACACAGACGTCTTTCCTCTGTGGTTTTCATTGTCAGTATTCACCCGAAGCTTGAGTCTTCTGGTGGGTACCCACACAGGGGATTGATGATCTCCTGGTGAAACACAAGCATATCCTCTTCCCCACGTTATAATTGTGCCAGGTTCCCAGGTATTGGTTTGGGAGTTTTTCCATAACACTGGCTTGCCTTCATTTAAGAAGAATTTTTTGCCTGTATAATGGCATTCAGCTGCAGTTAGAATATTATCTTTAGGAACATTTAAAAAATTTAAAGTAAACAATGCCAAATGTAATTGGAAGTGGGGAGTAGTTAAATCATGTTTTGGTTGTTCAGACTGTTTGGACAGTTGGGTTTTTAAAGTGCGATTGGCCCATTCCACCACAGCTTGTCCCTGAGGATTGCAAGGGATTCCAGTAATATGGGAAATTCCCCACTGTTGCATAAATGTATCAAAAGCCTTACTAACATATGCAGGGGCATTGTCTGTCTTTATTTGATATGGAAGCCCCATAACTGCAAAGCAAGAATACAGATGTTTTTTAACATGGGCCGTGCCTTCCCCTGTTTGGCAAGTAGCCCAGATAAAACCTGAGAAGGTATCTACAGAGACATGCACATATGACAGTCTGCCAAAGGAGCTAACATGAGTCACATCCATTTGCCATAAAGCATTAGGAGTTAGGCCTCTAGGATTAATGCCAGTTTCCTGATTTGGAAGTACGAAGACCTGGCACTGAGGGCAGCTGTGAACAATAAACTTAGCCTGTTTCCAGATAAGAGAAAATTTATCTTTTAATCCAGCAGCATTGACATGAGTGAGATTATGGAACTCCTGAGCTTCTTGGGTTGTAAAAGAGACCAAACAGTCGACTTTATGGTTACCGGCAGACATGGATCCTGGTAAAGTGGTATGAGATCTAATATGTGTAATATAGAAAGGGTGTCTACATTGGCAAGCCACCTGTTGTAACCTTGAAAATAAAGAAGCCAATTCAGAATTATCGATATGTTTGATAGTAGCAGTTTCTATATTTTTAGTGGCATGTACAACATAACAGAATCTGAGACAATATTGAAAGATTTGGGGAAATCCTGTAAGGCAGTAATCACAGCAATTAACTCCACCTTTTGAGCAGAAGTATAAGAGGTAGAAATAAGTTTGTCTGTAGGACCTATATAACCAGCATTGCCATTACTGGAGCCATCAGTGAACAATGGCTCAGTGAACAATGGCCTCAGGAATGGATTGATCTTTGGTTAATTGAGGAACCACCCAAGATGTCATTTGTATGAAATCAAACAATTTGTTTTTTGGATAGTGATTGTCAATAAGCCAATAAAATCAGCCAAGTGAATTTGCCACAGTACAGAATGTTGAAAGGGAGCTTGAACTTTGAGCTGATTTAAAGGAACTACAATTACATTTGGATCAAATCCAGAAATTTGAAGTATTCTGCACTGAGCCTGTCCAATTAATATGGCTATTTGGTCTAGATAAACAGATGAAGTTTTTGACACAGTATGAGGAAGAAAACACCACTCCACTAAATCATTATGTTGAATTATTAGTCCAGTAGGGGAGTGTAATGAAGCAAAAACCAGAAGCTGAAAAGGCTGAAACGGCTTTACTCTAGATAACTGGGCAGTCTGGATTCTTTCCTCTATGAATTCCAGTTCTAGTAAAGCCTCAGGGGTCAAAGTCCTGGGGCTGTGGAGATCGGAAGCTCCCCTCAGCGTAGAAAACAAGTTAGACAATGCATAGGTCGGAATGCCTAAAGTAGGTCTTAAATAATTAATGTTACCCAAAAGTTTTTGGAAGTCATTTAAAGTTTTTAAAGAATCTCTCCTAATTTGAACTTTTTGAGGTTGAATACATTGTTTATCGACCACCATTACTAAATATTGAACAGGAGTGGTCTGTTGAATTTTATCCTGAGCGATGTGTAATCCGGCCTCTGTAACACAGCGGTTCAAAATTTGGTAACAGTCAATTAATTCTTTATCTGTGGGGGCAGCAATTAAAATATCATCAATATAATGAAGAATATAGGCCTCAGGAAATTGGGCTCGAACTGGTGAAAGCACTTGTCCAACATAAAGCTGGCAGATTGTAGGGCTATTTAGCATTCCCTGAGGAAGTACTTTCCATTGATAACGAGCTGCAGGCTCCTGATTATTGATAGATGGTACAGTAAAAGCAAATTTCTCACAATCCTATTTATGTAAAGCAATATGAAAAAAACAATCTTTAAGATCAATAACTATGAGAGGCCAATTTTTAGGTATTAAAGCAGGGGCAGGCATGCCAGGTTGGACGGCCCCCATAGGTTTAATTACAGCGTTAATGCCCTTAAATCGGTTACCATCTGCCATGTGCCTGATTTCTTTTTTACTAGAAACACAGGATAATTCCAAGGGGAAAGAGAAGGTTCCACATTTCCAAGTAGTAACTGCTCAGAAACCAAGTGAGTTAAAGCCTCCAGTTTTTCTTTAGAAAGTGGCCACTGCTGAATCCAAACGGGTGTGTCAGATTTACACTGTAAAGGTATAGGATCAGGAGGTGTGGCAGCAGCCACCACTAAAAAGGATAACCTGTTTTCTTTTATAGTAACTGGGAGGAGTTTAGTAATCCCTTCATGCTTTGGACTAAGACCGAGTCCAGGAACAAACCCCCTATTTTCCATCATGTGCTGACTGGGAGCACTATAAGAGTTATGTGGAATATTAATTTCAGCCCCCCATTGTGCCAGTAAATCTCTACCCCAAATATTAATAGGAATTGTCATGATATAGGGCTGAATTGTACCCTTTTGACCATCAAGGCCAGTGCAAGGCAAGATAAATGTGCTCCCATAAACTTCCTCGGCCTTTCCAACACCTACTAGTCCCATGTTAGTGGGATGTTTAAGCCAAGAGGAAGGCCATAAACTAGAGGAAATAACAGAAACATCAGCACCAGTATCTACTAGGCCCTCAAACTTTCTTCCTTGAATGTGTATGGTGCAGGTGGGCCTTTGTTTAGAAATTACATTAATCCAATAAGCGGCCTTTTCACCTCTGGAGCCCATCCCAGGGCCACGTGTCTTATCTCCTTTGTTTAAAATGATATTAGGTAGTAAAAGCAATTGAGCGATTGACTCACCAGCCAGAATGGAAACAGGAACCTTGGCAGATGTGATTAATTTAATCTCATCAACAGAATCAGAATTAATGAGACCAGTATGAATGGTGATTCCTTTAGCAGAGCTAGATGCCCTACCTAACACCAGGCCCACTGAACCTTGAGGTAAAGGGCCAGTGGGGACAGTCAAAGGCAAAGAGTCAGGTAGTAAATTCAGAGGAATAGTACTACAGAGATCAACTGCCCCGCCTCCTACTGTGGAGGTGGACAAGCATTGTACTGAGACAGAAGGAGAGGCTGGAACCCATTTGGTTTGGCTGTAGGTAGATTTGTTTGTGCTGGGGGTTGCATTGGGATGGCCTGAAGTGGAAACACAACATCGGTCTGAGTTTGAAGCATCCCATTTGATGTCGGGGCCTGGGACAGGCCCCGCTCCCCATTTCCCTGGTGTTGTGGCAGGGGGTTTCCATCTATATCATACCTAGAGCAGCAAATATGTGCCCAATGTTTACCTTGCAACAACATGGGCAAACAGTAGGAGCAGCATTTGGCCATGTGTGTTGAGCCGGCTTGGCCACTTGTAAGTTTTTAACTGCAATTTTTTCGAGTATGACCAAGTTGGCCACAATTATAGCAGGCTCCAAGAGAATAATTAGTGGGACCAGTTTGGTTGGTGTCTTTCAAGGCCCGTGCCCACAGAATAGCTTTGTGGGTGTCTGATCCAATGCCTTCACAAGCTTTAATATATGCAGGCAACACCTCGTGATCAGGTAAATTTTGTCATTGGACAGAATGCATGGCCATTTTACATTCGTGGTTTGCATTTTCAAAAGCTAACATACGAAAGAGAATGCCTTCAGCATGCTCATCGGAGACAGATTTTTCAACAGCATCTTGTAATTTAGCTAAAAAATCAGGGTATAATTCAGAGTGACCTTGTTTAATCATGGTAAAAGAAACAGGAGCTTGGCCTGGAGCACGTAATTTATCCCAAGCTCTCATACACAACTTTGTTACTTGTTCTGTGGTAAGGGCATCAAAGTTTAATTGGACAGAAGTATCAGAGAAACTATCAGAGCCTGTGAGCTGCCTGAGTAACTAGAATGCCATTACTCCGATATAGCTGAGCCTGCAAACGGGCCTCCTCTGACCACCAGATAAAAAACTGTAAATGCTGAGATGGGGTTAGAACAGCTTTTGCCAAAAGGTCCCAATCTAAAGTAAGTAAAGTGACCTCCGTACAAAAAGTTGGTAAAACCATCTTAACGTAAGGAGAAGTAGGACCATACTGAGTACAAGCATCCTTAAATTCTTTTAAAAAGGTAAGATTAAGAGGTACATAACTATGCATTTGTAACCCTTGGAAGTTAGGTGGGTCTAGCGTGACCGAGTAAGTCCACACGTCTAATCCACTTGTTTCTTTGTTTTGGCATAATAAGCGTTGCATTGAAGTTTCAAGAGTAGGCATCTGAGACAGAGTTGGCATGGAAGTGACAGGAAAAGCATGTGTAGATAAGGAAAACTGAGGGTGAGAGGGTCAGACCAGGATGAGGGTGTGAGAAAGAGGCATTGGGGGAGCAGAAGGAGCAGAAGTATACTGGTGATTACTGGTGTTCACATGTGAAGAAGGGTGCAGAGAAGCAGGCTGAGTGGATGGTAAAGTGACCCATTGAGGAATTGAAATGACAGGAGGGTGAGGAGCTGAAGTGGACAGGGGAGGGCCTGCAGAAATATAGGTAAATTGTAGTTTGGTCCCAGAGCCACTAGGTGATTCCGGAGGTTTGAGAAGAGAACAATTAGCATATACATGATCCTGGGCTGTGTGTCGGGGCCACAGGAGTTACACGTACCAGCTCTTCATGAAAAGAAATAAGATCATCAGGGGGTGACCATAAGTCAAAGTCACCAGAGTTAGACATTGAATTCTCTACACTGTCAGGTAGGGGAGGAGTAGCTGGAGGGAGAGGCTGATCAGATAACGAAGGCCGTGCAGGAGAGGAAGGTTGAGGAAAAGGTGGAGGATCATCAGATTCAGAAAACTGTAGTAACTGTAGGGGGTCACGGGATTGGCATGTCATCAGGACATCACATACCAAGGCCCAGTCACCCCAAACAGTGATGGGAACATAATTCCCTGTGGAGACCAGTTCCCTGAACCAACACAATCCCATAGTTCTACATCTAAGGTTCCTTTTTCAGGAAACCAAGGACAGTATTCCTCTACTGCCCTGAATAGAGTGACCATATTTTCCATAGGCACTCAAACACTGCCCTGTTTTAACAGAAGTTTAATATAGCAGAGATAAGCATGATGCTTAGACTCCGCATGACCCATAGTTATCCCGGACCATACACAGACCACTCACCAGTTTCCAGGGAGTCAAATACACATTTCTGTGAACCAGACGGAAGATGTTTCACCACACCTACCAAAGGGAATTAGGTTCCCACATGCACTTAGGAAAAAAGAAAGACCACATGGGTGCCAGATATTGGGGGAAATTCAGCCAGATATCAGGCAAAATTCACCCCTGATATTTCACATAGGTTCTTTTCTATTTTCCCTAAGCATCAGCTGGGTTGAGAATGGGACAGAGTACAAAAGAGAGAAATTTTTAAAACTGGGATTCCAGGGGAGACATCACATGTCAGTAGTTTCCTTGATGCCCCACAAGCTGCAAAACCAGTAAGTTTTTATTAGGGATTTTAAAAGGGGAGAGAATGCATGAATAGGGTGTGGGTCACAGAGATCACGTGCTTCACAAGGTAATAGAATATCACAAGGCAAATCGAGGCAGGGTGAGATAACAAGACCATAGGACCCAGGCAAAATTAAAATTGCTAATGAAGTTTCAGGCACAATTGTCATTGATAACATCTTATCAGGAGACAGAGTTTGAGAGCAACCGGTCTGACCAAAATTTGTTAGGTGGGAATTTCCTCATCCTAATAAGCCTGGGAGCACTATGGGAGACTGGGGCTTATTTCATCCCTACAGTCTCGACCATAGAAGACGGCCACACCCAAGGGGGCCATTTTAGTGGCCCACCCTCAGGGGGCGCATTCTCTTTCTTAGGGATGTTCCTTGCTGAGAAAAAGAATTCAGTGATATTTCTCCCATTTGCTTTTGAAAGAAGAGAAATGTGGCTCTCTTCCACCTGGCTCACTGGTGGTCAGAGTTTAAGATTATCTCTCTTATTCTCTGAACATTGCTGTTATCCTGTTCTTTTTTCAAGATGCCCAGATTTCATATTGTTCAAACACACATGCTCTACAATTTGTGCAGTTAACGCAATCATCACAGGGTCCTGAGGCGACATACATCCTCCTTGGCTCACAAGATGACAGGATTAAGAGATTAAAGTAAAGACAGGCATAGGAAATCACAAGGGTATTGATTGGGGAAGTGATAAGTGTCCATGAAATCTTCACAATTTATGTTTAGAGATTGCAGTAAAGACAGGCATAAGAAATTAAAGAAGTATTAATTTGGGGAACTAATAAATGTCCATGAAATCTTCACAATCCACATTCTTCTGCCATGGCTTCAGCCGGTCCCTCCATTCAGGGTCCCTGTCTTCCCACAACAAAACAAACCATCTCAGAAAAATGGGGTACTCTGTTACACAGGAACTAAGATAAGAGTCTGCAGGTAGTGGATCCTACTGAAACATGAAAAGTTCCCTTATGCCCTTTGCAGGGCATGAGATGAACATGTGGCTCACTTCTTCAGTGCCCTGAAGCTCAAACCCCTAGTGGGAGCATGCAAACCAACAGGTCCTGGGGAATATTTTTGGGCTCCAACCCCATGGCAGTAACTACGGTTGAGTGTTTAGAGCTCCCAAAGCCCCAGTGAGCATGTGTTACAGTTTGCTATTTCAGCTTGGCCATCTGGAGGCAGCTTGTGTTAATCAGCTCAATTAGACCCTCTCCCTTATAGCATAGATAGAGGGCTTTCTGTATCCTGCGGTTCTTGCCTTAGTGTACCAGAAAAATCAGATCATGTGTGGGGTTGGAGGATGGGTGCAAGGCTTTTTATTAAGTGCTGGAAGTAGCTCTCAGCAGATGGATGGGGAGCCATAAGGGGGATAGAGTGGGAAGGTGGTCTTCCCCTGGAGTTGGACGCCTCAGTGACTGGACTCTTCTCTGACCACCCCGGCCAAATTCTATGTCATCTGCTTCGTTCTACTATCGGTGGCCTTCCAAAGTCTGTCAGTTTGTTCTTCTGCTGGTGTGTTCTGCTTAATGTCCAGCCACTTGTGTGTGTGCCCGCCAGAGCCTTGGGGTTTTTATAGGCATGACGGGGGCATAGTGGGCCAGAATGGTCTTGGAAAGTGCAACATTTGGGCATGAAAACAGGAGTGATTGTCCTAGCTTAGATCCATGAGCAGAGGCCCAAGGGTGGAGCCCTTCCCAGGGACACTGCCGTTCTCTACCCAGAACTTCCCTGCTCCCCTCTTATATCACTGCAAGAAACTCCTTTCTTTTCTGCTTCTGCCTTTAGCATAGCTGTGAAACTTGATCATAGAGATGGTGAGAAATTGTCTTTTTGTAATGTAGCCTACAGATTTACCAATGGGAGGGAAATGCCTGCATATCTGGTAATAGCATAGTGATTTCCATTTTTTCTGTCTTACAAGTATTTCTGGAATACAGGATAGTGCTCTTTTAACATCTGAAGAGCCAACTCTTCAATTCTCATTTTCATAATCTTAGTTCATCTGCTTGACTAATAGCTAAATTCTCCTTAAATAACTGATATCATAAGAAATCTTTTCTTCTACAAATGCTCATTATGAGCAGGAATATTCCTTGTATCTCTTTTTATCCACTGGAGAACTCTTCATATAATAGACATTTATTAACAGTTAATAAAGGGCTGGGCACGGTGGCTCAAGCCTGTAATCCCAGCACTTAATTTTTATATATTGACTTTGTAACTTGCAACATTGCTGAATGTGCCTATTAGTTGTATATTAGTTTTTGTAGATTCCTTAGAGTTTTCTATGTACCTGATCTTGTTGTCTGCAAACAGTTTTCTTTCCTTCCAATATCTATGTCTTTCATTTCTTTTTCTTGCTTTATGTAGTGTTAGCTATCCTAATATGACATTTAATGGATATAGTGAAAAGGCCATTCTTACCTTTTTCCCAATATTAGGTAGAAAATATTAAATCATTCAATATTATATGATTTTAATATATAGTCTTTTAATAATTTGATGACTTTTCATTTTATTCCTAGTTTGTTGAGAGTTTTTATCATAAGGTAAGTTGAATTTTGCCAAATGCTTTTTCTATATCAATCATATTGTTTGGTATTTTGTGTAAGTCAATCTAGAGAGTTACATTGATTCATTTTCAAATGTTAAGCCATCATTGTATTATTGTCATGAGCCTCACTTGGTAATGAAGCATTACTTTTTATTATTCACTGGATTCAATTTGCTAAAATTTTCTTAAGCAATTTTGACTATCTCTTTATGAGGGATATTATTCTGGAGTTTTCTTTCCTAGAAATGTGATGCTTGATAAAATGAGTTGTGAAATATTTCTTTTTCTGAATTTTCTAAGAGTTAATGTAGGCCAGGCACGGTTGCTCATGCGTGTAATCCCAGCACTTTGGGAGGCCAAGGCGGGTGGATCACGAGGTCAGGAGATCGAGACCATCCTGGCTAACACAGTGAAACCCTGTCTCTACTAAAAAAAAAATACAAAAAATTAGCTGGGCGTGGTGGCGGGCACCTGTAGTCCCAGCTACTTGGGAGGCTGAGGCAGGAGAATGGCGTGAACCCAGGAGGCGGAGCTTGCAGTGAGCCGAGATCGTGCCACTGCACTCCAGCCTGGGTGACAGAGTGAGACCCTGTCTCAAAAAAAAAAAAAAGTTAATAAATTCATTTTAATTGTACTTATTGTGTATCTAATATTAGAATTAGCAAGTATAACATGGCTAGTATTAGCAAGTATCAAAAGGCAAAAGGAAAGAATATAAATACAAGTATCAAACACAAGTATCAATACAAGTATCAAAACTAGTATTAGCAAGTATTAAATGGCAAAAAGAAAGATGATGGATTGGATATAAAAGAGTTGGTGAATATATTTTTTAAATAGACTGTTGTATATCAAGAAGAAATCTTTCACTAATGTCACTAAAGGGTGAATTGTCATTATAACCAAGAAAGTAGCTTAGCTGGTTGTGTGTTAGCAATAATTTTTACTGGTCAAGGTGGCTTTATTCAAACCTGGGCCAAGTGTGCATTTTAAAAGGGATGCACTTCGTGGTGAATTCCAGTGTCCCTACCACATTCTATCCTCTAGTGCCAGCTTACACATTAGAAGCATCCATTGGATGATGCTATCATGGTACCTTTCTGTTTTCTCAGCTGATTCTATCCAAAGTTGTCATATCCAGAGTACCAATATTTTGTGAGTTTTCTAATTAAAAATCAAAGAACTAACAGCTATGTAATGTGGCTAATCATCAGGAAACAGAGGCGGTTACATTTACCTCACTAAATAGTTTAGTTTATTTTAATTATAATTAGAATTAGTAAATAACTCAGTTATTACTCCCTTCTTCAAATTAGGTTTTCAGATTTTCACTCTCTGCCTCTTTCAAAGGGCATTCAACACCCTGTTTGATGTCTCAAAGGGAGGGCTGGCTGGCTGCTGAAATTCTAAATTTCTGCCTTTGTGAAAACAACTCTCTTTAGATCTAGATGCAAAAATAAAAATGTGATCAGGTCCCATTAATGTATACAGTAGTATTGCCATATAAGCCTCTCTCCCACAAGTGATATCACTAAATTCTCACTGAATACTTTTCTAGGTCAATGTCTTCCCTTCCCTCTTCAAGAATAAAGTAGATTGAATGTTGAAACTTTCATGTTGAAAAATCCTATTTTCTATTTTCATGAAGAAACTGTCACTAATCTCATAAGGAACTGTATTGAATGAAATTCTAGTCTCTTTATCCTCATCATTGAATTTGAAAATTTTTCCTCCTTTTCTTAGCCTTTCCAGCTTTCTTTTTATTTTTTCTCTTGTCTCTTCTTCTCACTCTTCATCTTCTCTTTCTCTCTCAAGGTCCAAGGCTCTCTCAGTCTTCTATGTTGGCCACTGGTGAGTAAATTTTTAATTGTTGTGGGAGGTAGAGTTCCTGCCATTTTCTCCACTCCAGTTTTATAAGAAAACACAGTTGCTATTATAGCTTGATTTCTTATTTGAACTTTTGTTTATCCTTTATTAGTTAAAACTTATGATAGAAAGGATGAAAAATTAGGCATCCCTGTTACCAGAAAGGGGTCTCAATCCAGACCCCAAAAGAAGGTTATTGGAACTCATTCAAGAAAGAACTTGGAGTGAGTCCATAGAATAAAGTGAAAGCAGGTTTATTAAGAAGTAAAGGAATAAAAGAATGGCTACTCCAGAGACACAGCAGCAGCTTGGGCTGCTGGACTAAGGATACTTATAGTTATTTCCTGATTATATGCTAAACAAACTGCGGATTATTCATGAGTTTTTCAGGAAAGAGGTGGGCAATTCCCAGAACTGAGGGCTCCTACCACCTTTTTTTTAGCATGCTAATGCATTATAATTAGCATATAATGAGCAATGAGGATGAATAGAGGTCATCAATCTCATCTCAGTTCTGGTGGGTTTTGGCTGGCTTCTTGCCTGCAACTTATTTTATCAGCAAGTTCTTTGTGACCTGTATCTTGTGCCGAGCTCCTATTTCATCCTGTGACATAGAATGCCTAGCCTTCTGGGAATGCAGCCAAGTAGGCATCAACCTTATTTTACCAGCCTCTATACAAGATGGAGTTGCTTTGGTTCAAACACCTCTGACATAACCTCCACTCTGGAGGAGGTAGTACACTTGATGGGGTTTCCTGGAGAATGATTTGGGTATTGTATATTAATCTGCTGTTAGGGTTTATACATGGTTTACAAGCAGAAGCTATTCAATCAGTCTCTGAGTATATCATCCACACAGCTGTTCCTGGATAAGCATTTCTTTATTAGAATAATTTTTTCATAGACTTGTAGAGAGCTTTTCCTTTTGTTACTTTAATGTAAAAAATTATGGTGTCTCATTGAATAAGATTTATGTCACCTTCTACTGTCAGCCAAAACTGTGGCAATCCAAGATTAGCAAGAAAGTTGTTAATGTACTTCTAAGACCCCTAGGTCTTCCTGGTTTTTCATTCTTGCTTTTTAATGTACTTCTAAGACCCCTAGGTCTTCCTGGTTTTTCATTCTTGCTTTCTCTGTCCATTTATGTGTTTCCATTTGAAATTTAAATAGAAAAATTCCTTTCTCAGAGTGGTTAGGTTTAAACCTCAAGATATTTAATTATCTTTGACTGACTAGATGCTTCTATTAATACATTCATTTAGGTGAGGCTATCAATTGTTAATTATCTTAACCTTATTTACTTTACTATGCTGTCATCCCCATATCTTTTCAAGAAGAAAAAAGGTGACTTGAGGCTATAGATCCAAATACATCAATAGATTATTTGTTGGTTTTTTCTTAAGTTTGATACAATGCTTCTCATTCCATGCTTAAATTTTACTGTATACAATCAAATCTCTCTGAACAAATTTGGACAAGAAACCAATGATTATTTAGGGGTAAAAACTGTGGTTTGTGGTCATGCAATTGTTGGGATAGAAAATATGTGGTGGTCAAGTTTTGACTAGATTTTATTTGTCAAGTGGGTTACTTATATCTACAAGGTCTTTCATTCATGTTACCTCTCTATAATGTGGCTTTAAATTATCTGCTAGAAATGGATTGGAGCATATGACATTCTTTTTTTCTTTCATAGTATCTGTTTTCTGTACAGGGAAACATGCAACCATGTCCTCTTTTACAATAACCGTAATGATCATTGCAGTATGAATTTTGTCATAAAGAAGAAAATATGGGTCCCTCTGGTAATATTGTTGTTCAAAATATTTGTTTTCTCTCCCTAGAATAATTATAATTTAGAGCTCTTTCTTGCAGGAGGATTACTTTTCTGTCCTCTTGAAGTTACAACTGGATGCAGAACTTGATCTGGACACCAAAATGTCAGTAGAAGTGATATGAGATACTTCTGACCAGAAGTTTTGTGAAAAAGTTCATTGTTGCCAACCTCTTCTCCCCCTGCAAGAACCCAAGTAGAGGCTATCCTCAATCTGTGTAAGTGAGAAATAAACTGTTGTTTCCAGTCATTGATATCTTTTGTATTGTTTTATACTGTAGAAAGTGTACACCAAACCGATTATTAAAACCCCTTTGATGTAGCAATTACACTTCTGGATATTTATTCCCAGAAATAACTTGAAAAAGTGTGTAATTATGCAGGAATAGAGATGCTCATCATATTTTTAAAAATTAGACAAAAAAGTTAGAACCCAAACTTATTAATAGTTATTTCATTGATTAATAGCATACCCATACAGTGGAAAACTGTGCTGCTATTAAAATTATGATGGCATATATTTATATATATAATACTTTATTTAAGTCACATATAATTATATATGTGTATACACACACAAACACATCTGTTGTTAAATTCTCTTGTTAAATTAAAATGGAGATCAGGCCTGAAGAATCCCTGAGAAGTCAAAGCCAGTTAGACCTCATGAGTGACCTTAACCTTGCTAGATTTGCAAACATAAGCAACTTAATTTGAGCTACTTTTTTCTAAATGCCTATGTTAAAGAAAAACAGAACTTAAGTTTAACCAATCAGAAGCAACCAAAAACCTTATAATTATACAACAACTATATAAGTAGAGAATTTCTAAAGGGATAGAACAATTAAGATGACTGTCTTAACTGTGATAAATCAAATATTTTCTTTGTTTTACTTTTGTGTTTATCATATAAAAGCCTCCTCTTTGTGTTTCCTTGGTGGAGCTCCTTGGTGGAATTCTAGGTTGGAGCTGTCCAATTAGAGAATTGCTGTTTGCTCAAATAAGCTCTTTAAAATTTTATTGCACCTTAGTTTATCTTTTTAATACTGAGTGTAAATGTATATGCATGTATATATGTGTCTGTGTGTGTGTGTATAAAATGTGGAGGGATGTTCAACATTCCTAAGTAAAAAATGAGATTATAAAATAACACATGTATTATGATTCTGTTTTAACAAAATAATATATTCACCAGAAAGAATATATACTAAGTACCAAAAATATTTATAGGACTATAGTCAAGTTATAATAAACATCAAAGATAGACCAAAAGAAGAAGAGAAACCATAAAATTGTGCTGGGAAGGCTGAAAGGCATGTGTAGGCTGAAAAACATGCTGAGCTCTTAGCTTTACCCTTTAAATAATGTGGACAAAGTACAGGTGTAAAACTGAGTTGTCAATGCTTTTTCCTTCTCTTCTAGTCACTGCCTTTAGGAATCTAAGTCACAGATGCAATTTGGATGCAATGCATTTTTGAACACAAGCCTAAAGATAAATAAATTGAATGTTGAAACTAAAACCAGCTCCAGGATAATTTATGATTCAAATCAGAGTACACAAAAATAAATGTTCCCCAAAGGCTTTACCATCCATTAGCAGCAAACTTCTCTGTCTTATATACTCTTTATTGTTTACTGTTTACTTGCTTGCTGTTTATCCTTCTTGTATTTATTCCCAGGTTCTAAAATTAGAATCGCAAAAGATATCCAATATAATACTTGTTAAATGAACAATTCATCTAATTTTCTCTAAAGCTATATCTACTTTTGAATTCTACGGCTTAATTTCTGATCACAAACACTATCTACGTGGGACAATATAGTTTATTAAATATAGTGCTTGCTACCATGGCTTCTGCCTATCCTGGGCTTGTTTGTCCTTAGATTCTTTCTTCCTCTGCTCACTTCTGTATTACAGGAAAGCTGGCTTCTAGAGACTGCAATTCCCAGGCACCCATGACAACTGGCTTCAGACTAGGACTTGTCAGCAGGAAGCACCAGCAGAATATTTGAGAGTGAACAAAGGAAAAAGCCAGGACACTTCTTTCCCTCCTATTTGTCCTGTGCAGCATTTTCCCATATATCTCTGTGAATCCTGCTTCTACTCATGAGGCCCATGGGATTCCAGATTCTATCAGGTGACTCTGGCTCTGGGATTCAAATAACATCATCCTCTCTCTTTGAATTTCCATCCCAGGGGTGTTAATGATTTCCTTTTGTTGCTAATTCTAGGTGGCCTCAGTCTTCTATTACCCATGTAAACAGTCCCCGGCATTAAGATACCCTCCATTGTAATTAATGTGGATTATGTTTTCCTGTTTGGACTCTGTAAAAATGACTGCAAAATGACTACAAAAGTATATTTACCAATTGTTTAGTTTAAAATATGATTTGCTACCATAGTGAAGGAAAAGTGAGATTTGATTTATGGTAGTTTTTTGTTTTAATTTCAAAGACTTTGCAATAAAAATCAATTTTAAGGGAAAATCTCAAAATTTTCTTTCTTAAAACAAAACTTTCTCAAGAATTGAAAGTTAACTTTTTCTTTTTCCATGTGAGGTCATTTTGAGGATGGGAAAGAACTATGTTTACATGATTTTAAATAAGTAGAACTCCTCTTTCTTGCTTACTCTAAGGGTGCCATTGATGTTATGGACATTATTGATTACTGAAATAGAGATGACCACCTTTCCAGTGGTATGAGTCACAGAGGTGTCTAGCAGATGTCAATCTAGGCAATTCTCTTTGTGTTCTCTTTGTGTCTGGTCCTCATAAATTTGTGAAGGGTCCCATTCTGAGTCAAAGCCTTGGGTTCTAACTGATCACCATCCTGGCTCTTGGCTCTCCCTTTCTTTGCTTGAAAAAATATGAATTCCATTTCCAGGCCATATATTCCAAGTCATGTCTTCAATATTAGCCACATCCACCCTGTGGCTTCATTTTCAAATTTCATTCTTGCAGTGCTTGAACTTCAGATCATAATTACTGTGTTCTCTCAAAAAGAAGTGAATCTCAGTGAGCTTGAGATGTGCCCTATATTTGTACACAGTTAACACATACCCCACGTCATTATATTTCCATTAGAGCTCTAATAGTGTGTGTCAGGCAAAACGTTTTAAAATAAAACATGGTTTACTTGTATTTGGAAAGGTTGTATTATATAATGGTTAAGATCTTGGGCATGTGGTTTTGAAACCCCACTTTGACATTTTACTAGGTCTGGGAACTTGAACAAGTTACTTACCATCAAGTCTTTATTGCATCATCTATAAAACAGAGACTTAAAAATTCACAATACCTAATGACATCTTTGGGATTTAAACAAAATATTATATAAAGAATTTAGCATAGTACCTGGAACATTGGAACATAGTAAACACTCAAGTCATGTAAGCTATGATAAGGATGACGCTGTTGGTGATGATGTCTGTATAACACAGTCTAATGAGGAGGCTGATAAAAATAGCTAACTATGGCCCGGTATATTTTAAGTTCTTTGCAGAACTGGCATATATTTATTTATAAGCATATTTCTATATATGAGTTTTTATATATTTGGTTTTCTTGTAGCATGGAGACCACAGAATAGTTAAAACATTTCCAGAAAAAAGGTTATAGCCAAATAAGGCCCTATTTTCTCTTGTTTTTATTAAGTCAAGTAGAAATCTATTGAAGTGAAAAATAATAACAGAGCAAGTGTGGTGCTACTTAAAAGGTGCAAACTAATCTTAAGACACAACACAGACATTCTCCTGTCTAGTCAGGGCATTCTTCTCGGTGTAATACAATGCAGGACAAACAAGTTCAGTCATGACGAACCTCTTCTCTGGGCTGCCTTATATTGGAAGGGAACAAAACTGGCAATTCTATTCCAGTGGAGGATATACTTTCCACTTTGTCCTTAATGCTCCTCAAATTCTACCTGATTTGGAGAATAAAGTAATCATTCAAAGACCTTACATTTCCTATGTTCAATCTGGCTTAAATTTACATACTCTGATTTCCCACACTGCCAGCCTCTCTTTCTTCATTTCATTTGCAATTTAATCTTCTTTTTCCTGACTTTCTGAACTTTAAACAATGTCCTTAGGCTCTGCCCCAGCTCCTCTTCATTTATCACTCCATGCTTTCTTTTCCTAGGCAATCTAATAGCTGCACCCATAGTCATCCCTCCACTGACAACTTTCAAGTTTATGTATTTCATTTTTGGCTTCTGAGCACAAACCCATACATTCATCTAACATGCTTCAAATAGTATATGTTACCCTCACCTACTCTAAATGGGTGTCTTTTGTGGACTCGGAGAATCTGAGACAGGTCTCAGTTAATTTAGATATTTTATTTTGCCAAGGTTAAGGACACACACCCATGACACAGCCTCAGGAAATCCTGACATGTGTTCATGGTGGTTGGGGCACAGCTTGGTTTTGTACATTTTAGGAAGACATGAGTCATCAATCAATATATGTAAGAAGTACATTGGTTTAGTCTGGAAAGGTAAGAAAACTTGAAGCAAACACAGAAACACTCGAAGCGGGGAGGGGGCTTCCAGGTCATAGATAGCTAAAAGACAAATGGTTGCATTCTTTTGAGTTTCTGATTGGCCTTTCCAATGGAGGCAATCAGATATGCATTTATCTGAGTGAGCAGAACAATAACTTTGAATAGAATGGGAGGCAGATTTTCCCTAAGTATTTCCCAGCTTGAGTTTTTCCCTTTAGCTTAGTAATTTTGAGGGCCCAAGATATTTTCCTTTTACATTTCCCCCTCTTTTCTTTTAAAAAATCTTTTTGAGAAAGGATTTTAGAAGAAAATGAGTCTCTGGTCCCAGGTCTCATCTTATCTCTCATGGCTAGGATGGTTTATTGCTGTACAGATAGGTCTAGAGTTATCAGGAAAGTTCATTTTTAGAAAGTTATGAAGTCTCATGTCCTATGAAGAGAAAATAGTGGGAGGAAGGGAGAAAAACAACAACAAATAAAAGAACAATCCTGGAAAATGATATAGGCCACATTACTCTGAAGTCTATACATCACTAGGCAGGTATGAAAGTGGCTTATATATGTAAATCGATTGCTGTTACTTTCTTCTGAAGTTTAAGTTGTCTGGATTCAGTTTGCAGGGCTTTAACAAACCACAGCTTAGTTTTCAGTGACTCCAAATTTTAAAAAATGCAAAAAAAGAGAGGAAAAAAATTGAAAACATTATTTTGAAGAATTGTACCCAAGAAAAATTAGAATTCAGTCCAAACTGTAGAAAATAAGAAGAATTGAAAAAGATTAGGCAAGACTAGAATCTAACAACAGGCGTCCTATAGTTTTTGAAACATAGTTTTGTTCTCTCCAGTTTTCTATTTTTACTAAGAACAAATCATGGTAGGACCAATTTTCTTTATTATACTTGGCCAGATTATTTATATAAAGTGCAGAAAGAATAATTATTTTTCACATAGGCATTTTAAAAATTGGCTTTGATGAAACTTTATTCCATAGAAGGAATGTCAGATAAGATTTTTTAAATGCTGATTCCAGTCATGAATTTGTACCATCAAATACCTATGAGTTGGGTGAGTTTCCTCCCCTTTTGAGGTCCCAAGATAAACCTAGTATTTCTAGGCCTGTTGGAACGTGACGTTCTTTACTTACCACAGGTCAGAGACCCTGTGCAGGACTGGATACACAAAATATGAGGCCAGTTTTTCCAAGGGCTTTATTGGCTTCATATGTCAAGTTTGAATCCTTAAAGGAAAGCACACCATTCCAGTCAAAGCTTTGATAAAATAATCATTTCCTCCAATTGTATCCTGCTACAAATGAAAACGGATTCTTATTGCACTTATGCAAATAACTGTATTGCCATAAGTTAAGAATACTCACAAATAGTTTCCAGATCTGGATAAATCAGGTAGAGAGAAACAAATATGCCCCAAATTTAATAGGAGTATAATAAATTGCTAAAAACTGTCAATAGCTCAAAAGAGAGGTTTCAAGACTCTGAAAAATAAAAAAAAGGATTAGCCACATTTTAGGCAAAAAGTCAAAAAGATTGGTTCAGTCCATACAGTTAATTCCTGTTCTGCTTGATACTCATGAACATTTTAGCTGTCCATGAGTCCTGAAAATTTTTCCTCTATTCTGATGTCACAATCTCCAAAGTTATCAGAAACCTGCGTTCATGAGCACCCGTTAGAGTTTTGTAGCTGATTATAAAACCACCTTCTAAAGAAGACCAAAACAAGACAACAATTGTCCATGGATAGCAAAACATTTTAGGCCAGACATAGACAAAGACATAATTGATGAGGAAACTTGTTACCTCTGTGTCACACAATAATTTTAACATAACAATTATGATAATTACTGATGCTAAGTCATATCAGAATTACAGGTGTTTCCCATAATTTTGGAACACACACCAATATTTATACAAATACAGCCCCAAAAAACCAAACAGCATTTCATATTTGACAATGCTTCCTGATAATTTTTATACTAAATAAGCCAAATTATGTCATTTCTGGACTTTAGGGAACCTAATATCTTAAAGGATTAATTAAGAAAAAGACATACATAATTTATAATTTGATTTTGGAAAGTTTATCAAATATCAAAGATTTAAAACATTTGATATCGACTGGGTGTGGTGGCTCACGCCTGTAATCCCAGCACTTTAGGAGGCTGAGGCAGGTGGATCACAAGGTCAGGAGATCGAGATCATCCTGGCTAACACGGTGAAACCCCATCTCTACTAAAAATACAAAAAATTAGCCAGGCGTGGTTGTGGGTGCCTGTAGTCCCAGCACTCGGGAGGCTGAGGCAGGAGAAGGGCGTGAACTGGGAGGCGGAGCTTGCAGTGAGCTGAGATTGCACCACTGCTCTCTAGCCTGGGTGACAGAGTGAGACTCCATCTCAAAAAAAAAAAAAAACACTTGATATCACAAAATAGGACTTCAGGCCATTGTAGAGTCATTCATTTAATCAAATGATAACTCAAGCATTTTTTTAAAAAAGCAAAAATCTTCATTCTTTGAGAGGAGAGACTTAATTTTCCAAACAAGAAGCCCTAATAAAAACAGGATGAAGTCAATTAAATGTTTTTCAAAATTTTGTAAACAATCTATAAAATTTTAATATTGATCACAAGCTATAACTTCATAAGCCTTTATAACCTTTATTAAGAAATTGGTTAATGCTTCAAGAAAACCTTGTTAATCTGATACAGGGCTCCATATGCTGGTCTTGCATCAGTGTGCTTTGACATTAATCATTAATTTATAGAGAAACTTAACTTATTTTATCTCTTGAAATTGAGCTTTACAATTTCACATGTCCACCTCTTCTTCTCACATGCCCTGGGCCTTGAGGAGTTGGCTTTAATTTCTGGCCTTGTGTCTCAGGAATGCAGTTTATTTTGATTGGCATCTTCTGTGGGGCCTGAAGATGAGGCTTCACTTGCTGTCAGTGTTTAAGATTTCACAAGACTTCATGTCCTTTTCAGACCTAGGAGTCAAAGCAGTGTAACTTAATGTCACAAGTATTTTAAAAGCACATACAGAAAGATACATGGATGTAATAACATTAATTAAAAAAATAAATCTCAATTTTTCCCAAGCAAACCAAACTTAATAATAATGGCATAGAAATTATTTCGATAAAACATAAAACCTGTTAGGCCAGTTACCAAAAGGCAAATAAAAAACCTTGTGCAGTGCACAGAATATTGTATTGGAAGAATAAAATTTCTTTAGACCTTTAATAAAACATGTCTTTTAAAAGGGTAGAGAAAGCTGAAAAACAATGAGATTCAATAAAAGTTGAACTTTGGGTTAAAAAGAAATTAAAATCTCTTATAATTTGTTAAGAGAAAATCAACCTCTTAAGAAAATTTCATGTTGTAACCAATAGTTTGGTGTATAAGGATTTTTTTACATCAAGCCCAATCTCTAGAAAGAGCATTATAATTTCCCTTTAATTATAAACAACTTAATCATTTAAATTTGTTTTGTTTTGTTTTGTTATATTTTTGTTAATAAATCCTCTTATTATGACTTACACAGACCATTCATGATATGCTTGGACTTTCTGGTTTGTCTTGTACATCCCTTTTTCTTAAACAACCAGTCTTTCTATTTTAGGACTACATTTACCATACAAGATTCTTTCTCATATACAATTATTTCTCTTTAAGCTTTCTTACCACACAAAAAAACCTCTTTATTTTTATAACTTTCTTTACATCTTTCTTATTTCTGGGTTCCTTCACCTTGTTTTATACATAAATACAAATAAGCTTTGAATTAGACAAAACTTGTTCATCTTTTTTTAAAAAGGACACACTTTTTTTAAGCAAGAATGTTTTCCTACAATATATTTTTATTGGAAAATACTCAATGAAGTATCTATTATTTAATATAACTTTATATTCTAAATTATAACAAGTTTGTGTACAAGTATTTATCCCATTACATTTACCAAATTATTTTAATTGTTTGCCTAGATTATTTACGAAAACTGCAATAGCCATGATTTAAAGTTATGAAACTGCCATTGTAAAATTATAACTGAGACAGTGAAAAAGATATGACCTAACTGACTTCATCTTGCTTCTAACCTCCAAGCTGTCCTTGTTTATTCCTGGACTTTGGGAGGAACTTAGTTTATAGTTTAGCTTTGAAACAAAAACAATAACAGTCCTTTCTCAAAACAAACCTCCATAATGACTGTGGACTTGACTGCCTAAAGCCACAAGATGCAAAGTTATGGTAATCTTACTAAATTCAAGATGTAGATATTTTTTATTAAACCAGTATCAATGTCTTATTTATTAAGATTACACAAGAAAAGATCACTCTGTCTTGGGCTAGGTTTATAGCTTTGTAACCCCTTTGCCAAAATTTGACACCTTATAGTATTTGGCAGGGATAAGGATGAAATTACTTGATTAATAAATGTAAACAAAAGTATTGCCAGGCATGGTGGCTCATGCCTGTAATCCCAGCACTTTGGGAGGCCAAGGCAGGTGGATCACCTGAGGTCAGGAGTTCAAGACCAGCCTTACCAACATAGTGAAACCGTATCTCTAATAAAAATACAAAAAAATTAGCCAGGCGTGCTGGTGCACGCCTGTAATCCCCGCTACTTCATGGACTGAGGCAGGATAATCACTTGAACCAGTAAGGTGGAAGTTGCAGTGAGTAGAGGTCGCACCACTGCACTCCAGCCTGGGCAACAAGAGTGAAACCCCATCTCAAAAATAGATAAAAATAAATGTAAACAAAAATGTATGTTGGAAATTCTTAAGACATTTCTAATATTACTTTACCAATAATTTTAAAGCTAGCTTATTTATTAAAGATTTTACTTAAGTCACATAAACTTGAAAAAACATTTGACTAGTCTTTCCTTTTTCTGATAAAGTATTTGATTTAAGCACTTTTATTTTTCTGCAAGCCAATTAATTGGAGTTCTTTTATGTATTTTCACTAGTGAAACGTTGTGTGCACAACACATAACTACACAGATGTATTAGCCATGCCAATAGAAGTACATCTTATAGATTCCTAAAGACCTTTTTTGTTTCTCCTTAGACTTTCAGATTCCTGATAACCTGTTTCACAACCCCAGGCATTTTTCAGCTAAATAGCCTTAAATTTTCGTATTAAAGGAAACAACTCAGGTGAAAATCAAATAGCAAATGTACGTCAGAATGTACACAGAAAAAGTCTGGTGGTGCTAGAGGGAGATTAAAGATGGATGCCAAATCAAACTTAAAATTGTAGAAATCTATCATAGGATTGTAGAAGGAGACCAGTTTCATTTAGATGGGGACTACCGATCTTTTAACTGGATCTCTGAGCTCTGGGCATAGGCTACTCTGAATCCTGGGTCTTCCAAAATGGAGAATTATTTTGAGGTTAGACCACATAATGCTTTTATGGTGCACTTAACAAAATAATTTTTTTAACAGAGTGTCTAACTGCACTCTTCCTTTAAAAACCCCAGGGCAGCCTCTGTTGCAATAGCTATTAATAAAGAAAATATAATTCAGTCAACTGAGAAGAAAAAAACTTTTGCTCAAAAAAAGGACAAGGTCCTTTTTTCTCTAAAAAACAAAAACAGAAACAGAAATAAAACCATGAAGACCTTTTAAATGCAAACACACACATGCACACATACAAACACACATCTTGAATGTTAGCTTTTAATTAAGCTGACTTTTAACCATCAAGCTCCTTAAAAAAATCTTTTTAAATCTCATTACTATATTTCAGCTAGGAAAAATTGCCCTTATTTCAGAAGTACCAAGCATCACACCAGAAAGGGCTTGATTTAGGAACCAAACCTAGGCTGTCATGGTGGAAAAAAAGAAGGCAGAACCTTAGCTATTGAACTGCAGTGTGAAGGGGGACAACCATTTCTTTCACTTTGGCTTGGCTAGCAAAAAGGTGGCCTTGTTATGTAAATAAATCTCCTTAAGTAGTCAAAATAAAAAAAAATCTCTCTTTTTTTTTCTTTTGTTGGCTGTTTTATTCTCCCACTATCCCACCTTTGTATGTGTCTGTGTGTGTGTGTGTGTGTGTGTGTGTGTGTGTGTGGTTGTGGGGGTGGTGTAGAATTTAGCCACTTTAGAGGCCTTGTTTCCTATAATTTGGAACTTTCCTTTAGATTTGATCAAGTTGGATAGAATTGGTCAAATCCAATGGGAAAAAGACTGAAACAACAACAAAAGCAGAATTGAACAAACAACAAAGAAATAACAATGATAGAGGTAAACACATTAGTGGTCCCAGGGTTTACATGCAGGAGAAAGGATAGGTGTGGTTATAAAAAGGTAACATGAGGGAGTTTTGTGATGGTGTATTCTAGTATATTAACTGGGATGGTGGTAACACAAGGTTACGCATGTGATAAAATTGCATAGAGATACACACACACAAACACACACACACAGAAGTGCATGAATAACTGGTGAAATCTGAATAAACCATGGATTATATCAAAGTTAACTTTTATTTTTGGTATTATACTATAGTTGTGTAGAGTGCAATCATGCAATTGGGAAGTAGAGGGAGTTTTATTTATTCATTTTTAATTTGTATACCTTTTATTTCCTTTTCTTGCCCTATTGCCACAGCTAGAACTTCTCGTATTATGTTAAGTAAGTATAGTGAGAATGAATATTCTTAACTTGTTTCCAATATTAGTGATAAAGCATTCAGTCTTTCACAAAATATGATGTTAGTTGTAGTTTTTTGTTTTGTTTTATTTCTTGGTAGATGTTTTACTAAGGTTGAGAAAGCCTGTTTTATGACCTAGGACATGTTCTGTTTTGGTAAATTTTCTATAGGTATTTTTTTAAAAGTGTGCCCATTAACCATCCCCAATCCCCACTCCCCCAACACTTTCCAGCCTCTGGTAACCATCATTCTACTCTCTATGTTCTTGAGTTCAATTGTTTTGATTTTTAAATCCCACATGTAAGTGAGGACATGTGATGTCTGTCTCTCTGTGTCTGGCTTATGAGTGTTCTGCTGTTGGATCTTGTTGATTGATGGTGATGTTCAGCTTTTTTTTATACCCATGCTGATTTTCTTCCTAATAGTTGTATCAATTGCTGCGAATTTGTCTATACAAATTGAGTTTACATAGACAAACTATAGTTGTGAGTTTGTCTGTTTCTTCATTCAGCTTTATTAATATTTGCTTCATGTCACTTGAAGTTCTGTTGTTTGGTTCATACACTTGTAGGGTTGCTACATTTTCTTGACAGATTTATCCTTGGCCCTAATAATTTTCTTTGCTTTGAAATCTACTTTACCTGATATTAACATAGTTACTCAGGCTTTATAAAACTTAATTTTACATAATACATTTTCCACCCTTTTATATTCAACTTAATTATATCATTATGTTTGAAGTGGGTTTTCAATAAATATCATATATTTGAGTAATTTTTAAATTTACTTCGACAATATATTTTATTTGGTATATTTAGACCATTTACATTTAAAGTAATTATTGATATGTCAGTGCTTAAGTTTGCTTGTTATTTGTTATTGTCTGTCTGTGCCCTGTGTCTTTTTATTCTTGCCACTCTGTAGGTTACTTGAACATTTTGGATGTCCGTTGTAGTTTTTTTGAGTACATTATTTTGTTTAGTTGTCTAGTGATTGGTCTAGGTATTCCCATATAAATATGTAATTTAACACAGCCTACTAATTTTGACGCTATCATTTTGAAATATAAAAACTTTACTTTCATTTAGGACCTTTTATCCTCCCCACTTTCTATGTGTAATTGTCTTAAATATAACATCTATATACATTGAGCAACATGTCAGATGGTGTTTTATCTTTTGCTTCAAACATAAGATGTAAGTGAGGAATCTCGTGAGGCAAAAGCAGCTTATTATGTTTATCTCTATTTTTACTCATTCTGTTGTTCCTGTTTTCTTTGAAGTGTTCAGCTGTCTCTGTTGTCATTTTGTTTGGAGAGCTTTTATTTGACCTTTCTTTGGGTACATCTGATAGAAACAGGTTCTCTTAGCTTCCCTTCATCTGAGGTTGTATATATTTTCATTTTATTCCAGGAGAATAGTTTTGCTGGATATATGATTCAGTACTGACAGTTCTTTTCTTTTAGTGCTTAAAAGTATTGTGCCATTTCCTTTTGCCCTCCATGGTTTCAGATGATATATCTGTCATTCAACTTGATTGACATCCTTCTATGTGTAGTACATCATTTCTCTCTGGCTATTTTGAAGATAACTTCCTAGCTTTTGTTTCTCAGAGGCTTGTTTATGATGTGTTGGTGTGCATTTCTTTGGGTTTATTTATACAGGATTAGCTAAGGTTCTCACATCTGTCGGTTTATGTATTTTGACAAATTTTGAAGTTTTAAAGTTTTACATCTTTTAGGTAGTAAAATATGCATAACATAAATGTACAATTTTAGCTACTTTTAAGTGTATAGTTCAGGGGCATTAAGTACATTTATATTGTTATGCAATTATCCCCACCATCTGTCTCTAGAACTTTTCATCTTCTCAAACTGAAACTCCGTACCCAGTAATCAATAACTCATCATTCCAACCTCCCAGCAGTCCCTAGAAACCACCATTCTAATTTCTATTTTTATGAATTTGATTACTCTAGGCACCTAATATAAGTAGAATAATACAATGTTTGTCCTTTTGTGACTGTCTTATTTCACTTAGCATAATGAGCTCAAGGTTCATCCATGTTGTAGTATAGCTCAAAATTTCCTTCCTTTTAAGGCTGAGGAATATTCCGCATTTTGTTTATCCAGTCATCAATAGATACTAGGATTGTGTTCATCTTTTGGCTATCCCGAATAGTGCTACAATTAACATAGGGATACAAATATCTATTTGATTGCCTGTTTTCAATTGTTTTGGATGTGTACCCACAAGAGGAATTGCTGAATCATATTGTTATTCTATGTTTTATTTTGATAAACTGCCATACCATTTTCTGTAGTGTCTGCATCATTTAATGTTCTCACTGGCAATACACAGTGGTTTCAATTTATTCACATTTTTTGCCAACACTTGTGATTTTCTTGTTTTTCTTTTGTGTGTGTGTGTGTGTGTGATAATAGCTATCCTAATGGATGTGATATCTTATTGTGGTTTTGATTTGCACTTTAAAATAATTAGTGATGTTGAGCATCTTTTTATGTACTTACTTGTTATGTATATCTTCTTTAGAGAAATGTCTATTCAGGTTCTTTCTCCATTTTTTTTAAATCATGTTGTTTGTGGTTTTGTTGTTGAATATCAGGCATTCTTATATATTCTGGACATGAATATCTCATCAGGTATATAATCTATAAATATGTTTTCCCATTCCATGGGTTGTCTTTGACTCTGTATATAGTGTCCTTTGGTGCATTAAACAGCATTATCTCCAATACTTTTTTAGTCCTACTTTTTGTGCTCTTCTTCTGGAACTCCGATGATATTACTGTTAAATCTTTTGTTATTGTTCCACAAATCCATGAAGTTCTGCTCATTTTTTCCCATCAACTTCTTTCTTTTGTTTAGATTGAGTAAATTCTATTTATGTTTTTCCAAGTTTACTAATTGTATCCTCTGTGCTAACCAATCTGCTATTGAGATCATCTGGCAAGTTTTTATTTTGATTATTTTATTTTCAGTTCTACAATTTCCTCTTTGTTCTTTCTTACCACTTCTATTTCTTTCCTTACATTATATATATATATATATATATATATATATAATGTAAAGTTTTAAGAAGAACTTGTATTTGATTACCAAAGCATTTTGATAACAATTTTAAAAAAATTCTTGTCAGGTAATCTCAGTATCTAATTTACCTCAGTATTGAGGTGATTACCTTGTCTTCTCAGCTGATTTTCTTTTCTCATCCATATGGTGGTTTTCTTGGTCTCAGATATGATTAATGATTTTCAATTGTATAATGGATATGATTTTAAATTATTACATCAGGAAACTTTTGATCCCATCTATTTTAACAAATAGCTTGTTTAGATGTAGTGTTTAAGTTCTGGCTTATTTTCGTGGGCTTTAGTTTCAGTAACAGTTTATCTTTCAGAGTCTTTGCAAGGCTACTGTGGTCTGCTTCATTTTTTCTGGTGCTGTTGAGGCTCTGTTATGCACTGAATTGTGTCCCCCCACGCCAAATTCATACAGCGAATTCCTAATCCCCAAAGTGATGGCATTTCCAGATAGGGTCTTTAGGTGTAATTAGAGTTAGAAAAGTTTATGAGGTTGGAGCTCTTATGATGGAATTAGTGGTTTTATAAGAAGGGAAAGAAAGAGGAAGCAATCTGTCTCCACCATGTGAGGACACAGAGAGAATGCAGCTACCTACAAGTTAGGAAGAGAGCCCTCCCTAGCAATCAAATTGACTAGTACCTTGATCTGGGATTTCCCAGCCTCCAGAACTGTGAGAAATAAAAGTCTATTACTTAAGCCACTCAGTCTATGGTATTTTGTAATAGCAGCCTGAGCTGACTAACACAGGCTCCCACTCAGTTCCTGAAGGTGCAATATACAGGTATGCAATGTTCTTCCTTTGGCTACTTGGTACCTCTGGACCATTTTTTGAAGGCGGATATGAGGGAAAAAGCCACTAAACTTGATCTCCTTATGCTCCTAGGTAGAAGGCTGAGAGACACAGGCCTCTGCTTATGCTGCTCCTGTCATGGATAGGACTGATGATGGGAGTTGGGAGCCGGGTTGTGGAGTGAGGACTGAATAGTTGGAGTCCTGTTCCTGCTGCCGGAGAATTGACTGACTGCCAGGTCCAGGTTGTGGCTCTCTACTAGGTCTCTGTTGTCCATTGCTTTTCCCACTCCTTGGCCAGAGAGGGCAGGCTTTTCTTTGTGTGTATGTGTTTTGGTTTTATTCTGCCTATGCCTCTTGGTGGTTCTGAGTTTTTGACCTCTCCCAGACCTGGGAGTATTTGGAAGATCAATCTGGGAGCATATGCAAGATCAAAAGAAAACCTAAGAAATTCATCAGGACATTCCTCATGTCCTGCGAGTTTCCTTGCAGCCCACCTTTGTTTTTCCTCCCTAGCTAGTTATTGCCACTCCTTCAGTTTGCTTTCAGTCTTTTATCATTGTCTCATGAATAATTTTATCATTATCCCATGAATAATTTTATCATTGTCTCATAGGTATTTAGTTACCTTCATAGGGAAGAAACGAGAGAAACGATTTTATACCATCTTGCTCTAGAATAGGAGCCAGAATAATATTTTAAGAAAATAACTCTAGCTGGGCACAGTAGCTCATGCCTGTAGTCCCAGCTACTCAGGAGGCTAAGGCTGGAGGATCACTTGAGCCCAGGAGTTCAAGGTTACAGTGGCCTATGATCATGCCACTGCACTCCAGCCTGAGTGACAGAGCAATACCCTATCTCTTAAAAAAAAAAAAAAAAAAAGTAAAGCTATTCATACTGCTTTATTCCCTATTAGCATCACTGTAAGCTATTCACAGGCTTTCTGAATTCTATTCACATGCTTCTCTGTTTCTCTTCTTTCTGCATGGGCCATTTTTCTTCTCCCTTCACAATCCTCCATCTAGTTTTCTCAGCAGTCCATTACCTATCCATTAATTCCTATACATTTTATAGTGCTCTGCTCAAATATAATTTCCTCAAGGAAGTCTTCTCTGATGCTCCACACCAGATCCACTCACCCTGTTATACACTCTCACAATTACTGAATTCTCCATTTTCATCCATCACAAATAAAATTAAACAAATGAATTGTATAATCAATTGTTTAATATCTCTATTCATTACTAGAATGTAAATTCTTAGAGGGCAGGGCTTGGATTTATCTGTACCCCCAGTGCATACCAAATATCTGAATATATAAAGGTATTTTATTACTTAAATTTTAAAAATTCAATAAACATCTAGGATTTTATATTTTCAGAAAGCCTTGCAGTAATTAATTAAATAATTATAAAAACCATTCTAAAAGTTTAAGAAATAAAAATTTACATAGTAGTTAGGATGCAGCTGTCCTCTTTTCAAGCCTTGGTCTGAGGATGGTCAGTTTATGAAAATTCCTCTCACTCACAGGGAAAGGTAATAGTAAGAATCCTTCTCTTTCTGTTTTCATGGAAAGTCAATGATTTAGTTCTAAAGAGAGGCATTCATCAATATCTTTCACAGTAATTTATTATAATCAACCAGACACAGAACAAGATGCTGGAGAAACACTGGTGAACAAGGTGGACACACTCCTTCTTTGATGAAACTTATGGTTGGAAAATATAGAGATTATCTGCATGGAGAAATCATGTAGATCAACAGCTATGGTATTTCTTACTTGAAAATTCGTTTTACTTTCTAATATTTCTAATTTTTACATAGCTGAGAGAGAGAAAATAAAATTTTTTGAACAATGAACAACAGAGTTAAGAGGAAAGCAGCATGTTGGAAGCACTATGTTGAGAAGTTCAGAGGCAGTGATTTTTCCTAATCTGTAGGGGATTTAGTGCATTCTGTTTGGATTAGTAGCTTTAATAATACAGGAAGAGGATCTCAAGTCACAATGCATTGCATAATGTTATTCAGGAAATCACATGTAAAATTTAATGCCACCACCAATGTAAAATTGCTTTTATTTCCTTAGCAGAGTTTATAAACTGGATTTTTGTTCCAGTAAATTCACTGCAACAGTAGTGGTAAATAGGAACTAACAGTGATAGTTCCCTAGCATTTCCTAACATTAAATAAAACAAAACTCCAGACCCTTAAAGATTGTTTTCTACCATGGTTCCTTTGGTAATAAATTCAGTAATAAATTAACCTTGGTTCACTTGTTTGCCAGCATTCCAGTGAGAAGAGTGAATTCCAACACTTCACTTTCTTGGTCTTGACATATGAAAAAGTGGTTGAAAAGTGGTTGAAAGATGCTCAGTATGCTTTTTTATATTGATATTTCAGATTGCAGCCTTTTTACTTTTGTTAAAATCATTATGACGTCAACTGGGGGGAATATTTCATATTGGTTGTTTTAAAGGGAACATGATACAATTTAGGATTATTATAACAAATCTCTTAATATGCTATAATCTCAGTCAATCCATTAATTTAACACATGAACAATTTGATTTCTTTTGGCCATTTGAGTTGACAGGCTGTGCAAATTTACAGGTTAAATGAAATCAGTTAATAGCATAAAAATTTGTATTTGAAACCAGGATTATTGGATTTGAGGATAATAATCACTCATTTCTTCTTCCCCATTTTAAGTTTGGCACCAGAGTTAGAGAAATGGAGGTCAAAGAATCAACTCAGCTATGTGGCTGAAATAAATGACCACAAGCAGAATTCTTTCAATCAAACTTTAAGATGATCTGCTTAACTGTGGTTGTTTTAAAGTAGGTACACAGAGTATCTGACACTCTTTCCTTCAAAAAGTGAAATCTAATTCTGCTCTTCTTGAGTGTGAATAAATTCAATGACTTTCTTTTAAAAAGGAAAATGTGGCAGAAGTGATATGTGATTTTTGACATTCAGCCGTAAAAGTCATTGTGACTTCCTCCTTACTCTTTATCATAGATTGCGCACTCTTAGGGAAGGCAGTTGCCATATCGTGAGGCTTCTCAGCCAACCTTGGAGAAGTCCACGTGGTGAGGAATGCAGGCTTTCTGCCAATAGCTATACGAGGAACCAGCTTAGAAGCAGAACCTCTGAGAAGTCTGGCTCTTGATTACAAATCTATGTGTAATTTTACAGGACTGACCATTAAGAAATGACAAAGGTTTACTGAGAAAGCGTCATAGGGGAAAGTTGTCCTCCCCACACCAAACTTGGTGCACAGGCAGTGCATTGCAGTCTCTGAAGCAGGTTGTAGTCAAGGACTCAAGCCTGCTGGTGGGTCAAGCTCTTCAGCTATTTGCATTGCTAACGGTGGTGCAACATTCATTCCTAGGACATGAGATCTGAGCCCTTAGGCAGAGGTCCTCTTCAGGTGGCTCTGCAGAGGCCTCCCTATTAGAGAATGCGAAGGAAACATTGAAGAAACATTCCCCTACTCTGACATGGTACTTGGAATTTTTCCACTCCTAGCCCTCCCTCCTCATCAACCCCAGTGTCTATATAACTGCTAGATCCTTTTGTTTGGGTCTCTTTCAACAGTGAGACAACCCCCATTTCTGTGCTAATTCACCTGACCCTTGACCAGTATGTCATTCCATGGGGTAAGTTGTGAGGGGCAAATTATTGCTTTCTCCATATTTTTACTTTTGATTATACCAACACAGGTTTTAAAGACTTCACTATCATTTTTGTTTTGTTGCATCACTATCATTTTTGTTTTGTTGAATCAATTGGCTACTCCAACATCTGATAACTTAGCAATTTTTCTCTCCAGCTGAACTGAGCTCCTGAAAATCTCCAGCCCAAGTCAATCCTGCAAATGACTACAGGCTTGACCAGCATCTTGACTATAATATCATGAGAAACCTTGAGCCAGAACCACCTAGTTGGGCCAAGCTCAGATTTTGGACCCTAAAAAGTCATGTGAGATAATAAATGTTTGTTGTTTCAAGCTACTAAGTTATGGGGTAATTTGGTATGCAGCAATATATAACTAATATACCCAGTGAGAAGTCTGGCAAGAAAATGACTTAGGAAGGTATTAGAAAGGTTTCTCTAAGGAAGTAATAATTTAACTTAGACGGAAAAGATACTACGAGCTAACTAGAGGAAGTAGGAAAGATGTGGCTAGGTCAGAGTTGTCCCAGCCTAAGGGATATAACATGTGCTTACCCAGAATTCCTCCCTCACAACTACAAAGCTTACATAAGACAAGGAAAGCAAAGTCAGCCAAGCATGTGTCTTCAGAAGGCTGACCCTGATGACCTTAATTTTTGGAATCAGGGCCTGCATGATACACCCTATTTCTTGGTAAGAAGATTCCAAGGATAGAGGGGAAAAGGCTCAATTGTATATGCTCACGTTCTTCTCTCAATATCACCCTCAGGAAAGTCGTTCATTTTTCCAAGAGGTAGCAGATAAAGGGAAGAGAAATCACCTCAAAAAGTGGTTGGACCAGGGTTCTAGTGAATTTGTTTTCCACATGTTGCTACAATAGTCAACATCCTGGGGAAAATGTGCAGCTTATGATATCAGCAATGTTCCTATGTGTCTTTGTCCATTCAGGCTGCTGGAACAAAATACCAAAAGCTGAATGGTTTATGAAGCACAAACATTTATTTCTCACAATTCTGGAGGCTGGGAAGTTCAAGGGCAAGACGCTGGCAGATTCTATGTCTGGTGAGGGTAAGCTCTTCATAGATGGCCCCTTCTTGCTGTGCCCTCCATAGTGGAAGGAGCAGAGCCGCTTTTTGGGCCTCTTTTATAAGAAACTAGTCATATCTATGAGAAATTCACCTTCATAACCTAATACTTTCTATGCCTTATCTCTACTATAGCATTGGGGATTAGGTTTCAACATATGAATTTTAGGGGGATGCAGACACTCAGAACATAGCACTACAATATTTTGGGCACCAGTGAGTATGACTCTGAGCAGAGAGTAAAAGAAAACCTTTGATAAAATTATGAGCATGTTCCTTTGTCAGGAATGAAGTGCTAAGTTTATTTCTGTGACTCTTCTATTTAAAACTAATTTATCTTTGGTCAATTCTCTGTTTTCTTTTGTTGAGACACTAAAAGCATAGTAATTAACTTGAAGGAAAAGAGAAAAGTGTGAATTCCATAAATGTACTTTCATCAAGTTCTTTACATTCAGCTTTCATCTGTCATAGTACCAAGCTGTACTATTAATTCATTATATTCATTTGACAAATGTTTATTCAGGGACTACTATGTGTTGGACTCTTGCTAGGCATGATGGATGCAATGCTTAGCAAAATAAAAAAACATAATTTCTGCCATTACAAAGTTTATAGTGAGAACAACACATGTCAATCAAATGATTATAACAAATAAGTATAAAATTGTATTTCCACTGTGATATCCACTAAAAAGGGAAATTACTTCGGTCAATTCAACCAAAATCTGAAAGGCAAGTAGGAAAGTCAGAAAGGTCTAGATAGAGAACAAGGTGTTCCAGCATAAGGAGGCAGCCTGTGTGAATGACCCCTTGAAGGAAGCAGTATGATGTGGTCAATCATGGCGGGTAGATAAGACCTACTTGTGTCTGAACCTAATTAAGAACTAGCTTGAGGGTTAATCTGGCTTTTCCAAAAATTTTATTTTTCTGGACTGAAAAAAAAACTGACTCCAGTAATGGAAATTTATTTTCCTAGAATATTTCAATGCCAGCTGTTGAAAAAATGAAACAAAAAATTTCAGTGGCTTAACATAATGGAAGTTTATTTCTTGGTGATAGAATTAAACTAGTTCATCAAGGGTATTACTGTTTAGTGGTGACCTTCCATAAAGTGTTTCAGGGACTCAGAATTTTTTCATCTTATGGCTCCAGCATTCACTAAGGCCCAATAGGTGGAAAGAGACAGAGTGAAGAAGGCACACCTACTTCTTTGAAAATCCAGGCTTAGAAGTAACATACATCATTCTATTTTGTTGGGTGTGAACTAGTCATGTAGCTGCACCTTTATGCAAGGGGTTGCTGTGGAATGTGCTCACTGCCTGGAAAGGTGGCTCCAGCAATAATTACAATATTAAAGAACATAGATATACATTTTTAATTATTTTGGAAAAAAATTAACATCTTTGCCACACTTAGTGAATAAATGCAAACTGCTGATTTGTTAAACACACTCTCAACCTTGAATTTAATCACCCTCTAGGCAATAATGTGAAATTTTCAAAACAACATAATGATTTTTAACTTAAAAAGTAAACATATGCCATTGACATTTTCGAGATTTGGGGATCTTCGTAATTATAGATATTTTATTAATGATATTTTCATAAGAGAAAAAAATGTCCCCTGGCAGGGGGAAGGAAATTAGTTAGGATAGATTTTCCTGCTTAGGGACAGGTCTTTGGTAAGTTTTTTTAAGTACTGAGAAACTAATTATATAGATGAATCCTAAATCTAATAGAAGTGAGTGCAGTGAACCTTCTTAAATAAACCTTGACAGTTTCCTAACTGCAAACCTCTATTTGGCTGTAACAAAATATTAAAGAGAATTTGTATGTATGAAAGGCTCAGTTTGAGGTATTTCATTTTTATCACGTTGAAAAATTCATTGGCTAATGTGAGCTTTTTTATGGTACATTTTATGTTTTTCATGGTCAAAATTTATAGTAGGAAATACCACAGAAGTGTGTTATAATGCCTAAAATGAGCTTTAGAAATCAGATCAGATTAGGCTGGGCGCAGTGGCTCACGCCTGTAATCCCAGCACTTTGGGAGGCTGAGGCGGGTGAATCACCTGAGGTCAGGAGTTCAAGACCAGCCTGGCCAACATGGCGAAACCCCGTCTCTACTAAAAATAAAAAAATTAAAAAAAAAAAAATAACCAGGCGTGGTGGTGTGGTGGGCACCTGTAATCCCAGCTACTCAAGAGGCTGAGGCAGGAAAATCGCTTGAATCCAGGAGGCGGAGGTTGCAGTGAGCCGAGATAGCGCCACTGCACTCCAGCCTGGGCGACAGAGCGAGACTCCATCTCCAAAAAAAAAAAAAAAGACATCAGATCAGGAGGTGGGAGAACTACTCATGTAGGAGAAACGATTCCACACAGTGCCGTCCTAGCACTGGACTGAGTGGCCAATATAGTGTTAGCCTCAGAAACAATGGGAGTAGAAATAATATCTGACTCATCCATTCACGGGTGGAAAAATAACCAGAATTTTTATTTCAGCCTAAGAGTGATAAGGCACCAGGTGCTGGGAATTCTGATCTGATATGCATAAAACTTAAAAAAACCATAAACCGTTGTATCTATATAGTGCTTTGTGCCTTCCAAAGCACCATCTGGAGTTGATGTTTAGCACAGTTGCAACACAGCAGTAAAGACAGTCAGATATTTATAAAGTTAAGTGCTGCAGAGATGTTAGGTATGTACAAATCCTTTGGTTAAATGGCCCTTCAGCAGTTAAGAGTGTTCCTAACACTTAAAAACTTCCACTTGACTTTGAGGTTATGTTACTTCTTGTTCTCCTATTGATTGATTGATTGCCCTTTAAGTACAAACCTAACATATTAATACTTATGAATAACATTTTTGACTGGATGAGATAGGTTATTATATAATCTTACTACTTTTCACCACCAGGGGTTGAAATAATCTAAATCTTTGACTAGTTTGGGGTTCTAGGATTTTTCCGATATGTAAGAATTTTATCACTTTGACCAAATTTCTTATCCCTTTGAATCTGCTTCTTTGTTAAATGGGGATAAAGATACCTGTCCTTGTCAGTGTTATGAAACTCACATGGGCAATTTATAAAGATTGAGATCAAGTTTCATAAATCTTAAATGCTCTACAATTGTAAGGTAATGCTCTTATTTGGCTTTCTCTTCCTCGTTGGTCTCTGTAATCCACTGCCATCTGGAGAAATTCAGATCTAAACCAGTGGGATTAAGCCTAACTGAATATGGTTCTTAAGATTTAAAAAACTTGTTATATATTTTGTAACCTTGAAAACCTTGATAGATTGGCCAGCTATCATAGTTTTCCAAGGATTTTTTGAGTTCTAGCACTGAAACTCCGTCCCAGGCAAAACCATCTTAAATCTTCCTGATTGCGAGAATCCTGAACAGAGAAAGGTTTTTATCCTCTCTTATTGCTAATATAAAATTTTCCTTTAGCTAAAATATCTTTGCCATATGAGTCCATTTGTTTTTCAGGGTATATATTATATCAGACTTTGAATGAAAACAGTATATAACACAGTATACAATACAGTGTGTTTACATAATGACATAAGACTTTTACACAGAGATATGTATTTACACAGAGATATGTATTTAATCCTTTGCTTTGCCTATTAATAGGTATGATAACCTCCACCCAGCACTTATTACATTTAATTGAAATTATGTAACCATCTGTATCCTTTATCAGACTCAAGCAGAATCTAGTCTCATTCATCTTTGATCCTGTCTCATCTGGCCTGAGAGTGATAAAATTGATCAAAGTGATAAAATTCTTACATATCGGAAAAATCCTAGAACCCCAAACTAGTCAAAGATTCTAGATGATTCTAGCATGCTGATTGGCACACTGGAAGCACCTAGGAAGTATATGATTAAACTTCCACACCTCAACCTCAACTCTATTACAGTCAGGTTTTTGGTGATTTTTAAAGTGTATGCAATAAAATCTTCATTACAGTTTAGTAAGTCTTAAATAAACTAGTATGAAGACTGTGAATTAACTTTTATAAACTATAAAGTATAATAAAATTTGTTTCAGAAAAAACTGATGTTAATATGTAATAAATCTAACTTTTCAATTTGTTTTCTAATCTACCATGTCTCCTAGATTCTTGATTTCCTCTTTAAATATTAAATTTGTACTTCTATCCAAGAGTTTTTGTCATTTATCATATATGTAAATGACTATGGGACAATGTGAAACAGACCTTCCTTGTCATAGATACAGCCACCTAAAAATTAGTATCATCGTATCTAAATATGTTAAGAAACATGGATCTATTTAAGTTCAGTCCAGTTTGTTTCCTAGAAGACTTTGTTCAAGAGTTATCTGTATTAATATTGTGCAGTAGTTGGAAACCCAGTGAAACTGCAATAAATTAAGTATTCATTACCAAAGAAATCATCTACATTGCATTAGGACCCATAATTGTCTCCTCTACTGCATTTCTATTTAGAAGTCCTTGTGTTAATGTTACCTCATCCAGGGCTTGATCTTGGATGAGGTAATAGAACAGATACCATATTCTATTTAGTTTCTCCTGGTTTTGAAAACACATCAAGAACTCAAAGCAGCATAATTGATCATGAACAACAGTATTTGGCTCTGGATACAGATAAACTTAAGTGATCCTTTTAGATTATTCTGATAGTACAGTGATATGGAACGAGTGGCTCTTCAGTTTCTTCTGCAGAATACAAATGTGTGAGATCTTCAGTAACTGGATCCTCTTTTGTTTACAGTGGTCTTAAATAAGGATCTAGGCAGAGAAGAGTATTCCAGAACCAAGCCTTCCTTTTGCCCTCTAGATTTTGTGCTGCCTCCTTTCTGAGCTACTTTAGGTGGGAACATGGCATTTGGAGTATTTATCATTGCAGCTGAATTGCACAAATATTTTGGATTATGGACTCCAAAGAAGAGGAGGACATGAGTGAATTGGAGTAGATGGGAAAGGACTCCTGAGATCACCCTGAAATGGGATTTGTAAAAGATCCAGTGAAAAGTAGTGGAGCTGATAAAAACAAATATAAAATATGCTGGCTTTCTATGTCATGTTGTCAGAAGAGAAAATAAAACATTTATTCTTTCATGTCTTCATTCTTTTATTCAACAAATATATATTTATTAACTACTATACTAGCCTATTTGTGCCCCTATAACTGAATACCACAGAACAGGTCATTTATAAGGGAAAGAAATTTATTTCTCACAGTTCTCGAGGCTGGGAAGTTGAAGATTAAGTTGCTGGTATCTGCTGAGCCCTTTCTTGCTATGTCTTTACATGGTGGAAAATGGAAGGGCAAGACAGAAGCAACTCCCTTAATCAAGCACCTTTATAAAGGCACCTAATCTCATTCATGAGGGAGGATTCCTCATGGCCTAATCACCTCTTACAGTCCCCACCAGGGGATAGATTCAAACTATAAAGCATTCCACTCATAGTCCCTCAAAATTCATGTCTTTCTCACATATAAAATACATTTATTTTATTTCAATAGCCCCAGAATTCTTAATTCATTCCAGCTTCAACTTGAAAGTTTAAGTCCAAAGTCTCATGTAAATCAGATATGAATAAGACTCAAGGCATGATTCATCCTGAGGAAAATATCCCTCCAGCTGTGAGCCTGTGAGATCAAACATTACATGTTTCCAAAACACAATGTTGAGACAGGCATAGGGTAAACATTCCCATTCCAAAAGGGAAAGATAGAACAAAAGAAGAAAAGAGTAATAGATCCCAAGTTAGTTGAATACTCAACAGGGCTAACAGCATTAAATCTTAAAGCTTGAAAATAATCTTCTTTCACTCCATGTCCCACCTTCTGGATATGCTAGAATGACAGTTGGGCCCCCAAGGCCTCAAGCAGCCCCATCCCATGGCTTTGCTGGGTGCAACCCTGGCTTCAACTGTCATGCATTGAAGGCATATGCCTATGGTGATCTTAGCCTGACACTACGTGCTGGTGGCTTTACAGTTAAAGATGTCTTTCTCAAGGATGGCCCTGCCCCCACATAGCCACTCAGCATTGCCCTAGTGAGAATTCTCTGCCATAGCACCACCCATGGGGCAGGTACCTGCCTGGGATTTAAGGCTGTCTGAGACATCTTTGAAATATAGGTAGAGGCAGCCATGCCTCCACAGCTCCGAACTCTACACACCTACAGAATTAGCACCACATGATCATTGCCAAAGCTCATTGTTTACACCTTCTGGAGTGGTGGTCCAGGCTGCACCTGGGCCAGCTTGAGCCATATCTAGGGTGCCCAAAGAGTGCTATGCCAGGATGCAGGGAACAGAGATCTAAGGAGGCCTTGGGAAGCTAGGTCCCACAGACACTGGACCCATCCCCTGAATCCTTTCTGACCCTAAGACCCTAGCATTCTGGGCTTGTGATAGGAATGGAAGCCTTGAAGATCTCAAAAACCCCTTTGAGGTCATGCTTCCATTGTCTTGATGAATAGCATCTGGATTCCTTCTAGCCGTACTAATCTTATCAAATGTTTGCTTAGCCATGCCCTTGATTTTCTCTCCTAAAATTGCCTTTTTATTCTTTACATGCCCAGGCTGAGAATTTTCCAAATCTGTACATTCTCCTTTCCCTTTAAGTATATATCCTGTCTTTAAATCATTTCTCTCTTTTTGCATTTTACTATAACCTGTTAAGAGAAGCCATGCAGCATCCTGAACACTTTTCTGCTTAGCGATTTCTTCTGTGAAATATTCTAGTTCATCGTTCTTAAGCTCTGTCTTCTGAAAAGTCCTAGAACATAGACACAATTCAGCCAAGTTCCTTTCCACTTTATAACAAAGATGACCTTTCCTCCAGTCTCCAGTACATTGTTCCTAATTTCCATCTGAGACCTCATCAGAATAATCTCCACTGCCACAACCAGTGAAGAAATCTCTCAAAAGACTGAGCTTTGCCCCACAGCTCTTCTTCTGAGCCTTGACTAGAATCATCCTTAATCTGTTTATGGCCATATAGGCTTTTTACATCATTCACTTCACAACTGTTTCAGCCTCTACCAATTATCCAGTCCCAAAGCCACTTCCACATTTTCAGGTGCTTGTTAGAGCAACACCTAGCTCCTTAGTACTAATTTCCATCTTAGTTCATTTGTGCTGCTATAACAGAGTACCACAAACTGGGCAATTTTTTAAAATAGGAAATTCATTTCTCACAGTTTTGGAGGCTGGAAAGAACAAAATCAATGTGTTGGCATCTGGTAAGGACTGTTTTGCCTTGTTCTCACGTGCAGAAGGCAGAAAGGTGAGAGAGAATCAAGTCCCTCCATGAAGCCCCTTAAAGGACACCTAATCCCATGTACAAGGGTAGATCCCTCCTGGCTTCATGCATTGACTTTGCCCTCTGGTTTGTTATCCTCCATTCATTCTTGTAGCTATCTAGTAACCTAGCCAATTGTTTTAGGGTATAGATGTAGCAGCAGAATCTGCTGCCATCTAAATGCTTTTTTGTGAATGAATACTTCAAGATTTAAAAGATTTTAAAAACATAACAAATTTTTAAAATGTCATGCCTTATAGGTCCCACCTCTTAATATTATCATGTTGGCAACACCCGAATTTTGGAGGGGACACATTCAAACCACAGTACCTACATATCAGGTAAGCACTGGGCTTATATCAGTGACTGTGATAGTTTTTTATTTTCATATAACTTGCATTTTTTTGGGGGGGAGCACTGATGGATAATAAATAGATAAAAATAAATAATCAAGTGACAAAATCATCAGGTAGTGATGTGTGCAATGAAAATAATTAAATAGGCAATATGATAATCAGTGTCAAGACATCTACATTGGTTGGATGGTTGAGAGAACCTTGCTGTTGAAGGTGACAGTGACCCGAGATCTGACTAACAAGCAGCAGCCAGCTGGGAAAAAAAACTGGGGACAGGCATCTCTACCATCAGAGAGTATGGCTAGAGCAAAGGCTCTTGTGGAGCAATAAACTTGGTGGTTTGGAGGAAACAAAGAAGGCCAAGGTGGCTGGAAAAGAGAGAGTAAAGTAAGGAGTATAAGAGAGGAGGCCAAAGAAAGAAAAATGGGCCATATTATGTGGTGCTCTGTGAGCTAGGATAAGGAAGTTTCATATTCCTATAGAATGGGAAACTATTGGAAGGATTTAAGCAGATGATACACAAATAAGTACTATGTTTTGTTTACAATATCAACGTATGCTATTTTGTATGGTGATTAAAAATACAAGTTTGTTAAGGAGTATAGCACTAAGATCTTGCTTGGGAGTAGAGGGTTGTTGTCTGTTTACATAAGGTCTAGTTGAGCAGGGGATTTAAAATTAAAGCCAGATTCCTCTTTTTCCTAGTTGGTTGTAGAGACAGCTTCCTTTGTTTTACCAACAGTTGGGTGCCTGATACTGACACACCACAGAAGCTTGATGCGGATTTTTCTCCTGGCTTCAGGAGAGATAGCTCCACTGTCACATCATGCATGAAAGTCCAGACTCTGCTGTGCACAGGAAGGGTTCTGCAATAAAGCTGTGGATATAACTCTGGCTTGTTATCCTCCATTCATTTTTGTGGATATATAGCAACCTAGCCAGTCATTTCAGGGGATAGACATAGCAGCAGCATCTGCTACCATCCAAAGCCTGAATCTTTTGTGAATGACTACTTCGTGATTGAAAAATTTTTTAAAAAGATTCAGTGGCACTTTGAACTACTATTGGGCTGATAATGTTTTTGTTGTTTTTGTTTGTTTGTTTGTTTGTTTGTTTGTTGAGATGGAGTCTCGCTCTGTTTCCCAGGCTGGAGTGCAGTTGTCGCCTAGGCTGAAGTGCAGTGGCAGGATATCAGCTCACTGCAAGCTCCACCTCCAGGGTTCAAACCATTCTCCTGCCTCAGCCTCCCAGTAGCTGGGACTACAGGCGCCCGCCACCACCCCCGGCTAATTTTTTGTATTTTTAGTAGAGACAGGGTTTCGCCATGAGCTGATAATTTCTTAAACCTCAACAAAATATTATCTTCGGAATTTTTATAATTCATACTATTTAGCTTTTGCTATGTGTTTTGTTATCAACCAAAGAATTATATGGGCTTATACATTCATGTGTTTGACTTATAAGTACTCTTCACTATTAGCTTTAAAAAATGTGCAGTGCCCATAGTCCCTGGGACTAGTGAAAAACATAATAAGGTAAAGAGAAGAGAGTGTTAGTAATAACTTATGATCCTGTGTACTATACACAAGGGCCTTTTGTGTAGGAATTTGCCTACAAGGTCACCAGCACTGTGTTATAGCACTTTCTTTTCTGGGCACTGAAGAGAGCTGAGTATCCTAGATGTTCTCAATGGTGATTAACACCAGGTAAGAGTAGAGAGGGCTCTTATTCTGAATTCTCTGTAGATCTCCTATCTTTTTTCACAGATGAAAAATAATGAGTTGTACAAGATACTGTTCTGTTTCTTTGCATGAGACATACTCTCGTTTGCTTTCCATATCTCTGAGGGCTCATTGCAAGGAAGATGCCCCAAAACTTTTTGGTGACTATTTGTCATACCACTATTGTGAAGAATTTTCCTCGTTTAAATTCTCCCCTAAATTTGGAGCTCAGCCAGCAGGAAATGGACTACTTTAGGGTTTCTAAATGTGATTAGAGGTCTGGAACCCAGAGGCAGAGAAAATTATGTAGGAGTCTGTACTTCCCTTGGACGTGCATAGATCTTTTAATTTTTTAAAAAATGATTTAGTATTTTTAAGGCTTGATATTTTATTAAAATTATACAATATTTTATTAAAAATCACATAAAATTTATTTTATAAAAATGAATGTAAACTATTAAAGCAAATTGCTATGTAGCTATATGGAATAATGAAGCAGAAGTAAAATTAAGGGAACTTTGGTCAGAATGAAAAGAGTCATTTTCATCACACTAGAATGCAGCTGGCACAGAAGAATGTTGTGGGTCTAAAGGAGAGTTTGGTGAGGCTTATTCACAAATTAACAGATCTTGGTCAAATAATTTCAATAATAGCCTTTGATTAGTTCAGATGTTAAAACTTTTTAAAATATCTTTCAATTATCTATTTTAAATTATTTATGATTCTCATTTTCTGATCTTATCTGTGAATGCAAAGAACCAAAGATGTTAAAAATTAAGTTTTGCTATATTGTATAGACATTGTGAAGGACAGTTATGTTAAGAATAGATGACTTCTGATTTTCTGTTTCTTTTGCTTATTAATCCATAATACTATTCAAGCATAACTAGTTTATAACTTAAAAAGAATATGCTTCTTCTTAGCCTTGGGACTCTCAAATATAGTTATGTACACACTCTTTCTGTATATGTGCATCTAATTGAGTTCTTTCAACTCTAGTACATTAAATATACATGAAATTAACAAGGTGGCAAAACAAGCAAGAGAATCTGTTTAAAAAATTAGAGTCCAAACATAAAGCAATGTAAAGTAATGAAGAAATCCTGAATGAACCCCATGGATGTCGCACTCCACAGACTGGCGCATGGCCAGCTCTGTCTCATACTTGACTCTAAAGTCATCAGCAGCAAGACGGGCATTGTCGATCTACAGAACGATGCGGGCATTTTCCACAGTATTTGCGAATATCTGAGCTCTCAGGTCCTCGATGGTCTTGAAGTAAAAGCCCCAGTCTCTGACCTGGGGTCCCTTCTTCTACAGGTGCTCCCGGATTTTGCTCTCCAGCTTCCGGTTCTCCGCCTCCAGGATCCTCACTCTTTCCAGGTAGGAGGCCAGGCTGTCGCTCAGGCTTTGCATGGTCTCCTTTTAGTTCTGGATGCCTCCCATTCCTGCCAGACCCCGGCCATCCCTGCCGCCAGACTCCCGGACCCCAAGCCACCCAGGAAGCTGTTGGAGCGGAACACGGAGATCCGGGAACCAGAGCCCCCGGCGCTTGCCTAGAAGCTGGCCGCGCTGGTTAGCGGTCGGGCGCGGTAGCTGGGCGGCTGGACGGAGCCCAGGGACCGGTAGTTGGTGCAGAAGGTGGAGGAATGGTGAAGCTCATGCTGTCTGGGGAGGACAGCGAGAGCACAGGACTCAGACTTTGCCATCTAAAATATATTTTCATAGATCAGGGTGTAATAGTGGGGGGGTGGAAAGTAGCTCATGGGCCCCAATTTTTCTCATCATTCATAATAGGAATTTAGAAAGTAGTATCTAAGATTGATGGAATAGCAAGCAAAGCTTTAAGTATATTATTTAGAGCTATTAAAATAATCAATAGAAGAAAACATGTTTTAATAGACCATGGAAGATTAGATGGGAAGTTTGTGAGTAACTCAAATCTTAACTTTTAAAGTGAGAAGCTAATGGATACTATTTAAAGACCATAAATCAATAAATTGATGTAAAAGCCTACTATTTACATTATGTTCATAACCATCACATAAACTACAATTAGAAATGTTGGAAAATGATTTTACCTGAGAGTGAGATAGGTGGGAATCAGATAGATAAGATGGATGAAAGACTTACTGTTAATATAATAACTCTTTAATATTTTTCAAACCTGTGCTTGAATGTTTCAAATAAAGTTAAAAAGTGCATCTATGTATAGCTTGATTCCACTGCTACAATGAATACATAGACACCTTTGTACATCTGTACAAACAAGATTAATTCCTAGAACTGAAATTGTAATTCTTATAGAAACTCCACAGTTACCTTTTTAAAAAGCCATGTTTTAATTTAGATTTCAACCAATATCATTTGAGTACTTATATTTCCCCAAACCCTGGCCCAAATTAAGTAATTTAGATATTTGATCAATCTGCTTAATAAAAATTATATCTCATTGTTGTTTTGCTGCTCATTTTAAATTCCTAAGGAGGCTGAATACTTTTTTCATGTGCATTTTGGCCATAAAAACTCTATAGATAGTTTTCCTGTTATTATGATTTTCCTGTTTTTCTGTTGCTTGTTGTAATTAGTTAAATAAATTATGGTACTTTTTTGTAATAAAATAATACTATTCTAGCATTGAGAATGATGGAGAAATTGTCTGACTAAAATGTAAAGCTTATTATACCATATTATTAAGTAAAAATAATGTAGAATGATATAAAAAGTATAATTTCACTTTTCACTTGGATAATAGATATAGACAATATGAACAACCCCTATTAAAATGGCATTTTCTCTTCTAGCTCTTATCTTTCATAATTTGAACTTTCTTCCACTTTAATTCTTCCTCTTCCAGTGTTTTCTATTATTCCTTCATATTACATCTGCATGTAATATGTGTTTAATACTATTATATACAGAAGTCTAGTTGAAAAAAATAAATTCACATGTTCCATTTATGCCTTATAACTAAATTATTTTTTGTTACTTGCTACATCTGTACTTAGTAATAGATCTTTCAAAACAATCTCCTTGCACAACTCATATTTTAGCAGTTACCACTGCTTAGACTGGAACTTCTGAACTGCTTTGTGCCTCAGAATCACTTAAAGAACTTTGTAAAGTGTATAGTTTTCCAGTCCCAACTATGGAGATTTAGATACAAAAAGTCTGGGGCAAACTTTAGAGACTGTCTTAGTCAGTTTGGGCTGCTATAACAAAAATATTACGTCTTATAGTTCTAGAGTCTGGGAAGTCCAAGCTCAAGGTGCTGGTCAATTAGGTTTCTGGTGAGGGCCTTCTTCCTGGCTTTCAAAAGGACACCTTTTTACAGTATCTTCTCATGATGAAAAGAAAGATTATCTCTCTCATATCTCTTCTTATAAGGACAATGATCCCATTTATTATAGCTCCAACCTCATAACCTAATTACCTCTCAAAGGCCCCATCACCAAATACTATAACACTGGGGAGTAGGGCTTCAGCATATAAATTTTGATGGGACATGATTGTGTCCCATTCATGTACTCTGTGCCACTTAGTACATGGCATTCAGGTCCTGACTCATCAGAATTTGTGTCCTCACATGCAAAATGCATTCATTTAATCACAATAGCTCCAAAAGTCTTAGTTAGTATCAACATCAACTCTAAAGTCTAAAGTCCAAAATCTCATCTAAATATCATCTAAATCAGATACAGGTAAAATTCAAGGTGCAATTTATCCTGAAGCCAAATTCCAATTCAATTGTTCAATATATGAAGCCATATAAGTTATGTGCTTCCAAAATATAATAATGGGACAGATATAGAATAGACATTCCCATTCCAAAAAGAATTTATGACTAAGACCTCAAAAGTGCAAGCAACAAAAACAAATGAATGGGACTTAATGAAACTGAAAGACTTCTGCACAGCCAAAGATATAGTCAACAGAGTGAACAAACAAGTTGCAGAATGGAAGAAAATATTTGTAAACTATCATCTAACAGGAGACTAATACCCAGAATTTACAAGCTACTCAAATAATTTAAAGAAATACCCACAAATAATTCCATTAGAATTAGGCAAAGTACATGAATAGATATTTTTTAAAAGAAAACATACAAATGGCCAACAAGCATACAAAAAAAGCTCAAAAGCTAATCATCAGAGAGATGCAAATTAAAACCACCATGAAATATCATCTTATAACAAGCAAAATACTATGAGATTTCTCAAAGAACTAAAGATAGAACTACCATTAGATCCAGCAATCCCATCCTTGGGTACCTACCCAGAGGAAAAAATGATCATTGTACCAAAAAAATACCTGCACTCATATGTTTATTGCAACACTATTTACAGTACCAAAGACATGAAAACAATTTAAGTGTCCATCAATGGATGACTGGATAAAGAAAATGTGGTATATTTACACAGTGGAATATGTTTTAGCTATTAAAACAATAAAATCATATCATTTGCAGCAACTTGCAAAACTGGAGGCCATTATCTTTAGTGAAACAACGCAGAAAGAAAAATATCGCATGTCACTTTTATGTCACTCCCACTTTTTGGGAGTAAATAATGTATACATCTGAACATAAATTGTGGACTGATAGACAATAAAGACTTGGAAAGGTGGAGGTGTGGGGGGGGATGCATTATAAGAAATTAGTTAATGGGTATGAGGTACATTATTAGAATGATGGACAATAAAATCCTAGACTTCATCACTACACAATATATCCACGTAACAAAATTGTACTTGTACCCCTTAAATTTATTTTTTAAAAAATAGAAAAGAAGGAAGAGGTACTGGTTCTCCAGCAAGTCCAAAATGCGGCAAGGCAAACTTCATGAGATTTCAAAGCTCAGGATAATGTTTTTTTGGCTCAATATCTTTTTATCTTCCAGAACCACTGAGGTGGAGGTCCTGCCCATGAATCTCTGTGCTAGGTGGGATTCATTCCTCCAGGACTCTGCCAGATGGGGCCTCACCCCCAAGGCTCTGGGTGGCTTTGTTGTCCACACTGACACTAATGTCTTTATCAAATGGTGAGCGTACCATGCCCTTAGTGATCTCTTTCAAAAATGCTTGCTCACTTTTAGCAATATGAATGGGCTGGGAATTTTCCAAATCTTTAAGTTCTGGTTCTTTTTACCTAATTATTACATCTTCAATTCATTCCTCTCCTCTTGCAGTGTACTATAAATAGTAAGGAGGAACCAAACCACTCTTTACACACTTTGTTTAGAAGTCTTCTCAGCAAAATACCCAATTTCATTCTTCACAAGTTCTACCTTCCACAAAATGGTAGAAAATGAACACAGTTCAGCCAAATTTATTGCCACTTTATAATAAAGATTACCTTGTCACTTTTCTCATTTCCATCTGAGGCCTAATCAGAAAGGCCTTTATCATCTCTATTTCTACCAACAGACCATTACATGATTATTAGTATTCCCTAAGAAAATGAAATAATTCTCAATAGCTCTCCTCTTTTTCAATGAGCCTCAATCATTAGCATCTCTCTTAAAACTCCCTTCATTAAAATATTGGCTTTTTCTAGCATGTATTCAAAATTCTTCCAGTTTCTACCCATTACCCAATTCCAAAGGGTACTCAGTTCCAAAGCATTTAAAACTGCTTTCATAGTTTTAAGTATTTGTTACAGCAGTATTCCACCTCTTCTTGCTACCATTTTTTTAATATTAGTCAGGACTCAGTAGAGAAACAGAACTAATTGGAGATACACAGTCAGCTCTTCATATTCCTATGTTCTGCATCTGTGGATTCACTCAACCACAGATTGAAAATACATATATTTTTAAGAAATGGATGATTTTGTTTATACTGACTTTTATTTTCTTGTCACTATTCCCTAAACACAGCATAAAAACAATTTACGTAGCATTTGTAATGTATTAGGTATTATAAGTAACCTAGAGATGATTTATACAGGAGGATGTGTGTAGGTTATATGCAAATACTATGCCATTTTATATGAGGCACATAAGCATTTATGGATTTTCATATTTGTGAAGATTCCTGGAACAAGTCCCCTGTGGATACTGAGGGACACACATGCATACACCTATAATTTATTATAAGGAATTGGCATATACGACTACGTGGACTCAAAAGTTCCACAATCTGCCGCCTGCAAGCCGGAGACCCAGAAAATTTGGTGGTGGAGTTCTGATAACCGGAGGACAGACGGTGTAAGTCTTGGTCAAATGCAGAAAACTGATGACCCAGCTCAAGCAGTCAGACAGAGAGAAGGAATTCCTTCTTCCCTTGCATTTTTGTTTTATTCAGATCATCAACGGATTGAATAATGTCCACCTACATTGGAGAAGGCAATCTGCTCATTTCGGTTCATCAATTTAAATGTTAGTCTCATCTGGAAACACCCTCACAGACACTCAGAAATAGTGTTTAATCTGGACACTCTGTGTCCAACAAATAAAATTAACTATCATAGAAACATATTTTTTGAAGTTCCCCAACTGGTTCAGATGCGTAATAAGCTTGAGAACAACTTATCGGAACCTACCAGAAGAAAATTACTTTATAAGTGTATTTTAATGCTTTTAATATATTTGAAGATTTAGCTAAAAATATTCTTTTTCTGTCTCTTTAACATTAATGTCACTATTTTTTAATTTTGGAGGTTGAGCAACCCTTCAAGATATTTGAATTTTTTCAACATATACTGTAATATACACAATATACCTAATGTAAATGACGAGTTAATGGGTGCAGCACACCAATATGGCACATGTATACATATGTAACAAACCTGCATGTTGTGCACATGTACCCTAGAACTTAAAGTATAATAATTAAAAAAAAAAGAAATATACACAATAATCCAAAGATCTAAAATGGTCCACAGTATACCTGTATTGATTTACCCATAATGAAATTATCTGGTACTTATTTAAATTTAAGAGATGGGGTTGATGAGAATTCTAAAATGAATTAGCTCAATTTTACCTGTCTTTCTACATGCTAATTTCAAGGACGTTGGTCTATCAATATGAGCTCATGTTGTTCATCTGGAGAATGAGGACAATAGATGCCACCCACCCTACCACATGGCAGATTCCCAAATCCTCCAAAATTCGAACTTTAGTTGTGAGGCACACTTTCCCCAGTGCCTCTCTGGTTTCTTCTCTGTGAATCTGTTATTACACCCTTATGTTTTTCCTGAAGGTGAATAACTCTGTCTTCTTCATGTTGGTATCTTCAGCACAGTGTCTAGGATTCAGAAGCGCTAAATACTCTCATCCCTGATTTCTTCGTTTGCAGTCCCTATCACTGCTACCATGTTTTTAATTCCCTTAGGCCTGCTGCTAGTCAAGTGTTCTACAGGTACTTTGCTAAGATTTGCAGTCTTGTGGATCCAAGTCAGGGAGTTCTTAGAAAACAGATCATTTTCTGCCGTGTCTTTTTATTTCACTTTCACTTAGCACAATGCCTGATTCACAGTAATAACCAATGTGTGCTAAACTGAACTGAAATTAACTCTACATTGGAGAACACTTTCTATAACTTTTCAATTTAAAATTAGATAATTAATAGTGTAATGATTGAAAAATTAATTTGAAATCCATCAACTCAGAAGTGTATGGAAACTTTTCAAAGATGTAATATTATTTAATAAAAGAGACTATCTTCTAAATTTTTCTAAAAAACGCATTTGTCTTAAAAAGCACAAAAAACTCATTTTTTAAATTTTATTAAATTTTAGGGTACATGTGCACAACGTGCAAGTTTGTTACGTATGTATACATGCGTCATGTTGGTGTGCTGCACCCATTAACTCATCATTTAGGATTAGGTATATCTCCTAATGCTATCCCTCCCCCCCTCCCCCCACCCCCCACCCGTCCCTGGTGTGTGATGAAAAAAACTCATTTTCATACTGATTTCCACACTAATTTATACTGTTACAGATGGAAACAAAGGATTAGCCTATAGCACATTCCTTAGGAGTCACTGCCTATTGAATACCTACAATTAGATATTACGCACGCAGAGTGCATGAAAAACATACATTTCAACTTTGAAAATATATTTTTAAAACATTTTTTTGAAAATTATTTCTCCACATGCAGATGGCTACATTTTAAACTGTGAAACAGCAATAAAAAGAAATTTATATAATACTAGTTATTGAGAAACTAAGTCAACACTTTGAAATGATAGATTTTCCACTACGTTAATGTGTCCAGAATTGGTTCCTCCCAGTGGGTTCTTGGCCTCCCAGACTTCAAGAATGAAGCCACGGCCCCTCCTGGAGAGTGTTACAGCTCTTAAGGATGTTGTGTCCAGAGTTTCTTCCTTCACATATTCAGGTGTGTGCAGAGTTTCTTCCTTCTGATGTTCAGGTGCGTCCGGAGTTTCTTCTTTCTGGTGGGCTCATGGTCTCAATGACTTCAGGAGTGAAGCCACAGACTTTTGCAATAAGTGTTACAGCTCTTAAAGGCGGCACCACTTGTTCGTTCCTCCTGGTGGGTTTGTGGTCCCACTGACTTCAGGAAGGAAACTGCAGACCTTCACGGTGAATGTTACAGCTCATAAAAGTAGTGTGGACCCAAAGAGTGAGCAGCAGCAAAATTCATTGTGAAGAGAAAGAACAAAATTACCACTCCGTGCAAGGGAACCTGAACCAGCTGCCCGCTGCTGGTTCGGTAGCCAGCTTTTATTCCCTTATTTGTCCTCGCCCACATCCTGCTGATTGGCCCATTTTACAGAGCACTGATTGGTCCATTTTTCAGAGTGCTGATTGGTCCGTTTTTACACAGTGCTGATTGGTGCGTTTACAAACCTTTAGCTAGACACAGAGCACTGATTGGTGTGTTTACAATCCTTTAGCTAGACAGAAAAGTTCTCCAAGTCCCTACCCAACCCAGAAGCCCAGCCTGCTTAACCTCTCATGAAAACCAGAAGCCACTGAAGGAATATGGTTGAGGGAATTTGACAACAGTAAAGTCACTTAGCTTCTGGTTCCTATAAGTTCCAGCCTGCTAACTCTTGATTGAAGAAACCTAACTAATCACATTTTTCATAAAGCATTTGAAAGTCAATACCAATTTAAACCAATTAATCGAAGAGAATTTCTCCTGAGGAAAAACTGATCATAACTTAGTGAAATTTGGAAACATACAAGTGAAAATGTATAAATATTTTTGGCCACCATGTAATCTAGTGTGCTGTTATTTTTTTTTAATGGTTTGGGCAGTGTGAAATTTGGCAATACCTTTTGGAAAAAAATAGTTTGGCTGATTTTAAAATGTTCATATAATCTTACAATATCTAAGGTTTGTTTTTTAGTGACTACACATGCAGTTGTGAGCTTTATTGCTAAATAGTTCTAATTAGGTAAAAGTAAATTAATCAATCAAAAACATATTTTAAGTACAATTTTATGTACATCCAAAAGGAAGATGTTCAGTTGGCTCCAAGAGTAAGTATTGTTATCTTAGAGTCATAGTCTATGGAACAATAATTCGGGCATTTGAAATCTATTTTTCTTAATACAGTATTGTGTCTGTGTATCTCCACTTGACCAAGTTTGCAGTTGGGTGAATATTTTACATTTACTTTAAGAAAAAAGTATCTTAATTTAGAAATAAGGTTATTATTTTTTTCATGTTGATTAGCCAATAAAATTTTATAGTAGGAATTCTCATCAGGATATAAAATCCTTTCCTAAAATTAATGGCAAGTGCTCTCTTAATACTTCTGTAAATTATTAAAGACTTGGATGTCAAATCCATTTTTGCAAGGACATTATTGAATTATTTAAATAACTGAAATCACTTGAAAGTGGGAGTTGACCATTTAAAAACATATCTACTTGATCCTAAAATCGTGTATAAGTTCCTGAGAATGAGATTTAATGCATTTTAGTCATTATATTTGCCAACCAGAATGCATCTGCAATGTTTCAATGTTTAATTGCCTCCTCCGTGGAGCCAATTATCTGTCAACATAAAATAGACTTTTCCTACTGAATTTCTAAAATTGAAGGTATGATATCTGTAATTGCCAATTCCATAAGACTGACAATATTTGTCTCTTTACCCCAGCCCTTGTTGGTTCTGACATGATGGGTGTGATTAGTTACAGTAACACAAAAGCTGGAATGGCAATATAATACCAACAGCTTATGTGGTTACATTGTAATAGGCCTGGCAGTTGAAAAAAAATAATTCAAAAACATTATTTGTCTACATTTTGTGGCATGTCATGACAATTACATGGTATTATATATGCTGACAAGTTGAGATGATTACTGTCTTTTTATTATACAAAGGGAGGAGTACTTTTGGAATTAGGGACGAGGAAAGAATGATGGAGCAAACATTCCTCTCCTACTTTGCTTTAGCCTGGGAAATTTTGTTTCTAAGAAGTCAAGTACTGCGAATATTTTGACATTTTTACAACTTGGATGTATTTACTTGAAATATTTAAATTTAAGCTTGCGGACTTATAGATTTAGCATTATATTTTACAGGTTTTTACTTTCTCCTAGTGAACTGGTATCTGAAGAAATTAATAGGGCAAATAGAAAAATGTTTTATAACGTCATTCCTGGAATGTTTGTCTTATGTTATTTGAAATAACTCAGAAGTTGTTTAAACCCTGGTGGCTCCTGGGAACTGTCATTCGTTTACCTCAAAGAGGCACAAGCTCTTTTTTGAATGTGTTTTACAGCACCTTCTTTCAACCACAACTGAATATATCCTTCACTTCTTAGAATGGTACAAACACTTCTTAGTTTGAATCTTTTTGGATCCAAAGCTGCTTGATTTGAATGTAGTAAACCTTTTATTTGTGATTCTAGATTCCCAGGGGAAGATGGTGGGTCTATGCAATTTTACCTACAGAATGCCTACAAGGCCTTTGTAAAATTAGGTCTCAGTAACATTTTAATAACAACAATTTCTATTTTTCAGTCTCATTACTACTTTCGAATTATAAGATGTCTATACTACACTCTAAAGAATCTCACAAGTAGGTTAGAAATGTGAAAAACTGAACTCTCTTCTTAATGGCCATCTTAGAAACCACAGATAATTTAAATTTAACTAGGTCTAATCCAACCAGTTTTCTTTAATCAAGACCATGTGTAAACTAAATTTTATTAATTTAAATATTTTTCCTTTTACTTTGCCTTGTTAAAAAGACTTAAGGCAGGTAGCAAGATGCACACCAATAACATAAAAAAGGGGTATTAGTTCATTTAATGTTGCTACAAATGAATTCCTGTGGCTCACTAATTTATAAAGAAAAAAAGTTATTTGGCTCATAATTCCCATGATTGGAAAGTTCAAGTTTGGGGTACTGCATATGGTGAGGGCCTCAGGCTCCTTCTACTTCTGGCAGAAAGCAAAGGGGAACTGGTTTGCATAAAGACCACATGGCAAGAGAGGAAGAAAGAGAGAGAGGGAGGCACCAGGTTTGTTCAAACAACCAGCTCCTTTGGGAACCAATAGAGCAAGAACTCTCTCACCGCTAAGGGAGGATATTAATTTATTCATAAGGAAACTGCCTCTGTGACCCAAACACCTCTCATTAAGCCCCATCTCCAACACTGGGGATATATTTTAACATGAGATTTGGAAACATGCAAACCATAACAGAGGAATGGGGGAATGAAGGTGAGAAAAATAAGATAAAACCACTAGCGTGATTAGCACACCACTATGCTGCTCTTTTCTAGTGATAGGAAACAGAGATACATCATTAAGGTTTCTGGCAGACCACAAAAATACAGAATTATGGTTGATTAACCATCTCAAAGGGTCTAAACAATAAAACAAAAGCAATTGCTTAGAAGAGTAAAACATTCCTCAATGTTGATTCTGGAGAACCATTTTTGTTTTTTGTCCTCAGAGAGAAAATATGGTGCCATGTGTTAAACCATGTTTTCCACAACATTATTTTGGTAAATACAGAAGTGTGCTCTACGAAGCTATTTCTTACAATGTTCCTCAAAGTGTATTAGAGACACCAAGTTGTATAATAATTTAGAAAAAAAAAAGAAAAAGTAAAAAAAAAAAAGTACAGGATTGTAAAACATGATTCAGGTATGCAGTTTTTTTCTAGTAGTTTGGCTTGATTCACAGACAGAATAGTGTAATTAGAAAAAAAATGTATCTTTGTAGTCACCACCTGACCTCAAAAAACACATAGCAAAAATCTGATATCAAGGTAAGGAAGTAGTGAGAAAAAAATTTAATTATCTGTTTATTGTAAAGTATATACATTTTGAAAAAATTGAAAACAATAAGGCCTATGTAACTTAATGTCCTCTTATATAGCATAATGTCCTTGAGGTTCATCTATATTGTCACATATGGCAGAATATTCTTTTTTTCTTTCAAGCTAAATAGTATTTAGCTTGGGCACTAAAATAGTGTAGCCTGGAGTTTTGAACTGAAATATCCAGTAATGAGATTTTAAAGTTTGAAGAAGTAGTGGCTGATTTGAAATAATTGAGGAACAACTGGAAATTGGCTTGGGAAAGATAATGGCAGCAAGTCCAAGAGGAGAAACAGAAGATCCTTGCTAGAGGGATTCTCTAGATTCTTCCAGTTCAGTTTCCTGTTTCCCAGCATAATCACAATTAACTCTTGGGAAAACAGGTGTAATTTTTCTTTCCTTACAAAGCCCTATATCTAAGAAATACTACAATTTTCACTTTAGCACCAAGATAAAATTTATATAAACAGTAGAGAAGTAGCAGCCATGGACTCCACAAAGACTGAACAGAGAAAAGTATGCAATTAAAACAAACAAAAAGCTCACAACTTAATTTGAAGCAGTTAGGGATCCTCCCTTTACTAGTGAACAATGAGGCAATCTATTTTTAGCACGCAGTGAAGTTTGGCTCAAAATTTAATTCAAGGCATTAGAGGGCTCTGTTAATTCCCTGCTTATATTTCAGGAGTACTAACGTGGCTTACAAGAAACCAGAGCAAACTGATTGATTTCAGGTTTAAATTTACTTGCCTTGGGCACTGAACTTAAATTGTCTGGGGTTAGGAGAAAAACAGTGAGAAAGATATACTGACATGGTTGTAAATTGCTCTGACCTTCACTACACACTCAGCACTCTAGCATTACTCAGTGCAGAGTAGCCAATTTAGTAAGCCACAGGTACCAATAATTACTAGTTATTAAAGCCTAATTGTGTGCCAGACATTTTGCTAGGTGCTTTATATTCCTTCTCACTAATATTCATATGCTGGGTTGAATACTGTGTCTCCCGAATGATGTCTACCTGGAACTTCACCCTGTGACCTTATTTGAAAATGGGATCTTTGCAGATGTAATTAGGTTAAGATGAGGATATATTGGATTAAGGTGGGTCCTAATACAATAACTGGTGTCCTTATATGAAGAGCAAACAAAGATACAGAGACATGCCTAGGATGAATGCCACATGATGACGGAGGTAGACAGTATAGTGGTGACCTGTGAGCCAAGGGTTGCCAACCGCCACCAGAAGCCAGGAGAGAGGCATGGGATGATTTCTCTCCCAGAACCTCCAGAAGGCACCAACTCTGCTGACACCTTGATTTCAGGCTCTGGCCTCTAGAACTATGTGAGAATAAATTTTTATTTCTGTAAACAACCCAGTTTGCATTAGTTTGTTACCTCTGCCGTAAGAAACTAATACAATTCACGTTAACCCTCAAGGTAGGTGTCAGTTTCTTTTAAAAAAAAAATTTTTACAACATAACCCGACTAAAACTTGTGCTCACTCCACTGTCTTTTAATCAAGCTCACTAAACAGTAGAGTATAGCAATTAGGTGATCTGGTGAAAAAAATTATCCCAAAATTTATGCTAATTGACCACATATGCTTTTTCATTTCAATTCCAAGAGCAATTCTTTCCATCGGGAGGTTGACTGCTCCTTCAAGATGGTCATTGCTACTTTGTCAAAGCCTGTAACCTGGGAGATAGCCAAATAGGATGGCTTTGGTGATTTCTCACCACAACAGGGCTCCTGTGCTTGCAGGAAAGGAGATAATAGATTTTGGAAGACCAGGCAATGCAAGGAATGAGTCTGCACATTCTGGGTCAGATGCCTGGAATAATGTGTTACAGGCTTCTAGGGAATGAGGGGGAATCCACAGCATTGATGGCTCCTTTGTTGATGCTGAAGAATCTGAGGATTACAATGAACAGGTTTGGGAAGAAAGTCAGGAATTTTAAGTGGCACAAAAAAGTCTGGTTATAAAAATGGGCACTGATTAGGTCACGGGCAGGGCAGAATAGAAGAAACCAGGAATGGAAACTGGACTTAGCGAAAAGTACAAAATCAGCTATGAGGCACTCAGACAGGAACTCACAGACAGAAGCTGGCCTGGAAAGAAGTAGTGTATAAACAGTAGACACTCTGAAGAATCTAGATTCTTTCCAACCCGGAGGATGAAGACAGCAAGTAGGTTGGGCAGATCAGTGTCAAGAGATTCAGGACAGATGGACAGATCTAAATGGAAACAGATTGAATCTATGGCAGGGGTCAAATATCAGAAACTCAAGCTAAATTCACAGGGAACAAATAAGAAGGGCTCTTGTTTTTCATCCCCTCACAAAGTTCTGGGTTTCTGGTAAAAAGTAAGGGGGTATTTTACATGTTCAAGGGTTCTCTGCAGAGTGACAGAAAGCTTAATCCCAGGCCCTCCCTCCCCATTACAGAAATTTTGTTTTATTTATATGACACTTAATATATATGTGCAGTTTATAGATGTCTTAAATTTCCTGCCAGAAGGTATGCTCCTCTTGGTGTTAACGGATATTATTTTTGAGCACCTACTGTGTCCCAGGTATTCTTTGTCAGTGCTTCACATACATTATAATGCCATTGTTTCTTTTGAATGCACACAATCCTGAAAAGTTTAAGATGTAGAGAGATAAGTAACTCATTTATGGTCACACAGCTAGAAAGAGACAGAACTATAAATTAAACTCAGGTAGTCAAATTTCACATTCAGTTTTTATTGTCATTGATGGTGTTTTCCCTCCTATTTCCCATGGCTTATTTATTGCTACCAATTCACAGTCCTTACAGCAACAGCAAGTTAGATGATCTGATGAGGATTACTTTGTTTCCACACAGGAGTATAGTGTGTACTGCTTCCTAGAGCTTGATCTTTCTGGTTGCAGATTTTGGTAACGGTGGAAGACTACATCTTCTAGGGGAGCTCATGGTAAGAATGAAGTAGAAGAGGCAGGAGTCCAATGAGTCATTCTATATCATCAGGTGCCCAGACTGCAATCGCGAAGGAAGAATTGTTTGCCTTGAGGCTTATCATACTTCCCACAAGGGCAGGGCTTGGTGTCAGAGTGTAATCTACACAAAACAGAGAATCAGAATCTATTTAGAGAGGGAGTGCTTCACAGAGGATAAAATAACTAAGATTTCAGAACTATCTTGACTTTTTCTTCCGTAAAACTTTACCTAGTAAACTCCTATTCAATGAAATGGTGAAGCCCTGTCTCTACTAAAAATACAAAAATTTGATGGGTGTGGTGGTGTGTGCCTGCAATCCCAGCTACTCAGGAGGCTGAGGCATGAGTATCACTTGAACCCAGGAGGCAGAGGTTGCAGTGAGCCAAGATCACACCACTGCACTCCAACGTGGCAACAGAGTGAGACTCTCTCAAAAAAAAAAAAAAAAAAAAAAACAGCTCTGCTACTTTAGCAGTGTGGGGTAGTTGGAGAACCAAATGCATGTGTAGCCACTTAACAGGCATCTAAAACTTGAACAAATTACTTCTTTTGAAACTCAGTTTTTTCCTCTGTGAAGTGAGATAATACTTACCTCGTTGTCTGTGTGAGAGAGTTAAGTTTCCACGCTGGCCCACGGAAAGCATTTGGAAAATTGTTGTTCTCTTATCTTGATTACATAGGATTCCAAACTGTGTGCATTTCTTTCCAACTAAAATACGAGTTCTCAATGTTGGAATTGATGGTGGTCCTCATTTTTTTCTATTCGTTTTAGCAAGTGCCTAAAGAATTTATAAAATAAGTTATTTTATAAAGAAGAGTAACTTTGTTTATTATGATTAGTTAATTCATACATGGGTAAGCTGACTTGATGAGCTCCACACCACTTAGGACTAACAGCAGTGATTTGGAATTGAATTTCTCATGTAGTGGCTGTGGAGAAGACAGTGAGAAGTGTTGGTTCATTTTCTGTTGCTTTAACAAAATGCCACAAACAGGGTAATTTATAAAGAAAAGAAGTTTATTAAGTTCAATGTTCTGGAGGCTGGAAAGTCCAAAGTCGAGGGGGCTACATCTGGTGAAGACTTGCTTGTTGCCTCGTAACAGGGTGGAGAGCATCACACGGTTAGGAGGCAAGAGAAGAGAGTCAGAGAGAGCTTGCTTTTATAACAAAGCCACTCCTGTAATAACAAACACACTCCCCTGATAATGACATTAATCTATTCATGAGGATGGAGAGATTATGTTTTCAACATGTGAAAATTTGGAGAATACATTCAAACTGTAACAACAGGGAAGGAACTCTTATATTCTCACCTATTCAATCCAGATATTTAGTTAACTTGGAATGTGATACTGTTTGGGGAATGATGTACCTATGGATAAAAACCAGATGCAGTCCATTGTGAAGGTGATTCATGCAAGTATTACAAGCTACTTTAGGATTACAACTTACCCTATTGCAAGTGTTGAGAATTTGGGGTTCTGTGACTTAGGTGATGAGAGTGGCCCCCCTCCATGAGCTATGCAGTCACCCAACAAGTATACATATAGTTCTCTGTGTGTTTGTATAATAAGTATGTGGGTAGTTAAGGCTAACCATCTATTAAAAAATATAAACTATTTGTGTTTTTGTTTTACCAATTTACTTAGGAACAAATATGTATTAAGTATTTTTTGTATGCTGGGCTCCTGGCAAATGTAAACATGAAAGCATGATCTTGCATTAAATCAATCTAACTTTTCAAATCCATATGTTAAGGCAATACACACCTTGGTTGAATTTTGGATTAAAGAAGGCTGTTATTTTATTATTTGAAATGACAACATACTTGAAATGTCATTTTAGAAGATGACCCTAGTTATTCCTGATTGTCTCAGGCTTTTTATATTCGACTAGTTTATTATCATTTTACCTGAGCTCTCTGCTTTACTTCTAATTTCCTAAAGCCTCTATAAATCTTGGTCTCCCTTCTTTGATTTGTTGCTGTCTTTGAGAAGACAATTACAGATCCCTGCTTCTCAGTTTCTCTGGAATTTTGCTCATCCATTTTCCTGATGTTTTTTCAATGTCTTCTGTCACTTCTTCTCTGCTGGTTTCTCCACTGCTGACAAAAGTGTTCAAAGCTTTTCCTATTCTAAAGAAGAGAAAACTTCATCCCAATCCAATTCCCTTTTGAATTATACCCTCTTTTCCTCTTTGATTCAATACCAAAGTTCTTGAAACTTGGGCAGACTTTCGACTCCATCTTGTTGACTCTCACTGCTTTGTCTCCTTCAACCTGGCTTTCATTCTTGTCACATTCCTGAAAATGTTCCCACAAAGATCAACTCCAAGCTCTAGACATCAACAACAAATCTTTATCCTTGACTTATTTGGGAAATTTGATATAGTTTATATATTTTTTCTGAAATCATTTTTTCTTAGCTTCTGTTCAGTCTCTCTTCTCCCAACTTTCCCTAATCATTTACTAAGATTTTCCTCTATCTCCTTTATTTCTTTGTGAACTCATTTTCTTTGTATTATTGACCATTCAATTACCATAAGTGTGATTTAATTAAGTCTCTGCATCTTTATTATTTAATTAAAAATATGAATATTTAGACTTGACTTTTCCTCTAAGTTCCAACCATTCTTTTGCAACTAGGTCTAGTTGTAACTTAACATCTCAAGTTTATGACATCTGAAATCAAACTTATTGCTCTCCTCCCATCTGCCATCCTCATATTTTCCCTTTCTCACCTCTATTCTGTTAAGGAAACTGTCATTTTCTCAACTAAGCAAACTAAAAATCTCAGATTGATTTTTTTTATTCCAGAAACTGTGGTGTGTTGTATTTAATCTGTTGCTGAAGTCTATTAATCATACCTGTTATAAGGGATGGCTTGCCCATGTGGTATAGGGAAGTTTTTAACGAAAGACAAGCAAAAAGCCAGGGCAACCAGTTCTTCAGATCATTAGGTCAAGGCCAATAATGATCTATTGTCTGTTCTAGAATAAAGCAGGAATTCAATTTGCATGTTTTGGAGTGTATCATTCATCAGTATCATATGGGTACCTGAGTCCTATATCAGCAAGGATGTTATCAGACTATGAGCACCACCATTTTCTGGAGAATTAGTCTGGCAGAATACAGAGTATGAAAGTGGAGTGCTGACTGCCCAGGGTAAGGTATAGAGCCAAAATATACTTTTGTGAGGAAACTGAAGTGAGCATCAGAGGCCCAGGAAGAAAGCAATCGGACAGGCAGGCCACAGAAGGAGACAACTGTGGACATAAATAGATGGTTATGTCCAAAGGAATGAGTCTACCCCAGGCCTAGAGACTATTTTCAATCCTCACATTGTTGTGAGGGAAACATCTAACTCATGACCAGGCCATGCTTTCATAGGTGTAGGCCCTTAGAGGCATATCTTTCATTTCTGTGGGGCAAAGGAGGCAGGCAGCAGAACCATTTCTACAACTCTGGTAGAGCATTGCCTTCCACAAGCCCATGTTCATGGCTACTAACTTGATTCTGACTGAAATTATTACTTATACTTTTGAACTGGACTTCTTCCTTCCTTCAATTTATATCCATTTCAGTATAGTCTTCTTGATGCAGTCAGGCTATTTTTCTAAAGCATTGTTCATTTACACCAAATTTTTACTCAAAATCCTTCAGTGATTATTCACCTCTTCCTTTTTACAACATTATTACTTCAATCTTTTCTTTTATCCTTGTCACCAACCATTCCCTTACATCTCTTTTGGACTGAAATATTCATTCATTCATTTTTTATTCAATAACATAAATAACTTCCTATATACTGGAAATTATATAGATATAAATTGTGAAGGTATAAAGATAAAATAAGGTCTTCGTTTTTGAACAGCACATAGTCTTACGAGGAGAAAGACATAAATAAAAGACCACTACATATTGTGACAAATTCCAGGTAGTGGTAAGTAGAGAATACCAAGGAGGAAATGAATGCCTTGATCTCCCTAAATGCACATTTTCTTTTCCTTTTTTCTTTGAACCTTTGCTGATACTATCTCCTTCTAGACCATAACTCTCACCTCTTATTTGTTTTGACACATTCTATTTCTCTCTCAAATAATTTTTTAAAAATGAAATGTCAGCTTCTCCATGAGACCTTTCTGATTTCTCAAAATCTGATAGAAACTTTCCCATAACACTTTGAACAATCTTTGTGAATTATTCTTTGTCTGATAGATGTTTTCCATGTTCTTGGCTATCTCTATCCCAAATCTTAGTCCTCAGAATAGGCTTTCAATGAAATTGCTCATATCTTATTCACTAGCAGCTCTAGCCATGATTATTTGTATTCAAAAGTTTTTGTATTTCAAATTCCTTACAATAAATTATTGGTATGGTTGCACAAGATAAAAACGGAATTACGTTATTTTATTATCAGATAATATGAATAAAACTATTGGAGAAATTGAATAAAATGAGTGAAGAGAATTCATTCCTAAACTTCAAGAACAAAGAAAAACAAAAATTATTTGAAGCAGAATTTGTTAGTAGTGAGGTCAGGCTGAATTAATCTACCAGGAAAATGAAAAAAGAATTGTTTGTTACATAAAATATTAAAACTTTTTTTTGCTATGACCCATCAGATTAATTCTGGGAAATAGCTGGAATTTATTAGGTATGAATTTTAGTTTAGCATTTCTTTTGGGATATTTGGTAAGACTTCAGAATGCTTCAAATATCTGGGAAATTTTTCTATGTTAGGAGTACATTTTAAAAATTAAACATACACTGTTCTTTTCTTTTTTCTTTTTCTTTTTTTTTCTTTCTTTTCTTTTTCTTTTTTTTTTGAGACAGGATTTTGCTCTGTTTCCCAAGCTAGAGTGCAGTAGCATGATCACGGCTCACTGCAGCCTTAACCTCCTGGGCTCAGGGCTCAGAGGGTCCTTCTGCCACAGCCTCCCAAGTTGCTGGGACCATAGGTGCATGCCACCAGGCACAGCTAATTTTTAAAATTATTTGTAGACACGGGAACTCCCTACATTGCCCAGGCTGGTCTCGAACTTGTGGGCTCAAGTGATCATCCCATGTCAGCTTCCCAAAGTGCTGAGATTACAGATGTGAGCTACTGTGCTTGGCCAAGTGTTTTCTAATTAGCAAGAAGTTCACATATATTTCTTATTTATGTGGTTTTGATACTGGATTCCAGTGGTGTGTGTTTTTACTACTTGATTCCCGGTGGCAGTATCTCAAGAAGGAAAAGTCTATTATCGGGAGACAAAAATGAAAAACAGCAGGTGAATTGGAAATCAAATGCACATACACAATCCATAGTTCTCATATACCTCAACACTTATATTTCAACCCTTATGACTGTCTTCCCTCTACCCCTCTTCAAGTAGTGGTAGTAAATGTTTGAATTTCAAATCTAATCCCCAAGATCATGCTCCCTTGATTCACTGTCTTCACTCAAATACCCATGATGAAATGCTAGCTCTGAATGGTAGTTTTAAACTTTGCTCCATTAAAGCTATGTAATCTTGATCTCATGCTACATTTAAATACATGTGTCACCTAAAGAAATCACTATATCAAATAAATGTCTGCATTCCATGTTCATTGCAGCACTATTCACAATAGGCACGATATGGAAGCCACCCCAAGTATCCATCAACAGATGAATGGATAAAGAAAATGTAGTACACACACACAATGGAGTACTATTCAGCCATAAACAAGAATGAGATCCTCTCACTGGGCTTTTAATTCTTTCAAAGTAGACCCTAGCTGTGAGATTTAAAATCAGGTCTTAGTTTTAACCTTAACATTGATAAATAAGATTCACTAGTACTACAGCAAATATTTTACCTTATGGAGGAAGGATTTGCTTGAATATGATATAATTTCAGTTCAGTCTTTTAATCTGCAATTTTATTTTCTTGATACACCACAAAATATTTTATGAACAGCAATGTGCAAACAATATGGGCACAGGTTCTAATGAAAGGAAATGAAATGGCTTCCTGGGAAAAGAACATGAGTTGTGGTTTGACTCATACCAGAGGCCAAAGCAAATGTGAGCCAACAATGAAGGAGGCTGTGTCTGACTTTGAATTCTAGTCACTGTAAAATAACTCATTGCTCACCAAGCAAGACATACACTGTTCAAATTGACTGGATGTGTTACTTATTCAAACTCGGAGAAGAGCTTAAAATTCAAGCTGTTGCCTGGGACAAAGGATTGGCTGTACTATTCACTTTCTGAGATAAACCTCTTCAACATTGTTGGCAATTTGCAAAGTGTAAAGGGTATAGTTTTTTACTTTTGGACAGCTGTTGTTTTGCATGCTCTCTCTATTATTTAGGTGTATATATTTGGATAATTGTTTAAATTCCTCTTAGTCATAGTTTCCTTATCCTAAGAAATTACTACTGTTTGTCTTTTTGATAGTGTTGTAAAGATTAAATGAAATGATGTAAATAAAACCTCCAGAAGACTGCATGGGAAGAAACACCAAAAGGAAGAGCCAATGAAAGTGATGGAAGCCAGGAAATTGCAATGTCCCTCTTATATGATCTCTCCAATCCTTAGGCATAAACCAACTCTGATACCTACTGGACTGTGCTTTTTGGCTCACTATCTCTCTCTGTCAATAATGAACATTGTAAAAGAAGGCACTTTCTTTAAATTTCAGAGTTTGGCACAGTGGCTGACTCATAGGTGGTCATCATTAAAAGTTTGCCTGTGAAGTGAATAAAAGAATGGCCTCAGAGATGATATGACTTGAGAGAGATTATGTTAGTAGAGTTAGCTAAGACTTGGGACAACGGATCCATGGGTAAGGTACAAGCTATTAATCTCAAGTGCTCTTCTAGCAAGGCTGCGTTAGTGAGAATTTCTGTAAACCACAGATTTTAAGAAATTTCTTGACAAATAAAATGAAAATACCTGGAGCTTGAAGATCTATGAATCTGTAGTTTTCACAAGCTCCCAGTTTATTCTGATACATGTTTAGATTTTTTGGCAATTTAAAAATTCTTGGCAGTCTTACTCATAATTCGACAAATGCTTGATATTAGGGTGTTCAAGATGAACCAGCCAACTCTTGACAAATGGATAGAGAACAGTACAGTCAATTAGGAAAGGAAATTCTGGGCAATCTGGTGGGGTGTTTGTGTGTGTGTGTGTGTGTGTGTGTGTGTGTGTGTGTGTGTGTGTGTGTATTAATCATCTTTGATGGTCTTACCCAAAATTATCTGATTATTAGAATTAGGGCAGAAAATGAGAATAAAATAAATCTGAAAACAGTGTGGCAGGGTTGGAATCCTATCTTTCTTACAGGTAGGTTTACTTATCTATAAAATTAAGAAAATTGTATTTCTTATAATGCTCTTTGAAGACTAAACGAGATAACCTGTGCAAAGCACAATGCTTCACGTAAGCATATGCTCTATTTATATCCGTTTCTTCTTCCTCCTCCTTCTTCTTCCTTTCTCTTCTTCCTCTTTTTCTTCTTCATTTTCAAAGCTAAAACCCATTCTATCTTCCTCATGAATTTTCACCTGACTTTGCTAGTTCATAAATATTTAGCTGTATTTGAAACAACATATAAATTATACTAAAATTTTATAATTTAGTTCTATATTGTTTGAACAATGTTTTTTTCCAGAAATTATCTTTTTTTATTCTTTTAGCTTTATCTTCTGAAGCAAAACATATGCTTAACAATAGTCTGTATAGCAAGTACATCTGTGTTGGGCTGGATATGCAGTAGGTTTCACAAACACGTGTTATATGCATAATTCTGTTTTACAGAGCAATACCAATTACAGTACCTCCCACTGGAATATTGTTGATAATCATCCACAACAACAACAAAAATTGAGTGATTCTTGTCACTTTGTAGCATGCACTTACAAAATTGATTCCAATCACGGAAACATACCAAGAAAAAATGCTATGGTTTTAAAAATAGGTCATACACATGTTCCTGAGGTCAGAATTCTAAACACTGGTTAAATTTCTACATTTTGTACCTGTAACATTTTTCCATCATGTCTCAAGGTAAAGGCATTAAGATTTTTTTAAATGATTATAAAAGTACTTAGTTGCTAAAATAAAAAAGGAAAGAAAAAAGAAGAAAAATTTCCTTCATAGTTGGAGAAAACTGACAAATTTTTATTTTCTATCAGTATTTTTCCATGCCTCCCTCCCCCTCTTTCTCTCCCCTCTCCTTCTCTTCCCTCCCTCTCTTCTCCTCTGCTCCTTTCCCTCCTCTGTACTCTCTCTCTGCACACACACACACACACACACACACTCTCTCTCTCTCTCTTTCTGTCTCTCTCTCTCTTTCTGTTTCTCTCTCCTTCTGTGTCTCACACACACACACTACACAAACGTTTCACAAATTATAATCATATGTCTTCCTACTCTCTTCTATTCTATTCTATTCTATTCTATTCTATTCTATTCTCTTTTCTTTTCCTCTCTCTCTCTCTCTCTCTCTCTCTCTCTCTTTCTTTCTTTCTTTTCTTTTTCACGGAGTTTTGCTCTTGTTGCCCAGGCTGGAGTGCAGTGGTGCGATCTAGGCTCACTGCAACCTCTGCCTCCCAGGTACAAGTGATTCTCCTGTCTCAGCCTCCCAAGTAGCTTGGATTACAGACATGGGCCACCATGCTCAACTAGTTTTTTTTTTTTTTATTTAGTAGAGACGGGGTTTCTCCTGTCCAGCCTCCCAAGTAGCTTGGATTACAGGCACGGGCCGCCATACCCAGCTTTTTTTTTTTTTTTTGTATTTAGTAGAAACCGGGTTTCACCATGTTAGTCAGGCTGGTCGCAAACTCCTGACCTCAGGTAAGACATCCACCTCGGTCTCCCAAAGTGCTGGGATTACAGGCGTGTGCCACCGCGCCCAGCCCCCGCTTTTTCATTTAGCATTATTGCCATGCTATGCCAAGGTATATTAAGGGCAATAAAATATAATACTAAAATTCTGTGTAATGTATCTCATGTATCCTTTGCCTTGGGTGACTCATCCCTGAAGTCAGTGTTTTCTTTCCTGCTATGGCAGAAATCTTCCACTACATTGTTCTTAGAATTTATTGAACAGCTGCTAAGTACGAATGGTACTGACAAGAAAAAAGAATTAGGATTGGCTTCTGTTGGAGCCATATCATATCCAATTAGCTTTTCAACATTGAGATGGTAAGTGTGCTTTTATAATTTGAGCGCATGATAACTCACAAATAATTGAGTTTCACTTAAATTTTAGCAAAACTATCTACTTTTATTGATTTGCTTTACAAAATTATCCATGTCCTTTCATGAACACATTCTATAGATTATTTCTAAAGATAACAACATATATTGTAATTTCACTTAATAGGAAACTTACCTGGCAGGTTAAATTCACAAGTAAATCAAGTTACCTAAATTTTTAATGAAGCTAATACTGCTGCTAAAATACATACATTTATTTGTTGTCAGCCAAGGATGCCAGTGACTAGGTAAATTACAATAAATAAATTGATAAAGTAAATAACTACAGTATAATAAATACATAAGTAAATAAATATTAACAAAATAAAGCAATTAGAATTCTATAAGTGCAGGTAGCATTATCACCATTCAAAATTATCCATTACCTAAAGGATTTAGTGTCAATTATTTTGATAGGTCTGAAATATACCAGGCAAAAGAGAATTTAATATGAATTATTTGTTTTAAGGTTACTTTTCTGTCAACGTTGTTACTTGTACCTTTTCTCTTACCCTCTTAAGAGCTTTAAATATTATTATATATGAAATAATCAGCTTTGCTTGTCTGTTTATGTTATATATAGTCTCTTTTAAAATTGTGTTAGCATTAGAAATTCATAAACATTCAAAGCTGGTTACTTTATTAAAAGTGGGAATCACTGGCCGGGCACGGTGGCTCAGGCCTGTAATCCCAGCACTTTAGGAGGCTGAGGCGGGCGGATCACGAGGTCAGGAGATTGAGACCATCCTGGCTAACACAGTGAAACCCCGTCTCTACTAAAAATACAAAAAATTAGTCAGGCTCGGTGGCGGGCACCTGTAGTCCCAGCTACTCGGGAGGCTGAGGCAGGAGAATGGCGTGAACCCGGGAGGCAGAGCTTGCAGTGAGCCGAGATCGCGCCACTGCACTCCAGCCTGGGCGACAGAGCGAGATTCCGTCTCAAAAAAAAAAAAAAAAAAAAAGTGGGAATCACTGAGTGGATTTATGTATGATTCTAATGAATGGAAACCACCTAGTAGAGTAGTTGATGTAGAAGACGCACTTGGTAAATTGTTTTTAATGAGAGGAGCACATACTGTAGAAATTGCTTTAAAAGAAAATTTTATTTTCTTTTTTATTCTTTTTTTGTTGTGTAGTTTTTTTTTTTTTGTTTGTTTGTTTGTTTTTTCTGGAAACAGAGTCTCGCTCTGTCGCCCAGGCTGGAGTGCAGCGGCATGATCTCAGCTCGCTGCAACCTCCGCCTCCCGGATTCAAGCAATTCCTGCCTCAGCCTCCTGAGTAGCTGAGATTACAGGCGCCTGCCACCACGCCCAGCTAATTTTTGTATTTTTAGTAGAGACAGCGTTTCACCATCTTGGACAGGCTGGTTTTGAACTCCTGACCTCGTGATCCACCTGCCTCTGCCTCCCAAAGTGCTGGGATTACAGGTGTGAGCCACAGCACCAGGCCGAAAATTCTAAAAAATGAAGTTTAGGAGAAATAAAATATCACCATATCAATTGGTGGCATCCAATTGGTTGGTAGAACACGTCGGAGGGGGTTTAACATGCCCTACATTCACAAAATATGAATGGCGATCTTCCAACCTTGTACTCCATTATAATGGAGCAATTATAAATGATTCAAATTATCATCATGCTTGTCAAAATAGTACTTTTATTGATTTTTGACATCTTTTCCTTGAGTTACATAATTCAAATAAATATCAAACCTGTCTCTTTATCTAACTTATCCAAAGCATCACAACATTTTTATTAATACTAAGGTCTCTGTTCATTTCTCCATTCACAAACATTATGATAACTATTTTCAAATAATATTCCATTTTAGTCACCTGACATTTACAGCATGAATTGTGTGAATTCAGCTAAGAATTATTTAAAATAAACACAGTAGAAAAAATATTGTGGCAGGTTATTTTTTTAAATTGGAAGTATAACCAAACAAGCATGCTGGATCAAATGTTGAATTCATGCTCACCTAAAGGAAATGTGTGTCTTAAAGAAAAATCTAGTTAGTAAATCTTTGTAACAGGGATACCTCTCTGGTATATGTGTGAGTCCTTATGAGCAAAAATAAATAAACAATTGATTCTTGAGGAAAAAACATGTTTTGAAATGGGAGATGCAAGTAAAGCCAAAACAAATACCAGTGACCAAAAGGAGTTGCGCTGTGTGTGACTAGGAATTATTATAATGCTGTAAAATAGCTCATTGTTCATCAAGCAAGACATGAGTAATTCAAACTGACTAAGCATGTTGTTTAGTTAACCTGGACATGAAGCTCAAGTTAAATATTATATGTTTATAAATGTGTTTTTTTGAGGGCTTGCTGTGGTGCCCCTCACACAGTAGATGCTGAATTAAGGCTTTCTGAGTAGTTCATGCAATGAAAGTCCTTTGGGCATGCATTATAAAGTTATGTAAAATTATTTAATTCTTTCACATTTTAAAGAGTATGAATTCAAAAAGACCTAATATGAACTTCAGTTCTGCCGCTGTTTAATGTCTGACATTTTCTGAGTTATTCAAACTTTACGAGCCTCAGGCTCCTCATCTCTCATATGGAATCAGTGATACTTACTTCATAAGAATATCGTTTATACTAAGAATTCATATATGAAAAAACAAAATAAATTTCAGGGCAATAGGACTTAGTGGAAAGTATGTAAGACTTATAATTAGAACTAAATTTCCACTCCAACCAGCGAGGAATTGGGTTATTATTGGTTTCAAGTCTTCACTTCCAATCTTACATAATGATCCATTCGTGGCTTCACCATGTGAATTGGCAGCCACAGCAGGATTATCTGTCCCTTGGTGTTGGGTTTGGCCATAGGAGCTGCTTTAACCAAGGCGGCGTTAGCAGAAGTTTCAACATCTTCAGGGGCAGCATGCGTTCCCACTCGCTCTCTTGTGCTTTTGTGTTTGCATGAGGAGAGCATGTCCAAGCTAGCTGGCTGTGCCAAAGTCAGTGAGGAGACATACAGAGTCAACTTGAACCCAGGCTGCAAATTGGACCCCAGTGGATGATCCTAGCTGAGCCACAGCTTGTCTTTATACCAATGAATGATAAATGAATTCTACTTGTTTTTGACTAGTGAGAACTTCAGTGTCATTTGTTACCTGGCCCTGGTTAGCACTAGTTGACTACTATATGACTCCACTTAACTATCTTTAGTACGGAGTTTATTTCTTTCCAAAGCTGTTCATATCATTTTACATTTAATTTGTTCGCATGTTTAAAAGTAATGGCTATAAATTCTCCCTGGTCACCTATGGAAATCCATGAACTGAGAAGCTAAATGTCTCTTAACATTAGATTATGGGCCTCTGCATAGTTTTCTTTTTGTCTATATAGTCCCATATAGCTTGGTATATTTCACCATATTTATTATTATAAATATGGAATACAGATTGGCTAATTTTATATATAGTTCTTTGTGATAGCAATTATAAAATTTACTTATGACAAGCGTACTCTTCCTCTTAAGTCACACTAGCTTATATAAAGCTAGATAAAAGTTTTTAAAAATTCTGTGCACTCAAATTCCTTGAGGTCTCTCTTTATTGCAAGATATGCTGCATATTGGTTTCACTGTGTTGCTGATAGGGATGACAGGGAAGGCACGCCACCTTCTGCAATGCTTGTGTGCATAGTCCTAACTTGACGGTAGCAGCTTCCTCTGTGTTTTGTATGGTCTAGAGAAGCTGCAATAACAGAAAGACCTACAAAAAGATTATAGATGCTTTTTTCTCTATTATGTTATAACCTCAGTTGTCTCATCTTCTAAATGAGGATCGAAATACTCATCTTATAGAGTTATAAAATACAGTAAGCGAGCTGTCCAGGAAGGGAGAACAGCTCTGATCCTCACAGTCACTGGTGTAATAAAATTCCTTCTAAGACATAACTGCATCAGCAAACAGGACATTTTCATCATATCTATGGCTAAAACTAAGTGCCCGACATGCTCAGGTTATAGCCAGTGGAAGGAGTAAGAGAAAGCAGATGCATTCCTACTTTTCTAAGGTTCCGGAAAAGAAGTGACACATATTACTTCTGTTCACATATCATTGTTGAGAACATAGTCATTTAGGCACATCTACCCAACAGGGGCCTGGGAAACATTAGCTCTAGTCAGGTAGTCAAGTCCTCAGCTACAACTCTATCACTATAAAACTTTCTAACACCTTTGCTACAGTTTGAGTGTTTGTGCCTGCACATCTCCATCCCACCAATTTATATGTTGAAATCCTCATCCCCAAGGTGATGGTATTAGGAGATAGGGCTTTTAAAGAGGTGATTAGGTCATGAGAGCTCAAGTACATTAATATAAGGCCTAAGGAAGCTCATTTGTCCCTTCCACCATGTGATGGTGCAGCAACATGACTTCTATAAACCCAGAAGTTGGTCCTCACTAATCTAATATGATTCTGCCAGCACCTTCATATTAGATTCCTCAGCTTTCATAACTGAAAAATAAATTTATGTTTTTTATAAACTACCAATATTATGACATTTTGTTATAGCATCCCAAATGGTCTAAGACAACCCTACCATCTGTTGGACAAAAAGATCTGCTGTCAACCTTTCTTCTACCTAAAGGAAAAGCCCTTTGTCTTTTACGCTTTTGCAATTTCTATATTGCTCCTGATGTCTAATGTATATTTTTGGGATCTTATGTACAAAGTTCCTATTTCAATTCTCTACTTTCTAGCAGTGTGATAATAAACAAGTTACTCTGGAATCTCAGTTGTCTCATTTTTTTTTTTTTTTTTTTTGAGACAGAGTCTTGCTCTGTCACCCAGGCTAGAATGCAGTGGCACGATCTCAGCTCACTGCAACCCCTGCCTCCCGGGTTCAAGTGATTCTCTTGCCCCAGACTCCTGAGTAGCTGGGATTACAGGCAGGTGCCACTGCACCCGGCTAATTTTTGTACTTTTAGTAGAGACGGCGTTTCACCATGTTGGCCAGGCTGGTCTCGAACTCCTGACCTCGTGATCCACCCACCTCGGCCTCCCAAAGTGCTAGAATTAGAGACGTGAGCCACTGCGCCTGGCCTCAGTTGTCTCATTTTTAAAGTGAAGGTAAAAATTATTCATCTTTTACAGATCTAAAATATAATAAAAAGTACATGAAAGCACTTTGAAGAGTAACTGGCATATGTTATACATCTAGTAAGTGTGTGCTATTGTAAATGTAGTCATCACATCGTTTTTAAAAACTTTTAATGGCAGGAGATGCTCATTGATTGGCCAGTACCACTAACACTGCTGCTGTTGTCATTGTTACTGGAGTGGACCTGAGACCTAGAGTCTGACATGAATGAGATCCAAAGAAGAAACTCTCACTTTCCTGCACCTCCAGCTGGTTGCTCCTCACACCATTCCCCAGAACTTTAGTCACGTCTGCTGTGTGGCATATTGGATTTGGTTGGAATGAGCCTTCTAGGACCTTTGCCCATCCTTGGATCCTGATTTCCACCAGTGTTGCTACCCCCTACTTCCCCAGAAACCCCTCTGCAATGGTACTAAAGATATCCAGTGCAAGCCACATAATTCTCTGCCAAGTGTGCATTGCGCCTGCTTGTGACGGAAGAAGAGATCTTTTTGCAAAGCTCCAAAAACTTGGCTGGGTCAGCTCCTGATCACCCCATGGAATTCTGGGGTCAGAGACATCCCAAAGCAGGCTTGTGCTGAGAATATTACAGTGAATCTGTGCGGGGGCTTACAATTCTATTTTGACACCAAATGTGTTTTCTGTCTTGCATATGCCGTAACAAGGTGGAGTGGGTTTCATCCAGGTTACTTAGAATACTGCCCCCCTCAGTGAAGAGGAACATAACCTTGGGTTTACAAGGAAATTTCCTGGCCTATATAATTTCACAATCTCTTGTGGTGGATAATTAACTTGTGCTTTTGCTCCCTGAGTTTAGTAGGCATATTCAGGCTTATCACTTCCTTCACCCAACAGACTCACTATAACTGCACTGTTCAATGTATTCACCACTAGTCAAATGGGATTATTGAGCTCTTTAAATTTGTCTAGTCTTAATTGAGGTGTGCAGAAATTTTAAATGTACACTGAGTCTCAAAGACTTCATATGGAAAAATTTGTAAATATAACTTTATTTTTTATACTGATTATGTTCAAATACTGTTTTAAATGTATAGAGTTATATATGGTGAAAATAAATGTGATATCCTTTTAATTTTTAAAAAATATATAGCTACTAGGAAATTTAAAATGACAGATGTGACCTATATTATATTTCTGTTGGGTGGCACTGCGATAGATTCTATGGGCCTGAGCCAAGTAGGGATTCAAACTTCAATTCTGTTTATCTCCCAGTAAAGTTGAAGACATTTCCAAGAAGTAGGTAGGCATTTACTTCAAAGACAGTCATAGTAAAATTACAATTTGTCAATGCAAGATGAATTATATAAAGACTCTTGATGATCACTAGATGACTCTAGGAATTTCATTGCTGTTATTAATCAAAACCATAAAGACAAAATATTTATGATCAGCAGTACCTGGGATTATGTAAATTATAGTTAAATTCTGTACATTTCAAATGATATCAATATCTACATAAGAATGACTTAAACAAGATGATGATTGGATGGCTCACTAACCCTTCAAAGACTGAAAATTAGAAAAGTTAAGAGATGCTCAATTTCATATGAACTGTTAGAACATGTATTTTTTATATACCCTTCTCATATACTTTCTCTTAATGTTAAACTAGAGTTAAAGTTAGTAGTGACAAGGTCTAAGCATGTCTTTGGAAAATTCTAATTAGCTGAGGATATTTCTCCCTTCACATTCTGGATGATAAAATAACAATTCTGTCAATTAGGAGAAACTCACATGAATGAGAATCTAGCTCTGAACTGAATTTCATTAGCTAAAAGCAGGGGTCTATATTAGCAGGGATAGTTCTTAAAGGTTAAACACTAGAGATACTGTTTCATTAACTTTTAGAAACCTGGTTTTTTAATTTATGTGTCTGTATCAGTCAGTATGCAATCAGAACAGCAGAGTCACAAGGAACCATATTTGTTCATTCACTCATTCATTCATCCAATCTTGTATTTGTATCAAGGGATTTTTCCCAGGCAGTAGACCTCATGCAATTATGAAAGTGGGAGCTAATTAAGTAGTCTCTGTGTAGCTGTGTCCTTGAATCTGCTGTGAAGGCTTGAAGTCCACAAAAAGAAGGGAAAATGCATATAAAGTGGGAGACAGTAGGAACAAACTGGAACCCACAAGTATCAGTTTTTACTGTCTCTCACCTTGATGGCAAGGGGTTCCTGCAGAAGCCAGTGCTCTTCATCAAGGAGCTAAAGATACACACACACACACACACACACACACACACACACACACACACACACACACACACACCCCGTGGAGAATCAGGAGAATTCAATGGAAGGTGGAGCAATTGTAGGCTGAGCTCCTGTCTTAGACCAACAAGGTAAGCCAGAGGATAAGTGACAATTTACGTGACCTACAAAAATAGCTGCTGCTTTACTTCTACCCTCCAAATCTTGCACAAGATTCTCTCTGTGTCTCACCCTAAGTGGAAAAACATATGGAAGGGAAATCTTGGAAATGTAGTTTAACCTAGCCATCACAGTGTAGCCTCAGCCGACACAATACCAAGCCATCACAGTGTGTCTTTATGTGTGTTTTTTTTCCTCCATGCTTTCAATCTGTCTCTCTCTGCACAGAGAGAATATATACATCAGGTAAGTATGGGTAAGTGTGTGTAGCCTTTCCTGGCATTCTCTTCCCTTTGTGTGTGTTTTCAAACACATTTGCATTTGTCTCTTAATGCTTCTCTCCCTGTTACTGTTTCTTTTGGGCCTATTTTCTTTTTTCTTTGACCCTCTACCTTTTCTTTCCTGTATTTTCACCTCTTGACCTCATGCCTGTTTGATTGCTTCACTCTCTTTTTCTGTTTTATGACCAAGAAACTAAATTGCTTTTAAAGTTTTTTAAAAAATCCACTTAGTGAATATATTTTATGGTCTCTATTCCTAACTTTCTAACTAATTTCAGGGCAATTTGGATTTATCTTTTTTTCCAAAAAGACCTTTTAAAAATGTTATATGGTTTTTTTGTAAAAAGACCTTTTAAAATATTATATGGTCCTAGATTAATGTTTTCTGTGAGTATATGGCCCTGGTATCAATGAGGTTTGTCTTTTGTGGTCTATTCAGTATGAAAAGTGATTGATTCTAGGCTCTAGTGGATGTCTTAGAGCAGCTCGGAGAGCCGCTATGTGTCACTTCTTGCCGCCACACAGCATTTGACCAGTATTCCATCTGGTTTTTAGAGTGTTTATCACCTCATTTCACTGCTTGCCTTTTCCAGGTTAAGGATTGCCTCATGAATGTCAAAGCATCACCTCTAAAATTAAGGGATTTTTAGAAAGCATTCTTTCTTAAAAGTTTTTCTTAGACTTTTAAAGCCATCACCCATTTATAACAATTACCAAATTATTAAACATGAAATTGCCCATATGGATATTGTTATTATCTTGTCATATTCTCAGGTGGACCAGATTAATAGAACATTTTTCTCCATAGCCTAAATTCACGAGAGTTTGAGTTTGGGGGAAAGGTAATTAGAAAGCACCAAGCATTACTTAGTATGGTACTGGGGCATTAACCAATAAGGAAGATGGGACTTGCTGGAGAATAGTAGAGGGCATTGGGTTTTATGATAAAGAAAAATAAATGTCAGGGGATAGGAAAGGTGAGACACTACAAACAAATTGTATCTGCTTCTTAGATTAACTAGGAAAGGACTTCTACTGCTGTGCTTCTTAAAAAAAGCCTCAAATCTGAAACTTGTCATTAGTTAGGTGTATCTGAGTCTTGCCTATCTTCATATAAGTTCAGGCTCTTTCTGTGTAGGGAGGGTAATGGAGATGTTAGTCCAGGATGGGGGCCTGTTCACGACAACTGAGCATTGTTCTTCTGTACTCATGCACTCACTCACATTGCACACACCCACCTACTCACAAAACTAGATTGGAAATATATGAGTTATAGTAATGTTGATACTTTACATTGGTGTAGAATTTTAGAATATTGAGTGCTTTCACATACATTATCTCAGAACGCAGGGAGTAAGAGTCAGTGACCACAATGAGGAGGATATGTGGAGAGAGTGGATAAGAAAGAACAACAGAATAGATAGGGAAGAAAGTGCCCATGGGTGGAGGCTAGCTAAAAATTAAGAAATGCCATGGTAGTAGCTGAGCGAACTTGGTACCATATCACTAATCTACTTAACTGATGAATAATGTCTTCTCTAAATGTCCCCAGGCATTGTGAAGAGATGCAGCATATTTTTTTTTAACTTTTACTTTAGGTTCATAGGGGCATGTGCAGGTTTGTCATATAGGTAAGTTCATATCATGGGGGTTTGTTGTACAGATAATTTTATCACCCAAGTACTAAGCCTATTACCCAATAGTTATTTCTTTCTGATCTTCTCTCTCCTCCCACCTTCCACCCTCAAGTAGGCCCAAGTGTCTGTTGATTCCCTTATTATCTCCATGAGTTCTCATCATTTAGCTCCCACTTGTAAGTGAGAACATGCAGTATTTGGTTTTCTGTTCCTATGTTAATTTGCCAAGGATAATGGCTTCCAGCTCCATCCATGTTTCTGCAAAATACATGAGCTCATTTTTTTCTGGCTGAATAATATTCCATGGTGTATATGCACTATATTTTCTTTATCCAGTCAGTGATGGGCATTTAGATTGATTCCATGTCTTTGCTATTGTGAATAGTGGAGATGCAGCATATTAGAGAGTATTGACATTTCCTAGTCTAGACTCCAAAATTAGTTAAGAACATTTGGAAAAAGTAATACAAAGATTTCAGAAGAAAACAGCTGCGCAGGCTGCTATTACTAAATTCATATGAACTATGGTCCAAAAATGCACTTCAAGTCTTGCAGGGTTTGGAACACTGATGGACATCCGTATGTATTTCATAAGGCTCTTTGGCCAAGGAGTAGCAGAAGCTGACAATCAATGGGCTGTCAGTTCATTCAGCCTTCAGGACTTTGGTGGGGAAGAGAAAAGATGGGCAACCAATTTGAGCAGCCCTGTCAAGAGATCTGCTGCCCAGCCATGCAAACACCAGAACAGTTTGAACTGATCACACTAACACAGCAGTCACAGGACTAGGGTTGACTGGACTGTGAAGACTAAGCAAACACTACTGCAGGTCTCATCACCGCATCACCGGAAAGCTGACATCAAAGGGAAGGAAAACCAAGCACCTGTTCTCTCAAGGGACTGACATCACTTAGTTCCTCAGTAACAGCTCTCATGCTAGATTAAATATCTTTTTTTGTTCTAGTTTGTGATGGTTACATCGAAGCTAGGATGATTTGGATCTTAATAATGAAGTTTTGCAACATATCTGTAATTCAGCACTGTTTTCTGTGTCCTCTATCAGTGTTCTATCTAATTCAGGCTCCTGTCAGGAAAAATTAAAAAAGACTTTGAAAGAAAAAAAATAAAGATTACTGGATGTCCTGTCTAGCACACTGTTCCTGTTTACTTGTGACTTTCATCATCTTTGAGCTATTTTAGCGATCTTGTAATTTGTAGAAAACTTATAGTCATGCAAATGATTCTTGTTCATAGAAATTCAGTTGATTATTGCCCTGTGGAAATTGACCAGTTTTGCATCTACTGTATTTGAAATTCATCTAAGCATTTTTGATTGTTAATATACATGTGTTGTTTGATTCTCTTTTTAATTAGTTGCAACATCTTACTGGTTTTTTCATTAATTAATGAATCAAATGTCATCTTTGACATGTATTTATTTTATGTGCATTTTATTCTTTAATGCCTTCTTCAATTCTTTACTGGATTATACCAGCCTCCTAACTTGTTTCTCCATAGAGTAAATTGAGAAATCTTCAAAAATGAAAATCAGGCTAAGTTTTTTTTTTTTTTCCTAGCTGAAAAATCCTTCAAGGATTTTTATTGTTCTTATAATAAAATACACACTCCATATCTTGGTTTACAAAACTCCGAAGTATCTAGTACTTATATTCTCTCCAACCTATTTTTTTTTTTTTATTGATATGGAGTTTCACTCTTGTTGCCCAGGCTGGAGTGCAGTGGTGCGATCTCAGCTCACTACAATCTCAGCCTCCCAGATTCAAGCGATTCTCCTGTCTCAACCTCCCTAGTAGCTGGGATTATAGGCACCGCCACCACTCCCGACTAATTTTTGTATTTTTAGTAGAGACGGGGTTTCACCATGTTGGCCAGGATGATCTCGAACTCCTGACTGCAGGTGACCCACCTGCCTCAGCCTCCTAAAGTGCTGGGATTACATGCATGAGCCACCGTGCCCGGTCTTCTCTAACCTAATTTTATGCTCTTCTACTGATTTTTCATTATATTCCAGCTATACTGGTCCCATTCTGTTCCTGGAATTTATCAAACCGTTATCCATCTCAGGGAGGCCTTTGCGATCACTTATCTCTGCATAGAATGCTTTTTTGGTAGAAATTTGCCTGGCTGACTCAGTCTTATCCTTTAGGTCTCAACTTCCCTCTGAGGTCCCCATGAGACCATTACATCCCATTTCTCTCCTCAGACAAGATTTCCCTGACTACTCTTTCTAATAGTGTGTTATGTATTTACTATTTATTGCATCCTATTTGTGGTAATCTGTATTCTTTATCTCATTTCTATTTGATACCTCCACTAAAAGGTAAACTCAATGAAGAGATAGAATGTGTTGTCATATTATCTACTGTATCACAAGATATATTTCATGTAGTAAAGATCATTTGTGGAATAAATGAAAAATATGGGAAGAAAAGCCCTTGAATTTCAGAAGAGACCTGGGGACTTATGAATGAGAAAATAAAGACTCTACTAAGGAGCAAGTTATAGAATATATGTAAACAAGAAAGGTGGTGTGTTCTATGATGACCAGAAAGCCAAGTGTTGGTGTGAATATATCCAAGAATAGGAACAAATAAGGATACAGTGGCCATATATGGGTATGATACTCTTTAGAAGAATAAATGTTCCATTTCTCATTTACTTACAGTTAGAAGTATTTGGTAAGATTCTCCTTATTGACTTAGGAACTTAGGTGGAAATTCAATAATTACTCAATACCAATATCTCCCACTAAAGTAATTTTATTATTTGGGTTTCTAGAACAATAATGGAACCAAATTAACACTGGATGAGTATAGAAAGAATGAATAAATGCCATCTATGTTAATCTGATTAGCAGAAAGATAGAGGCATAGATAAAGAGGATTATTTAATATATTGATAATAGTTGAAATGACATTCTTTATGGGGAAATGAAGAATTACTTTGATTGTAGTTTAGATAGAGAGGACTTATTGGACAACTCTCCATTTCTAATTCCAGGTTCCTTTTGATCTTGTTCTCCTCCTCAATCTCTTTTCACGTTTTAATCAGTTTATTTTTTTCTGTATGAGCTATTTTTTTCCTGGAACATTTTACTTTTTGTAGACATTTTTCTCCTTCACCTTCTCTAGAAAATGAATATGGAAGGTTCTTAAAGCACCAAAGAACATATGTATAAAGGACCTTGAGTTGATGATGATGTTTTTAATAATCATTGCATCTCAATTATCCAGGCATGGTCCGGGCAATGAAAATTGTATATTGACCATGAAAGATTAATATTAAGATAACAGAAGAAGGGTAATGTCTTAGCTTGGTTTCTCCAGACAGTAGAGACTGAATCAAAGAATTAAGTGCAAATATTTTATTGGAAAGTGAGACTCAAGGAGGTGGAAAAGAGACAAGGTTAGCAGGGGAGGAGGGAGTGCCAGGACAAAGATTCATTATGCAGTTGCCCACAGCTATAGGTGACTAGATGTTCGAGCTCCCAGGTCTGCTTAATGAGGCATATGAAATGCATCTCAAGGCTACCAGTATATGGGAATGAAAGTGAAAAGCAAGTTCATTGCCTTTCATTACTCATTAGTCATAGGTTCACCCCATAGCATTATAATTCTTCATCCTTTTCAAGTTGCACAGTTGCGAGTGCCAAGAGCATTTCTAAAGGGTCTGCTACCACATATCATTAAAGAAGCTCCTGGGAAGAGGGTAGGCACTACAAGGTCTAGACCTCAGGTGTCAGATTTCACATCTGCGAAACTGAGTGGTTAGAATAAGAGATAACTGAGGCTAAAAGAATCTGAAGTGTTGTGAATAAATGTACAAAATATAGAGGAAGCAGCAACATTTAAAAATTGAAGACAGAAGACAGGGAAAAGAACAGAAAATCATTAACCAGCTGTGTGACCTTATACGATGCAATCTACAATTTGCAACCTCAGACCTTTTGACTATGACATAAAGGAGTTGCTCTAGCTCAGTGGTCCTTAATGTTGGCTGAACATAAAATCATCTGGGGATCTTTAAAAATACCATTGCCTAGGGCCTGTCCCCAGATATTCTGATTTATTTTGTGTCTGGTGCAAACTGAACAATGGGACTTTAAAAAAAAAAAAAAAAACTCCCTAGATGATTCTAATGTGCAGGAAAGATTGAGAATCACAGCTGTAGAATCAGTAAAGGATTATTCACTTATATCATGTTATGATTGTATCTACAGTTTTTCAAATGCCTATGGAAAAATAATCTCCACTGTCCTTTTAGCCAGATATTGTTCAGAACTTCCAACTCCGTGAACTTACGCTTATAAATTCTTCCATTTGAATATCATGTATCAGTTCCGCAGATGATTATGGATTTTTCAATTTTAGCCAAACTGTAAGTTAAATTAATTATTTCAATTGGCCTTTGATTTATATGTTTTTCTTTTTCCAGAATAACTCTGTTGCAATTTCTATTGGCTGCATAGTCTAGTTTTTTAGAACATCCGCCTAGTGATCTTTCTTCTTGCCAAATTCTTTTGGAGAAATTGCTAACTGGAAACTACTTTGTTTTTCTCTGTTTTGCAATAATTGAACTGTTTTTCAGTCACTCTTATCTAAAAATATTAAAATACTAAGTAGATATACAAATTTTAAAAATTACAAATATAGCTAAGGTTTAAAGACAGAAGATACCAAAAAATGCCCATGAACTCACAATCATTTTAGAAAAAAATACATTTTTATTAAACCCAGATTCCCTGTGAGTATGCCCTTGCATCCTAACCTCTTCCATTACTACTGCTCAAAAGTAGCCACTATACTTAATTTTATGTTTATGATTCTCTTGCTCTTCCTTATAGTTCTAACACATTAGTTAGAATATTAAATAACACATAGCTTAGTTTTGCATATTTTGAACCATATATAAATGAAGTTGTATTGTATGTATTCTTCAACTTGTTTTTTAGGCTTAGATTCATCTGAGATTTACTTTCATTGTAACTGTAAATAATTGATTTTTACTGTTATATAGCATTCTGTAGTAGGACTAAACTACAATTTATCTATTTGTATAATTAGATAGATTAACTGCAGTAACAAATAATCCTAAAACATTCAGTAGCTTATTTTTTGCCCATACAATGTCTGATGCAGACAAATCTTGTTGGACAGCTGTCCTGCTTGTCCATCCTCGCAGCAGAGAACCTAGGGATGCAGGCCGTTTCCATTGTGTGTGTTCAACATTTTGCAGTCTTTGATTGCAAAATGGAAATGCGGATGAGAGCAGGAGTGTGGTGTGTTTGCATGTGAGTGCATAGGAGAGAGAGAAATAGAGTGAGAGGGAGAGCGAGAAACAGAGAGACAGAAAGATGGAGAGAGATGAGAGCTGGAGAGGGAAGAAAAGGAGAAGGAGAGGGGACAGGAAAAAGAAGGAGAAGGAGAGAAGAGAAGAGAAGGAGGAGGTGAAGGCGATTACTGCATAAGGCATTTCTGACCATTATTTTTTCCCACATTTTAAACAGAACACAATTACATGGCTCCACCTAGATGGAGAAGATGGCATGTGCCTAGTATGAAAATCAAATGGTTTGAAAAATGCATGATATAGTCTCTGCTATACCTTAATACTTCCATTAACATTTAAATTATTTTTTAATTTTTTAAAATTGAGATGCTGTGGACATTCTTTTGTCTCCCAATGTACATGGGCAAATATTTGCCTAGTGCAGTGGATATTGAACATTTTTAAACCATAACTTCATGTATGAAATATATTTTGCATTATTCTGTGTCCTTATAAACATACATACATATATATAACATATATATGTTATATAAACATACATACACATAAACACTTAAAAGTGGGAGAATTTTCACCCAAAAAATATTCATTATTCTTTCTTTGTGTGTGTGTGTGTGTGTGTGTGTGTGTGTGTGTCTGTATGTTTTGCAGAATTGGACCAAGGATTTTAACATACCAGAGAACAAACTGTTCATTGATAGGGTCTCAGACTCTGTGTTGCAAAAACCTTTAAGAAGTTAAAACCTGTCCAGTATCGGTATAATATCCAAGAACATCATAATTATCTCGAAAGGTTATTAAAGTTATTTTCCCTTTTCTCATCACGTATCAGTATGATACATTCCTACCAAAAAATCTCACAACAGATTAACTATAGAATCTGGTATGAGAATGTAGATATTTTCAATTATATCATTTAAAATATTTGCAAAAAAATTTCTCTCTTACTGCTCTTTTTATTTATTTTACTGACTTATTTTAAATTGACAACAATTTTATATATTTATGATGTACAAGATGACGTTTACACATTGTGGAATGTCTAAATCCAAGTAATTGACATATGCATCGAAAATTCCTGAGAGTAGATTTTAAGTGTTCTCACAACCAAATAATAAATATATGAGGTATGTTAATTATCCATTATTCTTAAATTAGTTCACCATTTATAACTCTCAACTTCTTTTGTTGTGTAAACTTTAATACTAATTCTCCTTGAATAGAAAGAACTGAAATCAAAAGCTGAGTTAGTAACTCTTTTTCTTTTTGATACACTGATATGATTTGGTTCTGTCCCCACGTAAATCTCATTTTGTATTGTAGCTTCCACAATCCTCATGTGTCATGGAAGGGACCTGGGAGGGAAGTAATTAAATCATGGAAGCAGGTCATTCCTGTGCTGTTTTCATGATACTGAGTAAGTCTCACAAGATCTGATGGTTATAAGGGGGAATTTCCCTGCACATGCTCTCTTGCCTGCTGCCATGTAAGACATGCCTTCCTTCCCCTTCAGCTTCTGTCATGATTGTGAGGCCTCCCCAGCCATGTGGAACTGTGAGTCAATTCAACTTCTTTTTTGAAAATAAATTACGCAGTCTTGGGCACGTCTTTATTAGCAGCATGAGAACAGACTAATACAGTAAATTGGTACTGGTAGAGTGAGGTGCTGCTATAAAGATACCCGAAAATGTAGAAGCGACATTGGAACTGGGTAACAGGCAGAGGCTGGAACAGTTAGGAGGGCTCAGAAGAAGATAGGAAAATGTTGGAAAGTTTGGAACTTCCTAGAGACTTGGAGGGCTCAGAAGACAGGAGTATGTGGGAAAGTTTGGAACTTCCTAGATACTTTTTGAATGGTTTTGACTAAAATGCTGGTAGTGATATGGACAATAAGTCCAGGTTGAGGTGGTCTCAGATGGAGATGAAGAACTTGTTGAGAACTGGAGTAAAGGTGACTCTTGCTTTGCTTTAGCAAAGAGACTGGCAGCATTTTGTCTCTGCCCTAGAGATCTGTGGAGCTTTGAACTTGAGAGAGATAATTTCGGGTATCTGGCGGAAGGAATTTCTAAGCAGCAAGGCATTCAAGAGAAAGCACAGCATAAAAGCTTGGAAAATTTGCAGCCTGATGATCTGATACAAAAGAAAAACCCATCTTCTGGGGAGAAATCTTTCTGACTCCATACTTTAAGCCCAAATGGTTGCTGGACCTAGAGAAGCTTTGGTGGATAACATCCTTAGCCATAATAAAAGCTTATGGCTTTGGTTCTTTTCCATGTACTGTTAAAACTTCCTGGCACAGTTCTACTTTCATATAACATAGCTAAGGATGAATGCCCTTGGCTTTTGAGGCTGAGTAATGCTTTCACAGGTTGAACATTTCTTACTAAAAATGCTAGGGACAAGAAGTGTTTCAAATTTCATATTTTCTTAGATTTTTGAATATTTGCATTGAGCATCCATAATGTGAGAATCCGAAATCCAAAATGCTCCAGTGAGCATTTCCTTTGAGCATCATTCCAGAACTCAAAAAGTTCCAAATTTTAGAGCATTTCAGATTTCAGATTTTCATATTAGGAGCGCTTAACCTGAAGTACCTCCTGAGTAGATAAGGCAAAATGGAATGTAATTAAGAGATTTGGTGAGGCCAAGAGATTTGTAGTATCACTTATATTACACTGTATTTTGGAGGGACAAAAGGTTTACCTTGGATGATTATATCACCTTTTCAACAGGCTGCTGCTCTGATAAACTTGCTGAAAAGTTTTGGTTAACATGCTAAATCTAGCGTTTTTGCTACTGAGCGTTTGACTTCATTCTCAGATAAGGCCCAAAATTACTTTCAGGCTTTCTTAGAGTCTTGCTGTGGTGGAAGGCTGCAAAAACAAAACCAAAAAAAAAAAAAAAACAACTAACTGTGTGAGATAAAAGTGATCTGGTATTTTGTGCCATCTTCACAACTGATTATCTAACCAAGAAGGTTGTTGTAAAAATGTAGCATTAAGATGTGTGAGCTTCTGGACAACACTGGACATGAAGTTTTTATTTTACTACCTACAAACTGTGTGACTTCAAGCAATTTACTTTATGTCTTTGATCTAGGGTTTTCTCATTTTAAAATGGATGCTCTAGCCTTATAATGTTCCTTCTAGTGTCAAACCTCTTACATCCTGTAGCCTTGTTTTCTCAGTTTTGGATCCCTGTATGTCTTTCATTCTTCTCTGAGCCTCTAAGTCTCCAAAACCAGGACATCTTCTAGAACTTCTGCATTTCTTTGATGGGCTTTAGGGAAATAAATGTGTTGCCACATCTTTAACCGTCTGTCTTTGTTCATTTCCATGCTGTTATGACAGAATACCAAACAAAGACTGGGTAATTTATAAACAATAGAAGTTTGTTTGGTTCACAGTTCTATAGGCTAGAAAGTCCAAGATCAAGGGGCTGTATTGGGCATCGGCCTATGTGCTGTGTCATAACATGGCAGAAGGCATCACGTGGTGAGAAGGAGAAGGAAGGCCAAAGTCGCCTTTATAACACACTCTTTTTTTTTTCTTTCTTTCTTTCTTTTTTGTTTTTTGGTTGGTTTCTTTTTGTTGTTGTTGTTGAGACGGAGTCTCCCTCTGTCACCCAGGCTGGAGTACAGTGGCACGATCTTGGCTCACTGCAACCTCCGCCTCCCGGGTTTAAGCAATTCCCTGTGTCAGCCTCCTGAGTAGCTGGGATTACAGGTGCCTGCCACCATGCCTGGCTAATTTTTTTATTTATAGTAGAAAGGGTGTTTCACTATCTTGGCCAGGCTGGTCTTGAACTCCTGAACTTGTGATCCACCCACCTCGGCCTCCCAAAGTGCTGGGATTACAGCTGTGAGCCACCATGCCCGGCCTATAACCCACTCTTAATAATGAACCCACTCCTGTAAAAAGGACATTAATCCATGAATGAGGGCAGAGTCCTCATAATCACCTCTTAAAGATCTCCCTCTCAACACTTTTGTACTGGGGACTAAGTTTCCAATACATAAGGGTCACATTCAAACCACCACACTAGTTAAACATTTCCCTCTTCTACTGCTATACCATGTTGTTGCACTATGTTTCACAAGACACCAAGCTCAATAAGGGACTACTAAGTCACAATGTGAACCCAGTGTTATCAAGTGCCCCATTCCTATTGAGAGTTTTCCACTATGTGTCCCACACCCTAACAGATTTCAAAAAGGGAAAAGTAAGAATGTTAGCATTTGTCTTCCTCCTCTAACTTTTCATACTTTTCCTGATTCTCTCAGGGTCATTCTTGCTTTCCACTGTACCTCATCTTTTCCATTTTCTTCCCTTAGGGTTCGGTATATCTTCCTTTATACTATATCCCGAGTTCTTTCTGCTTATCGTTTCAGGTCAATCAAGCCTGCACACTGAAAAGTTAACTATAGTATGTGAAATCTAGAAAATCTGTTTTGTTTTTGCTTTTAGTAATACCAAGGTTTCCAACCTCTTGTTTTACTTTAAATGTAAAATGTGTGGTTTAAAAGTCAAATGTGAATATTGGCTCTTTGTCTGTGAATTTCTATCATAACAACATTTATTATCCTTAAAGCAAATGAATGCCTGTACTTAAAGAAGATTGGTACAAAAAAATGGAAAGTAGGGAAGGGGGACAAGATGCCCAACTAGACAAGCCAGGAAGACTGCTCTCACTAAGAGAGACCAAATTATTGAGTAAATAACTAAATTTGGAGAAGAACTGAAAGAAATTCCATGCAAAGATTCATACAAAGGATTAGTGAAACCAAGAATCGCTTATTTGAAAGAATTAACAAGATTGATATTGGCTAGCTAGATTAACAAAGAAACAAAAAAGAGAAGTCTAAATAAATACAATCAGAAATGACAAAGATGACACTACAACCAAACCCACATAAATGCAAAAGATCCTCAGAGATTATTACGAACAATTCTATGCACACAAATTAAAAAGTCTAGAGGAAATAGATAAATTCCTGGAAACACAAAACCTCCCAAGATAGAATCAGGAAGAACATGATAACCAAAACACAATCCAGTAAGTCCTGAAATTGAATGCATAACAAAAACCTACCAATCACAAAAAGCCTTAGACCACATGGATCCACAGCCAAATTCTACCAGACATACAAAGAACTGGTACCAATCCTACAGAAAGTATTCCATAAAATCAAAGGCCGGGTGCGGTGGATCATGCCTGTAATCCCAGCACTTTGGGAGGCCGGGAGGGTAGATCACGAGGTCAGGAGATCTAGACCATCCTTGCTAACATGGTGAAACCCCGTCTCTACTAAAAATACAAAAAAATTAGCCAGACTACACTGCACCTGTAGTCCCAGCTACTCGGGAGGCTGAAGCAGGAGAATGGGGTGAACCCAGGAGGCGGAGCTTGTAGTGAGCTGAGATCATGCCACTGCACTCCAACCTGGGCAACAGAGCGAGACTCCATCTCAAAAAAAAAAAAAAAAAAAAGCAAAACCCATATGACTGGCCAGGCATGGTGGCTCATGCCTGTAATTTCAGAACTTTGGGAGGCCAAGTTGGGTGGATCACCTGAGGTCAGGACTTCAAGACCAGCCTGGCCAACATGGTGAAACCCTGTCTCTATTAAAAATACTAAAATTAGCTGGGTGTGGTGGCATGCAACTGGCTACTTAGGAGGCTGAGGCAGGAGAATTGCTTGAACCCAGGAGACAGAGGTTTCAGTGAGCTGAGATCATGTCACTGCACTCCAACCTAGATGACAGAGTGAGACTCCATTTCAAAAAACCATATGAACATCTGAATTGAAATGAAAAAAGCTTTTGATAAATCCAGCATCCTTTCATGATAAAAAGTCTTAACAGATGAGGCATCAAGGAAATGTCATTGATGACTGAAAATGTTAAGAGCCATCTATGACAAACTCAAAGTCATTGCGATATTGCACGGCCAAAGCTAGAACCATTCCACTCGAGAACTGGAAGACAAAGGTGCCTACTCTCGCCACTCTTATTCAATGTCGTACTGTAAGTCCTAGTCAGAGCAATCAGGCAAGAAAAGGAAATAAAAAGCATTGGTATAGGAAAAGAAGAAGTCAAACTATCACTCTTCACTGTTGATTTGATTCTATACCTTGAAAACCCTAAAGACTCTGCCAAAAGGCTCCTAGAACCGATAAACAACTTTAGTGAAGTTTTAGGATACAAAATAAACATACAAAAGTCAGTAGTATTTCTGTACACAAGTAACATTCAAGCTGAGAGTCAAATGAAGAACACAATCCCGTTTACAATAGTCAAAAAGTTGAAATACCTAGGAATAGAGTTAACTGAGGAGGTGAAGGATATCTACAAGGAGAACTAGAAAACACTACTGAAATAAATCAGAGATAACACAAATAAATGGAAAAAAATTCCATGCTCATGGATTACAAGAATCAATATCATTAAATGACCATACTGCCCAAAGTAATTTACAGACTCGATACAATTACTAAAAACTGCCAACATAATTTTTCACACAATTAGAAAAAAAACTATTTAAAATTTGTATCATACCAAAAAACATAGTGAATAGCCGAAACAATCCTAAGCAAAAAGAACAAAGCTAAAATCATCACACACCAAACTTCAAACTCTACTATAAGACTACAGAAACCAAAACAGCATGATATGAGGTAGGAGACTGGCAGGACTTGTTTTCTGGTCACAACACTGCTGAGCGAAACAGGATATAATCCAGACAGGATAAAGTGAAGAAACCAGCACAAATAAGCAGATATCAATGAAGGCAATTCATAGCTGCCTCATTGCTCATTAGCATAAGACACACCCACTAGTGCCATGACAGTTTATAAATGCCATGGCAATGACCTGGAAGTCACCAACCCTTTCTGTGGCAACAACCCATAATTTACTGCCTATTTCCTAGAAAGTTATAAATACCCACCCCTAAATTTGCATTGACATGCCTCTTAGTTTGCATGCAATTGAAAGTGGGTTTACCTGAGTATAAATATAATTGTGAAGAGCCCATATGTTGCTGACTCTGGGCACACAGGCTATGTGTTAGCCCTGTTCATAAGGAACAGTATTTTTCAATAAAAGATTGCTGTCTAACAGCACTAGCTCACCTTTGAATTCTTTCCTGGGTGAAGCCAAGAACCCTCATGGGCTAAGCCTCAATTTCGGGGTTCACCTGTACTCCTTCAGTACTGGTGCAAAAACAGACATATATAGAACAATGGAATAGAAAGGAAAATCCCGAAATAAAACCAGACACCTACCTATCTTATCTTCAACAACGCCACCAAAAACAAGCAACGGGGAATGGACTCTCTATTCAATAAATGATGTTGGGATAGTTAGCTATCCATATGCAAAAAAAATGAAACTGAACCCCTACATTTTACCATATACAGAAAATAACTCGACATGAGTTAAAGACTTAAATGTAAGACCTCAAACTATAAAAATCCTAGAAGAAAACCTAGGAAACACCGTTCTGGACATTGGCTTTGGGAAAGAATTTTTGGCTAAGCCCCCAAAAGGAATTCAACAACAACAGAAATTGACAAATGGGGCCTAATTAAACTAAAGAGCTTCTGCACAGCAGAAGAAACTATCAACAGAGTAAACAGATGATGTAAAGAAAGGGAGAGAAAGTATTTTAAATCTACACATCCAACAAAGGTCTAATATTCAGAATCTATAAGGAGCTTAAATCAATAAGCAAAAAAACAAATAACTCCATTAAAAAGTGAGCAAAGGACATGAACAGATACTTCGCCAAAGAAGACATATAAGTGGCCAACAAACACATGAATAAATGTTCATCACCAATTATCAGAGAAATGCAAATCAAACCATAGTGAAATTCTGCCTCACACTGGTCACAATGGCTATAACTGAAAAGTCAAATAATAATAGATGTTGACGAGACTGCAGAGAAATGGGAATGCTTACACACTGTTGGTGGGAATGTAAATTAGTTCAGCCACTGTGGAAAAGCAGTTTGGAGATTTCTCAAAGAACTTAGAACTACCATTTGACCTAGTAATCCTATTACTGTGTATATACCCAACAGAAAATAAATTGTTCTACCAAAAAGACTCATGCATGCATATGTTAATCACAGGGTTACTCACAATAGCAAAGACATGGAATCAACCTAGGTGCCCATCAATGGTGGATTAGATTAATAAAGTATGGTACATTTGCACCATGGAATACTATGCAGCTATAAAAAAACAAAATCGTGTTATTTGCAGCAATGTGGATGCAACTGGAAGCCATAATCATTAGCAAATTAATGAAGGAACAGAAAACCAAGTACCACATGTTTTCTTTTTGATGCTGAGTAGTATCCCATTGTATGGATACACTCCACTTTGATGATTTTTTTCCAGGTTTTTGCCATTATAAATAAAGCTACTATGAATATACAAGTACAAATCTTTGTGTGTAGAGATGCTCTTATTTCTCTCAGGTAAAAAGCTAGAAATTAAATTACTGGGTTTTATGGGAAATGGATGTTTAACTTTTTAAGTAACTGCCAACTGCTTTCCAAATTCCTATTTTGAATTTGCATGAGTGATATGTGAGCACTCCAGTTGCTCCATATGAAAGCTAACACTTCATATTGTCACTCATTTTAATGTTAGACATTCTTGTAAGTATGTAGTGTTATCTTCCTGTAACCAATGACTAATAATGTTCATTATATTTTCATGTGTTTGTTTGTTATTTGGGATCTTTATGTAACATATTGGTTCAAGTCTTTTGTTCATCTTCGTGCTGTTTGTCTTAGAAATGGTTTGTAAGTATTCTATACAAATTCTGGGTACAAGCAAGTGCGTATGAGATATACGTTTTTCAAATATCTTCTCTCAGCATTCTTTCTTTTTTTTTCTTTCTTTTTTCTTTTTTTTATTTCTTGGTATGTATTTCAAAGGGCAAAAATTTCTTTTTCACTTTGATAAAGCCTAATTTATCAATTTGTTCATTATACATTTGATTTTTGTGTACCTTAAGAAATCTTTGCCAAGACCAAGGTCATAAGGATATTCTTCAACTTTTCTTCTCTATGTTATACAGGTTCAGCTCATATATTAGGTCTATAACAAATTCTTAGTTACATTTTCTATATGTAAAGTTAGGTTTGAGTATTTTTTTTGGCTTGTTGGCTTTTTTGTTGTTGTTTGTTTGTTTGGGTGTTTTTTTAATTTTTTTGTACATGGATATCCAAATGTCTCAGCATCATTTGTTAAGAAGACTATCTTTTCTCCACAAAATTATTCAGCATTTTGTTGAAAATGATTTGTCCATGTATGTGTTCATCTATTTGTGGACTCTCTTTCCTGATCTATTTATCTATATATGATTATCACTATGCCATTTTCTATCTTCTTTTTGTGTTCCTTCAAAATTCTTATGTTAAAATCTTAACGCCCAAGGTTAAGGTATTAAGAGGTGGGGCTTTGGGAAGTAATTAGATCATGAGGCTGAACCCTCATAAATGGTATTAGTGCCCTTATAAAAGAGTCTTGAGTGAGCATTTTGCCCCTTCCAGTATGTTGAGGATACAGCTAGAAGGTGCCATCTATGAAGACTGAGTCTTCACCAGACATCTAATCTACTGGTACCTTGATCTGGGAGTTCGCAGGCTCTAGAACTGTAAGTAATAGATTTCTGTTGTTTATAAATTACCTCAAGTATAAGGTATTTTATTATGGCAGCTCAAATGGATTATGACCCCAATATTACACTTGTCTTGATCGTTATCAATTTTGACTGTCTCAAAATCATATAATCATTTACCATGATTGCTCCAGCTTTGTTTTTCTTTTCAAAATCATTTTGGTACTTCTTGATATTTTGTATTTTTATACAGTTTAGAATCAGCTTATCAGTTTCTACAAATATAAAAGTCCTATTGAGATGTTGATTGGGATAGTGTCAAATCTGTATATCAGTTTGGAGAAAACTGACGTCTTCACACAATTGAATCATTCTATTCATAAATACGATTGTATTAGTCATCCTGGGCTACTGAAACAGACTAGGTGGTTTAAATAACAGAGATTTATTTTCTCACATTTTTGGAGGCGAAAGACCAAGATCAAGGTGTTAGTAGAACTGGATTTTGGTAAGATCTTTCTTGACTTGCAGACAACTTGCAGATAGCTGCTTCTCACTGTGTCCTTACATGGCTTTTTTATCTATGTGTACATGGGAAGAGAGAGAATTCTCTTGTGTCTCGTCTTCTTTTTATAAAGACACCATTCCTATTGAATTAAACCCCCACCCTTATCACCTCATTTAACCTAATTACCTCCTTAAATTCTCTATCTCAAAGTACAGACACATTAGGGGTTAGAGCTTCAACATATGACTTGAGAAGAGGCACAATTCAGTCCATAACATTCCACTTTCTGGCCCCCACCAAAATCATGTCCTTCTCATATGCAAAATACATTCACCCCATCTCAACAGCCCTACAAATAAATTAGTTATAGAGAGACCTAAAATAAATTTATCCTGAGGCAAAATTCCTCTCCTGCTGTGAGCTGGTAAAACCAAGGTTTGTGCTTCCAAAACAATGGTGGGGACGAGTGGGAAAGAAGAATGGGCAGCAGGTCTTAAATAAATCTAAAACCTAGCAAGGCAAATTTTACTGGATCTAAGCCTCAAGAAAAATTTTCTTTGGCAGGATGTTCTACCATCTGGTCCCATTGGGACCAAAGGTCCCAATGTTCTACTATCTGGTCCCAAAGGTCCCACTTTCTGGGCCCACTAGGGCAGTAATTCCACCTTGTCACTACACAGTGGTCCTACCTTCCTGACTGCAGGCAGAAACATTGCTCCTAAGGATCTGGGCTGGTGCAACTGGATTGACTGAAGAATTGGCCGCACCCTCTGAAACCAAGGAGGTGGTCAGGTTTCTGAAACTGGTGGGTTGGCAGACTTGACCACTGAGACTATGTCATGAACCTGTGGCGGCAGTGGCAGCCCGACCAATGTCTGAATTGTCCTGAGAGTCACTTTATTTCTTACTTTTTGAAGGATAAGGCATGTTCACAGCCAGGTAACACTACTGTTCAGTCCTGGCTTTTGCAGAGGTAGCTAATTAAATTCATGGTAATTTCTTCCTGGAATAATTATCCAGGCACAACCCTTGATGTTCTCTCACACTTTCTTCTTCCTTTCTTTTTTCCAATCCATATTGCTGAGAGTTTTCCAAATCTTCTGATCTGGTTCCTTTTTACTTAACAATTCCTTCTTTAATTCATCTCATCACAAATTTTACTATAACCAGTAAGGAGAATTCAGGCTTTTTCTCCGACACTTTGACTAGAAATATCCTCAACTAAATATCCAACTTCATCACAAATAAATTCTACCTTCCACAAAATATTAGAACACCATTCAGCCAAGGTCTTTGCCACCATTTCCTCCAATTTTCAATAACATCTTCCTCATTTCTGTCTGAGACCTCACCAGATCTACTTTATTGTTTATACTTCTACCAACATTCTGTTCATGCTGATATATGTATCCTCTAAATAACATACATTTTCTCTATAGCTGTCCTGTTTTCTTTCTGAGTTCTCACCAGAATCACTTTTATGATCACATTTCTTGAAGAGTCCCTTCAAGGCAATCTAAGCTTTTTCTAACATGCACCTCAAAATTCTTGCAGTCTCTACTCATCACTCAGTTGCAACGCCACTTCCACATTTGTAGGTATTTGTTACAACACCATCCTACTTCCTGGTACCAAAATCTGTATTAGTCAGCTCAGGCTGGCATCAGAATATCAAAGACTAAACTGCTTAAACAATTTATTTTATCTTAGTTCTGGAGTGTTTATGTCCAAGATCACAGTGCCATCAGAGTGGGCTTCTGGTGAGAAATCTTTTCTTGGCTTGAAGATGATCACCTTCTTGCTGTGTTCTCACACAGCCTTTCCATGCAAGCATGGGAAATGAGGGAGCTCTCTGATGTCTCTTTCTTTTCTTAGACAACACCAGTTCTATTGCATAAGAGTCCCATCCTTATAACCTAATTTAACCTTTTTACCACCTTAAAGTCCCTGTCTTCAAATACAGTCTTGCGGGGGGTTAGGACTTAAACATATGAATCCTAGGGGGATGCAATTCAATCCATAACAATGATTTACATTTCTATTTGGTGGATATTCATTAATTTTTTTCATCAGTTTTAAATGTTTCAGTATAAAGATTCTGTATATATTTTAATTTTGGAGGAATACAGTTATTCCTAATATTATTCCTTATTATATTCCTTTTTAGGCTTTTAATGTTAATAGAATTCTTAGTGATCACCTCTCTTTCATTTTTGATATTAATTTGTATCATTTCTACCTTTCGTTTTAAATTAACAGATTTTTATTTTATTGATTTTTCTTTATTGATTTTATGTTTTCTGCCCCACTGATTTTTATTCTGATCATTTTTTATTTTCTTTCTTCAACTTACTTTGGGTTTGATTTACTCCTTGTTTTATTTCTTTCTTATGCAAAAATTAGGGACATTGATTTGAATTTTTTTTCCTTAAATAAGCATTTAATGTTATTTTTGTTTGTTTGTTTTTGTTTGTTTGTTTTGTTTTGTTTTTGAGATGGAGTCTCGCTCTGTTGCCCAGGCTGGAGTGCAGTGGTGCGATCTTGCCTCACTGCAAGCTCCGCCTCCCGGTTCATGCCATTCCCCTGCCTCAGCCTCCCTATATTTTCTTTTAAACATTGATTTAGCTGTACCACACATATTTTGATGTGTTTTTATTTTCATTCGGTTTGACATAATTTCTAGTGTTTCTAGTGAACTTTCTTGATTTGTATGTTATTTAAAACTGTGTTTAATTTTAAATAGTGAGAATATTTTCGATATCTTTAATCATTTAATTCTGGTTAATTCCATTGTTATTATAGAGCATATTTAAGTGATTTGAACTTTTTAAATTTATTGAGCTTCTTTTTTATTATCTAGAATATAGTCTTCCTTGGCAAATGTTGCATGTTTAGTTGGAAAGGATGTATATCTTGCTGTTTTCAGTTAGAGCATTCTGCAAACATCAATTCGGCCTGGTAAGTTGATAGTGTTTGTTGTTTATGTCTTTTATATACTTATTGATTTTATGTCTACTTCTTCTATCAATTGCTGAGGAAACAATGATGACATCTCCAACTATAATTGTGTGTGTGTGTGTGTGTGTGTGTGTGTGCGTGTGTTTTAGTTATATCACGTTTTGCTTCATGTATTTTGGACTTCTGGTTATTGGGGTACGTATACATTTAGGTTTTTAAAAATTCATTGGCCTCTTTATAATTACGAAATGCCCCTATGCATCTCTAGTAACATTTCCTGTTTTGAAGGCTATTTTGTTTTGAGTCTGAGAAACCACTCTAGCTTTCATTTTACTAGTGTTTTCATGGTGTATCTTTTATATCCTCTTAATTTTAACCTACCACGTCTCTATATTTGAAACAGGTTTCTTATCCTCTTAATTTTAACCTACCATGTCTCTATATTTGAAACAGTTTGCTTGTAGACAGCCTAGAGTTTAGTGTTATTAACTTTTTAATCCTCTGACAAAGTGGATCATTTGACTTAACCATTTGTTTTCGTTTGTTTGTTTTGTTTTATTTTGTTTTTTTGAGACGGAGTCTCGCTCTTTTCCCCCAGAGTGGACTGCAGTGGTGCGAACTTGGCACACCGCAACCTCTGCCTCCCGGGGATCAAGCGATTCTCCTGCCTCAGCCTCCCAAGTAGCTGGGACTACAGGCATGTGCCACCATGCCCAGCTAATTTTTGTATTTTTAGTAGAGACGAGGTTTCACCATGTTGGCCAGATGGTCTCGATCTCTTGACTTCATGATCCGCTCACCTTGGCCTCCCAAAGTTCTGGGATTACAGGCATAAGCCACCATGCCCAGCGGACTTAACCATTTGATTTGACCATTTAGTTTTAACATAATTATTGATATATTTGGTTTAAATATGTCCTATTGCTCTTCATTATGTATTCGACATAACTTTTCCTTTTTTCCCCTCTCATCTTGTTGTCATTTAGATACAATATTTTTTATGAGCCAATTTTACTTCCAATATTGGTTTATAGCTATAATTTTTTTTTATTTTGGAGATGAGTCTGGGTTTTACAATATTGATATTTAACTCATGGAAGTCTCTTGTTTCATTTAAGGTATAAGAAACTTATAAAAATAGACTTTGTTTCCCTGTCCTTTGGGAAATCATTGTCATATATTTTACTTCTGTAGATGCCATAAACTTCACAGTGCATTGTTATTATTTTTTAAACAATTATTTTTAAAGACAATAAGTAGAAAAATGTATTTTCTTATACAGTTCCATTGTGAAGAATGTTTTTATTCCTTTCTATTGATCCAACATCTGTTATCATTTTCCTTTTTCCTGAAGAATTCTCTTTGATATTTCTTGTAATTCAGCTCTCCTGGCCAAAAATAAGATTTTTCAAAAAGTTTTCATTTTTTTTACATTTTTGAAAAATGATTTTTCTGTTTGTAGAAATTTAGGGTGTTTTTTTTTTTTTACTTTCAGTACTTTAAAGGTGGTATTCTCTTTTTTTCTACATTACATAAAATTTCACAAGAAGCCAACTGCTATTCCTATTTTTGTTCTTCTGTAGGTAATGTGACATTTTTTTCCTCTGGTAATTTTAAGGTATTCACTTTATCACTTACGGTTTTTAGTAATTTGATTATCATATGCTGTGTGTGTGTATGTGTGTGGGTGTGTTTTTGTGCACGCATGCATGTGAAGTCTTCTGCTTGGTGATTGTAGCGTTTTTGATCTGTAAGTTCATAATTTTAATCAAATTTGGAAAACATAATCATAAGGTAGGAGTAAAGGCAACATACAGAATTAATAATTAGGTGAGAAATGGGGAGAAACTGTGCCATGACAGATTTGAATCTAAATACACAGTTAAAGCCAATCCTGACACAGGAATTTCTCAATTAAGTAACCCAATAAAGTTCTCTTCTGCCTTAGCCAATTTGATTTAAATTTTGTCTACCTCAAACTCGAATTAGAAAATTCAGAATAGTTTTCTAGCAAATATGGAAAATTATAATGTCAGATAAATCATACTTTTTATATTGTTTTTCTTCACAAATCTGATTTCAGTTTTCTGATAATATAAACAACTGGCTGTTTACATTTTAATTATGGGTTTAATTTCTTCTAAAAAGAAGATGTACTTTAGTCTTGCCTTTTATTCAAGGCCCTCAATCTCTTATAAAATTTGTTAGTTATACTCATAATCTTAGTAATCCTCCTCCTTGCAAATTATACAATCATTAATTCCATTCTCAAAGATAAAGTCACCTTCACCTGATCAATTTACAGTAATTGTTGGGTATCTTTTATAGGCAAAGATAATTTGAATGAAATAATAAATACTGATTTATATCAATTACTGTAAGGTCTTTCATATGCTTAACATACACATTCACAGTCAGAAAAAGTGATTCATATTTACTATTTTGAGTTCCTGGGAAGATCTCAGTTGATACTCCCGTCTTTTAGAATGGGACACTATTTTTTTTTTATTATACTTTAAGTTCTAGGGTACGTGTGCATAATGTGCAGGTTTGTTACATATGTATACATGTGTCATGTTGGTGTGCTGCACACATTAACTCATCATTTACATTAGGTATATCTCCTAATGCTATCCCTCCCCCTTCCCCCGACCCCACGACAGGCCCCAGTGTGTGATGTTCCCCTTCCTGTGGCCAAGTGTTCTCATTGTTCAATTCCCACCTATGAGTGAGAACATGGGGTGTTTGGTTTTTTGTCCTTGTGATAATTTGCTGAGAATGATGGTTTCCAGCTTCATCCATGTCCCTACAAAGGACATGAACTCATCATTTTTTATGGCTGCATAGTATTCCATGGTGTATATGTGCCACATTTTCTTAATCCAGTCTATCATTGATGGACATTTAGGTTGGTTCCAAGTCTTTGCTATTGTGAATAGTGCCACAATAAACATACGTGTGCATGTGTCTTTATAGCAGCATGATTTATAATCCTTTGGGTATACACCCAGTAATGGGATGGCTGGGTCAAATGGTATTTCTAATTCTAGATCCCTGAGGAATTGCCACACTGTCTTCCACAATGGTTGCCAGGGCAATCAGGCAGGAGAAAGAAATAAAGGCTATTCAATTAGGAAAAGAGGAAGTCAAATTGTCCCTGTTTGCAGATGACATGATTGTATATCTAGAAAACCCCATCATCTCAGACCAAAATCTCCTTAAGCTGATAGGCAACTTCAGCAAAGTCTCAGGATACAAAATCAATGTGCAAAAATCACAAGCATTCTTATACACCAATAACAGACAAACAGAGAGCCAAATCATGAGTGAACTCCCATTCACAATTGCTTCAAAGAGAATAAAATACCTAGGAATCCAACTTACAAGGTACATGAAGGACCTCTTCAAGGAGAACTACAAACCACTGCTCAATGAAATAAAAGAGGATACAAACAAATGGAAGAACATTCCATGCTCATGGATAGGAAGAATTAATATCGTGGAAATGTCCATACTGCCCAAGGTAATTTATAGATTCAATGCCATCCCCATCCAGCTACCAATGACTTTCTTCACAGAATTGGAAAAAACTACTTTAAAGTTCATATGGAACCAAAAAAGAGCCTGCATTGCCAAGACAATCCTAAGCCAAAAGAACAAGCTGGAGGCATCACGCTACCTGATTTCAAACTATACTACAAGGCTACAGTAACCAAAACAGCATGGTATTGGTACCAAAACAGAGATATAGACCAATGGAACAGAACAGAGCCCTCAGAAATAATGCCACACATCTACAACCATCTGATCTTTGACAAACCTGACAAAAACAAGAAATAGGGAAATGATTCCCTGTTTAATAAATGGTGCTGGGAAAGCTGGCTAGCCATATGTAGAAAGCTGAAATTGGATCCCTTCCTTACACCTTATACAAAAATTAATTCAAGATGGATTAAAGACTTCAATGTTAGACCTAAAACCATAAAAACTCTAAAAGAAAACCTAGGCAATACCATTCAGGACATAGGCATGGGCAAGGACTTCATGTCTAAAACACCAAAAGCAATGGCAACAAAAGCAAAAATTGACAAATGAGATCTAATTAAACTAAAGAGCTTCTGCACAGCAAAAGAAACTACCATCAGAGTGAACAGGCAACCTACAGAATGGGAAAATAATTTTGCAATCTACTCATCTGACAAAGGGCTAATATCCAGAATCTACAAAGAACTCAAACAAATTTACAAGAAAAAAGAAAACAACCCCATCAAAAAAGTGGGTGAAGTATATGAACAGACATTTCTCAAAAGAAGACATTTATGCAGCCAACAGACAGATGAAAAAATGTTCATCGTCACTGGCCATCAGAGAAATGCAAATCAAAACCACAATGAGATACCATCTCACACCAGTTAGAATGGCAATCATTAAAAAGTCAGGAAACAACAGGTGCTGGAGAGGATGTGGAGAAATAGGAACACTTTTACACTGTTGATGGGACACTATTTTTTTAACAATAAGACTTTTTGCCTGGGAAATGGCTTGAGATCTCAGCCCAAAGAGATTTTTATAAAATGCTTCTTCAAAAAAATTAGAAAATAAAATTATTATTTTCTTAGGCCTTTAGAAATTTACTTACCTATGTGCTGTGTCTGACATTTAGGTAGCAAAACAATGTTGCAAATTACAGCAGAGCATCTCAGATTTTCTCTGTTGACAGAAATATGATATATGGTTTTAAATTAAGGTTCAATATCATGTGTGCCTTGACATCTGGGAAAAACTGGGATGATCCAATGGTCTCAAGTTCCCCTCTCTACGCTCCCACAGATGAGGTCTTTTGGCCAAAATACCCTCTTTATCAAAGGGACTAGGCAAAGTGCCTACTTATCCCTCAGTAGTAGGCTTCAGTTCCCCACCTGCCCCTTGAATTATTCAAACAAACCAATAATACCCTCCCATGAGAATGAGTGCTTACCTCACCAACCTCACCATCTAGTTGCTACAGTTTGTCTTCCATAGACCTTGTTTGTTCACCCTGCTCCCAAGTGAAATTTCCATAGTGGTTCTACCTCACATGCTATATTCTCTTCCCCCAGGCTGTCAGCATATGTGACTAATAAACTGCAGTTTGCCTCATCTGTTCAATGTTAGATGTTGTGTGTTTATAACTGTAGGGTAGAAATCCCTTTCTTATCAATGGAGTGAAAAGGAAGTGATCAAAATCGGAAGTATAGGTGGTAAGTTTTTAAAATTGTCTTCTCTTTGCTCATGTGATGGAAAAATGCATTTGTATTTATCCTGTTTCCATCTTCTTTCACTCTCCTTTTGTACTTTTATATTTTTGGCCTCAGAAATTCCTCAGGGAAGAAAACAGAAATTGTTGGAAGTAAAACTACTTCCCAAAGTTTTGTGAAAGCTTGAGCCATACAGTAGAAGAGAATGAGCTAGAATAAAGAGGATGGAATTATTTGACACAGCAGGGATTAAAAAAGAGATATTTTCTTCAGAGCCTATGGCTTTGAAGTTCACTTAGGAACTCCAAAACTTAGCCTGATTGTCAAATATTCAAAAATATTTGAAAATATTTTTGAAATATATTTAATATCAAGTCCTCTTACTGTGATACGGTAGCAGTAGTCATTGGTTTATGTGGACTGTGAGGTCTTGGATGGGTATGAAGAGGAGAACAAATAGTCCTTTTACATAATTAAAACTTTTACTGGCCTACTGTAATGCGACCTATGAGTCAGATTTAAAGTGATTTAGATAAAGAAATGGGAATTTCATTAATATATGAGTTTATGGTTTACAACTTCAACAATTGCAAGAATTAATTCATGTACTTGAACTGGCCAATGACAAGCAACCAATTACCATTTTTGTCTCCTGTGGCAATCTTTTCACATCTGAGTGAAAATTAGGAATTGCAACTGAGCAATTAACTTCTCTATTATAAAAAGAGAAAACTGCATTGATATTTTAGGTTTCAGTGTCATTATGAAATGTATCACAGAATGAGGTCAAAGTATTAATGTCCATTTGATAAATTCCCTTTCCATTTTTTACTATATAATTTGCAATATTTGTAATAAAAATAGTACTTTCTATCATTTCCCATTCCTTCACCCCCTCATGCAAAGTAATATTTTTTAGACTTCCTAAAGCCTTTCTACATTGAGGCGTGTCAAACTGTAATTCTTACAAGTGTGAATAAAATGTGACAAGTAAGAGGATTACCTGGGAGTTTTATATTTGATATTTTAGTCATCAACTTTTATGTTAAAATGGCATATTTCTAAAAACTATAAATGCATGAAACCTGCAAATATTTATGTTTTATATCTCAAAGTTGGAGCTCATTGTAGTAGTGAAATAAACACTGAATAAAGAGTCAGAAGACTTGGATCCATGTCCTGGTTTCCCCAGTTCCCAATCAATATGATCTTAAGTATATTTTCTTTAAGCTTCATTTTCTGCATCTATTCAATGAAAATTCAATAACTGTCTTACTACCCTCAGCAGTTATTGTGAGAATCAAAGAAGATAATGGATATAAAAAATATTCTGTAATTAGTGAAGTATTCTATAGATTTGGGTTGTTATTATCTATTCCAAATTTTCTCTTTATAGATGAGGAAACAAAAGCCCTTATTTTTTAGTCACCCAAGAAAGAAAACTTGAGAAAATATGGCAGAATAGAAAATTTCTATCATCATCTTCACCGAGAAACATCAATTTTGACGACTACCCATGGATAAAAGTACCATTGTGGGAGTTCAGGGTTTTAGCAGAAATTTTCCAGCAGAGTGTTGGAGCAAAAATTTAACAACAGACACACTAAACAGAGTAACAACAGTTTTACTTTACTCACATCACCATTCTCCCAAGGTGGCACAACTCAGCACCAAGAGAAACTCATTCAGCTCCCCTAGCCATGTGGGACATTGCCCAAGAGGCCGACTTTTTTTTGCATGTCACCCAGAATATTTAGGTGATTGGCACAGCTACGTGGTTGGAAGAGGCTGAAAGCAAGGATGATGGGTCATAGACCCTCCTAACTGTCTATGGAACCCATTAGAAAGCTCACTCATAAGCTGCTTGAGATGTCTCATCTATGGATTCCCAAAAACTGGACCAGAAGCATTTCAAGTGCACTATGCACCTCAGCCTTTCTCCCCAGGCTAGCTCCCTGAGTGTACTGCTGTAGACAACAAATACAAGTATCTCACACAAGCAGACAACTCAGCTGTGAGGGATTGGGAGAAAGCACACAAACTTGAGCATTTCTGAGAACTTCTCTAAATAGAACAACTGGTTAAGGCTATCACCACACAGCTTGGCTTCAAATAATTGAGAAAAGGCATACAATTTTTAGAATGCCCCCCAGGAGAAAACAAAAGGTGTGGAATGAGCACATATATAGAAAAGGTCTGAAGAGCCTCAGAATCCCTAGCTAGGAAAACTGATGAAGGAATTTTTCTTCCAAAGCCACTTAATAAACACCGGAGAAGGTGACTGCATCTTCAAATATTCAAACACTTACACAAAGATACAAAAAAATGAAAAAACAAAAACCAAAGAACCATGATACCACCAAAGGAACACAACAATGTTACAGTACCAACCCCAGAGAAAAGAAGATCTACAAATTGCCTGGCAAGGGATTCAAAATAATTTTATTAAGGAAGCTCAACAATCTACCAGGGAACAAATAGACAATTCAAAAATATTAGACAAAACATGATCAGTAAGAGAATTTCAATAAAGGGATAGAAATAATTGAAAAAGAACCAAATGGAAATTCAGGAGCTGAAGAAAACAATGAAATTAAATAAAAATGCATTAGAGAGTATCAGTAGCACAACTAATCAACAGCAGAAAAAAAATCTGTGAACTTAAAAAATGGGTAATTTGAAAATATCTAGTCAGAGAATAAAAAAGAACAGAAAACCCAAAAAGTAATGAAGAAAGCCTATGGAATTTATGGGACAGCATCAAGAGAGGTAACTTTTGAATTATGGAATTTTACCAAGGAGGAGAAAGAAAGAGAGGTCCAGAAAGCTTACTGAAAGTAATAATAGCTGAAATCTTTCTAAATCTTGAGAGCTATATTGACATTCATGTACATAGAGCTTAAACATTTTCAAATCGTTTCAACCCAAAAAAGACTTCACTGAGCCACATTATAATCAAACTGTTAAACATCAAAGGCAAAGAAGTTTGAAAGCAGCAAAAGCAAAGAGGGTGATCATATACAAGTGAACTCCCGTAAGGATATCAGTAATTTCTCAGCAGAGACCTTGTAGACCAGACAAGAGTGGGATAATATAATTAAAATGCTGAAAGAGAAAACAACTGGCAGCCAAGAATACTTCATCCAGTAAAACTATCCTTCATAAATAAAGGCACAATAAAGACTTTTCCAAACAAACAAAAGCTGAGAGAGTTCATTACCACTATAGCTAACTTACAAGAAATACCAAAAGGAATTCTTCAAGCTGACATAAAAGGATACTAATTAGTAACATAAAATTATATGAAGGCATAAAATTCACTGGTAAGGTAAGTACACAGTCAAATTCAGAATATTCCTACTATAATGGCGGTGTGTAAGTCACTTATAATTCTAGTATAGAGGTAAAGGACAAAGTGTATAGTATAGAGGTAAAGGACAAATTTGCTATGTATATATGATATAAAAAGATACAAATTGTGACTTCGAAATCATAAAACATGAATGAAGGACAAAAGTATAGAGTTTTTGTAGGTGATGAAAATTAAGTTGTTATCAGCTTAAAATAGACTATCATAACTATAAGATGTTTTATGCAGACCTTATGGTAACCATGAAGCAAAAACCTATAGTAGATATATAAAATATAAAGAGAAAGGAATCAAAGCATAACAATACCTAAAATCATCAAATAACAAAGGAAGTCAGCAACAAAAGAAGAAAATAACAAAGAATCTACAAAACGGCCAGCAACAAATAACAAAATGTCAATATTAATTCTCTACCTATCAATGATTACTGTAAATGTAGATCAGTTACATTCTACAACCAAAGACACAGAATGAGGAAATGGATAAAAGAAAAAAAAAAAAAACAAGTGGCAAATACATGATGCTTACAAGAGATTCACTTCAGCTTTAAGAACACACATAGACCAGAAGAATAAAAGAAAAAGATATTCCATACAAATGAAAACTGTAGGAGAGCAGAGGTAGCTGTATTTTTATCAAAGAAAGACTTTCAGGGAAAAAGGTGTAATAAGAGATAAAGAAGGTCATTGCATGGTGATAAAGGAGTCAATACACCAAGAGAATGTAACAATTTTAAGTATATATGTACCAACATTGGAGTATCTAAATATATAAAGCAGTTATTAAATGATCTAGTGAGAGAAATAGACAGCAATACAATTATAATATGACTTCAATAACTCACTTTCAGCAATGGATATGTCATCCTGACTGAAAATTAGTAAGGAAACATTGTACACAAACTACACCTTATTTATTTATTTATTTATTTATTTATTTATTTATTATTATTTAAAACATAGTTTTGTTCTTTTTGCCCATGCTGGAGTGCAATGGCATGATCTCGGCTCACTTCAACCTCTGCCTCCAGGATTCAAGTGATTTTCCTGCCTCAGCCTCCTAAGTAGCTGGGATTACAGGTACACCTGGCTAATTTTGTATTTTTAGTAGAGATGGGGTTTCACCATGTTGGCCAGGTTGGTCTCCAACTCCTGACCTCAGATGATCTGCCTGCCTTGGCCTCCTGAAGTGCTGGGATTACAGGTGGCAGCCACTGTTCCCGGCGGGACACAAATTACGCTTTAGACTAAATGGAACTAATGGACATACACAGAGCATTCTATGCAAAAGTGGTTGCATGTTTTTCTCAAGCATACATAAGACATTCTCTAGAACAGATTATATGTTAGGCCACATAACAAGTTTAACATTGAAATTATGTCAAGTATTTTTTTCTGGCTACAATAATATGGAACTAGAAAGAAATAACAGGAGGAAATTTGAAAAACTTATAAATATGTGGAAATTAAACAACATACTCCTGAATATCCAATGGGTCAAAAAATTATGAAGGAAATAAAAAATGTCTTGAGACAAATTTAAATAGGAACACAGTATATCAAAACTTGTGAAATATGGCAAAAGCTGTTATAAGGGTCTTTTTTAAATAATAGTCACCTGCATAAACAGAAAAAAACAAAGATTTCAAACAACCTAACATTATATTTCAATAAGCTAGAAAGACAAGAACAAACTAAAAGTCAGCAAAAGGAAAGAAATAGCAAAGATCAGCACAGAAATAAGTGAAATAAAGACTAGAAAAGCAATAAAAAAGATCAATGAAAGCAATAATTTGCATTTCGAGAAGGTAAACAAAACTGAAAATCTTTAGCTAGACTAAGAGAAAAAGAGAAGACTCAAATAGAATCAGAATGAAAGAGGAGACATTACAACAAATAACACAGAAATACAAAGGGTCATAAGAGATGCCTATGAATAATTAAAAACCAAAAAAGTGGATAACCTAAAAGAAATAAATACCTAAAAATATACAACCTACCAAAATGGAATCAAGAAACAGAAAATATGCAGACTAATAAGAAGCAAGGAAGTAATCAGTAAATAAAAATCTCTCAATAAAGAAAAACTCAGTACCTGATGATTTCACGGATGAATTCTACTAAACATTTAAATAAGAATTAATACCAATCGTCGCCTGTAATCTCAGCATTTTGGGAGGCGGAGGTGGGTGGATAACGAGGTTAGGAGATCGAGACCATCCTGGCTAACACGGTGAAACCCTGTCTCTACTAAAAAATACAAAAAATTAGCCAGGCGTGGTGGTGGGCACCTGTAGTCCCAGCTACTTGGGAGGCTGAGGTGGGAGAATGGCATGAACCTGGGAGGCAGAGCTTGCAGTGAGCCGAGATAGCACCACTGTACTCCAGCCTGGGTGACAGAGCCAGACTCCAACTCAAAAAAAAAAAAAAAAAAATTAATATCAATCCTTCTTAAATTCACAAAAATTAAAGAGGAGGTAACACTTCCGAACTCATTTTATAAGGCCAGCACTATGCTGATACAAAAGCCAGACAAAAATACTATAAGAAAAAAAAAATTACAGCTGTTATTCATATAGGTGCAAAAATCCTCAACCGAATACTAACAAGCCATATTTAACAGCACATTAAAAAAGATCATTCTCCACCATCCAGTGAGATTTATTCCTGGGTTATAAGGGTGGTTCAACATACATAAATTAATAAAGATGATACATTGCATAAACAGAATGAAGGACTAAAATCATATGATCATGTCAATAGATACAGAAAAGGCATTTGGTAAAATTTACCATCCTTTAATGATAAAAATTCATTTTCAACAAATTAAGTATACAGGGAACATACCTCATTATAATAAAGGCTATATATGGGAAGCCTATAGCTAACATCATACTCAAATGAAAGCAAAGGTTTTCCTCTGATATCAGAAACTAGACAAGGATGCCCACTTTAGCAACTTCTATTCAACATGGTACTAGAAACCTTAGATAGAGCAATTAGTCAAAAATAAAAGCATCCATATAAGAAAAGAAGTAAAATTATCTGTTTGCAGATGACATAATCTTGTCTATAGAAAACCCTAAAGACTCCCTCTCCCCTGTCCTGAAAAACCTGGTAGAACTAATAAGTAAATTCAGTAAAGTTTCAGGATGCTAAATCAACATACAAAAACCAATTGTATTTATCTACACAAATAACAAAACATCCAGAAAAGAAATTAAGAAAACCAGCTTGTTTACAATAGCATCAATGTGAATAAAACACACAGGATTTCATTTAACCAAGGAGGTAAAAGATGTCTACCCTTGAAACTATAATACGTTGGTGACTGAAATTAAAAACAATGCAAATAAGTGAAAAGATATCTCATGTTCATGGTTTGGAAAAATTAATATTTTCAAAATGTCTACACAAATGGCATTTCTTATAGAAATAGAAAAAACTTCTGAAATTCATATGGACCCACAAAGAACCCAAATAGCTAAAGCAATCTTGAGCAAGAAGAACAAAACTGAAGGTATCAAACTTTCTGATTTAAAATTATATTACAAAGCTACAATAATCAAAACATGTGATACTGAGATAAAAGCAAACAGAAAGACAAATGGAACAAAATCAAATGTCCAGAAATAAATTCATATATATATATATGAGTTTTATATATATATATATATATATATATATTTGAGTTTTTATATATAGTCCGTGAATCTTCAACAAGGTGCCAAGAATGCACAAACAGAAAATGATAGTGTTTTGAACACTATCATTGAACAAATGATGATGTTGGCAAAATTGGATATTCACATGCAAAAAAAAATCATGAAATTGGATGCAAGTCTTACATGACATGCAAAAATCAACTCATTGTGAATCAAAGATTAAAACATTATATCTGACTCTATAAAACTCCTAGAAGAAAATATGTGGGAAAAGTCCATGATATTGAACTTGGCAATGATTTTTTAGATACGGCACTAAAAGCACAGGCAACAAAATAAAAAATAAACACGGGAAACTTCATCAAAAGTAAAAAGTTTCTGCACAGGAAAGGAAACAATCAACAAAATAAGAAGGGAACCTATGGAATGTGAGAAAATATTTGCAAACCTATAAAGATTTAATATATCCTATACCTGGTTAATATCCAAAATATAGAAGGAGCTCATGTAACTCAACAGCAGAAGGCAAATCATCTGATTAAAAGTGAGCAAAGGACCTAAATAAAAATTTTATGAAGAAGAGATATAAATGGCCAGCAGGTATATAAAAAGGTGCTCAACATCACTAATATGAGAAATGCATATGAAAGCCACAATGAGATATTATGTTACACTTGTTAGAATGGCTATTTTCAAAAAGTAATGAGGTAAGAATTTTTGGTGAGAATGTGGAGAAAAGAGAACCATTATACCTTTTGATAGGAATATTTCCAGATATTACAGAAAGCAGTAGGAACATTCTTCAAAAAATTAAAAAAGAACTACCATATGATCCAGGAACCCCACTTCTGGGTATTAATGCAAAGGAACCATTAGTGGGAATGTAAACTAGTACAACCACTATGGAAAACTGTGGAGATTCCTTAAAGAACTAAAAGTAGATCTACCTTTTGATCCAGCAATCCCACTCCTGGCTATCTACCCAGAGGAAAAGAAATCATTATACGAAAAAGATACTTGCACATGCATGTTTATAGCAGCACAATTTGTAATTGCAAAAATATGGAACCAAATGACCATTCATCAATGAGTGGATGAAGAAAATGCAGTGTGTATATACCATGAAATACTGCTCAGACATAAAAATGAATGAAAGAATGGCATTTGCAGCAACTTGGATGGAATTTGGAGACCATTAGTCTAAGAGAAGTAACTCAGGAATGGAAAACCAGACATTGTACGTTTTCATTCATTAGGTTGGAGCTAAGCTATGAGGATGTGAAGGCATAAAAATGATACAGTGAACTTTGGGGACTCAAGGATAAGAGAATATACATTGGGTACAGTGTATGCTGCTTGGGTGATGGATGCAGCAAAATCTTGAAAATCACCACTAAAGAACTTATTCATGTGACCAAATGCCACCTGTTCCCACCCAAACCAACTCTTGGAAATGGAAAATTTTAGAATAATATTTCGTAAGTCTTTTGAATGTTCTTTACCCTATATTTTTCTTGCCCCTACCTCAATCTCCACTGTTTATGTATAAAGTAAGTTTAAAATCTATCATTTTTCAGTGATTAAATATGTCTTTCATACCATAATTACTGCCAGTTGTCCACTTGTGGCTACTAGAGGAATGAATTTTAAGGAACATGGGCAATTTTTAGCTGCAGGCATAAACATACTAATTCCCTAGACTCCCTGAATATAGCGAAGTGATGTCAGGTCTGGATAAAATATGGCAAATGCCTTTGCTATGATTTTGTGCAATCTTCAAAAGGTTTTCTTTTTGTTTATTTTGTTTAACCAGAAAACAGTCTCTCTCAACTTTCTTTGCTGTGAATTCTACAGAACTTAGACCATTATGTAACAGGTAATGAGATTCAATGGATATTTGTTAAATAAATAAAGTCTGGTTTTTATTATGTTAATTGAAACAAGTTATTATTACTAAAAGTCTCCTCTGTATACTAAAGAAAAAATGTAGTAGATAAACTCAAATATGTTGTGAATCAACAATTTCATAAATGATATTGGTGGATGCATAGAAAAACAATTCTTTCATGAGATTTTCTTTGTTAATGTCTAGGGAAATGGAAGATGGAGTGGGAAGAGGCAAGTGAGCAAGAAATATGAAAATTCAAATTTTATAATGAAAAAGAGCAAAAATTTACTCTATAGGCCACAGAGAGCAAAGGATTTCTGAAAGAGATAGAACATACGGGGACAGGAAATACTAATGTTAGCAACAGAAGAATTATAGGAGATTTCTGAAACAAGGTATTTGTAAATAAACAATGAAAAGTACTGAAAATTGAAGATCTAGAAAGAAATACATTTAGAGTTCTAAAAAGAAGAATTTCTCAAAGTTTTTTTTTCTTTTAATATACCAAAGTTGTTCTGTTTGCTACATGAACTTGTCATCCATATAAAATGCAAAGCAGTATTAAGTTACTTTCTTGGTTTTATGCCTTTCAATAAAAGCCGAGGCCTCACTGGATAAAGAGTATGGCATTTGAAATCAAATTCTGGCCTGGTTGGTTACTTAACTTCTTGGAAACTCAGTTGCCTCCTCTTCAAAGCACAGACATAATCATAAGGTTTACTGAGATGATTGGATACCTATGTACTCAGCCTAGTGGCTTGGCATGTGATCTTCCCTTTCCCTCCTTCCTTCCTATTTCCCTCCTAATCACTTTCTTCTCTTTTCTCTCATTCTTTTTTTCCTCTTGCCTGCCCTCCTTGTGAAGAAAGGAAAACTGCTCTGTACATAAAGGAACTTAAGAGCACTAAGGGAAAATTTGACTTAATCATAATTTAGTCTCAATATCCCTAATATTCCCTTGGGTATCCCTTAATATGGAAGCAAAAGCAATATGTGGTGTGGTGCCTTTATAATATTTGGGAGGAGTCAAGATTTATGCCCATGTCACAAAGAGCCATACGTAAATGACAAAATCCCAAATTAAATAGAGGCAAGCCTCATATAGTATAAAGAATAATGTATGTGGCCTCATGAGGAGGCAGAAAGACTGATCCTACCTATCAGTTGCAGTTAAGAGCAGACTACCAGACTAAGACTACCAGATTAAGGCACTCTTTTCAGGAACACCACTTCTCTTAAAGAATAAGAGGCAATTTTTACACAACTCATTTACGGCAGCTCTGTATTGGACTATGGTCTTATCTGTGCTCCATACTTATAAAAAAATAAGATATATTATGTTAAGTAACTACTCGAACTGGAAAAGGATATACTCATTTCGAAAGAGTTTTTTAAAGAATGTAAATTTACTTAATTTGAAATTTCTGGAATCGTACAGAATTGTGGAATAGGATATTTACAAGATTATCACAAAATTAAAACATTCCAGTTGAAAGAAAATTTGTAGTTTTTTTCTACTTTATTACTACTCTCATTACTTCACTTCTGATAGCAAATATGTAGCTTTTTTTTTTCTCCATACCAAGCAATTCTCCACTTCTCCTCTGCCATTGACTAGGCGTCCTAATAGAATTTAACTCAGTTCTGACACTGTCCACCTGGAGTTAGTGCCAGATCCTTCAGGCTAAAGATTCAGCCCTGCAAGACTTCCTCCACTTCAGATACCAATTGCAAGTCTGGGTTCTCACCTGTGATTCTGGCTAGAAATGGAAGGTTCTCACCCCCTTCTCATGTTCAATAATTTGTCAGAATGGCTCACAGAACTCAGGAAAACAATTTGCTTACCAGACTATCAGTTGATTATTAAAGAATACAGTTCAAAAACAGCCAGATGGAACAGATGCAGAGGGCAAAGTATGGAGCTTCCATGCCCCCTCTAGATGGCCACCTTCCCAGCATCTCCACATGTTTAGCAACCGGAAACTCACCAAACACTTTTGGTTAGGATTTTCATGGAGGGCTCATTACTAGCCATGGTTGATTAAGTCATTGGTCATTAATAATTAGCTCAACCTCTAGTCCCTCACCCCTTTCTGGAGGTCAGCGGTGAAGAGAGGTGGGGAGAGGGAAAGTTCTAGCCTTTTAATCACTTGCTTGGGTCCCCTGGCAACCAGTCCTCACTATGGGACAAAAGAAGGTGAGAGCAGAGACCAAATATATATTTTATTATGTAACACCAGTACAGAAGGGAAAAAATAAAATATAATCCTAGAGAGATGAGATAATTTTAATATTTATTTCTGTCCTTCCTTCAAACCACATATTATTGGCCAAAGAGTATCAGCTTAAAATTAAACTTCCATCCCTAGGGAAACTTCTGCTATCTTAAGAAAAATGTAATTGAAAATGAAAAATATGACTTTTGCGTTTTGTTAGTTTCCTATCTCTGCTATAAAAAGACTTGAATATTTCATTAGACTTCTCACCCCAAGGATGTATAATGCTTCTTCTTAGAGGACATTGTAGCTATTACAGTGTTTATGTCTAGGGGAATATTAAGATATATGAAGGTAATTATCAGGTTTAAAAACACCTTGGTAGGGTCTGAGATCTCATAAAATATGCAGAGACCCAGTGCATCAACATCCCATTATTGGGAAGAATTGAAGTATGCATACATAGACCTTCTCTGCCAATCTAGACTAGTTGTTAGAATACTTTTTTTTACCCCAAACAACTGCAAGCATGCAGCAAGAATTAAATATAGAGTTTTCATTCACATAACTTTTATTTCATGCTTCCTGCTTTACTATTCAAGCATGTATGAAAATTGTTTCGGAGCCTAAATGGTGTGGTCTGTGTGTTAGCTCTACATGTGGCATTGTAACAGAATCCTATGCCCTCTATAAAACCACAGATACTGGATATACACACAATGTTAAAAAAAATGTTACTCAAAAGGTTGGGGAACCCACAAAAACAGATGTTCTGGCTTAGGGATCATCATTTAACTTGTTGGTATTACAGCACTATTTTGTCATCTGGATCCAAATACAAATCATGGCAGTGTCAACACTTTGTTAATAGTCTGGGGGTAGATGAACCAGCAGTGTGCAGCATCTGGTTAGCTTTGAGAGAAGCTAGCAGCTAGACTTCTCATTAACTGGGTATGACTTGGCTTGCCACAGGGCTGGGAGGCATTTTTAAAGCTGAGTTACCCTTGTAACAAATGCCAGATGCCAGGCTGGATTTATAAACATGCACCAGGTTTCAAATTAATCTGGTCAAACTTGAACATATTAATGTGCTGTATTGGAAACTCTGTGTTCTACTTATTTTGCTTTCCAAAGCTTCACACATGCGGCTTAAGTAATGAATTCCTGGGACTCCGGAGTGAGAGAGTGGAAGGAGAGCTAAGGATGGAGGTGGGGATCTGATTTGACAGGAATGGACCTGGTCTATGTAAGGCAAAGAGGCTGTAGTGCAAAGAGGGAGCACTTCTGTTTCATTAAAAAAAGAAAAAAGACTTTGGGGTCCTAATGGATCGTTTTTATTAAATAAGAAGGTTTTATCTCCTATTTTCTCAATGCTAAGCAGTAGGGAGTTGGAATCTATGAAACATGAATTGTAGACTTTGCTTTTACCCACCTTTCTGGGTCTCAGTGTTACCACATGCAAAATGAATATAGTAATTCTTATCCTACCTATAGCACAAAAGTTTTAATGAGATAAAACTGTGAAAGTTTTATCACTCTGAAGTTTCACTGGAATGTTTCAGGGATGAAGTTGTATTCTCTATAAATATCTACTTGATTCCAATATATGTTTTGAAATATTACTTAAATTGTCTTTTGGTTTTACATTGTTACTAAGATGGGATAATGTTTGAGATCATCACTGAATTTGAGTATATGCATCCTGTGCTTTGTTTTACCTTTTTCTTTTCTTTCTTTCTTTGAGACAAGGTCCTACTCTGCTGCCTAGCTGGAGTGCAGTGGATTGATCACAGCTCACTGCAGCCTTGACCTCCAGGACTCAAGTGATCTTCCTGCCTCAGCCTCCTGAGTAGCACGGACTACAGGTTCATGCCACCATGCCTGGCTAATTTTGGTATTTTTTTGTAGAGAAAGGGCTTTGTCATGTTGGTCTTGAACTCCTAGACTGATCTTGAACTTCTAGACTCAAGCAATCCACTCCCCCTTGGCCTCCCAAAGTGCTGGGATGAGGCACTGTACTCGGCCTGGTTTTTCATACATGGAAATAACATAATAAACATTTCAAATAAAATTTTATTGTATTAAAAAGAGACTAGATATTTGTAAACAAAAGTCTTCCTCAGAACATAATACGCTGATTATTTCATATAGGGTATAGTATTTTAGGACATCAACTAAACCAGGGTTAAATTTTGGTTTTGCATTTTGTGGTTGGATGACATTGAGAAAGTCATTAAGAACTCTGTACCTCAGTCTCCATTTCTGTAAAATGGGGATATGTTTTGAAGTTAAAAAACATGATGCATAGAAAATATTTAGTATAGTTCCAAGCTTATAGAAAGCACACCAAGAATGTCAGCTGTTAATGTTGGTTATTACTTATAAGTCTGATGAGCAACTAAGGCAGGACTTTTAAGTACATTTAATGTAAGCCACAAAGTTAGTGGCAGAGCTAGGATTTGAACCCCCAGGAGCCTGGCTCAGAATAGCCTGCTTTTAATTATTTTGCCCCTCTACTAAGTTACTGTTATATTAAAATTTTCTTATAAATACAGTTTTAGAAGAGCATTCAATGCTCAGTACATTCAATTCCGGCTAACAGACATATTTTATAACTTCCATTCTGAAAATAATTAGGATACATTCTTTCCAAATATGCAGATATTGAACAAGATATAAATCAGCATGATGGCTTTGGTGCAAAAGACAAAGAGACTTGGTATTTAAATTTAAGGTTTACCTATTCTGTTTATCCTTTCTACTTAACACTATGCTTTCAGGTTACAAAGATGAGTAGCACATGGTCACTGTATGAAGTTCAGTGTGCTTGGGGACACAGAATGAGAATCAATGACTTTCCAGTGCACCCACTGTTCTGATGGTGCTATCACAGAATTTCAGAGAAGAGACACTTGAGTCAATGTCATCACAGGGTTGGGGAAGGGTCCAGAAATCCTCATAAATTAGAGGACACTTGAGCTGAGTCTCGGTAGTTGAAGGGGGTGGGAAAGATTTTCATGCAAAGAAACTGGGAAACCAAGGTGTAAAGGCCTGAAAAAGTCTGTCAAATTCAGGAGTGAGTATGTGTCAGAATGACTGGTAGGCAGTGATGCTTTCTGGATGTGGTAAGAAAATGGACCATCCAGGTAAAGAAATACATAAAAGGATATGGGTTCTGTTTTGAAGGCAGACCTTTGGCAAGATAATTCTGATAGTGAATGAATAAAGATAAGAGAGGCATGGCCAGAGGTGAAAAACAAAACAAATAAGTGAAAAAATAAACAAAAGCAATAAGGATGTTTCTGCTGTAATCCAGGTAAAAAAGTGATGATGGCAGGGACTAAGGTGGTAGCAGATGGGATACAAACAAGGGGCAGAAGTAGAGAGAAATTACAACTGGCATGTGAGGAAGTATACTGGATAAAAGATGACTCACAAATTTCTGGCTTGGGCAAGACACAACCTGTTCTTTAATACCTTTTAGGCATTTGTTTTTTCTAATTTTTGTATCTCCATAATTGGTTTGGAGATACCTTAAATTTGATTAAAAAAAAGTATCGTGTCTTAAGGCAGTTTCCAAGAAAACATGTATCATTAGGTATAAGGTTCAGAAATCTGAGTGACACCTTACTTCATCTATCTACTCCCAGACATATTAATGATTTTCCTTCTGCTTTAAAATTCAATTCCATCATTCTTTCTATATAAAGAACACCCAAACAAAATGTGATGTTTGGGGTAAAAACTAATTTTTTTGGATACTAAGTACTGAATTTAAAATATGTAGGTACAAACCTTCAGATTGGCATAATGTAATACTTCAGCTTAATCTTAATTTACTTCTTTGGACCTCAGTTCCCTCATTTGTAAAATGAGTATGTTTTGGTCTAGAATTTTGTTCTTAATTATTGGGGTGCACAGAACTCTTTGAGAATATTAGTAAAGGTAAGAGGAGTGTGACTAGAGGTGAAAAACAAAACAAATGCACAAATATAATCAATAAGGATGTTGTTGCTGCAATCCATCCAGGTAAAAATAATGATGACCTGGATTATCTAGAGAAATGATCATACCTATGTGTCAATGAATGCCGTACAACTTTCGAAGGGTCTCTGTATCCTTTCTGAAGTCTGTTCATGAATGCCAAAATAAACATCTCAGAGCTAGATGATCTACAAGGTCCTTCCTAGCAATCTACACGTATTTACAGACAGGAAATCAAGGAATAGGGAAACAGACACAAAAAGAGCAGAGGAAACTATGGCCTATTCCTATCTTGCTAAAATCACTTACCTTGAATTAGTACATTAAATCCTAATGCAAACTATACAATCATATTAATGTAAGTCTTTGTAGCTTGATCAATTGGATAATGTGTCTCTTTCTATAAATTATTTCTTAAGGTAAAATCTATCTTCATATATCTGAATTAAAAGCTAGTCAAACCAAATAAAATAAAACCACCAAACCAAAACAATTTTTTCTTTTCTACGACAAAGGAAAATTCCTTTTCTTCATATGGATATTTATGTTGCCTTAAGAACATTTCTGATAAAAGTATCTGAAAATATTTGTGACAGTTTGTACTGTGGAGATATACATTCAGGCTGTGCTCTCTCTGTATATATATATGTTTGATGTGCAAGGAAAGATACTGAAAAGCGCTTTTGTATTTTGTTTTCAGGCCTGATTAATCTGTCCTTATGCATTCTTTTAGTTACAAATAATAATTGTACCTGTCAGGTTGGAAAGACTTCCAACTTGTGACAATGTAATGCTAGAGGATTTTGAGTTTACATGCCTTACATGTAAACTCACATTTTCTTCATTACTTAACAAAATCCCAACGTGTGTTTATTTTGCTCTCCAAAGCATCCAGCTATGAATCATTTTTCCAACTTGGGAATTTTCAAATTGAACCACTTTTAAGCAACCCACATCAAGTTCTTATTTGGTTATTTCTTTGGTAGACTAAAGTCTAATCCTCTCTCTAAATCTAAAGTTAGTTGCAACTTTGCTATGATATTTGACTCTTGAATAAATATCATAAACAACTACAGTGACCGAATTATGTATGAATTTCAAAAGTTATATTTAGTACAGGTTTCCAGCAACTGTTTTAGTAAGTTTAGCACAGCGTGGTTTTATTTCAAGTGGAAAAGGCACTTGGTTCCTCAGGATTCCCAGGATTTAAAACAGTCAGTGAATCAACAAAACAAACAAAGCAAGAAAAATCACATTATTTTTGAGGAATAAACAATATGTATAAGATTATAAAAATCAACAAAAAATGAAAACTATTTCTAAAAACTCTTTTATATTTAATTATTCTAATTTCAAGTATAAAAATAAGCCATATGATGTGTTAACTTTTTTTATTCTGAACATGATGTACTTGGCTTTGCACAGTGGCAAAGGTAACATTTTGCAAACATCTGAATACAATCAGTGTTTGGAACATGTAAACTTAGTGGCTAAGACACTAGGTTTGAATCCATCTCTGTGGAGTCTGACAGAGATGGATTAAATTATTGGTTCCATCTCTTACTGACTCAGTTTCTGAAAGAGGACAAAGGATAAATTACTTAATCTGAATGTAAATTTTCTTTTCTTTTCTTTTTTTTTTTTTTTTTTTCAGAAAGAAGCTGTTGCCCAGGGTGAAGTGTGGTGGTGTGGTCACAGCTCTGGGCTCAAGCGATCCTCCTGCCTCAGTCTCCTGAATAGCTGGGACTACAGGTGTGTGCCACCATGCCAGCTAATATTTTTATTTTATGTAGAGACAGGGTCTTGCTATGTTGCCCAGGCTTGTCTTGAATTCCTGACCTCAAGCGATCCTCCTGCCTCAGCCTCTCAAAGCGCTTGGATTAAAGGAGTGAGCCATTGCACCAGGCCCAATATTCTTAACTGCAAAGTGAAAATAATAATTTCCCTTCTTCATAAGATTGTTTAAAGGATGAAGTGAAATCATGTGTATCACACTGTTTTAATGGCTCTATGTGACTTTAATATTTTTGAACGGTCTCTACTTCACTCCTCTCATCCCCCATTAGAAAGTAAACTCTATACACAGAGACATTTTATATTGTTCACCATTGCATTTCCTAGAACAGTATTTGGCATACTGCAAATATTTTATAAATTGTGAATCAGTGAATGAACACTGATTACCAGGCTGAAAGAATTTCATTTTCTATAGCAATGAGAGCCACTAAAAGTTTTTAAGTGTTTGTAGGGTTAAAAAGTGGTAGCAAAATAAGATAGTAAAAAATATAAATCTAACAATGCATTTAATAGATGGTAAGGAGATAGGGTGGGGATCAACAGCAGAGGAAGGAATACGTGCTTAGAACTAATTTCATACAACTTTAGAAAAATAAAATCGAGTTTCAAAAATCTTCACCCTAAAATAGGTAGCTCCACATGCCTTTCTGGTCTTGATAGTTTACAGTGAACTCACTATTACTAAAATTTCTCTCCAAGAGCTCACCTTCAATTCTTTCTTATACATTAGAAAGGAAAATGGTTGCATGGGAAGAGTATGAGTTGTGCTGAGTAGAAGTCTACATGGATTTACCATTCTTCCCACTTATGAGAAATAGGAGAAATGCTGAAATGGCATTTATCTAGGCATATTGTCATCTCCCTTTTGAAATTTGCACATCCACTCTGTTCCAGAATAGCCCTTATTGACTTGGGTTTGTATGATCAAAGATGAAGGGCCATATCCAGCCTGGCTCATGCTCTGAGCCAAAAGCGAAGTGCCCTTGAGATTTCAACAGGAGCTCTGAATTTTGAGAACTATGCCACTTTCAGGACAAGATGAATTATGAGTCATGCTGAGTAGTTGGCTTTCTTATTTTCAGAGTCTGTAAAGGGAAATATATATAGTACTGCTTGGACACGAAATTAAAGGTTTTCAGCTAGGTCAGTTAACTTACCATGGCAGATAGACACTGGATCTCAACAACAGGTCTTTCTTGGTCCTAAATTTGCCTGAATAGAGAACTCATTTCTTTTTCTGGTAAACCACAGGGACTGCACTCTTTTGGAAAATACCTTCCTTCACTGAACCTATTGTAGCTAAGTTCATTTCATCCTTTGCATCTCTAAAAAGTGTTGAAAAATAAAAGGATATATTTTAATGAGTGTTTATTTTTTCTTATCATTCCACAATTTGCTATATGGTCCTTGTTCCATTGACATAAATAAAAGATGGTTTACATCTCTGAGCTCGCTTACTGAAACTCCCACAGCAATGATTGTTCCATCCCATGAAAATCCCCTATCCACTGGCACTTGCATTGTTTCTTTGCTAATTATCATCACCTCATATGTTCACATTCCTTCCTTCTCAGATTAGATTTCGTGGAACAGCGTCAAACCTCCTCCTTTCAAGCTATCATCACTCTCTTGCCATTCTACCTCTATTATACTCATCAGAAAAACTGTCAACCCTTTTTAAACCTAATAGCCATGAGCTCTACGTTTGCATCTGAGTAGTTGATACTTCTGCACATAATCTTACTACCCTTCTGAGCAGCCCCACTTTAAACAGATGGACTTCAAATTTCAGTTGACCATTCAGCAATGCCTAGAAAACCCACTGAATTTGTATTTCCCTTCCCAAATCTTGGGAAGAGAGGTAAAATCATAATTTTACTTCCCAATCTTTTGGGAATTTTTACTTACCAAAAGTAAAAATTCATTATTTTACTTCCCAGTCTTTGTCTCAACATCTCCTCTCTGCTCATTATGAGCTGATTATCTCAGCAGATATCTCAGTCATTGTGACATATTGGATACAAATGGTTCATCTTCCTTCCACAAAATCTATAACCTCCTTGCAACTATATTGCCTCCGTGCTGTCTCTATATATGACAAAGAATACCTGCTTCCTGTAAAGACCTTGATCTACCAGGGATCAGAATCTCATCCCTTCATCTACTCAAGGACTTTACTCCAGAAATTACTCCTTCATCCTCTTCACCGCCCCCATCTCTTCTGCAGGGTCGGTTTCTCTTTTTCTGTGGAATCAGTTCCATAACAAATACCCTCAATAATCTCCTCTCCTTTGTTCTCATGGTGTCTCCAGCTAAAGCCAGCATCTATGCCAACCCACAACAGAAAACTTCTTGGAAGAGATGTCTTCATCAACTTTTGTAATTTGCACCTTTCATTATTTATTTTATGGCTTCAATTTGTAAGTAGGATAGCTGAGACAAACATGTAGAGTTTAAACTTTAATAAATTTTGCAAGCCTGACTTTCATGAAGATGATATTAATGCGTATTCTCACTAAAAAGTCTTATTTTCACTACCTTCTTGATGTATTGAAAGACTTAATGAAAAACCTATTCTCTTGTAGTGTGGTAAAAGCTCTGTGATTATGTATTATAGTTTTAAAAGAGTTTTAATAGGAATTAAACTAAGTTAGGATTTATATTAAAATACCTTGATTTACTTCAAATTTTATTCTTTTATACTTGAGAAACAATGACAGTAATGTGGGTTACAAAGAATGTGTGTTTTTCTTTTATCCATTTCTTAAAATAATAGCACAACCCAAGGAAGATTGCCTACATATGTTCAGATCCTTAGCAACCTGCATTTTTCAGCATATGCCCTAAAGTTATAGCTTAGAAAAGTGTAAGTTTCTTTATTCAACAAAAATAACTAATTCATCTTCATCCAGTAGCATGAATGCTAATGAGCTTGTAAGTGTATTTGATATTATAATTCCTCAAGAAGCTAAAATACAAAATTGGTTTACCAAATTTATATTTTAGTTTGTTGTGCTTCAAAACATAATTAGCAATTGTATCTGTCAGCCCACAGATTACTTGGGCCCAGTTAGTGTGTTTGAGAAATTCTTTTAATAACCCTGAAAGACATTAACTTAATAAAAATATGAAACTTTGCTTGGCCATCTGAACAGCTGATGGTAGCATCTGTGGAGTTTGTAATCCATTTTTCACATCTAATAAATTTGACTATTTGTTTGGTTGGATAATTGGAAATGATAGTTGAAACAACCTTTTAAAGACATCTAATAAATTTGACTGTTTACTTGTTTGGCTAAATAATTGGACATGATAGCTGAAAACAACCTTTTAAAACAAATTAAACATCATGATTTCATCATCTTTTATGTGTAAAAAATTTCATTGTGCAAAAATCATTCTTGAAAGTTGTTTAATAAATGATAATATTTGTCTTAATAAGGTTACACAATCTTTTCAAAATTTTTTGAGGGACATTGCAAGTTTTATTTTCTATGATGGGACCATATCAAAATCCCGAAGCACTCTCAGAAGAACATATATTAAAATTTGAAAGGTAATGTCAATTAGTGACAGAATTTTCACAAAGTTCCCCTGGACAAACACTTGGTTATAAGCCTATAGTGATTGATATTCCAGTGAAAGTTTTATAGCTCTGAAGACAACTGAATCACAAAAAACATTGGAAAAAATTTAAGCAACATAGAAAATTTAAGTGTTGATGAGTCAGTGAAGCAAGTATAAGAACTTTAAAATTGTTCATCCACTTTAGAAAATAGTTTTTCATTATTAAACAAAGTTGAAGATGTGCATCATTTCTTGTTACTCAGAAATTCTATCCATGAGGATTCACCCACAACTGTGTATTTTCACTAGCATATGAGGTAAGAAATTCCACAGCCATTGCTTGAATATTAAAAAAAATGAACCAAAAGCAAAGTCCATAAAGAGTGGAAAGAATAAAGAAAATTTTTGCTTCAATATGGTCAATATAGAAGTAGAAATACTACCTAGTAATGAAAATCAATGTGGCACACCTACATGCATCATTAAAAATAAATATCAGGGCATGATGTAGAACTAAAGTGCTGATTTTATAAGATTACATAGAAGAGGATTCCATTTGCATAAATATTAAAAATCTTCAAATCAAGAAGCATTCTGTTTAGGGATATAAATGTACTTGGTGAAACTCTAACAATAAACAAGAGGAAGATAAAACACAAAATTTGGAATAGTGGAACAAGCGAAAGAAGGGAACAAAGAAAATTGGTTGTGGATATTCAGGTGTGTATTGTATTTTTACTATTTACCTTGCCTATGACTTGCAAATCTTACTTTGTGTCTATTAGTATTTAACAAAAATAAATTTTCAGATGCCAAATTGAACATTTTAGGAACTAATCATTGGGAAAAAAAATCTTGTTTTCAATGTACATCTTGGCTCTGTAATTTTGTTGCTTTAGTTAGGACTCCTTTGGAAATCAACTGAGCAAACTCAAAAGGAGGTAGGATACATTCTAAAAATACTGATGCCTCCGGCAAATTATGATGTTCAGCCAGGCTTTATGGTGCCTAGAACTGAGACATAACACATTATGGATGGGGCAGATATCCTTCTCTTTCTTCCTTTTCTATCTCCTTTCCTCCCTCCTGCATGCCTTCTGTGCATACCCTTGGGTTGCCTCTTCTACTATACTCCCTGCAGATCATCTTCCTCTGCTTATCTACAGTTTCCTTTCTCAGTGTACTGACTCAGGTCCCATCATTACATGTCCTTTCTCAAATGTACCTCCTCCAGCTGTCAACAATCTTTCTTGTATTTTTAGTATAATTCTCAGGAAACAGAATCTGATTAGTTACTGCACAGCCATCATTTGTACTGACTATCAGTCAACTGCCTGCCATTCATTCAATTAGGTATGGCTAGCATAAAAGTGGATACTCAACAGATGCTTAGGTCTGGACAGATTTTCTAAGAACAGAATGTGAGGTAGGGCAGCCACTTCAAAATTAGCCTAATACATTCATGTTTATGTTACATTGAGCCTTATGCAAGTTTCTCTATTTGGGGCATGTGGTGCTTCCAACCTGAGCTAAATATTCCCAAGGATAAATGAACATTTTCCTAATGGACGTGGTCTCTTTCCCTTTCTGCATTTCCATTCTCCAGGGTGATGTTTTTCTACTCCAGCAAGAAATCAGGAGAATAACAATTGGATTGTCCTCCACTGAGATGACAAGTTCCTTGATAAAGTGTTTTAGGTTTCAAAGAAATGTCCCGCAGCAAATGCTTCCCGCCTAATGTTAACCTCTGCTTTCCCTTTCCTTTACACAAGTTGGTAGTAAGATGGAATTGGTGAAATTTTCCATACTACTTTTCTCTTCTCTGTAGACCTACTAGATCATGTCAATTTGATGGGACAAATTATCCACTTAAATTATCCCTATGTGCTGCAGGAACCAAAAAGGAACCATTGAAAATATATGCGTGTAGGCTGGGTGCGGTGGCTCACACCTGCAATCTCAGGGCTTTGGGAGGCCGAGACGGGTGGATCACGAGGTCAGGAGATCGAGACCATCCTGGCTAAAATGGTGAAACCACGTCTCTACTAAAAAATACAAAAAATTAGCCGGGCGTGGTGGCGGGCGCTGGTAGTCACAGCTACTCGGGAGGCTGAGGCAGGAGAATGGCGTGAACCGGGGAGGCAGAGCTTGCAGTGAGCCGAGATGGCGCCACTGCACTCCAGCCTGGGCGACAGAGCGAAACTCCGTCTCAAAAGCAAACAAACAAAAAAAGAAAGAAAGAAAGAAAGAAAATATATGCCTGGAGCAGACAGTCACTTCTAACTCTAGAAAATAAAGCCATTGTAGGTAGAACAGCATATTTCTTCTTGTGTCTGGATATTCTCAAGTCCCATTCTCTCTTCTGGACTCTGTTGTTTATATTTATGGAACAGGAGTCTACAAATTGCATTTATCAGCCTCTCACGTCTGCTGGATTCTTGTTAGGTTCTGCCAATAGGAGGCACTTGAGGGAGAAGTTACTGGGAGAGCGAAACTTTCTGCTTCTGACTTCAGTACTGGGGGGGTTGCATTGGGAGTGGGGCGATTCTTGACTTTAAGAACATGGGTAGGGGCCACCCCTTTCTGGTAGGTTCCAGCTTTGACGGACATGATGCATCTTCAGCAGTCCAGGACTGATTATGAGTGTCACCAACAGCACAGTGGCAGGTGCAGGCAAATGGGCTCCAGACGAGTGGTTTTAACTGCTTTGCATCAAAAAAGTGCCACCCCTTCTTCTTTTCTGTTACTTTAGCTCCCTCCACTTCACCTACTTCTCTTTGTTCTTCTTGTCCTTCCAAAACGTATGTAGATAATTCCCTGTGTTAAATTCATTTTGTTTTAAATACTTGGGGTACTTTTTGTTTTCTTTGCTAAACCCAGACCCATACACTGCCACTATCATTTTTGGCTCCAGTTAGGCCAAAGCTGTTGCATTGCTACTTTGCCCCAGTCTGAAAAGGAAGGCCATCTGTCTGCATCTGGGAATAAACATTTGAGAGCGACACCAGGAACCTGAGAATGCTTTGTGATTGTGCACTTCACAGTGTCACCTCACTCTGTAAGTACTCTGGATTCCTAGGAAATAAACCCAAGTACACTATATGTATGTATATTCTTAAGAAAACAGTAGCCACATTTTTGAAATAAAGTTGGTGTTAATTCTTACAGTGTAAGGTTGATCTTTCAAACATTCAAATGGAATATTTTTCACACTTGGCATATTTTCAATTCCATGAAATGTGGTTTCATAGTAGAATGATTGTTGAAGTGGTTAGAATGCTTTTTACTCTAAGTTGAATCTCTATGCTTTACAATAACATTTGATGCCATTAAAAATCTGAAGGCATTTAAAAAACGAGTTTCAAAATTTGGCCATAAAAATAAACCACTTCAAGACAAGAATTAATGAATTGTGAATGACTCCCTCTAGAGGCACGGACAGTCAGGCATAAAATTTAGAAATGATTGTCCTTGTTTTTGAAAAATCCATTCCAGGGCTCTATTTCAGACTATTTTTAAAGTCTAATTCCATTTAAGTTGGTAACCACCAATCACTTCCCACTGTATCTGATTGCAGCACTTATGCACTAAGACAGGACAAGCTCTAAAACTAACATTTGAATGTGATTTTCATGGCCTTTGCTGTTTTGCAACTTTAAAATTGTGCATGTATCTTTCTATCTCTGCTGGACAAGTGGGACTAGGGAAAGCCATAACAAAATTTGTGAGCAAGTGTTGGGAAAACATAAAAAACGTGACTGTTACAGAAGCTGGTAACTACTTCTTTACTCTTTTCACAGACCCATCCAGAAAGAGTTTACAGTAGGGCATATCTCCAGAGAGATGTATTTGTAAAGACATTCTGGAATTATATTCAAGTTCATGAGACTCTTTAAAGATATGAGAGTATCTTAATACAAATGCATCTGAATTCCCAAAAGCTGTACTTGAAAAAAAAAACATTAAAGTCATAAAAATCAGAACTGCAAAAATAGTGACATGAAAGTCAGGACCAATTAATAAGAGCTTAAACTGGGCCTGAGGCAGGAAGAATTGTCAAGGTTTATAAGCACAGTCAGATCATTAGAATTTCATTGGATTCAACTTCAAAATAAATTAATGGGGTAATGACTGCCGGAATCATTAAAATTTTCCATAATGATGACGTGCTTTTGTGTGTAAACTTGAGGCCAAAACTAAGAAACTAAAAACAAACAAACAATGAGAGAAGCTTTGGTCTATTGCTGTAGTCTCTGAAAATATATTTACTATTCATTAAATGGAAGTGGGTCATCATAAAGGTCTTCATCCTCATTGTCTTAATGTTGAGTGGAGTCTGAGGAGGCAGAGAAAGAGGAGCGATTGGTGTTGTTTCAGAGATGGCAGAAGCTAAAGAGGTGGAGGAGGTGGAAGAGGGAGCAGGAGAGGCAGGCATACTTGGTGTACCTTTATGGAAATACATAATTTCTGCCTGATTTTTTTTGCTTTTTCATTAAAAAAATGTTTCTATGTTAATATCAATCCTTCTTCCATCATTTCAGTACCTGTATCATACATAGAAGGGTGCATGTAATAAGAGAAGCCAAAAGCAGTCTTGAATAACCTGAACCATTCTCCCAGATCCCTACTGTCAATTTATTTTTTTGGTACTGCTTTTGTGCCTTCCTCACCATCTGGCACTGGTTTGAAAGCACTGAACTCCATCAACTTATCATCTTCTGTTAATTCCTCTGGTGTGGTGCCTATTAACTCTTGAATTTCTCCAAGATGCATATCTTGAAATGCTTCATCTTCTACCCTTTTTGACATATCCACAATTTCTTTCATGATTTCCTTGATTGGCTCTGTTATAAATCCTCTGAAGTTATGCACAACATCTGGACAGTTTCTTCAGCAGGAATTTATTGTTTCTGGTTTGATGGCTTTTGTGGCTTTTTCCATAACAATGTCATCCTCAATGGTGTAATTCTTCCAGACTTTCATGATGTTCTATTAGGATTCTCTGCCACAGCCTTGACACCTCTTTCCATAGAATACTGTGTGTAATGAGCCTTAATGATCCTTCTGACTCCTTATTTAGAGGTTGAATTAGAAATGGTGTGTTTGGGGGCAAGTAGACCACTTTAACACCTTTGGTGTTAAACTCATAGAGTTTTTGGTAGCTGGGGGCATTGTCCAGTAAAAAGCAGTTCCTTACAGGCAAGGTAGTTCCTGACTTCAGGGACAAAGCATTGATGGAACCAATCCAGAAAAGGATTCTTATTTTCCAGGCTTTTTTTTTTTTTTTTTTTTGAAAACTAAAAGACTGGATGTTGGTGTTTATCTTTTCCTTTTGAAGCTCAGGGTTTGGCAGCATTATAGATAAGGGCAGTCCTGGTCATAAACACAACTGCATTTGCACAAGACAGTATAGTTAGCCTATCCCTTTCTGCCTTAAATCCTGTTGTTCAATTCTTATCTTAATAAATGTCCTTTGTGGAAGTTTGTTGTGTTTTTTTTTTTTTTTCCCAGAATAGGGTACTTTTGTGTGTAATAAAAACCTGTTGAGGCAGATAATCTTTCTCCTCAATTATTTTCCTAATGGCATCTGAGAACTCATCTGCTGTCTCTTGGTTAGCAGAAGGTGCTTCTCCTCCTATGTTGACATTTTAAAACCACATCTCTTTCTAAAATTATCAGACCATCCTTTGCTAGTATTAAATTCTCCAGCTTTAGATCCTTCACATTGTTTTTGCCTTGAGTTGTTATATAATGACTTCACTTTTTCTTAAATTGTATTAGAGTCTGTGGGTATGCTTTTCCTACAGCAATTCTGCACCCACATAAAAGCTGTGTTTTCAATATGAAATTAAAGGAAACTGTATTTTACAAAAACTGCAAGGTTTCATGCCTGCTGGTGTAGCTGCAGTGAAAGTTTCACAAATGTTCTTTTCTTTTTAAATAATGGTTCTTATGCTGGATTTATTTATCTTGAAATGGTGGGCATCCACTGCTACAGATGTCAATCTATGGTACACATCAAACAGTTAAACTGTTTTTTATGTCACTACTTTGCTTCTTGGGAGCATTTTCAGCATCACTAGTGGCACTTCATATGGGTACCATAATGTTACTCAAGGTTTAAGGGTGTTATACTAAACACAATAAAAATATACAAGAACTGAGAGAGATCACTTTTGCTGCAATATGCAATTTACTGGAGAGACAAACTGCTCGCAAGGAGATGACTGGTGCCACACAGTGTTTTAAGCAAATACTTGCAACTCTTGAGATCACTGCAATAGCAACAAGAGGTGAATAAAAAATTATTACAGTAGTACAGTATATACTATAGTTAATTTTAGGCAGTTATGATTTAATACTGCATCTTTGCATTTGTTTAAATTTCTCTAGAGTGCAATGGTACCATATGTGGCCTGTAAGTGTTTATGTGTGTTTTGGTAAGTTTTAAGTTTTTATAAAAGATTTGTGTATATTTTATGGTAGTAAATAATAAAATAGACTAGTATCTACATATATTTTATGCATTCATGACACACCTAACTTTTTCTTATTTTTTCCAGTATTTCTAGGCTACATGGTTCATCTGCAAATTTCTGTAAATTGTCACAAATCTTCAGAAAACTTTTCAATATATTTACCAAAAAATGTACCTATAATTGGACTAGTGAAGTTCAAATCCATGTTTCTCAGGGGTCAACTGTATAATATAACAGAATGAGAATGAAAAGTGTGAAGGCCCAGAAAATTGAAGTGGCATTTGACATCAAGTAACCTGCATATCTACTTTACTTGGAGATTCTGAATTTTCTATCAAAAGACAGAAGAAATGATTTTGAAAATGAACGTGCAAGACCATCAGAATATTTAGGTCTAATCATTAATAGTCAGACTAAAGAAATGGTCTCTCAAATCAGGCCTCTCTTTTCTTTATGCTTACAATACCTAAATGCGTGTCCTGCTACATAAGTTTTCCTGAAGAATAGTTACAGTCATTTTACTTTCTAAGTCAGCAGTGGTTTTTCTGAGTGGAAATGCAATTGACCTTTTTTGCCCAATGATCTTCAAGGAATCTGAAACGTGACTGAGACTCACTCTTCTAAATTATTAACTAGAGCACAAAAACGGAGAGATCTCCATAGATAAACTTTTGTACCATGTAATCTGAATGTCCCTGCATTTTTAACATCCTGGCATGGCCCCAAAACACTCCTCCATTACCCTTTTCTTGTTCAGTTTTTCATTGGGTTTTATCCAAGTTCAGAATAATTTTATCTTGGCAATTTAAAACACTTGCACTTCCTCTCCCCTTGGATCTAAATGAACACAAATCATTTCTTTTCCATGGAAAGAACCAAGATAGTATGTTTCCCCTCTCATCAGTGAATCAAAAGAACTCTATTTAGCTGTTTGGCCTTTGTTCTCCTAAATCAAACATGCTGTTTATCACTAAAATTAACCATTACTTATAGGCTCATTGACTAAACCAATAAACCAGCAGAAATCTAAATAGGCTAAGAGCAAATCGAGTAAAACCTAATACAATCATGGTTTGTTTTTGAAGAAAATAAAAAACAAGCTATGAAAAGTCACTTGCAACATAACTTACTTATTCTATCGAAAAACATAGTTTTGTTTTTAGCCTGAACCCTCTTTTTTTTCTAGCCTATTCTCTCTACAGCAGATTTCCTTATTCCATTCAACACACACATGCCTAGTCCAATCTACCTTATATTTTCTTTTTAATGCTATATCTAGATAGCATTGAATTCCATTGATTTTTCTCCACTATATTTTCCATACATATTTTGTATCAGGCTGTTTTTCGCATTACTGTAAAGAAATACCTGAAATTGGGTAATTCATAAATAAAATAATTTTTCTTTTGCCTCATGGCTCTGCAGGCTCTACATGAAGCATAGTGCTGGTATCTGCTTCCAGTGAGGGTCTCAGGAAGATTATAATTGTGGCAGAAGGTGAAGGGGGAGCCAGCACATGATATGGCAAGAGAGAGAGCAAGAATGGGGGGTAGGTTTCATGCTGTTTCAAACAACTTGATCTCATGTGAACTACCAGAGCGAGAAGTCACTTATCGCCAAGGGGATGATGCTAGGCCATTCATGAGGAATCCACATCCATGATCCAAACGCCCCCCAATCAGGCCCCACTTCCAACACTGGGGATCACATTTCAACATGAGATTTGAAGAAGGAAAACATGCAAACTATATCATTTCAACCCTGGCCCGTTAAACCTCATGTCCTTCTCACACTACAAAATACAATCATCCCTTCCCAATAGTCCCCCAAAGTCTTAATTCATTCCAGCATCAAATCAATCAAAAGTCCAAAGCCTAAAATATCATCTGAGACTCATCTCCTTCTGCCTATGAGCCTATAAAATCAACAATGAGTTATTTACTTCCAAGATACAATGGTGGTATAGGAACTGGGTAAAAATTCCTATTCCAAAAGGGAGAAATCAGCCAAAATGAAGGGGTTACAGGCCCTTTGCAAGTCTGAAAACCAGCAGGGCAGCGATTAAATCTTAAAGCTACAAAATAATATTTTAAAACTTCATGTCTAGCATCCAGGGCACACTAGTGCCAGGGACGGGCTCCCAAAGCATTGGGCAGCTCTGCCTCTGTGACTTTGTAAGGTCACCATGGCTGCTTTCACAGGTTGGAATTGAGTGCCTATGGCTTTTTCAGGCTCAGGATGCAAGCTGCTGGTGGCTCTAATATTCTAGTGTCTGGAGGGTGGCAGTCCTATTCCCACAGCTCAAGTAGGTAGTGCTCTAGCAGGGATTCTTTGTGTAGGCTCCAACCCCACAATTGCCCTCAGCATTTCTCTAGTATAGGCTGTCTGTGGGGGCTCCACCCTGCAGCAGGCTTCTGAAATACATCATACAACATCTGAAATTTAGGTGAAGGCTGTCAAGTCTCCTTCACTCTTGTATTCTGAGCACCTGTAGGTTTAATGCCATGTATAAGCCACCAAGGCTTATCACTTGAGCACTCTGGAGCAGCAGGCTGAACTGTATCTGGGCCCCTTTGAGCCAAGGCTGGAGCCAGAGCAGCCAGGATGCAAGTAGCAGTGTCCTGAAGTGGAGCGTGGCAGCGGTGCCTTGTGCCTGGCCCCTGAAAACATTCTTTTCTCCTAGGCTTCTGGGCCTGTGATGGGAGAGGCAGCTTAGAAAATTTCTGAAATGCCTTCTAAACCTTTTTCCCATTGTCTCAGATATTAGCACTTGGCTCCCTTTTAGCCATCCAAATCCCTCTAGTAAGAGGTTACTTGAAGCCTGCTTATATTAGTGTCCTAAAAATGTTTTTTTGTTTGTTTTCTGCCACATGGTTAGGTTGTAAATTTTCCAGATTTGTATGTTCTTCTCTTTTAAACATGAGTTCCAACTTTAAGTCACTTCTTTGCTTCTGTATCTGTTCATAGGCTGTTAGAAGCAGCTAGGTCACATCTTTTTTTTTTTTGAGATGAAGTCTCATTCTTGTCACCCAGGCTGGAGTGTAATGGCGCGATCTTGGCTCACTGCAACCTCTGCCTCCCAGATTCAAGCGATTCTCCTGCCCCAGCCCCCCAAGTAGTTGGGATTACAGGTGCCTGCTACCACACCCAGCTAATTTTTTGTATTTTTAGTAGAGATGGGGTTTCACCATGTTGGTCAGGCTGGTCTCAAACTCCTAACCTCAGGTGATCCACCCTCCTCAGCCTCCCAAATTGCTGGGATTACAGGCATAAGCCAGATCACATTTTAAATGCTTTCCTGCTTAGAAATTTCTTCCACCAGATACCCTATCAAGCTTTTCCAATGTGCCTTATTTTGTTGTTATTCTGTTTTGTTTAGTTTTAGGCTTTCAGCAGCGTGAAGCCATGGTTTTAAGTTACTGTCTCTAGTCATAAGTGGTAAATAGAGATGAGGAAGGGACTTTACTGGCCCAACTATAAACAGAAACAAAGAACCCATGACTGTGTTCTCTCCCTTGGACACCACTGAGTCATTGCTCTTAAGTTTGGCCTTCCATAGACTTCCTAGGATGTGAACATAATGTGGCCAAGCTCCTTGGTAGGTTGCAACACAGGTGACCATTACTCCACTTCCCAATAACTTTTTCATTTTCATCTGAATCATCATCAGCCTGGACTTCACTGTCCACATTTCTATCAGCATTTTGGTCACAATCACTTAACCAATCTCTAAGAAGTTCCAAACTTTCTCTCATCTTCTTGTCTTCTTCTGAGCCCTCCAAACTCTTCCAACCTCTAACCATTACCCAGTTCCAAAGCTTATTCCACATTTTCAGGTATCTTTATAGCAATACTCCACTCCTCATTATCAATTTTCTGTGTTAGGCCATTTGTCCATTGCTATAAAGAAAAACTTGAGGCTGGGTAATTTATAAAGAAAAGGAGTTAAATTGGTTCATGGTTCTGCAGGCTGTACTAGCATGGCTCCAACATCTGCTTCTGGTGAGGCCTCAGGAACTTTACAATCACAGCAGAAGATGAAGAGGGAGGGGGTGCATCACTCCTCCCAGAGAAATAAGGTACCCAGAGAATAAGAGGGAAAATACCACACTCTCTTAAACAACCAGATGAATGAGTGACAGCTCATTCATCACCAAAGGGATGGCCCAAGCCATTCATGAGGAATCCTCCCCCATGATCCAAACACCTCCTACCAGGCCCCATCTCTAACACTGGGGATTACATTCAACATGAGATTTGGAAGGGACAAACATCCAAATTATATTATATGTAAATGCTTTTTAACACAGTAATAAAGGGTTAGGCTTTTATTTTTGCCCAAGGTTGGACATGTAATATTTTTCTACAGATTCTTAGTATCTTTCTATTTATCTATATTCAATACAATTTCTCTAACCACCTAATGATGAACCTTTTGCCTAAGACAGAAAAGTTTTCACACATATACATTAAAATGAATGAAAAGCTAGTATATTTTCCCCTCTCTACCCAGGTAGTTACAAATCTATTGCAAGGTTCTAAGAGGTTGGATCCAAGAAAACCAGGCCACACAATAGGAGTACAGAGACCAGAAGCCTGCCTCTTGGCCTCAACACCTGTGTCTTTCCATTCGTCCTGATATGTCAGCTGCTGCAAGGAAGCAATGAGCTGAGATAGTTAACATTTTGCTTCCATGAAGAATTTACTCCTTCTATCGGTGGAATCAGACTGTGAGTATTTCAGTTTACTCCTTGGTGCTCAGGGAATAATAAAACAACCACTCCAGCAAGTACTTGGAGATTGTGAACATTAATAAAGGTTAATAAAGCATTTTGAGTGCTGAAGAAAAAGTATCATATGGCTCTGTCAGATAGGAATTGAACTGTCCTGCTTTCAGAAACTAGCACTAAAGCAATCTCATTGGTTGTTACAAATCAAGCTAGAAATGTCATAGAAAACATCGTGATATCTAGATAGTGGTTATCTGAGCTCACAGAATCACCCTTTGAGATTAAGATTTAAATTGCAGGGCAGAATGTCTTCATTAAATTGTACTCCCAGAGTTACCAATTTAGGCTTAGCTATAATAAAAAATGTAGAAAAATGATTTAAAGAATTATCTCATTTATTCAAAATTTGATTAAGAATATGAAAAACTTGGTTAATTTGCCAAAAATCACTTACTTAAATTTTTTATACATTATGACTTTATATGTGCAAAGCTTGAATAATATGTTCATGAAAAGTAGCTACTGAAATTAATTGTGCATACATATGATTAAAATATACCTACAGAGAATATAATGCAGCAGGCAGAAGTATGAATGACAATTTCAGGAAAGCTGCATTTGTACTCTGGTTCCACTATTTTCCAACAGAATTGGAAAATTAATGTAATGAGAGATTGAACTTTTAATGTGCTTATGAGTCTCTCCCTATATAAAAACATTAATTTCATAATTTAGATTAATTCATGTGAAAGAATATTGACCAATTAGAGAGAAAGGTCTAGTGCCATATAAATTTAGTGTACATTTGACTATGCAGAGATTTGATAGCCACAAACATGAGAGCACTGCTTTTCTGAGAAGTGTCAACCTCTTCCAATCCATATCACCATCTCTGTGCTCTCCAATCTCCACCACATATTCCACTTATGCTCTACATCTTCACTTGAACGCGCAACATACCTTTGCCCATTAGGCACAGGGCTAGAGACTCCTAGCTTTTCCCGAACTTTGGGAAGCTTTGAGACTGGAAAAACATGTCACAAAAGTACAAAAAAGAAAACTTCAAAATCCAAACAATATATGGTAATGATGTCCATTATTTCAATAGCCACAAACTGATTATTATACAGTGAGTGCATTTTAGACTTTTGTTATAATGTGTAATATGATTTCCAAAAAAGTAAGACTGTCACTGATATGGTTTGGCTGCTTCCCCACCCAAATCTCATCTTAAATTATAGTACCCATGATCCCCACTTATCGTGGGAGGGGCCCGGGAAGTAATTTATGGGGTGGTTACCCTCATGCTGTTCTCATGATAGTGAGTGAGTTCTCACGAAATCTGATGGTTTTCTAAGGGGCTTTTCCCCCTTTTGCTAAGCACTTCTTGCTGCCCCCATGTGAAGAAAGATGTGTTTGTTTCCCCTTCTCCCATGATTGTAAGTTTCCTGAGGCCTCCTCAGCCCTGTGGAATTGTGAGCCAATTAAACCTCTTTCCTTTATAAATTGCCCAGTTTGGGGTATGTCTTTATTACCAGCATGAGACAGGACTAATTCAGTCACATATTGATAAATGGCCTTAAATGTCTTTCACTCAAACCTCAAATATTCAAACAATTCTCAACTTCTTCCTTCAAAACATTCCTCCTCGCTGTTCACCAGCATAGCACCGAAACAGCCCCACCAGCAGTCTGGTCCCTGAACAAGAAAACATTGCCTCCAAGTCTCCTCAGAATATTACTCCTTCCCTCCATCCTCCCTGTCCTCCTTAGGGCCTAATTTTTCTTAACTCTGGGCTGGACTCCAGGCTTCTAGTCTCAGAGTACTAGTACTTTACTATGTATAAATAAAATTTGAAGTACATATTTAAAACATATATTTCTGGGCTCCATCCGCCAGTTTGATTGTGATTCAGTTCATTTTGGGTGAGGTTTGGGAATCTCTTTGTTTCTGATCTTTTGAGATGCTCCCCCAGTGATTTTAACCCCTACTTTGTGAAATACTGAAATTTTTTGTTCAAAGAATAACTACATATATCCCAAAACATTTATTTGATTCTTTTGGCCTAAAATAATTCATTGCAGTCAGAATAAGTGTCTATCTTCTCACCATGATGCTCAAGGCTTTCTGCTGCAACCTTTGCCATATTCCTAGGCTCACCTTTGTTTCTCAATACGGACAGTGTTCTTATTTATATATTCTCAACCTGGCTAGCACCTTCTCCTCCTTCAATGCTCAGATTGGGCACTACGTTGTGATGGTTAATGCTGAGTGTCAACATGATTGGATTGAAGGATACAAAGTACTGATCCTGGGTGTGTCTGTGAGGGTTTTGCCAAAGGAGATTAACATTTGAGTCAGTAGGCTAGGCAAGACAGACACACCCTTAATCTCATGGACAACATCTAATCAGCTATCAGTGAATATAAAACAGGCAGAAAAACATGAAGAGGTGAGACTGGCCTAGGCTCCCAGACTATATCTTTCTCCCATGCTGGACGCTTCCTGTTCTTGAACATCAGACTTCAAGTTCTTCAGTTCTGAGACTCAGACTGCCTCTCCTTGCTTCTCAAACTTGCAGAGAGTCTATTTTGGGACTTTGTGATCATGTAAATTAATACTATATGTATATATATATATATATATACACACACACACACACATACACACATATAATATATTTTATATATATTATATATAATATATATAAAGTATATATTAAAATATATATGTATAAAGTATATATACATATATAATATATATTATATTATTATATAATATATAATATAATATATAATATTATAATGTATATAATATAATAATATAATATATTACATTATTATATAATATATAATATTATATATAATACATATATATTACATATTATATATTATATATACTATATTATATTATATATATTACATATTATATATTATATATACTATATTATATTATATATAATATATAAATACATATATTATGTTATATATAAAGTATATATACATATATATATACTTCATATATACTTTATATGTATATATGAAGTATATATACATATATGTCTCCAAGGAGACCTCTGGCCTTTTACCAGGGTAACTGTGCACTGGGGACAGGGATGATTAGACATATTGGAGACTACTGGACATTGGCTCTGAGCTGACGTTGATTCTAGGGGACCCAAAACATCATTGTGGCCCTCCGGTTGAAGTAGGGGCTTATGGAGGTCAGGTAATTAATGGAGTTTTAGTTCAGGTCTGACTGACAGTGGGTCCAGTGGATCCCTGGATTCATCCTGTGGTCATTTCCCCAGTGCCAGAATGCATAAATGGCATAGACATACTTAGCAGCTGGCAGAACCCCCACATTGGCTCCCTGACTGGTAGGGTGAGGGCAATTATGATGGAAAAGGCCAAATGGAAGCTGTAAGAGCTGCCTCTACCTAGAAAAATAGTAAATCAAAAACAATATCACATTCCCGGAGGGATTACAGAAATTAGTGCCACTATCAAGGATTTGAAAGACATAGGAGTGGTGATTCCCACCACATCCCCATTCAAATCTCCCATTTGGCCTGTGCAGAAGACAGTGGATCTTGGAGAATGACAGTGGATTATCGCTAGCTTAGCCAAGTGGTGACTCCAATTGCAGCTGCTGTACCAAATGTGGTTTCATTGCTTGAGCAGATTAACACATCTCTTGGTACCTGGTATGCAACCATTTGACTTGGTAAATGTCTCTTTCTCTATTCTTGTCCATAAAGCCCACCAGAAGCAATTTGCCTTCAGCTGGCAAGGTGAGCAATATACCTTTACTATCCTACCTCAGGGGTATATCCACTCTCTTGCTTCCTGTCATAATTTTATTCAGAGAGACTTTGATCACTTTTTGCTTCCACAATATATCACACCGATCTACATTGATGACATTATACTGATTGGATCCAGTGAACAAGAAGTAGCAAACACACTGGACTTATTGGTGAGACATTTATGTGCCAGAAGATGGAAAATACATCTGACTAAAATTCAGGGACCTTCTACCTAAGTAAAATTTCTAGGAGTCCAGTGGTGTGAGGCCTGTTGAGATATTCCTTCTAAGATGAAGGATGAGTTGCTGCATTTGGACCCTCCTACAACCAGGAAAGAGTCACAATGCCTAGTGGGCCTACTTGGATTTTGGAGGCAACACATTCCTCATATGAACATGAGAAGGCTTTGCAACAGGTCCAGGCTGCTGTGCAAGCTGCTCTGGCACTTTGGCCATATGACCCAGCAGATCCAATGGTGCTTGAGGTGTTAGTGCCAGATAGGGATGCTGTTTGAAGCCTTTGACAGGCCCCCATAGGTGAATCACAGTGGAGGCCTCTAGAATTTTGGAGCAAGGCCCTGCCATCTTCTTCAGATAGCTAGTCTCCTTTTGACACAGCTCTTGGCCTATAACTGGGCTTTGGTGGAAACTGAATATTTGACTATGGATCATCAAGCCATCATGCAACCTGAACTGCTTATCATGAACAGGGTGCTTTCTGACCCACCTAGCCAGAAAGTGGGCTGTGCATAGCAGCATTGCATCATCAAATGGAGTTGGCATATACATGATCGGGCTTGAGCAGGTCCTGAATGAAAAGGAAATTACATGAGGAAGTGGCTCAAATGCCCATGGTCTCCACTCCTGCCATTCTGCCTTCTGTCCCCCAGCCTGCACTGATGGCATCATGGGGAGGTTCCTATGATCAGTTGGCAGAGGAAGAGAAGACTAGGGCCTGATTCACAGATGGTTCTGCATGATATGCAGGCACCACCTGTAAGTGGACAGATGCATCACTATATCCCCTTTCTAGGACATCCCTGAAGGACAGCGGTGAAAGGAAATCTTCCCAGTGGGCAGAACTTTGAGCAGTGCACCTGGTTATGCACTTCACATGGAAGGAGAAATGACCAGATGTATGATTATATACTGATACATGGGCTGTAGCCAATGGTTTGGCTGGATGGTCGGGGACTTGGAAGAAGCATGATTGGAAAATTGGTGACAAAGAAATTTGGGGAAGAGGCATGTGGATGGACCTCTCTGAATGGTCAAAAACTGTGAAGATATTTGTATCCCATATGAGTGCTCATCAACAGTGACCTCAGCAGAGGCAGATTTTAATAATCAAGTGGATAGGATGACCCATTCTGCAGGCACCACTCAGCCTCTTTCCCCAGCCACTTCTGTCATCACCCAATGGGCCTATGAACAAAGTGGCCATGGTGACAGGGATGGAGGTTATGCATGGGCTCAGCAACACGGACTTCCATTCACCAAGGCTGACCTGGCTACGGCCACTGCTGAGTGACCAATTTCCCAGCAGCAGAGACCAACGCTGAACTCTCTATATGGCGCCATTCCTCAGGGTGATCAGCAATCTACCTGGTGGCAGGTTGATTATACTGGACTTCTTTCATCATGGAAAGGGCAGAGGTTTGTCCTCACTGGAATAGACACTTTCTCCAGATGTGGGTTTGCCTATGCTGCACACAATGCTTCTGCCAAGACTATCATCCATGGATTCATGGAATGCCTTATCCACTGTCATGGTATTCCACATAGCATTGTCTCTGACCAAGGCACTCACTTTACGGCTAAAGAAGTGGAGCAGTGGGCTCATGCTCATGGAATTCACTGGTTTTACCATGTTCCCCATCATCCTGAAGCAGCTGGATTGATAGAACAGTAGAATGGCCTTTTTAAGTCACAATTACAATGCCAATTAGGTGACAATACTTTGCAGGGCTGGGGCAAAGTTCTCCAGAAGGCCATGTATTCTCTGAATCAGCATCCAATATATGGTACTGTTTCTCCCATAGCCAGGAATCATGTGTGCGGGATTTAAGGGGTGAGAGTGGAAGTGGCACCACTCACCATCACCCCTAGTGATCCACTAGCAAAATTTTTGCTTCCTGTTCCTGGAACATTATGTTCTGCTGGCCTAGAAGTCTTAGGTCCAGAGTGAGGAACGCGGCCACCAGGTGACACAACAATGATTCCATTAAACTGGAAGTTAAGATTGTCCCTGGACACCTTGGGCTCCTCCTACCTTTAAGTCAACAGGCTAAGAAGGGAGTTACAGTGTTGGTTGGGGTGACTGGCACGGACTATCAAGATGAATCAGTCTACTACTCCACAGTGGAGGTAAGGAAGAGTATGCACAGAATACAGGAGATCCATTATGGCCTCTTTTAGTATCACCATGACCTGTGATTAAGGTCAATAGGAAACTACAACAGCCAAATACAGGACTACAAATGGCCCAGACCCCTCAGGAATGAAGGTTTGGGTCACTCCACCAGGACAAAAAAAAAATCACGACCTGCTGAGGTGCTTGCTGAAGGCAGTGGAATACAGAATGGGTAGTAGAAGAAGGTAGTTATCAATACCAGCTACAACCACATGACCAGCTGCAGAAATGAGGATTGTAGCTGTCATGAGAATTTGCTACTTCTTTTGTTAAAAAATGTTTGTGCATGTATACACTTGTACTAAGAAAATATCTTCATTTTATTTCCTTTTCTGTTATGTGACATCAGATTTATTGACTTCATATCAGCATTTAAGTACTGTTAACTTTATGTGATAGGATTTGGGTTGGGGATTGGTGTGTTTCTGGTTGTATGAACAATGGTTGTATTATGTTAGGTGTAATTATGACCTTATTATTGTCTTTATTTGAAGATTATGTACACATACATACACACATCATGAGATGTGTATAGGTTCAAGTTGACAAGGGGTGTACTTCTGATGGTTAATACCAAGTGTCAACTTGATTGGATTGAAGGATACAAAGTATTGATCCTGGGTGTGTCTGTGAGGGTGTTGCCAAAGGAGATTAACATTTGAGTCCATGGCCTGGGGAAGGCAGACCCACCCTTAATCTGGTGGGCACCGTCTAATCAGCTGATAGAAAATATAAAGCAGGCAGAAAAATGTGAAAAGGCGAGACTGGCCTAGCCTCCTAGCCTACATCTTTCTGCCGTACTGGACGCTTCCTGCCTTCAAACATTGGACTCTAAGTTCTTCAGTTTTGAAACAGGGCTCTTCTTGCTCCACAAGCTTGCAGACAGCCTATTGTGGCACCTTGTGATTGTGTAAGTTAATAATAAACTCCTATGTATATATTTTATATTATATATAAGTATATATATTATATATGAATGAATAATATATATGAATGAATAATATATGAATATATATATGAATATATATGAATAATATATATGAATATATATGAATATATATATGAATTATATATATGAATTATATATATGAATATATATATAAAATTCATATATATATAAAATTAATTCTGTCCCTCTAGAGAATACTGACTAATACATACCTCCACCAGGATATATTTCCTGATTAGTTTCATTTGGGTTAGGTGACTTTCTTCTCATAGCATCTGGTGCATACCTCTACTGATCTTGATATATCTGGTCTGTTTAAGTCTTTGGCTTCTACCCTAGCCTATGAGATCTTGGGCATTAGAGGCTATTTCTTGGATGTTTACATCAATGGCATCTATCACAGGGCCTGGCAGATACTTGTCACTCAATAAATCAAGTGAAATTGAAAACAATTAGTTTGTAAGTTGGGTCCTCTTGCCTTCTTTCTTTGTGCACTAGAGAACTTTAGGCAAAGGTATACAGGCCATACTTTAGTTGAGGTAGACTAGACCATGCCAAAGTAACTCCCAAATCTCAATGGTTTATCAAAATAAAAGTTTATTTTTTGCTCATATTACACAAATATGAGGGCTTTGCCACCCAAAACCCAGGTAGATAGATGCTTGGACATCTCGACATGAGGTAACAAGGCTGCTTAGAGAGCTTCTCCTAAATGTTTTAGTAAAACAAGACCAATGCCACTTTTATATCATAATTCATAAACCAGAACTTACCACACACAATGCCTAACCTCTCAAAGGCAGAAAGTGAGGAGATGCACATGAATATTTGGCAAAGGGTAAATTTCTCTACCAACAGGCCCTTGTGTGTGGAATTTAAATTTCTCTCAAATCGATCCCACAAATCTATTTGAAGCCATCATTCCTGAGACTGATTGGCTATTTTGTTTATGTACAAGGCGTAGTAAGTTGAAAACTTGGCAATCAACTAATCAGAACAGTCTCAATTAGAAACTCTTTTAATATATTTTATCTACAAAGGATGATCAGAGAAGTAAACAAAATAGTGTAAATATTAATTTTTCCAGTTATTTTTCATTCATTTAAAACTGGATTAATACAATCTGTCACTTTTTAATCAGTTCTATGTCTTTTCTTTTTGATTCAAGTTAAATCGGATGGTCCTAGTTGTGTGTGTGTTTAATTTGTATATCTTCATGCAGTGGTGTATATGCCAAGCACATTCATTCTGTCCGTAAGAGGAACTTGGTGTTCTTACAAATGTTACTTGGTCTTGCTAATTCCTATGTGTAGTATGCTGGAAAAGGCCAATGCAAATAAGGGCAATTTTCTACAAACTTGGGATACATTTCCTCAAAGTGCTTGATTATTTGTTATCTCTTGTAACACATATTCAGTAGTTTAACTTTATAGGTATTTGGTTAGGTTGGGCTCTTTAGTTATCAAAACTGATTTTAAGTAAAATATACTTAACTGCTTGCTTGTTAAAATATAACAATTCCTGGGAGCTGAGGCAGGTGCAGTCATCCTGTTTAAGGTTTCACTCACATCTTACTGATTAAGTGACTGGTCAGTATAAGCACAATGTACTAAGTTTCAAAGAATGATGCAAACTGAAACTAGCAGTAGCCAAAGACTTTGATAAATATTGTTTCTATTACTTAGTTATTCACTAGTTGTAATTCACATAAATTTTGTCAATTGGTAGCAGCAATAATTTAAAAATAAAAGAGTAGTTTGGAACAGTGTTAACTTTAACTTCATGAGCAATTTGCTGTCATAATTGAAATGGGCCAAGTGTTTATTTTGAGCTAAAAATGAGATTCATATTGCAGAGGTTAATGGTACTCATTGTGGTATGTGTCCAATCCTCCTTGAATGAAGTGATTATTCATAATCCACTCCAAATAATGAAGGAAATTGAAGAATGACCCATTAAGAGCACTTGCTTATGCACTACCAGCAATCTAAAATTGGAAAAACATAGAGTATAAATTTGAAACTGTTACCAGTGGCTGAGATTCAAGTTACCCCTAGTTAATGGTTGCCTATTCGTATGGGTCCATGGCAACTTCACTTCTTGCCTCCTCAGAAGCAAGAATTCGACTAAGGGGAATAAAGCAGAAAAAGAGATAGAGGCAAGTTTCAGAACAGGAGTGGAAGTTTTCTAAAAAGTCTATAGAACAGGAAAGAAAGGACAGAACCTTTGGAAGAGATCCAACTGGGCACCTGAAGGTCAAAGAGAGAAAAGAGCCCCTTTCACCTTGATCCCAGGACTTTACAGGATGGCCTCTTTTCCATGATACTTCCCCTAGGGTGGGACTTCCGCATGCGCAGTGCTTCCCTTACCTTTTGGAATTGATCATGCACGGTGTGTTTAGAGAGTGACACACATGACCATCTGAGCCTTTTTTCCTTTTTCCAGTGGAATGTGCCCCGAAATGTCATACTTCGCCATTTTGTCTCTTAACATGCATGCCCAAGAAGCTGCGTCTCCCTGGGGTCCGCTTTCAATTAACACTTTTAACGTTAACAGGTATGGACCATCAGGAGATTGCCTCTCCCTGGCTTCTCAATTATCATTTTTAGAGAGGCAATGCGATAATTGCCGAACCATCACCCAATATTTCTAGTGGGTGGGGGAACAGCCCTCTTCTGCCCTGCTCATGCCTAACTACCTGTAACAAAATGATACTCTCTAAGAATAAGAACTCTCTTAGTGATTCTATCGGGACTGTTTTATTAATCTTTCCTTTTTTATTTTGAAAAAAGAGGGAAAATTTTAAGATCCGGAGTTAACATAAAGAGAAATCTGAGGCTTTTTTGTGACAATTTGGTAAATCAGTTTCTTAGGCAGGAAGAAGATCTTGAACTTTTATTCTTAATTTACAGCCTCACAGCTGTAAACATTTTCATTCCAACAATTTCATTCCAATGTTTCCATTTCCAAAATTTCCAAAATGTAAATTTTTCTCAAAGAGAAAGCTCTGTGATCAAGTAGTTATAAATCATTTTGCATCTTCTCTTTATAGAGACGTAATGTGTATTTTTATATTCAAGATAAATTAAAAAGTTCCTTTAGAGAAGAATTGCATTTAATTTTGTTTAAACACCAAACACACCCATTTTCTTTTTTTGTTTCAGTTACATCTATGCACACTTCCCAGAGCACATCTTTTAAATCATGCTCTGCTGCAATAAGTGGGAAATGGGAATTACCAGCTGACGTTTTCTCCATTTGCCTGTCGTCCTTATAGGTGAGAAGTATTTAGTCATGGACCAGCTGTTGTATGTTGTGATTTAAATGTGGAAATAGAATCACTCTGCTCTTGGCTTTCATCACCCTTCCATCACTCAGTATAATTTAATTTGTTTAAAATTCATTTTACTGCTGTATTTTTTGAACTGACAAATGGAAGTGTTCCAGCCAATGCCTAATGCTCAAACAGGGTAGGGATATTACCCTGAGGAGGTGGTATCTTGTTTAATTTGGCATCGCAGGGTACCTGACTATCTGAATTTGCACATTTATGACTCTTATCACTAAGAACGTAGGTGATTGTCCTCAATATGAATGAGAACTTGATTTCATATAACACTGCCTGCCTGTTTTCCATTTGTTCAAAATGCAATGATTAGAATAATGTTCTTTGACAAAAATCCTTTTGTATCCACAGGAAGTATCATTAGAGTCAGCTATTACATTTAGAGCAGTAGTTTCAAAAGAGATATACTAGGACTCAAATATTCTTTAATGTATTTGGGGGGGCATATGTCTTTTGATACATTCTTAGTTTTTGACTATGATTTTGGTGTGGCTTTTAAGAAATAAAACTTACTCTTAATGTAGATGCCCACATCCTGAGTATGAATATAAGTAGGCTGATTTGATCATTAAGAGGAGGACTAATGGCCGGGCACAGTGGCTCATGCCTGTAATCCCAGCACTTTGGGAGGCTGAGGTGGGTGGATCATGAGGCCAGGAGATCGAAACCATCCTGGCTAACACAGTGAAACCCCGTCTCTACTAAAAATACAAAAAAATTAGCCAGGCGTGGTGGTGGGCGCCTGCAGTCCCAGCCACTCAGGAGGCTGAGGCAGGAGAATGGTGTGAAGCCGGGAGGCTGAGCTTGCAGTGAGCCGAGATCAGGTCACAGTACTCCAGCCTGGGCTACAAAGCGAGACCCCGTCTCAAAAAAAAAAAAAAAAAAAAAAAAGAGGACGAATATGTCCTAAAGGGAACTAAACTTACACCCATCTCTAACTCATTAGAAAAAAAAATTAAGACAAAGACAAAGGTCATTTTGTATACAAATCATGTTGTATGTAAACCTGCCAACCTGAAGGATTCTGAGTATTATTTGAGCATAACTAAGAAAAAGATCAAGGTGTTTTTCATTTGCAGTAGGCATTCTCTTTCTTTACACACAACAGAATCCACATAATTATGACTATATATGTTAGTATGCTCACATTCTTAAAGATAAGCAACATGACTACTATTTTAGACCTTGTAAATATGCTTGCGTATTAGAGATCTGCCAAAAGTGAAGCTGGAACCAAGACTTTATAATTTAAGTCCACTAGAAGAAGAAATTTTTTTCTTTTGTTTCCAACAGGAAAGATCCAAAAAGACTCCACCAGAGTTTTCACCAGAGGAAAAGTTTTACAGATTACCTGGGTCACCAATTTCAGAGTTAGCATATCAATAAAAATTTCATGGTCAAGAAAGAGAACGAACCAAAAAAAACTTGCTATTTTCATGCAGAAAAGAAGGAAATTTATATTTTTTTTCTATTCTAAAAATTGACTTAGGATTTTGTAATAGAGTATGGGAGCTTTTTTCTCCTGTTTCCCAACATCTGCACATTTGAGATTTCCATTCAATGCCTATTGCAGGATTTTCAACACACCAAATGCACTGTTGGCTACTATTGTATATAAAATAGCTGAGTCGAACAGCATAGTAGTAGGTATGCTTCATAATAGTGTATTTGCTGTTATCCAACCATGACATGGAACTGCATCTTAAATAATTAGAAACCTGGACAAGCATTTGACAGAAATCTGTTAAAGTTTCTTGATTTAGAGTATGACCTAGATGACCAACTTCCTATATTTCCATTTCTTTAATTAATTTATTAATCACATATTTATTCTGATATCCATCCAACAAATACTTATTAGGGAGCCTTAAAGATCCAAAGGTAATAACACCTCTTACCTCCAGTAGCTTCTGGCCCAGTGAAGAACAGAGAGATCTTGTATACTGTACTATGTCAAAAGTGCTATGACTATGGAAAGCACAAGGTTCCCAGGAGTTATGCTCAGCAGCTAATAAAACTTAGGCTGGAGGGTACAGAAAAGACTTCCTAGGGTAGGTGCAGATGATCTCAAGCAAACTTGGAGGAGTGGTTGTGAGAGAAAGGTGAAGGGGAGAGAAGCGAGTTGGGAGAAAGACAGAATAGTTAGAAGGGTGCTGCAGGAATCTAGGAGATAAATGAGTATGGAATGACTGGAGGAGAGGCAGAAAGGTGGGATTTCATCCAAAAGTCTTTGGTCACTGCGACATGAGATGGCTGGCTGAATAAACTAGAAGATTGCAAGGTGACTCTCAGATTTCCATACAGACTTCTGAGTAGCATGGACAGAACAAGACTCCAAACTCTATTGGAAGCATTCCTTCATTTTGGCTTCCCAAAATAGAGCCAAGAATGCTGAGCTCAGTCAAGGCTCTAAGTTCCTTAGGGAGTCCTAATTACAATGAATTAAACAAATTCAATCTATACACTGATACAATTCTGTATCTGTTTAAAAAGATGCAGGAAGGTGGATCATAGAGAGAGTACAAGTTAATGTATCTAAGGTGATGGTGAAGCAAAGTTAATTTTTAAATTTAGCTAATTAATTAAAAGCCCAGAAAAACAACGTCTTTTCTTGCCTTGAAGTTTAGAATTCCTGTTGCAAAAAATATGGTTGATCGAATGATTTGCATAACATTAAAATCCTGATCAAAGTTTTACTCTCTGGGCTTACCTAGAACACCAGGTATAAAGAATTCCATAATATGCTACCCTTTGCCAGAGGAGACTTCAGTTTTCACTGAGATGATAAAGGGTTAAAGTTAGAATTGTCAGCAACCAACAGAACATCTAAGATCAGTACGTCTCACTAGGGAATTGCTTGGTCTATTCTGGGTAGATTTTAAGCCAAGATTTGGTGAAATTCTTTCTCTGAACACTTATCAAAGCAGCAGGATGCATGAAAAATCACTGAGTTTATTTTTAAATGACAGAGGAAGGCTTCCCTATCTTTTATCTTATTTGAGTTTGTCTTTGTCTCCAAAATGGACTTCAGTGTCACATTCTCATAGAAAACTACAGAGCAGTAAACTCTAGCCAGAAGGTATCAGAAGTATAAGCACCACATGGAAATCTAACTGAAGAAGCTGAAGACAAAATCATGGGGTATATGTAACAATAAGGTGAAGCTGGCAAAAATAACAGCAAAAGAGAAAATCCAGCATTCTTTAATATGTGCTTATTTTATGCTGTCTTTCTGGAGGGCAGCTAATTAAAAACTGACTCTTACCCAACTATATGAGACAGGTGGTTTGCCTTTGTTAACTTACCCAGTCACAAAGCAAGATGGTGGTGATGATGGGCAAGACAGTTTTAAGTCCCATAGCAAGATTCCATCCTCTAAACTATCATTAATATTGCTTTAAGCAGTGATACATAACAGTTTGACATGATTAGTTATCTGGCATAGGTAGTTATCTTGTTATGTATTTTCTTAACTGCTAAATAAGTTTCCCAATCCCCAAAACTTTATCTTTTAGTGTATTGATACTGATTCATGCCATTTTATTTTTAATACCTGTTTATTGGTGAACCCAAACAAAAAATATTTAAACTTATAACCTTGAGAATTATCAATCCAGCATGTTTGATTTTTGCAAATAGGGAAACTGATATTCATAAAAACAAAGGAATTTTCTACAATCGCATTGCTAATATGGGCTCTCTGCCACTAGACTATAGGACTTCTGAAATCTAGAGCTTGACTTTTCCCAGAATTCCTGTTTCTCCCTGTTATTTGATGCAAGAAGCCTGTTCCCTGCAGCTCTGATGAAACATTGCCAGTAAAATATTTCATTGAAACCACTAGAGTTTTTGCTTTGTTTTGGCCTTTGCATTGTTTCTAGTGACCCCAACATGTTCAAAGTCAGACTGACTTTGTGGCCACTTCTTTCTTCTTAAATTCTATTATAGCACCTACATTCCACGAAGAGCATTGCAAATGCTTATATAACCCACATGTGTAATAAAGCTCCACATGGCTCCCTGGTCTCTATTTCTCAATAAGTATGTAATGTTGATCATCAATAAATTGCAATGTGGTGGTCCCTCACCAAAAGGCTAAAAAGGAGGTAAAAGTGAGAGGTCCAAAGATGGCCATATAAAAGACCGTGTGCATACATCTTAGTCTGGCATTCAAGGCTCTTCATAACCTGTTCCTGCTCTGTTTATCCACGTTCACCTTATGTCACCTAAAAGGAACTCTTTGCTTTTAGTGGAACAAGTATTTTTAATGTTTTTTTTTCAGGTCAACTCAGATCCACTTTCTACTAGCTTTGCACCCCACGACTGCTTCATCGAATTTGGATACAATCATGAATATTCTTATTCCTTCCATTTCCCTCTCTGAATCTAATAATTTATATATAATCTCACCTTGTTCACCTACTTTCTTTACTCACCCATCCACATCTCTCTCTTCTATCTCTGAACTTCTTAAATACTTTTTTTACAGTACCACATCATGAGTCTTAGAACATATTTTACTTGACATTCAACTCTGTTTACATAGATTCTTACATATATGTTCTATTCTGCAACTGGCTTCTAAGGTCTTGGAAAAATTGTTGGTGTTTGTGTAATTTAGTTTCTCCTTAAGGCTGTACATACATGGTTCTATTTTGTTGGACACATGGTAGGATTGCACTTTCTCAATTTTTTTTAAATTAGGCACAGCTTTATGACTTGCTTTAGACAATAAAATGTAACAGAAGTTATATATATATATATATATATATATATATATATATATATATATATATATATATATATATATATATATCTCGTTTAAAGGCATAAGCTTTCAGAGCTAATTGATGGATCACTTCATTCCCATCTCCTGCCATGAGATACAAGTATGAAGATAGAGCCTCTATCGGCTTGGGTCCTTGAATGACTACAATGGTAGACTCTACTGTCAATCTGTGATGCATATATGTACTCTTAGTGAGAAATCAACAATCCCTTTGATACACTAGTAAGATTTGGGGATTCTTTGTTTCTGTAACATAACCTATAACGTCCTGCCAAGTTGAGCATCCTAGATAAATGTTGTACCTGCAGTGGATGGCCAGTACATACTTGTGAAGAGTTAACAGAATTAACTAGACAGTATAACTTATAATTCATTTTGGAAAAGCCCCAGTGATAACTAATAAACATAATCTGGAATACCAGTGAGAAAGTAAAAACAGCAAAAAAAATGATTTTTGTGCTGATTTACCCAAAACGAAGCTTAACAATTTCCTTTAACTCTGATTGACCTTTGAAGTACTGTGAAAGTCCCGGAACAGCCTGAAGTTGCAAATATTTGATGGCTCAATTACTGGAATATTCATTTCTAAGGCCAGTTTGGAAATGGGGAGGAGGTAAGACAGGAAAAGCTGGAAAAAAAAATGGATGTTTTATAAAATAAGCAAATTGTGGAAGTAAGCAAATTGAACAGGGATTTTTAAAAATTATTGGTATTACTCTGAGCCAGTCTGAGATGCACTTATATATTATAGTTACGTGTATTATGTGCATTTAATATATACACATGTTATATGCAGAAACATGTCAAAAAGCACAGGAGGCAGGCTGGCATGTATTTTTTCAGAAAGAAGAGTAGACAAAGCAAATAGTAACGACTTGGTTATTTATATAACTCATATAAAAACTGTAAGTAGCACCATTGTGACAAGATTTGTCCTACTCACAGTCATTTTCATTTTGCGTGTCATTTTCAAATAAACTTTGTATATGTATATAAGTGTGAATCATGGTGAAATTTCTTAAAAATAACGTAAAACATTGCAATATCCATTTAGTTATCTGAACTTTCATCATATAATTCATACAATATTATTCTACAAACATTAATTGCCAACTCAACTCTGGTCTACATAGTGCTCCAAAACAGCTTCTCAAACTTTAAGGTGTATATTATTATGAGGCGATTTTATTAAAATGCAGATTCAGACCCACTGGGACAGGGACTAAGATCCTGCATTTCTTACAAACTCCAAACTGATGTGGATGATGCTGGTATGGAGCACACTTTGAGGTACAAGTTTCTAAACAAAGTTTCTCATGTTGCAAATGGCCTGCCTAAAAAATAATCCTCCTCTTAGCCCTCTGAGAGGTCATAGCTCACTGTAGCCAGTAGTCATTGCTGAGTACCCTCCTCAGTGACTCCTCAGAGGTGCACCCCATGTTCATTTCATAAAGACTGAATGAGCAGTAGCATCCAGCACTCATTAATTTTTTCTGCTTACTGAGCATGGCCAAGGACAAAATCTACCATGTGCACAGTCCATTGCCGAACTCTTCTCTACTCATCGTGAATATGAGACCCATTGAAATAATAAAGAGTATGTGTTTCTGGGAGCCATGCTGAAAAATGTGCAGCCCAACCTGAGGCTTATCAAGGAAAGGGAAGCAAAATAAGTAGGCGAGGCTTCCTAAAGAGTAGAGCACCAAGTGACCCCACTGAATGTCTGTCTTCACATATATCTGGTGCTTATGTTCATTTGAGGCATATATGCCCTTGCCAATAGCATCCTGGCTAGCTTAGGAGGATGATGATGCATGAAAGTTTTGTAAACTATAGCTTCTTCATTATTCTGAAACACTGGAAATGAAAAAATCTGAATCTTAAGTACATTTGCATTATACCAAGAAATTCCCACACTATGTCTATCCATGAAAGTAAGAAATATCTGTTAGTTACTATGAATACATTCCTCTGTTGATAATTTTTTAGCATCTACTTTTGGGAAAGTTTCTCATTGATATTATCAAGAATATAAAGATATAATCATTAAAAAGTCATCAGAAATTTTTCAGCTATTTCAAGCACAAAGCCTAATATAAGAAAGTATGTTTGGGAAAGCCTGCTCATATTTTACGTTAAAAGTTTATAAGGGTTGCATTTTAAAACTTCATATAAGCTTAATATTTAATGTGAAAACTAGCATTTTTATTCTATTTTCTTAAAATTACATAATATAATAAGTATAATAATTTTATCAGTTAAGACCCAAATAAGTGCATTAAATCTCCAATTTACCCCAAAGTGCCAAATAAATATTATAATTTATATTTTTTTGACATATGAAAGGTAGAAAAGCAATATTCTTGGTACTATAGTAGTAAATGAGACAAAATCCCTGTTCTCATGTAGCTCTCATTCTCATGGGAGAGAAAAAAATAGTAAATTAATTTACAAATATGTAAAATATCAGGGAGAGTTGCACTTTCCACAGAGAAATGTAAAATGAGTTGTTCTATTAAGCATTAACAGTGGGGCTTCCTTCAGTTGGTGATAATGAAGGCTTCTGTTAGGAGCTAACATTTAAATTGGGCTCTGAAGGCCAAGGGGAAGCCAGTTATGCAGTATTGAGGGTGTAGGTATTACAGCAGAAAAAAGAGCCAATGCAAGAACCTTCAGGCTGAAAGTATTCAGCTTGTAGCAGGAAAAGAAAGGCCAGTGTGGTTACAACATTGTAGGCAAGAGGGATATAGTAAGAGATGAGCTTGGGAAGATCATCACAGGTCAGATTATATAGGATCACAGTAAGAAATTAATTCTGGGCATTAAGAGAAGCTGTTGAGGGCTTAACTGGGAATGTGGCAGCATAGAGCTAGTGTTAAATCCATGGCTTCTGGAGCCAGCCTACCTGAGTTCAGATCCCAGCTCTACTGTATTCTAGCTATGTGTTATGGAAAAGCTATTTAACTTCTCTGCACCTCAATTTCCTCCTTGCAAAATGTAGGTGACAATAGCATCTGCCTTAGAGGGTTGTTGTGAGAATTAAACAAGTTAAAATTTGTAGAGCACGTAGAATAGAGTTGGGCAGGTAGAGAGGCCATAGAAGGGTGTGTTTAGTTAGGAACACAGAGAGTCTGAATTTTGTTTATAAAAGATTATTCTGTTTTTACTGTTAACAATGGATTATAGAAGTACAGGGAAAGAACCAGGGCTACAAATTGGAGACCACTCAATAGAAGTTGGGTTGGACTAGGATGGAATTGGGGGTAAATAGAAACAAATATTTATAATTCCGTATTAGCAGTAAGGAGGTTATAGGACATCAAGTTAGAAAGAAAATTTTAAACATATAGTTAATATTATTGAGACCTTCACATATTGCCCAGGTCCAGATGAATAAAAGTAAATTTAATCATAACAAGCTTTAATATTTTGCTTCTCTAACAACTTTTGAAGGCTTCCTTTTGGTAAGTCTGTGTTCTCTCAGGACTTTCAGAGCACACCTTTTTACACCTTGCCCCATCAAGCATTTGCCAATATATTAATAGAAGATTATCTGGTGGTTCCCTGCTTTGCTGATGCCCAGGTGTTCTTCCTTAGCTTGATTCCCACTTCTTCCAGCTTCCACTTGATCCCAACTTCTTCCAGCTCTCAGTGACTTCTATAGCTTGTCCCTTCAGGATTAATCCTCCCTTTCCAGAACCAAAGTCAGGATATGTTAGAGTCTGTCTAGATCTTATAAATAATCAAATTTCCTTCTTCTGGGACCTGAGAAAGGCTATATTTCCCGGCTTCTGGTGCAGTTAGATTGGGTTAAGGAGGTGCAAGCTGGTTAGCGGTTGTATTAGTTCATTCTCACACTGCTAGAAAGAACTACCTGAGACCGGGTAATTTATAAAGAAAAGAGGTTTAATTGACTTAGAATCACAGGTTATACAGGAAGCATCATTGGGAGGCCTCAGGAAACTTACAATGATAGCAGAAGGATGAAGGGGAAGCAAGTACATCTTCCCATGGTGGCGGGAGAGTGGGGGACATGCAGATCCCGTGAGAATTTTATCATGAGACAGCGCTAGGCGGATGCTGCTAAAACCTCTGAAACTGCCTCCATGATCCAATTACCTCCCACCAGGCCCCAACTCTAATACTTGGGGTTCCAATTCAACTTCAGAGAGTTCATTTAGGTGGAGCTCTTTTTTTCTCATTCTGACAACATACAAGTTATTATTTATTTTACCCAAAAGAAGATAGCTCAAGATTAACAAATCTCAAAGTGCTGAGTGCCTAATATAATGACTTGCCAAAATGACTTGCCTTCAAGTTTTAACCGTTCCTGGGCACACATTTGCTTCTGCAGCCATACATATAGACAACTTGAATAGGGAAGCAGCCCTTACACAATCAAAATATGTTGTTCATACAAAAACCTATTATACCTCTTCCCTTAAGGACTTCCTAAGTAATTCCTTTAAAAATATATTTATTTCATGTCAGTTTGACAGCTCCTTTTAAAAAAGCTTTGAAATATTCCTTACCAAAAAATAGAGTGCTGTAGTACATAATAACTAAGAAATATATAAAAGGAAAGTGTTTAGGCACATGTGTCATCTGACTGGTAGAAAATGCTAAAATATGTAGATTACATAGAATAAGTTAGACAAAACAATCTGGCCTCCGATTTGAATAAAAATCAATTTATTTCCTGCAATCACTCAAGAAAAATTTCACAGGGGATAATGCACAGTCAAAAAATTTTTAAATCTTGCTTTTCATTTCTCTCAAATCCATACACATAAAGCAATTTCTCTCAAAATTCCTTTCCTTCCTTGCTGCATTACAAAATGCAGAACACACCAATTCTTACCAAATTCTCTGTCTCAGGCACTGTTATCTCATTTTAGTGCCCTGTTCTTCTGAATATCAATTTATTTTCTCCCATCAGGCCCTTGGTAGTTCTTTCCAAACTAGGCCTAGCTCATTGATCTTATTCTTATCCCCACCAATTACCCTGCTCTGCAGAACAGACCCATGAGTCAAGATACAGTCTGCAGGGGCTGACAGTTGATTGGGAGATGGTTAAATCACAGACATGAAGATTAATTTGGGACAACTTTCTTACTTTTATTTCAGAACATGTATACAATTTTAATATAATATATAGAAAAATCCCTTGAAAAGAATATAATGGCTTTGGTTATACACCTGAGTCTAATATCATTTCTTAGACCGAGTGGCAATAGTAAAATATATGCTATATATTTATGTAGTATGTGCATATGTATACACATACATATCTATAGTATATGTATATATTACTATTGTATGTGTGTGTATATATGCATATGTGTGTATATACACACATACACACACACACAAAATAGCAAAATATATTGAACTGTGCTTGTCCATTATGATCATTATCCTGAACTTTTATATAGCTTTCCCTGACACTATTCTATGTCTGAGATCAAGGGGAGTCAAGCCAATAAATAAATACAAATATAAATAAACATGTGCTTGTGCGTAAATACAAATAAATAAACTCTAATTATACATTGTCTTTAAATTAGCTCCTCTTTGCATACAAACATCTTTTCAATAAATGTAATTATAACCTTTTAAAAGCAATGCAAATGAGAAAATAATTTTTATCCTGTTTTAAAATATATTATTTTCTAAAAAGGTGTTAAATCTCTATGATTTTATCATCATTGTTAAATATATTTAAAAATTTTTACATGAACTTTCATTTTGGACTCAAATGAAATATAATAAATGTTTAATCATCACTTAACCTTATTATGTTCCTATATCAAAATAAGTTATTTTTGAAAAGTAAATATATCTTACATATTCATGAATGTTTATATATTCATTTAAGAGGAGTAGAGGTAAATTATGTACATCTAGGGAACTAAGTTTAGTCGTAACGATTTTTGTTAGAGATTCTGATTACTGTAGATAAGAAATAGGGAAGGAATGACAGAATGAATACTTGATGAGAATTCAGGGGCCCTGTGTTCTATTCTTCCTTGGTATAATAGAATATATCTTACTTGTAAAATTTCAGAATTGTAATTAGCTTCAGTTTTTAACTTGTAAATTGAGAAACTAAACTGAATGAGCTTCACATTTCTTTTTATCTCTAATAGCTTAGATATCAAATACAGAATGCCTTCACCATTTTGCTCAGTACTTTCATGTGATACTAAAATTTGCAGTAGCTTTATATAAACCAGTACACAGTGTATTCGGATTCAACCCAAATATACAATTAATCTAATGCCAACTGCCCATACACTGTCTAAAAGTTGCTCAGCTAGTCACTTAATTAGACTAACTAAATATTTTACCAGTTGAAACTGTTTTATCAATAGCACAGTCCTCTACAAATCCGGAGAAAAGTGTCATCTTCTTGAAGATAGGCCAGAGGTTGCATTACTACCTACATATAAATTAAAATCAATAATTTTAAGAAACAATAGTCTTTCCCTTTCTCTCTCCCCACCCCCACTATTTAAACTAAGGAGGAAATTTTAAATTTTCTTTATATTGTTCCTACTTTCATCATATCCTCTACCATTTTCCTATAAAATATTATTTTCTATATTATATATTGTATGTGTGTGTGTGTGCATCTGTGTGTCTTTTCTTTTTCTACCTGCCGCAAAAAAATCATGATGATTGTATTAGTCCATTTTCATATTACTATGAAGAAATACCTCAGACTGGGCAATTTACAAAGAAAAAGAGGTTTAATGGACTCAGTTCCACATGGCTAGGAAGGCCTCACAATCATGGCAGAAGGTGAAGGAGGAGCAAACGCAAGTCTTACATGGTGGCAAGCAAGAGAGCATGTGCAGGGGAACTGCCCTTCATAAAACCATCAGATCTCATGAGACTTATTCACTATCATGAGAATAGCACAGGAAAAACTTGCCCCCGTGATTTAATTACCTCCCACCAGGTCCCTCCCACAACACTTGAGGCTTATGGGAGCTGCAATTCAAGAGATTTTGGTGAGGACACAGTCAAACCATATCATTGATTCTCATCCCCTTGGTGAAATTCCTAATAATTTTGTGACTATTTTGCTCTGTATCTTATTAACTCTGACTCTGAATAAAAGTATCTAAAAATGTGTCTCAGCTTATCATGCTCTACATTAAAACTTCTAACAGGTGTCTCAGTGGCATTTTTCAAAGTTCCCACATTTATCAGCCTTTGGCTTGAAGAAACTGTGTTATCTTTACACTTACGTATTATTTCTTTTATCTCTTAGGCGTTTTCACTTGTATTATATGAATATGTGCACTGCTTTAACCTCTCCAGGGAGACTTTAGTGTGTCTTGAAATGTCTTATTATCCTTCTGTCTCATCCTACCTCCTTTTCTTTCCCTACGACCCTCACATATGGCTGGAATGAAGAGAGGTAGGTGATGAGGCAGGCATGAGTATTTGGAGAGGAGGATGCATAGAAGGGAGCCAGAACATGAGGTATTATATGGGCAACTTTCTTGACTATAAACTTCTAGTTTTGGGCTTGGCTTCTTGAGAATAAAAATTATTTTGGGACAATGAAGGATTCTTTTTTTAATTTTATTTTATTTTAAGTTCTAGGATGCATGTACAGGACATGCGGACGTGCATGTTTGTTACATATGTAAACGTGTGTCAAGGTGGTTTGCTGCACCTGTTAACCCATCACCTAGGTATTAAGCCCCTCATGCATTAGCTGTTTATCCTGATGCTGTCCCTCCCCACTCACCCACCTCCAAAAAGACCTCATTGTGTGTTGTTCCCCTCCCTATGTCCATGTGTTCTCATTGCTCAGCTCCTACTTATAAGTGAGAACATATGGTGTTTGGTTTTCTGTTCCTGTGTTAGTTTTCTGAGGATAATGACTTCCAGTTCCATTCATGTCTCTGCAAAGGACATGATCTTGTTCCTTTTTATGGGTGCATAGGATTCCATGGTGCATGTGTACCACATTTTCTTTATCCAGTCTATCATTGATGGGCATTTGGCTTGATTCCATGTCTTTGCTATTGTGAATAGTGCTGCAATGAACATACAAGTGCATGTATCTTTATAATGGAATAATTTATATTCCTTTGAGTATATACCCAGTAATGGGATTGCTGGGTCAAATGGTATTTCTGGCCCTAGGTCTTTGAGGAATCGCCACACAGTCTTCCACAATGGTTGAACTAATTTACATTCCCATCAACAGTGTAAAAGCATTCCTATTTCTCCACAGCCTTGCCAGCATCTCTTGTTTCTCAACTTTTTAATAATTGCCATTCTGACTAAAGTCATAATATCTCATTGTGGTTTTGAGTTGCATTTCTCTAATGATCAGTAACGTTCAGCTTTGTTCCATATGTTTGTTGGCTGCATAAATGTCTTCTTTTGAAAAGTGTTCGTTCATGTCTTTTGGCTACTTTTTAATGGTGTTGTTTTTTTTCTTGTAAATTTTTTAAGTTCCTTGTAGATTGTCAGATAAACACATTGCAGAAATTTTTCCCCCATTGCATAGGTTGTCTGTTCACTCTGATGATCATTTCCTTTGCTGGCAGAAGCTTTTTAGTTTAATTAGATCCCATTTGTCAATTTTTGCTTTTGTTGCAATTGCTTTTGCCATTTTCATCAAGAAGTCTTTGCCCATGCCTATGTCCTGAATGGTATTGCCTAGACTTTCTTCTAGGGTTTTTATAGTTTGAGGTTTTACATTTAAGTCTTTAATCTATCTTGAGTTAATTTTTGTATAAGGAGTAAGGAAGGGTTCCAGTTTCAATTTTCTGCATATGGCTAGCAAGTTCTTCCAGCACCGTTTATTAAATAGGGAATCTTTTACCCATTGCTTGTTTTTGTCAAGTTTGTCAAAGATCAGATGGTTGTAGACATGTGGTCTTATTTCTGAGCTCTCTTCTCTGTTTTATTGGTCTATGTGTCTGTTTTTGTACCACTACCATGCTGTTTTGGTTACTGTAAACTTGTAGTATAGTGTGAAGTTGAGTAGCATGATGCCTCCAGCTTTGTTCTTTTTGCTTAAAATTGGCTTGGCTATACGGGCTCCATTTTTGGTTCCATATGAATTTTAAAGTAATTTTGTGAAGAATATTAATGGTAGTTTAATAGAAATAGCATTGAATCTATAAATTACTTTGGGCAGTATGGCCATTTTCATGATATTAATTCTTCCTATCCATGAGCATGGAACGTTTTCCATTTGTTTCTGTCCTCTTTGATTTCCTTGAGCAGTGGTTTGTAGTTCTCCTTGAAGAGGTCCTTCACTTCCCTTGTTACCGATATTCCTTGGTATTTTACTCTCTTTGTAGCAATTGTGAATGAGGGTTCATTCATAATTTAGTTCTCTGTTTGTCTATTGTTGGTCTATAGGAATGCTTCTGACTTTTGTGCATTGATTTTGTATCCTGAGACTTTGCTGAAGTTGCTTATCAGTTTAAGAAGCTTTTGGGCTGAGACGATGTGGTTTTCTAGATATAGGATCATGTGTCATCTGGAAACAGAGACAGTTTGACTTCTTCTCTTCCTAATTGAATATCCTTTATTTCTTTCTCTTACCTGATTGCCCTAGCCAGAAGTACCAATACTATGTTGAATAGAACGGTGAGAGTGGGCATACTTGTCTTGTGCCAGTTTTCAAGGGAATGCTTCCAGCATTTGCCCATTCAATATCATATTGGCTGTGGGTCTGTCATAACTGGCTCTTATTATTTTGAGGTATGTTCCATCAATACCTAGTTTATTGAGAGTTTTTAACATGAAGCAATGTTGAATTATATCGAAGGCCTTTTCTGCATCTACTGAGACAATCATGTGGTTTTTGTCCTTAGTTCTGTTGATGTAATGAATTATGTTATTAATTTGTGTATGCTGAACCAACCTTGCATCCTGGGGATGAAGCGAACTTGATTGTGGTGGACAAGCTTTTTGATATGCTGCTGGATTCAGTTTGCCAGTATTTTTTTTTTTTGAGAATTTTTGCATTGATGTTCATCAAGGATATTGGCCTAAAATTTCCTTTTTTTCTTGTATCTCTGCCAGGTTTTGGTATCAGGATGTTGCTGGCCTCATAAAATGAGTTAGAGAGGAGTCTTTCCTTTACAATTATTTGGAATAGTTTCAAAAGAAATGATACCAGCTCTTCTTTGTACCTCTGGTAGAATTCAGCTGCAAATCCATCTGGCCCTGGACTTTATTTGGTTGGTAGGTTATTTATTACTGCCTCATCTTCAGAACTTCTTACTGGTCTTTTCAGGGATTCAACTTCTTCCTGGTTCAGTCTTGGGAGGATATATACATCAGGGAATTTATCCATTTATGCTAGACTTTCTAGTTTATTTTTATAGAGGTGTTTACAATATTCTCTAATGATCACTTGTGTTTCTGTGAGGTCAGTGGTAATATCCCCTTTATCATTTTTATTGTATCTATTTGATTATTCTGTTTTCTTTTTTATTGTGTAGGTAGCAGTCTATCTATTTTAGTAAATTTTTTTTTCAAAAAACCAGCTCCTGGATTCCTTGATTTTTTGAAGGGTCTTTCATGTCTCTATCTCCTTCAGTTTCACTCTGACCTTACTTAATTCTCGTCTTCTGCTAGCTTTAGGGTTTGTTTGCTCTTGGTTCTCTAGTTCTTTTAGTTGTGATGTTAGGGTGTCAATTTGAGACCTTTATAGCTTTTCAATATGAACATTGAGTGCTGTAAATTTCCCTCTTAAGGCTGCTTTAGTTCCATCCAAGACATTCTGGTACATTGTATCTTTGTTCTCATTGGTTTCAAAGAACTTCTTGATTTCTGCCTTAATTTCATTATTTACCCAGGAGTCATTCAGCTGCAAGTTGTTCAATTTCCATGTAGTTGTGTGGATTTGAGTGAGTTTCTTAATCTTGAGTTCAAATTTGATTGCACTGTGCTCCGAGAGACTGTTTCTTTTGCATTTGCTGAGGAGTGATTTACCTTGAGTTATGTGATCAATTTTAGAGTAAGTGTCATGTGGCACCAAGAAGAATGTATATTCTGTTGTTTTTGGGTAAAGAGTTCTGTAGTTACCTATCAGGTCCACTTGATCCAGAGCTGAGTTCAATCCTGAATATCTTTGTTAATTTTCTGTCTCCATGATCTTTCTAATATTGACAGTGGGTGGTAACATCTCCCACTACTATTGTGTGGGGGTCTAAGTCTCTTTTAACATCTCTAAGAACTTGTTTTATGAATCTGGGTGCTCCTGTACTAAATGCATATATATTTAGGATAGTTAGTGCTTCCAGTTAAATTGAACCCTTCACAATTTTTTAATGCCCTTCTTTGTCTTTTTTGATCTTTGTTAGTTTAAAGTCTGTTTTGCCAGAGACTAGAATTGCAGCCCTTGCTTTTTTCTGCTTTCCATTTGCTTGGTAATTTTCCTCCAACACTTTATTTTGAGTCTATGTGTGTCTTTGCACATGAGATGGGTCTCTTGAATACAGCACACCAGTGGATGGTTTTTCCTTTCCATATTTAGTGCTTCCTTCAGGAGCTCTTGCAAGGCAGGCCTAGTGGTCACGAATTCCCTCAGCATTTGCTTGCCTAAGAAGGATTTTATTTCTCCTTCACTTATGAAGCTCAGTTTGACTGAATATGAAATTCTGAGTTGGAAATTCTTTTCTTTAATAATAATGAATATTGGCCCCCAGTCTCTTCTGGATTGTAGGGTTTCTGCTGAGAGGGCTGCTGTTAGTCTAATGGGCTTCCCTTTGTAGGTGACCTGGCCTTTCTTTGCCTTTCTTTCTGGCTACCCTTAATGTTTTTTTCTTCATTTTGACCTTGGAGAATTTGATAATTATGTGTCTTGCAGTTGATCTTCTCATGGAGTATCTTACTGGGATTCTCTGGATTTCCTGAATTTGAATGTGGGCCTGTCTTGCTAGGTTGGAGTAGTTCTCCTCGATGATATCCTGAAGTACATTTTCCAACTTGGTTCCGTGCTCCCCATCCCTTTCAGGTACCCCAATCAGTCATAGGTTTGGTCTTTTTAAATAATCCCATAGTTCTTGGAAGTTTTGTTTGTTCCTTTTTATTCTTTTTTTCTCTAATCTTGTATGCCTGTCTTATTTCAGCAAGATAGCCTTCAAGCTCTGAAATTCTTTCCTCCACTTGGTCTATTCGGTTATTGATATTTGTGGTTGCATTGTGAAGTTCTCATGTTGTGTTTTTCAGTTCCATCAGATCATTTATATTCCTCTCTAAACTGGTTATTCTGGTTAACACTTCTGTAATGTTTTATCATGTTTCTTTACTTCTTTGCATTGGGTTAGTACATGTTCCTTTAGCTCAGCAAAGTTTATTACTATCCATCTTCTGAAGCCTACATCTGTCAGTTTATCCATTTCAGCCTTTGCCCAGTCCTGTATCCTTGCTGGAGAGGTATTGCGATCATTTAGAGGAGAAGAGGAACTCTGGCATTTTTTTGCATTTTCAGCATTTCTTTCATTGATTCTTTCTCATCTTCATGAGTTTGTCTAGCTTCGATCTTTGAGGCTGCTGATCTTTGGACGGGGTTTTTGTGGGGTCTTTTGTGTTGATGTTGTTTTTGTTGCTTTCTGTTTGTTTTTCTTTTAACAGTCAGGCCTTTCTTTCATAGGGCTGCTGCAGTTTGCTGGGGGTCCACTCCAGATCCTATTCTCCTGGGTCCCTCCTGTACCTGGAGGTGTCACTAGTGTAGGTGCCTCCCTTGGCTGGGGGTGGGAGCTTCTCTTGCCCTGTGTGGCTCCTGGGTGGGCCATCACACTGCCTAGCTTTCCTTGCTCTCTGTGGTTGCGCCAACTGCCTATCAGTCTCATTGACGGAACCTGGATATCTTAGTTACTGGTGCAGGATTCACTTGCTGTTTTTATTCTTCTTGATGGGCGCCTTTGACCAGAGCTGTTTCTAGTTGGCCATCTTGGCCCAAAGAGTGAAGGATTCTACAGCAGGGAATCACATAATGAAAGTGTGCATTTTGGGAGGTATGGAAAAATGAAGAGGTAGGCTCACAGTTGATAGTTTATTTAAGAATCAATAATAATTTATGTGAAAACAACAATGACAGTGACAGCAGAAAAAAAGTAAAGTTGAGAGCCAATAAGGTCAAATTCAATGATACTTTTCAAACTGTATATTGCTACCAATTAGTGAGTGGTAAAACTAGTTTTGTGGGCCTTACCTAGTATTTTCTGTTTGTCTGCATTTGTGTTGTTCATTTTATGATCTTTTTCCATATCTATATGTAGTAATAAAATATTTGATATTTATGCTTTTACTTTATCAGACATAAAAATAAATATTCTTTTATAAAACCTTGTTCCATTTATATGCATATGTATGGAGTGTCTCTGTGTGTATGTGTGTGTGTGTGTATGTGTACTAGGTGAGCATAGAATATGTATTTCAGAGACAGAATACTGTAAAGGCTAAGTCAAGAGCATGAAAATTGGACCACATTGCCTGATACGTGACGTTAGTAAACTTACTTAATTATTTTCTTTTTTTTTTGCCTCAGATTCCTTATCTGTAAAATGAGATATCTGTAAAATGAGATAGGGAACGAGTCACCTACATTTTTAGGAAGATTTTACTTGGTAACCTGTATCAGGTCTATATATGTTATTCCTTTCGTGTTTTTCTCCAATATTATACAATTTTTCAGCCAGAAATTTTTCTGTAAGGCATTAGGTCTATGATAATAAATCTTTCTCACATGAAATATACCTGTGAATTTGCCTTAGTGGTTTGTTGACTCAAATAAACACGCAAAAATATAAGAAAGTTACAAAATAAGACTACTATTGAAAGAAGAGAGCATAAGGAATCTATAAAAAGTCTTCTAAATTTTCCTAGAAGCAATAGAATCTTGGATTAAATTTTACTTTATATATGTGAATATTTATTTATTTATTTATTTATTTATTTATTTTAGAGGTAGGAGTTTTAAATGGTAAAGTGGAAACAGAGGCATCAATTTTATTTCCTTTTTTTTTCTTTTGAGATGGAGTCTGGCTCTGTTGCCCAGGCTGGAGTGCAGTGGCGCGATCTCAGCTCACTACAACCTCCACCTCCTGGGTTCAAGTGATTCTCCTGCCTCAGCTTCCCGTAGCTGGGATTACAGGCGCCCACCACCACACATGGCTAATTTTTGTATTTTTGGTAGAGATAGGGTTTCACTATGTTGGCCAGGCTAGTCTTGAACTCCTGACCTCAGGTGATGTGCCCGCCTCAGCCTCCCAAAGTACTGGGATTACAGGCATGAGCCACAGCACCCGGCTGAGAATTTACTTATGATAGGAAAAAAAATGATTTAAGAAAAATGTTATTTGGTTCTTAAAACACCATTGATAGTTAAAATGAAGTACAAAAGAATCCACCTATCTCCCTTGACTATGTAAGAAGTTCTAGCTTAAGGCTCTATTTATTTCAGAACAATTATCTAAACTTGGAGCATTGGTGTTAATTTAGTCTCCAGCTAAAGGTTAACTTCAGCTGTGATAGGAACAAATAAGTAAGCACATATTTCTTTCTTTTCACTTGACTTGGGCTGGGTGTACTTTGATGGTGGAGGAGGGTGCAGGTGCCTGTGGATACAAATGACAGAAGAGATCAGCCATTAAGGATTTAAAGACCCTAACTTGTGTATGTTGCGCCCTCTGCTGGTTACTAAAAACCAGAGTCAAGAAGTGTCTATGGACAATGAAGTAAAAAAATCTATAAATATTCTTAGTACTCTCAAATATGCATTCATTGTAGAATGGGCATTAAACTTTTTTTCTACATCAAATTAGGGTATTCAGAGGATTACAGCTCTTTTATTTGTAATGCATAATTCAGTTTACACATGACTTTGGTTGGCTATGGCTAACACATAGAAACAGCACAACAGAAAAGCTGGTTATGTGGAAATACAACTTTCAAAACAGTTAAAATGGGAATTATTTATTTGAATAACAAAAACTATAATTATGTGTTTCCTTTAAATAACCACTTCTCATAGAGATATGTAAAATGTTTAAATTATGTTATTCTACTTATATTAAATACTTATAATAGTTTAATTCAAATGCACAGTTGAAAAATACCTCCATTGGGGGAAGAAACCATTTTAGGACTCCACATACATTATGTTGACTCATTTCTTACATGGAGAGGAAGCAAGCAACCAGGAAACCAGATTGAGAAACTGAGTTAGAGTTAAGTAAGTCCTGTCCTCGCATGAAGAAGAGCTACCTCAACACCTCTTGCCTCAGTTGGAATTAGTCCAGGGCATTGGACCAGTGTTGAGTTCATAGGTGAGCACCAGGTAGCTCAAACTGTGGGGCTCAGGTGGAAGCACTGGCAAACTTGATGCCTGTGCCTGAAATCCATTCTCTCTGAATGCCTTTCTGATTTCCTACGGGGAGAGTTAATAAGAATGCCTTTCCTTTACTTATTAAAAAGATGAGGTACAAATTATATGTGACTTAGACACTTTTCATCAAAGACCACAAAGAAGAAGAATTCATTCTGGCCCTACCCTTTTGAGGTAAGTGTTCACTTTTATTGTAATCACAATTACTATAAAGTAACTGCAGAAGTTAGCATTGATCCTAAAGCGTATATTGAAGCTAGAACATGAGGGAACAGGGACTAATCTCTCACAGTGGTCTACAAATTACAGATCTTATTGAATACTCTCTCTCCAGTGTGCATATATGGCCACTATTTTAACTGTTAAAGAGACTTCCAGTCACACACTGGAGGGGGAAAAAGACAGAGTAATATCCAGAAAAACAGCACACTAGACTCCATTCTGACCACAAGTCCCTGGATATGGCTGCCAGTGACGTGAATGAAAGAGACTCATGCCAGTAGAAACAAGGCCATGGGCAGGGAGATGTCTTAGCACTACTTAAGGCAAGTCATGGTGGGAGGAGTCAGCCAGGCAGTCAACATTTACCTTTGCCTGTAGTGCAAAAGCAAAATCAGACAGTGATGAATATTTTTTTCTTTTTAGAGAAAGGAATAAACAAGGAGAAGGAGTGATTGTCATTCTTTTAAGACCTGGAATAGGAGAGAGAGATTCACATACCATGTAGTGTGTGTGTCTGTGTGTGTGTGTTTACACACACCTACACATGAGCAGCAGAAACATATTAGCAACTCATTAGTAACATGTCCTTTACTAAATATTAGGGCCTCATTTCTTTCTCTGTAAAAATAAGAGGTTAGGTTAGTTAAATGTAGTATAGGCCTTAAAGTCTATGAGTCTGTACATCCAGCCAATTTTACTTGTTTATAAAAATGTTTTGGAGGAAAAGCTGAAAATATTATGAAATTGGCAGTGACAGGAATCAGCCAATCTCTCTCAAGGAAGTTTCATGAAGGAAATGTATCTATGTTTATTTGTTTGTTTGTTTTTTGAGACGGAGTCTCATTCTGTCGCCAGGCTGGAGTGCAGTGGCACGATCTTGGCTCACTGCAACTTCCGCCTCTGGGTTCAAGTGATTCTCCTGCCTCAGCCTCCTGAGTAGCTGGGACTACAGGCACGCGCCACCATGTCCAGTTAATTTTTGTATTTTTAGTAGAGACAGGGTTTCACCATGTTGGCCAGGATGGTCTCTATCTCTTGACCTCGTGATCCAAGTGCCTTGGTCTCCCAGAGTGCTGGGATTACAGGTGTGAGTCACGGTGTCCGGCTGTGGACCTATGTTTATGAAGATTCTTATCTAAATTTGGCACCTAATACATAAATTATCAGAATCTAGATAACCAACAGAAAGGTTTTCTTTGAATTATTTTTAAAAATAAGTTGACAAAACCTTAAATAGAGTTTTAAAAGAAAGGAGAAGCTGAGTTTGAGAGGATTGGGGTGGGTATGACAAGCAAGGGAAATGACATAGTTTAGAATTTTAAAGAGGGAAGTTCACTTGAAATTAATGAATGCAGTTTTCTACTCAGACACAATTCCAGTCATGAAAAACCTGGATATATTTTAGGGGAAATTATCCACAAACTACAATAAAACCATCATTCCATTAAATAATGTTAACTAACTAGTATTAAGACTTGAGAGTGACAGTGAGTGAGTGTTAGCCAGGTAAATAAAGGTAGAAAAGGCACTCCAGAAAGAGGAAACACCACAACCAAAGGCAAGAAGATTTCAAGAGGCACGGAGGGTGGGGGGCATTGCAGGCATTTCCATATTATGAAAACATAGATTATGAAATAGGGAATAGTGTAGTGGCAAATATAACTGAAATGGTGGTATTTATGTCATGTTCTATGCCAAGCTAAGAATCTTGAGATTTATTCCATTGCTAGTAAGGGCCTTAAGCAAGCTAGTAGTACAGCACAATTAAAGCAACCCAGCCAGAGCACGGAGGCTGTATTTGAAGGCAGCAGGGCTAGAAGCAGGCTCTTTTAATAGCCAAGTAATGATTCTTAAGTTGGGATCTAGGCACAAATAGAAGGCAAAGAGGAGAAGGAGGACATGAATAGGAATTTTCAGAACATAAAAACAGCAGAATTTGCTTAATTGTTTGGTTCTATAAAACAATAGAGAAAACTCCCCAGATTTTTGATTCCAGTAACCATTGACAGAGATCAGGAACATAGGGAAACAACAGGGCGGTGGATGAAGAAGAATATGATGAGTATGCACATGACTGTGGCTGTGTTGAACATGGATTGCATGTGAGTTATCTAGATGACTATGCCTAATAGATGCCATGTTTAAAGAACAGAGGCTCAGAGACAAAATAAATTGACAATCACTATCAAAGATTGAATACTACCTAAACACAGTGTTTAAATTATTGGATAGAATTTCATTTAAATTCAATACAATTTAAACTTTTTTGTATGGTTGTTTGTTTGTTTTTGTCATCACTCAATAGACAAACTCATGAAAAAATTAGGTAAATTACAAGCAAAATATGGAAATTTCGTTTTTCAGCACAACTGAATTTTATGAGCAATTTGGTTGCCCCTACTGTCTAAAGCATTTCGCACATTGTAAATATTCAAGTAATGGTGACTATGACTATTAGCTAGAATTTAACATCAATTTGGGACTGGGAAAAAAGTTGGAAACGTGACAATACTTGTTTCTTCCAATAGTAAAGCCTAGAAAATCCCACATGTGAATTATGCAATTAATTATTGTTTTCATAATTAGGTGTCTAGTGGAGTGAGAATGAGAAGAATAGACAGAGCTGGGTTAAGGGAGAGGACACTTCAAAAACAGATGGATTTTGTTGGTTTTGAAAGTATTTCAAAGAAGCAAATGGAGAATACCTGCAAAGACAGAAGGAGACAGATGGAAAAGGCACTTGTGTGTAGCCAAGGAGTATGGACTTGATCTTGTAGGCTGTCACTGTTTAAACATAGAGAGACTTGAACAGATATGGATGTTTTGGTTTTGTTTCTTATTTTGATTATGGCATCTATATAAAGGAACATTGAAGCAGTGAGAATTAGCCAGGTAAAGTTATGAGCAGAGAGAAACAGGGACTAAGGTAACAAGAATGAAGTGGGAGCATGATTAAAAAGACTTTTGGGAGGAAAATCTATAGTAAATGTTGTCTGACTCAGTATAAGGATTGTGGAAGATGGAATTATATCTGAAAGCTCTACTTTGAGATGAAATAGTTTCTTGATAATGCATATTTACTTCACTTTCTTCAAACTTTGCTGTGAAAAATTTAATCAATTTCTTCCTATGTGATAGATGAATGATTGACACTTTTAATTTTTGCATTTCTCATTACTAGATAAGAAAACTCAAATCATATCATTGTTCTCACAGATTTTCATATAGAATGTTAATTCTGAATTAGATGATTCTCCTTAGCATAAGACTTTTATTATGTCTTTTTATGATCCTTGATTCCATTAATATCACTGTTGATACTTTTTTCTTGGTTGTACAAAAATTGTAATATTTGTTTAATGCAGAAATGTTATAAGTAAAAGCGTTGAGTTAAAGTTAGCAAGATTAGGCTGGGTGCAGTGGCTCACACCTGTAATCCCAGCACTTTGGGTGGCCGAGGTCAGGAGTTCGACACCAGCCTGGCCAACGTGGGGAAACACTGCCTCTACTAAAAATACAAAAATGAGCCGGGCATGGTGGCAGGCGCCTGTAGTCCCAGCTACTCGGGAGGCTGAGGCAGGAGAATTGCTTGAACCCAGGAGATGGAGGTTGCGGTGAGCTGAGATCATGCCATTGCACTCCAGCCTGGGTGACAAGAGCAAAAACTCCATCTCAGAAAAAAAAAAAAAGTTAGCAAGATTAGAATAATTAAGAGTTTCAAGAAATATGTTCTGTAAGTGGTGAATGTATGCAAATGCTAAAAGGGTGCATGACATGTTCTTTTATTCATTAAATTTTTAAAATTTTATTATCGAAATCTAGATTTACATTTAGATGCTGTGCTCACTTAATTAGCCTTACGTGTTTAGTGTTTCGCATTGTTCTAAGTCCAAGTGGGCATGTGTAATGTATATTCCAGGTTCACATTATGGATTAAAACCCAGTCATTTCTTTCAGCCTCCAGAATTCTCTAAACATTCTGACAAATAGTCTTGCTCTAATTTCTATATGGTCTTTGAAAACAGAGTTTAATTTTAAATTGGAGTTAAATGCTCATCTAGAACAAATATTCTTTTGTTATACAAAAGCCACTCTGAATTCCATAGGGCAGCAGTTCTCAAACTTTGGCTCTTCATGTTCTGCAATTGTGCAATGCACATCTTTAATGTTTGACTCAGTAAGAGATCGCTGAACTCATATCTGCTTCTTCATTCAATCCATTGCAATATATTGCTTTGGTTTAAGTATAGAGAAAAATCTGGCTTACAAGACATATATGAGAAAGAGAAAGGTATATTTTAATAAACTTTTTAGATAATTGGGCATATTCTTTTGTATGCCACAAACATTTGACAAGTAATAGTTTCTTGGAGGTTAGTTGTAATGTGGAGTCTTAAAACATATCACTATGATACTCTATTGCGTTGAAATCCATTGATCTATCCTGTACTTTTCATGACTATTTTATCGATGTGTGATTCAGTCACATTATGCACTGGTTGTTTGGAAGATATTGGTCCTCTCATTTGTGAACATCTTCCAAATTTGAACACATTTCATGATTCAATATCATCATGTGCATGTAGCCTTGGAAAATTCCACTGTGTACTTTGTAAGAGTGGGTATGAAAAAGGAAAATAATAACTTGACTATAATAGTGGAACCTCTTAAAAGTGTTTGGGGACTCCGAAGAGTTTGTGGATCACATTTTGAGAATTAATATTCTAGGGAAAATGGTTTCCTTTCAAAAATAAAATAAAACTGTTGGCAAAGTTTTATCTTTGACTCACCTGTGCTCTCTGTTTTCTTTATATCTACTATTAAAATAAAAATAATAGGTGTTAGTAGGTTTAGGGGGCCTATTATATGTCACTGGAAGTTGCATGTATATGACCAACTTGTGTATTCCATTCCTCATGATCAAGTACTGCACAGTTTTTAAATGAAGGACGGATCACATCACATAGATTATACAGACTCTAATTTCATCATGGTAAGGCTAACGGGTATTATTTATACATTCTAATAATAGTGTATAAGAGACCTAATGTGTAAAAAAAAAAATCTTTTTTGAAGAATGCAGGAAATCCAGAGAATTTCCTGAAGAGAATAAATATGAAAGGACTAAAATAAAATGTATGATTATGTGTCCTTTAAGTCTTTTGGTGCTTTAATTAATAATTAACTTAGATATAATGGTCATGGATATAAATTCCATTTTTAAACTCTACTTGAAAACTAAACGTGAGCTCCATATTTAATATGGCATAAGTTTATATTAAATAATTCATATTTTTCCATTAAATAAGATATTATTTAATAGAAATTTTAATTAATCCTATGAATTAATTAACTCCATTAATATTTAATGGAAAATTTAATCCTATGAATTAATATCATATTTAATTCCTAGACAAGCATGGAGTATTTGCCAAGTTCAGTTGGCATGTAATGTTAGTTATTTAATTATTCCAGGAAACTAGCTAATCACTACAGTCTTTTATTGATTAGCTTATATGCAAATATGAAATAATTTTTAAAAGCATGCATGCACTTTCTTTTATATATACATGTAAGAAACTGACTTAGTAAGTGGTATTTTTTCCCCTGAAAGCAGACAACAGATAGGAAGTTTGTATGCCTAATTTTTAGTTTATTATTCTGAAAACAAGAGACTCATATTTCTTACTAAAGACGTAAGTTTATCAAACTGAGGAGGATAATACTTTCTACATATAATTTTTTGGATTGGCTCTATTTAAAGTAAGTCTTTGTTTCTTATGTATTTCTTTCAGAAAACATTATATTTCAAGCTGCATAGATATTTGCAAAATAAATTTTAAGAATCATTTAATCCAATGGTTTCTAGACTTTGGAGTTCATGAAAATTTAAAATGCCATTTAATACAAAGGAAAAAATTTTATTTCCCACTTCTTATTTTGCCAAAAAAGACCTTTAAAACTAAGAAGCAAAAAAGAACAAGCAAGAAGCAAACAAAAACCTATTGCCTATAACCACCATCAACATAATGTAAAGAACTTCTTAATACCAAAATTCCAAAAGCATTGTATTGAATGCACAGACATTCAGTATATTATCTTTCTTTCTCTCAGACTCATGAAAACTTTATTATGAGACTGCTATGGACCGAATTTTGCCCCCCAATACTCCCAAATTATGTGTTGAAGCTCTAACCCCAAAGGTGACTGTATTTGGTGATAGGATCTTTAGGGGGGGAATTAAGGTTAATGAGATCATAAGGCAGAGCTCTAATTTGACAAGATGAATGTCCCTGTAAGAAGAAGAGATACCAGATCTCTCTCTCTCTCATTCAATTTGTGCACAGAAAAGAGGCCACCTGAGAACACAGCAAGAAGTTGGCTGTCCACGAACCAGGAAGATAGGCCTCACCAGAAAACAACAATACAATTGTGAAAAAATAAATGTCTGTTGTTTAAGCCACACAGTTTGTGGTATTCTGTTATGGAGGCCTGGACTGACTAACACAGAGGTCTATTGCCAATGTCTCTAAATCACTGATCTAATGCTCCATGGAACTAACCCAGATGGAGAAAATGTCTTCTATTTTAAAAGATGATTAGAAAAAGGAATTCCAGAACGATTACATCTTTGACAAATGGAAAGGGATTTTTATTTAATTTCTTTTTATTTTTTCCCTGCCTTTCCATTCTTCCACTGAATTGGGGGAGGTAGGGGGAAGGTAGACATATACCACAATTAATCTTCATAAATGCCCATTTTTCTTTCTGGAATGTTCTTCCTCTTTTTGTGTCCTTGGCAAATGGCATATATACTCAGATACTCAGTTCATACATGACCTTCTCTAAAACTCTTTCTTTTGTCTCTTGATATGAGTTACATCTCTTCTCTGCGAGTTGTGTATACTTATATGATAGCAATTATATTGAACTGTCATAATCTGTTATTCCTGTGTGATAATTTCTGATATCAGTTGTCAGCTATAGTTCAGCTGTCAGCTATTGTATTTTTTGATGTGTTCAATCTATTTTTGACATCTTATTTTGTGATTTCTGTTTACCTAGCTTTTCCCAAATTCCTTTACCTTTTCTGCCTTCTTTTAGAATGACTATTTTTTAAATTAATTTTTCCCCTCTATTGGTTTGAAGTTATAAATTATTACATTTTATTGATTACCCTGGACATTTAGCATAGCTATGTCTAAATTTATTTAATTTCTCCCCTGCTACTAATCATAAGCTTCCTGGAATACCCTCTTTATTAATATTAAGCATAGAGTATGCTATGTTAGTTTTGTCTTGTATTTTAACAGCAATAATTACGTATTACTATTTATTGCTATTATTTCATGTGAAAGTTGTTTCTCTATATTTCCATAATTTTACAAATCACATTGCTTATTATTCATTTTTGCATCTTAGTCCTTCCTTCTTGCTCTCATTTTCTTTTCCTTCAAGGTTATTTTTTGTTTAGTTTCAAAGTATTTATTGTATACTTATTACTTAAAAATAATTTCAAAGGATATAATTCTAGGTAGACAGCTATTTTATCTTACTGCTTAGAGATATTAATTGTCAGGGAAATGCAAATAAAAAGCAATACCACCTTACTCTTGCAAGAATGTCCATAATTGAAAAATAAAAAAAAAATAGATGTTGGCATGGATGTGGTGAAAAGGGAACACTTTTACACTGCTGGTGGGAATGTAAACTAGTACAGCCACTATAGAAAACAGTATGGTGACTCTTTAGAGAACTAAAAGCAGAACTACCATTTGATCCAGGAATCCCATACTGGGTATCAACCCAGAGGAAAATAAATCATTATATGAAAAAGACACTTGCACACTGATATGGTTTGGCTGCGTCCCATCTCAAATCTCATCTTAAATTGTAGTTCCCATAATCCCCATGTGTTGTGGGAGGGACCAGGTGGAGATAACTGAATCATAAGGAAGGTTTCCCCCATCTTGTTCTCATGATAGTGAGTTAGTTCTTCTGATGATTTTATAAGGGTCTTTCCCCTTCACTGGGCACTCATTCTGTCTCCTGTTGCTCTGTGAAGAGGTGCCTTCCACCATAATTGTAAGTTTCCTGTGGCCTCCCCAGCCATGTGGAACCATGAATCAATTAAACCTCTTTCCTTTATAAATTACCCAGTTTTGGCAGTTTTGGATATTTCTTTATAACAGTGTGAGAATGGACTAATACACATACACATATTTATAGCAGCATAATTTGCAATTTTGAAAAATGTGGGACCAGTCTAAATGCCCTTCAACTAACCAGTGGATAAAGAAAATGTGATATGTGATATATATATATGTATGTGTGTGTGTATATATATATACACCACATTTATATATATAAAGTACACATGTATATATATATATATGTATATACACACACACACACACACACACACACATACACTATGTAATACTACTCAGACATAAAAGGAGTGAAATAATGGCATTCACAGCAACCTGGATGGAGTTGGAGACTGTTATTCTAAGTGGAGTAGCTCAAAAATAGAAAACCAATCCCATATGCTCTCACAAGTGGGAGCTGAACTATGAAAACACAAAGGCATAAGAATGATATAATGTGCTCTGAGGACTTGGGAGGAAGGTTGGGAGGGGAGTGATGGATAAAAGACTACACATTGGGTACAGTGTACACTGCCCTGGTGATGGGTGCACCAAAAACTCAGAAATGACCACTGAAGAACTTATCCATCTAACCAAATACCACCTGTTCCCCAAAAACTATTAAAATAATAATAAAAAAATTAAAGAAATATTATTCTACTCTTCCCCATCTTTTATTTTGTGTCAAGATGACAATTATAAGTCTGTCTTTTATTTTTTCTTTCTCTTTTACAATTTTTAAAATAACTATGTCCTTAATATTTTTCAGATTCATGGAAATGTGCTTAGAAGTAGGGTTTATTAGATTTATCCTGCTTGGAATTCATTATGCTTTAAGAATTTAAGGATTCTTGTCTTGTAGACATTCTGGAACATTCACGTCCATTAATCCCTTTGAATATCACATTTTACTCATTCTTTCTAGTCTCCTCTTTTCAGAACCCCAATTATACATTTATTAATCTTCTTTTACTTTCATTTTCATATTTTTCATGTTTTTTATGCTTCACTGTAAGTAACATTCTCTTGTCTGTTCTCTGCCATATTGTTATTATTTCTCTAGCTTTGTCTTATCTGTCATTTAACCTACCTAATATATTTTACATTAAAATCATTATATGATCATCTTTAGACTTAGAATGTCTTTTTTTAATCTTTTTTAATTTTTTTTTTATTTTTGAGATGATGTCTCACTCTGTCACTCAGGCTGTAGTGCAGTGCCGTGATCTGGGCTCACTGCAGCCTGCACCTCCTGGGTTCAAGCGATTCTCCTGTCTCAGCCTCCCAAGTAGCTGGGATTACAGGCTTGTGCCACCATGCCTGGCTAATTTTTGTATTTTTAGTAGAGATGGGATTTCACCATGTTGCTCACGCTGGTCTTAAACTCCTGATCTCAGGTGATCTGCTGGCTTCAGCCTCCCAAAGTGCTGGGATTACAGGCGTGAGCCACTGCACCCGGCCACAAATCTGGTCTTTTGTAGAACAGTATATAAATGAATAAGATAAACCAGGATAGACTTTAGACTTTGAAAAACCTTCCAAATTCTGCACTTTTTTTGTTCTGGTAGAGGGTTTGCTGGTGGTAGTGGTGGCATGGTGGGAAGAGGGAAGCAGCTCAACTGTGAGCAATACAAACACCCGCCTTTGCCTTATGCACCACCAGAGAGTGGGGGCCAGAGCCAAATGGTAAGATGACGGTGGTTGCTATGTTGTCTCTAACACATTTTGTGCATAAGAAAGCTAGAAGTATTTTTAATGAATCCCCAGAAAATAACCACATAGAGTAACATTTACAGGAAAGTGATGGTCTCACAGTTGCAGGCAGGAGTGAAAGTCAGTGGCTGAGGTATTACTATTAATATGTGCTTATTTAAACCCCAGATATCATGGTTTGTGAAAACATAGGATATAAAATAATAGCTAACCTTAGATTGGAGAGTGACTCTGGACAGTGGCATTAATGCCGGTAAAATAACAAAGTAGCCCCAAATATGACAAGCAATTTGTGAACATGTTAGGATGGATATTTTGTCATTAGCTTAATAATATAACTTCATTGCTGATGGAATTCAAACTGAATCTTCAGTCTCCTACACAGAGACCTCACTTTCTCCCCCTACTCTCTCACCATACCACAATGCCAATCACAAATGAAATAATTATCCTACATACCTGCTCCTAGTCTAGACATTTAATGTACAAGAGGACTACAGTTAATAAAATTTTATTGTGCCAAGGATTTTTGTTAACTAAGTAGATTTTAGCTATTCTTGTCACAAAAAGAGTTAAATTATGTAAGGTGAAAGATTTGTTTATTATAGTAACTGTTTTACTATCTATAAATATCCCATAACATTGTACTGTAAACCTCAAATATACACAAAAAGTTTATTTAAAAATTAAACAAATGAAAAAGAAAAATAATCAGTGATGGCTATTATTTATGTATAAAATGCTATAAAATTGATTTGACTAATATCAGCTGAATCACTGGTAATGTTTTCATAGACAAACTCATCATGACATTATTGCATATATGTATATTACAGCATAGATCTATAGGTGGATTCTAAAAAAATTTTCTATTAAGGTGACTTATCAAACAAGAATAATGTCAATGAGCAAAGTAGATTTGAATAAAGCAATGGTACTCTTAGAAAAGTCATGAATTGAACAAACAAGTGTTAAAATATGTTTCTATCAACCTGAAATCAAGTCTGGGAGGGGATTTGTGTGTGTATGCAAAAGATAAAAAAAATGTTGGTTTGGGTTTGCCAATATCTGTAGGTAAATATTTTTAGGATTTATTTTTTTTCCATGCAGAAGATTCAATAGTATAATATTTAGCAACTGAACTAAACAAAGGTTGACTATTAAGCCACCTTTCTGCTGAATACCTCTAGCCTGCGTCTTTGTCAAATAATCTTTGAAATCATTCACTCATCCCTCATTCCTTGGAAAAGGCATTAACCCTCCATCTTCTGTTTTCTAAATATGTAGGATGCAGTTGTTAAGTATCCCAAATAAACAAAGAAATCTCAGATATCAAATGTATAATTTCATCTGCAGAACTATGATTAATAAAACCTTCATGGGTTTCTCTGAAAAACATATTATGGTTCAGTGAAATCTTTAAAAACATTGGAAAAACTTAAAACTCAGTAACAATAAAAAGATTGAGTAAAATAAATCAAAGATGAGGAAAGAGTCAATAGCACATTGAATAGTTTAACATCCAGAGTTAAATTTAAATAAGGTAATGCCATGTTTACTTGTTAGCACTAAAAATGGTGTCGTGTATTTTTCTTTCTTTTTTTAATGAATTCTTCAAGAAGATATATTTACTTAGTGCTGGTGAGTTTCTTTTTGCTAAAATACATGCCATGTTTTGATTCGTTTAAGATTGTCATATTTCAGTCATTTAGCTTCATCTTTTCTCTTCTGTCCAGCCATCCTCTGTTCTTTCTCGGTTGTTTGCTAATATCATTAGAGGTCATTACTTAAAATATCTTGCCTACATTTTGCCTCTTGTTTGTATTTAATTTGTTACTACTAAAACATAGTGTATCTCTTCAAACGTAAATAGAGTTATGTCAAACTCTTGAAGCAGAACGGCAAAGTATTTTATATAATCATGCATCGCTTAACAATGGGGTTATATTCTGATAAACGCATCTTAGGCAATTTTGTTGTGTGAACATCTTCGATTGTACTTACACAAACATAGGTGGTAGAGCCTACTATACAAATACGTATAGCCTATTGTTCCTAGGCTGCAAACCTGGACAACATGTTACTGTACTGAATACTGTAGACAGTTGTAGCACAATGATAAGTATTTGTCTAACTAAACATATCTAAACATAGTAAAAATATGGTATAATCATCTTATGGGATCACTGTCATATATAAGGCCCATTGTTGATCAAAATGTCGTTATTCAGCGCATGACTTTATTTATTTGTGGGAGCTGATTAGGTCATCCCTTTCTTATCTACCAAATATTCATCTTTGCTTCTGCTCACATTCATTTCTACACTTTCACCCCTCTTTGTTTTCCCATTTCCCTGTGAGTCTCCCTTTCTGCAAGTACAGAAGTTCTCATTTCTCTACTTATTTATTAATGTATTCACTCATGCATGCAAACTAATATTACATGACATGCATATTATGTTTTAAGAATAAAAATATAAAGGTGGAAAAAGACAGATACAGTCTATGTCCTCACAGTGCTTTTTTTCTAATGGGGGATTCAGACAACTCAATAGCATCCTAATTATCAGGTACCATGATTGGGGTGATGAGAATGCACACAGTACAGACGTGTAACCCACCTAGGAGGGTCCAAGAAGTCGTCTTGTTGGAAGTGACCACCAGGACAGATAGTTGAAAGGATAAGTAGAAGTCGTATGTAAGTTCGAAAGACAAAGGGGTTCTGAAGAAACTAGGAGGATGTTCTAAGTAGTTGGAACAATCTATGGGGAGGTCCTGAAATAAAAAAGAATATGGCATAGTTGAGGAAGAAATTTGGTAGGACTGGGGATAAAGTGCATGAGAGAAGATGCTATGAAAAATAGGCTAGGTAAAGCTTGGTTTATTTATTTGTACCATTTATAAAGAGTTTACCATTTTATTGAGACTGTATCCTAAGGGCTGTAAGACACCAGTGAAATTATTTAAGTGGTAGACAGATAGATGCAATCTGGCTGTGATGTTTAAAGTGATTAGAGGGGGCCACAACCAGAAGCAAGGTGGCCAGACTATTAAAAGAGTCCAAGCAAAAAATGATGAAGGTTTGAGTTAGGGTAGAAATGAAGAAAAAAGAAAAACAGAAGCAATCTTTAAGGAGTAGCATCAATTGGAAATGTGAGCAAGAAAGAGAAAGAAGTCAAAGATAATGATCAAAACTTTGTCTCAGGAAACTGGGTAAATAATTTATAAACTTTTACACAGCCCATTGAGGAAGCATACTTGGAGGTCATGTAAATGTATAAACACAAGTTTGGTTAATATTGAATTTTAGTTGCCAGTAGGACCCTTTAGTAGAGTTAGTGGATCAGACTCTCAAGAGACATCTCAGAGCTAAAGATGCCCATTTGCGAGTAGTCAATGCACATGTCATTGAAATAGAGAGAAGTTTGTGGAGTATGAGTAAAATAAGGCTTAGAACAGAGTCCCAAAGAGCACTGATATTTGGGCAAAAGAGATAGATGAAAGATAATTTGGAATGGGCCAGTCATAAAGAATGAAAAATAAAATAGTTTCAAGAATAAGGACATGGATAATACCACATGATAAAGTAAGACCTAAAAGGATTTCATGGGTATAAATCAGTTCTATTGTTCTTCCTTAGAGAGTAAGCTTTAAGTAATGTGCAAGTAACTCTATTCAGTGTCAAAAGTCTAGAAAGTATAAAATTTATACAGAACCTAACACAGTATCCAGCCAATAGACATTTAAAATATTATTTCTACCAGCAGAGTATGAGAGTTCTAGTTCCTTCACATCCTCTTTCACTTGATATGGCCAGTCTACTTAATTAAAGCCATTCTAATAGATGTGTAATCATATCTCATTGTGGTTTTAATTTTCATTTCCTTAATGACTAATGATGTTGCACATCTTATCACATGAATATTTGCCATCTATATTTCTTCTTCTTGAATTATCTGTTTAACTATGTCACCCATTTTATTTATTGGATCATTTGTTTTTTTCTTATTGAGGGTTGAACATTCTTTATATATGCAGTATAAAAGTTTTTGTCAGATATATAATTTGCAAATATTTTCTTCAAGTCTATGAATTGTCTTTTTATTTTATAAGCAATGTCTTAAACAACAGATGTTTTTAATTTTGATGAAATTCAATTTATCATTTTAAAAAGTTTTATGGATCATGGTGTTAGCATTGTAGCTAAGAAATTTTTGCCTAATTTGTTTTTGGTAATGTAAAATGGTACAATCAGTTTAGAAAATCAACTGACAAAATGTTGGAAGTATATTTTCTTCCCATCCCATTCCAACATATTTGGTCACTTTTTTATAATGTAAAAAAAAAAAATAAAATGTAAAAATAGTATTTGGTCATTATAAAAAAGTGACCAAATATTTATATAATGAATGAAAAATAAAGTGACCATATATTTTTATAATGACCAAATATTTGTTATATTTGGTGGTCACTATTTTATAAAGTAAAAAATATCATCCAACTGGATGATAATGTCAAAATATTTATGACGCATGCATGAAAGAAGCCAGACCAAAAAAAAGAGCGCTTATTGTATGATCTCATATATATAAAAATTCCATATAATGGAAACTAATCTTAATAGCAGAAAGACCAAGGGTTTCTTGGGGACAGGGGCTTGGGCACAAAATGAACAGGGACATGTATTCCAAAGGGGCATAACAAGTATTTTGGAAGAAAATAAATGTTTATTTTGATTGTGATGATGCTTTCATGGATGTATTCATAGGTCAAAAGTTTTATAAGTCCAGTTTGTTGTTTCTCACTTAAACCTCAGTAAAGCTGTTAAATAGTATTTCTACACTCCAATATCACAAATATACCAACTGAATTAAAAGAAATACTGCTTGTTTTTGTGATACGATCAAGTCATTCACTCACAAAACATTGCTGGTTTCATGGAGTTGTCCAGTAGTATTCCACTCAAGCTGAGTGAAATTATCAACTGAGAATTGATAATGAAGTTCTTGAGAAAGTGGTGACTAATTGTGAAATATGCACCCTTCTGCCTTAAACTCTCACATGCTAAGATATGAGTTGCTGCCTCCAACAGAAAATGTTTTTCCCTAGTTTCTACAAGCACTTCCAGGAAACAATTTTAAAGACACTTTTTTTTTCTTTTTCTTTGTAAAAATCTGTTTTTTATGCATTTGAAAAATCATTTTTTTCTTACTATGTTTTGTTTTTGAATAAAATATTTTCCCCAGAAGTGTCTTACCAAAATTATGTATTGGAAACACTAAAAAATGCCTTCACATCTACAATCTAAAACATATTTTATCATTTCACAACTCTTTTGGCTCCTTTGGTTTCTTGAATATAGTTTTTGTAAAAGGAACACAATTTACTTCATTTTTAACATTTAACATCGAAAACCATTTTTAAAAGATTTATAATTGTTTTTTCTTTTTGATCTGGTTGTATAATTAGAATAATTAACCTGACAAAATGTAGCTTTGCACTGTGGATTTAAATTCATTTTGTATTTAAGTGATGAAAAAATATGTTATTTCCCAGATTAAAACTATTTTTTAAGATAAACAATTCTCCAGCTAGTCCCAAAGAACTGAAATGAGGAGGCATAAAACTGAGGAAATTAGCTCCTCGAATTTCCCCTCTCATCTCCACCCTTACATCAAGTTTCAACTCCAAGGGGGAAGATTTATAGAACAGATGTGGGGTTTTTCCTCCCTAGAGTTTCAGTCCCTCAAAGAAATCTAGGGTTTCATTAGAGCTATATTCCATAGAGCAGGGGAGTAATGTGGTGAAGGTAGGATGACTATGCCTTCATTTGTTTAGGACACTTTTGTTTTTCTGTGTTTTTTTTTGGCGTATTTATCAATAGCTGTCCCATTTGCTCTTAAAATTATCCTGGTTTGAATGATGTGTAATCCCAGATCTCCTTCACTGAGCTCATGTATCCATCCCATAATAGTTGCTAGCATTGGTTGCTGAAAACCCACAGCTGATCCTTCTCAGGTGAGTTGATCTCAGCTCACATCCAACATTATATAGGAGGTTAGAGTTCCTCTCCCTACTCTCCACCCACAAGCAGCTACAGATAGAGAACTGACTAATGGAGAGAAGGGATCCAAAAAGCTGGCTCCTTTACTCATGGTGGAACCACCTTTATGATGCTATTTGTGCTCCAAAGCTCCCCATGGATTCAGGCTAAAGCTAGTTTCTAGCTGAGATCACTTTCCTGCTTGGGTTTTTATTTTTGTTTTTCTTTTTTGTTTTTTCTGTTCCTTTACCTTATTCTGCTTCGCTCACTACCCTTTTTTCTGATAATTCTTTTTTTCTCTGAGAATTCTTGATCAATACATTTTTAACACAGGAATCTCAGGCTGTGTTCCTAGAAAATCTGACCAAGATAGTACTGGAATCGGTCCCAGGAAGCAGTCTTTAAAGATGTGACTTGAGTTGGATACCTCACTTGAAGAGGGGCAAGGAGAGCCCAATCACCAGTGGTAGAAGTGTTGCTGGTCCCCCGCTTCCTTTGACTGTGTCACTGCTGATACCTTCTTCTAGGGCGAACTTAGAAAAGACATAGGTGGAAGGGGATAGACTAGCATGTCAATGCCTGTGGTATTTGAGAGGTATGGGAAAAAGAGTAAATATATGTACTATTGAAATTAGGACATTATAGCTAAATACCTTGTATTGAAAAGAGAAAATGACAGGTTCAAATACATTAATCATGACTTCCAAAACAAAATGTGAAACTTGAGAGTCTGCTAGGCATTATTTAAAGCAACTCTTGAAGCCAGAGGGAAGATAAAGCTTAAAATGAGACACAGGACTTGATTATAAAAGAGACAAAACTATTCTTAGTTCAGGCAAGTTTCCTATGCCGATCACAGCTCTCATAAGGAAAATATATGCTCCTGAGACTTGAGGTGGAGGATATTTGGTTTAGGTGCACTTGAAAACCTTGAATCCCCTGATCCCTGAACCTACTGGGTCTGCAAAAGTGGACCACTCTCCTTGTTGGAAGGCTACTTGGAGTCCTACAGTGAGACCTTACAATAGAACAGTTTCCTTCAGCATCTATACTCATACACCATCATGGCCACCAGATCTATAACTAGGGTGAAATCTCAGGATAACCTTACTGGAGAAGTGCTGGGTTGGATAGGAAAAGAGAATTACATATCAAAGAAACTGTAGAATCTGGCTACTACGGTATGGCAAGAAACTCAGTGGTCAATATAGTATATTTATAGTTGCAATTTTAGAATTACAAGCTGAGGAATGATTAAGTAAACTTCAGTGTACCTGAATATTATAATATTTTACATTCTCTTTAATAAAGTGCTTTGTTTTGATTTCACATACAGGTACTTTGATATTTCCCAATCATGGCTCAAATTAAAGTCTCAACTCGATTTTAAAGTCTTCTCAAATAAATGAACATATACACATAATCTATTTCATAATTTAAATTATATTTTTATAAATTCCCATTGAAAATAAAAATTACTTTATTCAAAAGAAATTGGATTATACTAAATATCATTTTATTTCTGAGTATATTCTCTCAATATTGTTATTATTTCAATATCCTGAAATTACTTTAATCATACCAAATTTGAAGAAATTTTACTTTATAATTTGTAATTTCCCTGGGGTCCTGAAATCTGGAACGAGTTAAATGATCTTTTTTCCAATATGAGAGAAACATATATTTTTAAGGAGATCCTTGAAGGTAATGACTCTATAACCAGATTTTCGCAAACTGTATTTACCTGCTGAGAAGACAATTTAATATATTTTAACTTGATTTAGAACATATTTCAGTTGAATGCTAAATATATTATCTCCATATATTTTTCTACAGAGTGATGCTAACTGATGATTATTTTATGGATAAGGAAAGAATTAAAAATTTTTTAATTAAAACTACCCCATCTAGACATTTGACTAGATGGTCCAGGTAGAAATATAAATAGATGATTTATGTAAAAACAAACATGAATGTATGGAGTCATATGCTGGCTAGTATGTTGTATTAGTCCATTTTCACAATGCTATAAAGAAATACTCTAGACTGGGTGATTTATAAAGGAAAGAGGTTTAATTGACTCACAGTTCCTCATGGCTAGGAGAACCTCAGGAAACTTACAATCATGGCAAAAGACAAAGGAGAAGCAAGCACCCTCTTCACAAGGCGGCAGGAAAGAGAGTGACTGAAGGAGGAACTGCCAAACGCATAAAACCAACACATTTTGTGAGAACTCACTCACTATCATGAAAACAGCATGGAGGAAACCATCCTTATCATCCAATCACCTCCCTCCCTTGACACGTGGGGATTACAGTTGCAGGTGAGACTTAGGTGGGAACAGAGAGCCAAACCATATCATATGCGGATGTCAAGTGCATCCATTTGAAGATGCGCCTTTTAAAACATAAATACCTGTGAGGATCACTTCAGTCACTACCTTCTACCAGAGGTTTTCCCACTGTGGTCCTTGGATCCTAAGGCTTCCTCAGCAGAATGTGAAAAGTCATTTTAGTTGCAAAGAGACAGAGCTCTAGGCTTCCAACTCTCAATTCAATAAAAGTGGCTTCATTCCTGTCTACCATATGCATTGGATTTCTAATAAGTTTGCATTTGAGGAAAAAATAGTTACATTTGAAGAGTATTGCCTTTGTTGACAGTCAAGAGGAAGATAATTAAGATTTTTGTCCTAATGAATTCAATCTGCCAAGGTGAGTCCTTTGCTTGGAATAGCAAGTTATAGACCTCACTATCACACGTTAATAACATTATATCATATGCATGAAAAAATTTAACTCCCTGAATAGATGGCTCACTGAAAAATAAATTGCTTAATCTTAATTTTTAAATTTAACTTTTAAGTTATTTACTCAAATTGCAATTAACATTTGCTCTTTCCATTTTCTGAGATGCTCCGTCCTTGCCTCCACCCTCCTTTCGCTTTCTACATTTCATTCTTCCTTCTAGTTTTAACTTAAAATCACCTCCCCAAAGAAGTTTTCCTAATCTCACACTTTCTTCTTCCAGTTATATTTCCTTTATACTTTTACTGTGTCACTTTTTAACCTTATCTGTCTAGCTCCATGAGAACCATGCCTATCTGCTGACCACTGCCTCCCCAAATCTAGCAAATCTAGTGCTTAATACACACTCTGCAAATGTGGAAGGAAGAACATATACCTTAGTTAACAACATGACCTGTTTGTCACCAATTCTAGGTGGTTTTCTTAGAATTTCTAATTGTTCTTTCCTCGCACATTGCCGTTTCTCTTGCCATATACTGACTAATACAGCTGTCTGCTGGCTGACATCACTCTCCCTTTTCATCAAGTTCACACACATTTTCCTGGCTTCCGAGAACTCCACGTCACATCTGCCTTTGCTTCATCTATGATTTTCCATTGAAACATTCTGCTCATTGTCAAATTGGTCTTTTGACTATCCCTTGCTGAACCAGTGTTTTCTTACTGTCAACCCTGAAATACCGCCTGCACTGATGTCCTCGCCTAAAGCCCTTTCCAGGTTACATGGGTCACTTTTTTCTTGACTGCCTAGTGCAGATATTGTTAGTATGATGCTTATCCAGTAATTCACTGTGTTTCTATATTGCTTTCTTAGTTTTGATCAAATAACAACTATGTGACTTTATGTAGACTGTTGGACCCAGATCGGGAACTCAATAGACACTTGTTGATTGATTGATTGCTGTATAACATTTACACCAGTACATTCTGAAACCCTTGCCTTATAAATTAGGTTAGTAGATTTTTGCTCTTAAAAAAATCAATGCTAATTTTGAAATAATATCAAGGTTACAGAAGACCTGAATGTATAGTATAAGAACTTTAAAAGTTGCCAACCTTGTGTCTGACCACCTCCAAATACCCTAGCATGTATTTCTGTCAAAGAACTTTTGCTACATAACCATTATACGATACAACCATCAACATCAGGAAATTAATACTGATACATTTCTCCTATCTAAACTTAGACCCCCATTCAAGTTTTTCCAGTTGTCTCAATATAGCTTTTTATAGCAAAAGATTCCAGTTCGGAATCATCATGCATTTCATTTTTATGTGTCTTTAGTCTTTATGACTCTTTTGAAGATTACTTACCTAGTATTTGTAAAATGTCCATCAATTGGTGTTCATCTGGTGTTTTCTTATGATTACACTCAGATTATTCATCTTTGGGAGTAATACACAGAAATGATGCCACTTACTGCGCTCTATTTGGTGGCACATGATTTTAATTTGTTACATTACTAATAATATTTACTTTGCTCACTTGATTAAGGAAGTATCTCCCAGGCTGCTGCACTTTAATGTTACCCTTTTTCTCTTTTTAATTAGCAAGTACATTGTGAAGAGCTATTTTTTAACTATGTAAATATCCAATTCTTCATCAAACTTTCAATTTATTGTTTTATGGTTTTCTATTTCAATCAGTGGGTCACAAAACATTGCTATCATTATTTGGGTGCTCAACTTCTCATGGATTTGCTCAGTGAAACACTATTTAAGCTAGCTTCTGTGAACTCTTGGGATATTCCCATCATTCTTTGAGCACGTACTTGCTTTCTGGGATACAGTGATATTTCAGGCTCATCTTATAGTCTCCTTGCCCAAACCAGAACTCAGCCATTTTTCCAGGGAACTCATACCTTCAAGTGGGGAATGATCATTAGAAGCCAAGATTAGGATGGTAGGTATATTCATTGCTATTGGGCTATCATTGCTTGCAGACTGTCTTGGTGGACAGAACTAGAGAATATACATGTACATATGTTGTAATTTCTACTGTTATGGTTTCTTTCTAATTTGGTCTTGAGGTTTCTCTCCAGTTTTGATTCATCCTCACTCTAGGATACCTCCTTGTGGGTACCCTCTTCACACATCTGTGCCTTAGGGGTCTCCTCAGCACAGTTGTCCTCTGACATGCACAACCATTTTTCTCTCCATGTGGTTGTATCCTTTCCTGTTTGGGCTCTGCTATCCCACATCAAAACTTTTCCCATGTGTGGTCAGTTTCATCATTCCACCTGGTTTATGACACCTAATGACAAGATGCTCATTTGCAAAGATACCCTCCTCACCCTGCTTAGACTCTAAAACTGAGCTAGGTCATCCCATAGACTATTTCCTTTTAACTCTGTTCAGATTCTGACTCCCCACTCGAGCCATTCCCACCCTTTGATGTCTTTCTCCTTCTGCTTGGGCTTTGATACCCTAAGCTGATCACTCCCTGCATGTGGATGCCTTGTTCACTTGGCTTGGTTCCCAGCACTCCACACCAGGCCACGCTTCCACCTAGATGCCTAACTTGCTCTGCCTAGCTTCAGAGCATCAGGACTGAAAGCCTTAACTCAGGAAGAGAAGGAGAGGATAAAGGAAAAGGAAGAAAAAAGATCTTTGATGTTTTGATGTTTTTGCTTGCTCATAGTCACCAACATTTTTCTTCTTTCTATTGTTTTTCTTTTTTTCCCCAAAGAATCACTTCTAATTTAATTTGAGACCTCTTCTTTCAGAGAAACTCTTGTTTTCCTAATCAAATATCACAACACTAGCTTCTCTATTACATATTCTTTCTCTCTCTTTTTTTTTTTTTTTTTTTTTTTTTTTGAGATGGAGTCTCACTCTCTCGCCAGGCTGGAGTGCAGTGGCGCGATCTGGGCTCACTGCAACCTCCGCCTCTTAGGTTCAAATGATTCTCCTATCTCAGCCTCCTGAGTAGCTGGGACTACAACCATGCGTCACCACACCCAGCTGATTTTTTGTATTTTTAGTAGAGATGGGTTTCACCTTGTTGGCCAGGAGGGTCTTGATCTCTTGACCTCGTGATGCTCCCACCTCGGCCTCCCAAAGTCCTGGGATTACAGGCGTGAGCCACTGCGCCCGGCAACATATTCTTTTATGAAAGTCACAACACAGATATAACTCGACACACTGGGTATTTAATAAATATGACTATTTTAATTCACAGCAGTGTAATGAATTATTGGTCCAGCATGAAGAGCACTGCTTTGCAAACTCTTAAGTAGGAGTAGAACCTTACAGCAATTCATAATATGTATCATTATTTTATTCATTTCATTTTCTCATAATACTGCAACAATACTTCAAAAGTGAAAAATCAGGCCAAACACCAGTGAATCTAATTGTAACGAACCTATAACTTTTATCTGCATTGGAATGTCTCAAGTGTTATATTACTTGACATTATCTATTTACATTCTTTTAGTAGTGAAATGCTCAGTTCATTTTGAAAATTAAATAAAAATGTAAATACAACACAAAATGTGGTTTTCCCAGGCAAGCAATATGCTATTTTACTGTTTGTCACATACTCACAGTAGAAATAAAACCATATGTATATATATATAATCATGAAGGTTCATGTTACTTGTTTTGACAGTGTTTAACAAAGTATTTGAGATTGTGATATTAGCACATGTTCTAATCAGTCAAATATTTATTCATGTCAGAAATAACAAAGACTCTGCATTCTAGACAATGGGTTATCCCATTATCTGGTATAACCACCCTTAAGATAAAGCAAACCTCTTTTGAGACAAATTAAGAAAATAAAGGATGTTTGAACAGACATGCTGCTTTAAGTAGGAGTTAGATGACTACCTAAATGCATATTATCTTTTTAATGAAAAGACAACTTTTGTAGGCTTCCTTAATTGTAAGTGAACAGAATTTCCTTCTTACTAATATTAGTTAAAAATAGTCCAGTGAGTTCCAGTGGCTTAAACAAACCAAATATTCCAAGCTATTTCAGTTACATCTGGTGGCAGAAGTAACAAGATTTCATCAGGCATTCTGTAAGAATGATTAGAGAGGAAAAAAACTAGTGTTTTGGGACGCATTCTGTGCATTGCGCACTATGTTATTTTTTATCTTCTTTAATTTACTTCTCAAGCAACCCTGAAAGATACAAATAACAGCAAATTAAAAGAGAGGTTAAGTAACTTGCCTTATCATTTTCTATTATGGGGATGAACACTCCTTGGGGCATGCAAAGAAGACAATGTCAATGGCAGCTCCTAGAATGATGCAATGTGGTGGCCCTGTATAAAGGTTAAACATAAATTAGTTTCTTCCTCAACTTTCCATGGCATCATTTTCCTTCCCAAACAAGCTTTGTACGATATTTCAAGAAAGCTTGTAGAGATTCATGAATTTTAAGCAAAACCAAAATCAGGAACTATATTTCAGTCTGCATATAACATTTCTTCAATGAGGAAAACAGTTGAAAACACTAAATGATGTTATGTGGACATAGCAGAAAGTCACTCTGAAGTTATCCAGTTTCCTAATTTTGGCAAACTGGATAACTTTTAACATTGTCCTTATCTAGAAAAATGATTATGACTTCTTTATTAAAGGTTGCAAGAGTAACCTTTAATATCAACCTCTGATTTTACAGTCCTGCATGGCCAAGAATTATAAACTTTTTAATTTTATTCAATATGGCTTTTATATATCTCATCATATTAGCCACTGATCTTACATTAATGTCAGAGAGGTGTTTAATACATGTCTGACACTGGAATTAAAAATGCTATTAATGTGAAGAAGAAAGGTTGTTTCTTCTTTTTAATCTCAGCTGGTCTTAAAGATTGTTCTTCAACTTTTATTTTACTCCCTTCACCCCTCTGGCCCTCTTCTTTCAAATTGGCAGCCCCTAAATGTATCTCTAACTCAGTTTTCTAGTGTCAAATTGTGAAGTTAATGTCAGTTGAGAAGATATATTTAAGAACTTCAAAGGACGCTCTTTGGAATTGTAAGAGTGGTATTTAATGAAAAGAAGAGATGGTCATTGTCACCTGCATGCAATATTTTATGTTTCATCTGCTTGTGATTGTTTCCCCACCACTCATATATATCAACATATACAAAATACACACACACACACACAGACACACACACACACCCCACATATGCTTTGATGTTTTACAACCGTCTGCACTTTATTAGCTAAACCGCCTTGGGAAAGTCAATTGCACTTGCAGAACTTAATCTTGCTCATTGAGCAACAGAAAAATAATGACACTACCTTTGTTATTAGATAATTATAAGAATTCAATGAGTTAAAATATGAAGACAGCTTAATATATAGTCAACAAAAATATTGTCTACACAAAATTTGTAAACTATTGTTTATAATCTACCAGTTGATTTGATCACATTTAACATTTTATTAAATATTACTGCTTATAATTATTTAAATTTCTAATTTGTATTGGTTTTATGTACTCCACTATATAATATGTGCCTTAGGGACACTGATTTCTAAGATAAATTCATAGATTGGCTTATAGATTAGTTCATTAGAATCACTAACATATTAAATTTTAGAACTAAGAAGAGGTTTTACTTATTATAGTACTAACACGTTGCTAATTATAAAATTGTTTAAGTGATTAAATACTTGGTCTGTGAAATAAAAATTTATGGTTAGTGGAAGAAGTGATTTGAACTAATTTATATTTTGATATTGGAGAGATGTAACTAGGGACACTTTGAAAGGCTAAGAGATTTTTACTTGCACTTGAATTTGAATTTCAATAGTATAGTTTCATAAAATCAAAATCTTCAGAATTTAGGGGTGAAAATTTGCCTGGTTTAGTAAACTTTAAGTAATGTAGGCCTACCTATTCCCTGAGACTCAACAATATTGAAATTAGGTCAATTAACTTGATTTTAAGTAATGTGGCAACATATAGAAATTGTTCAAACTTACGTAGACACCATCATTTACCTCAATCTTCAAACTTATTTGACCAATGATATAATCTTGAACTGAAAAGAAAACTCTGTTTAAATATGCAAGATATGCAAGTGTACTTCGTTTTATTGTGCTTTACTTTATTGTGCTTCACAGAGATTGTGTTTTTTTACAAATTAAAGCTTTGTGGCAACCCTGTATTAAGCAAGTCTATCAGTGCCATTATTGCAAAAACATGTGCTTAGTTTGTGTCTCTGTGTCGCATTTTGGTAATTCGGCTATATTTCAGACACTTCATTATTATTATAACTCTGATGGTGATCTGTAATCAGTGATCTCTGATGTTAGTACCATATTGTATTTGTTCTGGGGTGCTACAAACCACACTCAATACCACAAATAAATGTGTATGTTCCAAACTGCTCCATCGACCAACCAGCCATTACCCCATCTGTCTCCCTCTCCTTGGGCCTCCCTATTTCCTGAGACACAACAATATAGAAGTTAGGTCAATTAACAACCCTACAATGACCTCTAAGTATTCGAGTGAAAGAAAGAGTAACATGTCTCTCACTTTGAATCAAAAGCTGGAGGTGATTAAGCTTAATGAGGAAGGCACGTCAAAAGCTGAGATAGGCTGAAAGCTAGGCCTTTTGCAACAGACAGTTAGCCAAGTTGCGAATACAAATAAAAAGTTCTTGAAGGGAATTAAAAGTGTTACTCCAGTAAATACAAATGATAAGAAAGCAAAACAGGCTTATTGTTTACATGGAGAAAGTTTGAGTGGTCTGTATACATCAAATAAGGCACAACATTTCATTAAGCAAAAGCCTCATTCAGAGGAAGACTCTAACTCTTCAATTCTATGAAGGCTGAGAAAGGTGAGGAAGCTGCAGAAGAAGGATTTGAAGCTAGCAGAGGTTGGTTTGTGAGGTTTAAGGACATAAGCCATCTCTGTAACACACAAGTGCAAGATGAAGCAGCAAGTGCTGATGAAAAATCTGCAGTAAGTGATCCAGAAGATCTAGCTGGGATCTTTGATGAAGTTGGCTACAACTCAACAACAGATTTTCCACGTAGGCAAAATAGCCTTCTATTGAAAGAGGATGCCATCGAGGACTTTCCTAACTAGAGAAGAGAAGACAGTTCCTGTCTTCAAAGTTTCAAAGGGCGAATTGCCTTTATAATTAGCGTCTACTGCAGCTGGTGACTTCAAGTGGAACCCAGTGCTAATTTATCACGCTGAAAATCTCTTGAGTCCTTAAGAATTATGCTAAATCTACTCTACCTATGTTCTGTAAATGGAACCACAAAGCCTATATAACAGTACAATTGTTTACAGCATGGTTTGCTGAATATTTTAAGACTACTTGAGAACTACTGCTCAGAAAATAAGATTTCTTTCAAAATATTACTGCTCAATGACAATGCACCTGATCACCCCAAGAGCTCTGATGGAGATGTACAAGGAGATTAGTGTTGTTTTCATGTCTGCTAACACAACATCCATTCTGCAGTTAAAATCATTAATTTTACATGAGCAGAAGACCATTAATTTTACATGAGCAGAAAATACAGAGACATAAAATAATATGAATAAAATATCAGAGAGCCACTCTCAGGACCATATTACTCCTATTAGTTAATCATTTTAAGAACTATATACAAGTCATTGGAATAAGTGCTTCACCCAGATTATCTCATTTATTCCCTATAAAACCCAGCAAGGTATGTTCTACCATTGTTTGTATAATTACATAATTGTACAATTGTATTTTTAAACTATAGAAATGAAAACTTGAATTAATTAAATTTCCCAAAGTCACAAAGATAAAAAATGGCTCAAATCAATCCAGGCTTCTGGGGCTAAACAAAAAGGCAAACCCTGAATCCCCCTAGTTCTCTTTTGAACAGATCATCTTGTATAATTCCCTTTTTGATAGTAACATGATTAAGGAAGTAGTATGATTATGTCTTTTGTTGATTTTTTAAATATTGAATTTTCATATCAATATGTGGGTACTTTCTTAGTTTTTTTCTTATGAATAATGCATGCTAAAATGTTTTCAATGCTTATAATTATGTTTTTGCACTTTTTTGGTTAATGTTAGAAAATTTATAGGTAACTATATAGAAAAAAAATAATGACCCATTATGTCACTTTCAAGAGACATTTATTATTTATATCTTGGACTACTTTGGTTTTCTTTCCTTCTTATGTTTTCTACGTGGAGTTTGTTACATTTGCCATTTTGTGTTTTTATTTTTTGTATACCATATTATAAATATATTCTAATGTTATCAACAAATGTCACATTCAACATCTTTAAAGAACATTTAAAACATTCATAAATATAGAATATGGCAGTAAACCCATGTGCTCATTATGCAGCATCAACATGGGGAATATTTCCTCTGTAACTTTTCTCACTTCCTTCTGCTCCAATTATCATAATTTCATTGAAATATCACTTATGACAGTCGAATGTTATTTAATCTCATAATAAAGCATATTTTACTTATACAAATTCTGGTTATAATGGAAATCTTGTCACCATGTTCTTTTTTTTAATTATTATTATTTTTGTACAGATTAGGTCTCATTATGTTGCCCAGGCTGGTCTTCAACTGGGTTTAAGTGATCCTCCCACCTTGGCTTCCAAAGAGCTGGGATTACAGGTGTGAGCCACCATGCCTGGCTTCACCATGTTCTTTACTAGACCATCCACAATGTTCTGTCATTACCTTAAGAAGGCCTTTTAAGGCTTTCACATGACCTATTGTGAAATATAATACTTCCTGTAACTTTTATGCTTCTGAATCCTCACCAAGATTCTCTAGTGTATACATAACATATTGACACACCAAATCAACAAAAGAGCAAAACTCTGATTTCAATCCCTTTTGAAACCGTACAATTCACAACTGGTAATTTTGTAGACACACAAAGAATTACCTCGTAGACGGAAAGACACAGTTATGAGTTCTGATGCAGGCATCAGAAAGTGAACACAACTTCTATCTTAAAATATTAACAGCACTACCTTATAACATCCTTCTTTTCATTATAAACTCAATTTGTTTTAACACTTCCATTGATTGGCCCTCACCTTTACCTGGGAGGATATTTATCAGGTTGATTTACATTTCTTGCCCACATAATGAAGCTAGTGAAAAATGTCTGCCTCCCAAATACTGCCTCAGAGGCCTCACCTAAATTCTGTCAATAATGAGTTGGGAAACAAGAGCATCAGAAAAAAACAATCTTTTATAAAAACTAGAAATTGTTTATGAGATAAAACAATATCTTAAGGCCAATTGCAAGGACACTTGGTTCTATGACCATAAGCAAAAAAGTTTTGTCAACAATTCCCTTTAGAAGTCCATTTCTGAAAGGATTTCTGGAAGGCTTATAGCTGTGGTGATTCAGTTCCCTTGGGTCCCAATCTGACTTTAAAAAAATGATGATCTTAAATCATATTTGCCAATTCATCCAAGTTAAGAATTGAATTAATATTTTACTCTGTGTCATACTTACGCTTTCTACATTCATTACTTTTTTCTATAAATTCTGTGCTCATTTTATAACTGAGACACACATTCAGACTTATTTTTGTGTTTAGTTCACTTTGCATTTAATTTTCATTCTTTCTCTGCAGTTCATTAAGTATATGACTTTTAAGACTGCATTCACATCCTATATTCAGCAGTGCTATTTGGTTCCTGAGTATTAATTAATAAATTACATGTGTTTCAATTTACTGAAGGCTTATCATGCGCCAGGCACTTTACATACTTTATCTCAAATCTGACCTCCCCCCGCCATACAAGGTAGATATTACTACTTCTTATTACAGGTGAGTTAACTGAGGATCATCAAGGTTAAGAAACTTCATATGATCACCAAAGGGGAGCACAGTTCTGACTGAATATGAGGTCTAACTCTTCTTGAATATTTTCTGAATAGGTGTTATAAGTATTTTCCTCTAACAATATTCTTGTCCTTGGAGCATTCTCACTATTAATATAATAAACTATGAATTTCAGTTATATCATTGGCCTCTTTGAGTGGAAAATTTATGATTCAACTAAAGTGTATTAAACTGTGTCTATTACAGACACATAAAATTTCATTTCTAAAAGTCTTTAAAAATTATTTAGTTTAGCCCAATACAAAAAGAACATTTCCTTATTCTGTCGATATATTTATAGTGATATAATGTTAGTACTACTAACAAATCAGGTCTAATTGTTGCAGTTGGCTCAGATGAACTTCTACTTGTAAATACTTCACTAGCGTTTCCTTTTTATTAACATAAATATTTGAAAGTAAAGCTATTTCACTACTTTAAAAATACTACATGATTCAAAAGGTCAGAATTCTCAAGATACATATGGGTTACATATTTCAGGGTCGTTATTTGTGTCCTTATCCCTAGCCCTGGGTGGATTTTTTTTAAAGTGAAACCATTGATCATTGTTGACAGGGCTGAGTTTTAGCATATTAGGGTTAACAATTTACAGCTCTAAAAATATGGCTGTAAAATTCACATCAAATTACAATGGTTTTTGCTTTGTGTGTTTTTTTTTTTTTTTTTTTTTTTTTTTTTTTTTTTTTTTTTGGAGACAGAAGCTCGCTCTGTCACCCAGGCTGAAGTGCAGTGGCACCATCTCGGCTCACTGCAACCTCCGTCTCCCAGGTTCAAGCAATTCTCCTGCCTCAGCCTCCTGTGTAGCTGGGACTACAGGCACCTGCCACCATGCCTGGCTAATTTTTTTGTATTTTAGTAGAGACGAGGTTTCACCGTGTTGCCCAGGCTGGTCTCAACTCCTGAGCTCAGGCAATCCGCCCACCTCGGCCTCCCAAAGTACTAGGATTACAGGCGTGAGCCATGGCACCAGACCTCAAATTGCAAAATTGAAGCACATTTTAGAATTCTAGTGCTATAGAATTTTAGCACTTGCTAATGCTATAGAATTTTAGCACTTGCTAATGCTGTAGAATTTTAGCACTTGCTAATGCTGTAGAATTGAAGCAGTACTGAGCACCTCCTTTCAATATAGCAATGTTGAAAGCATCAGGAGTTTCCAAGGTGATTATGATTATTTACCTGACTCCTTAGAGAGTATGATCTAATGAATGCAAAAATACCTGCTGAAGCTGGAGTTCACCATCTGCATTGCTTTACACTATATTCTAATAGGAGAATAACAGCTATTGGTGAAAACTTAAAGCCCTTTAGATCCTCTAAAGGTGGTCTAGTAGCCTAGATATTTTTGAAGTGATAAACAGAGGAAAAAAATTGTAGGTATTGATTTGATTATCAGCTAGCTAATAATAACAAAGAAAAATCTGGAATTCACCCATAATTTTTTCCTGTATTATTTTTGTCAAATTTGGCCAATAAGTTTATATCGGTATCTTTTTTTACTCTCTGAAAGAATATCTTTAAAACATGGATTATTCTTCTCTTAAATTTTCCATAAAACTCTCCCTAATACTACTTATTATGCTGTGTGTGTGTGTGTGTGTGTGTGTGTGTGTGTGTGTGAGAGAGAGAGAGAGAGAGAGAGAGAGACAGAGACAGAGTCTCACTCTGTTGCCCAGGCTGGAGTGCAATGAAGTGATCTCAGCTCATGGCAACCTCTGCCTTCCAGGTTCAAGTGATTCTCCTGCCTCAGCCTCTGAGTAGCTGGGACTACAGGTGTGTGCCACCACGCCCGGCTAATTTTTGTATTTTTAGTAGAGACGAGGTTTCACCATGTTGGCCTGGCTGATCTCTAACTCCTGACCTCAAGTGATCCTCCTGCCTTGGCCTCCCAAAGTGCTAGGATTACAGACATAGGCCACCATGCCTGGCCTATTATGCATTTTTGAAAAGATTATTTTTTACTAAAGTGATCCAAATAGTTAGCGGCTATTTTCGTTTTTCATTTGCCTGGTATATATTTTTCTATTTCCTTATCTTCAATCTTTCTTTTTTTTTAATTTATTATTATTATACTTTAAGTTTTAGGGTACATGTGCACAATGTGCAGGTTAGTTACATATGTATACATGTGTCATGCTGGTGCGCTGCACCCACTAACTCGTCATCTAGCATTAGGTATATCTCCCAATGCTATCCCTCCGCCCTCCCGCCACCCCAAAACAGTCCCCAGAGTGTGATGTTCCCCTTCCTGTGTCCATGTGTTCTCATTGTTCAATTCCCACCTATGAGTGAGAACATGTGATGTTTGGTTTTTTGTTCTTGCGATAGTTTACTGAGAATGATGATTTCCAATTTCATCCATGTCCCTACAAAGGACATGAACTCATCATTTTTTATGGCTGCATAGTATTCCATGGTGTATATGTGCCACATTTTCTTAATCCAGTCTATCATTGGTGGACATTTGGGTTGGTTCCAAGTCTTTGCTATTGTGAATAATGCCGCAATAAACATACGTGTGCATGTGTCTTTATAGCAGCATGATTTACAGTCCTTTGGGTATATACCCAGTAATGGGATGGCTGGGTCAAATGGTATTTCTAGTTCTAGATCCCTGAGGAATCGCCACACTGACTTCCACAATGGTTGAACTAGTTTACAGTCCCACCAACAGTGTAAAAGTGTTCCTATTTCTCCACATCCTCTCCAGCACCTGTTGTTTCCTGACTTTTTAATGATTGCCATTCTAACCAGTGTGAGATGGTATCTCATTGTGGTTTTGATTTGCATTTCTCTGATGGCCAGTGATGGTGAGCATTTTTTCATGTTTTTTGGCTGCATAAATGTCTTCTTTTGAGAAGTGTCTGTTCATGTCCTTTGCCCACTTTTTGATGGGGTTGTTTGTTTTTTTCTTGGAAATTTGTTGGAGTTCATGGGTAGGAAGAATCAATATCGTGAAAATGGCCATACTGCCCAAGGTAATTTACAGATTCAATGCCATCCCCATCAAGCTACCAATGACTTTCTTCACAGAATTGGAAAAAACTACTTTAAAGTTCCTATGGAACCAAAAAAGAGCCCGCATCGCCAAGTCAATCCTAAGCCAAAAGAACAAAGCTGGAGACATCACACTACCTGACTTCAAACTATACTACAAGGCTACAGTAACCAAAACAGCATGGTACTGGTACCAAAACAGAGATATAGATCAATGGAACAGAACAGAGCCCTCAGAAATAACGCCGCGTATCTACAACTATCTGATCTTTGACAAACCTGAGAAAAACAAGCAATGGGGAAAGGATTCCCTATTTATTAAATGGTGCTGGGAAAACTGGCTAGCCATATGTAGAAAGCTGAAACTGGATCCCTCCCTTACACCTTATACAAAAATCAGTTCAAGATGGATTAAAGACTTAAACGTTAGACCTAAAACCATAAAAACCCTAGAAGAAAACCTAGGCAATACCATTCAGGACATAGGCATGGGCAAGGACTTCATGTCTAAAACACCAAAAGCAATGGCAACCAAAGCCAAAATTGACAAATGGGATCTAATTAAACCAAAGAGCTTCTGCACAGCAAAAGAAACTACCATCAGAGTGAACAGGCAACCTACAAAATTGGAGAAAATTTTCGCAACCTACTCATCTGTCAAAGGGCTAATATCCAGAATCTATCTTCAATCTTTCAATGTAGTTTTCTTTTTCTCTTGATTTGCTTTTTTTCTAAGATGCAAAAAGCTACATTATAAATTATGTCTATATGCAAGTATAGATAAAAATATGTGAATATATATATAGACATTTTTGAGACAGGTCTCACTAGCCTTGACCTCTTGAGCTCAAGGAATCTTCCCACCTCAGCTTCCTGAGTAGCTGGGAGTACAGGTGTGCACCACCACATCTAGATAATGGCTTTTAATTTTTTTATTTTTGTAGAGACAGGGTCTCACTATGGTGCCCAGGCTGTTCTGGAACTCCTGGACTGACATAATCCTCTCACCTCAGACTCCCAAAGTGCTGGGATTTTCTATATTTTAATAGGTGAGTTACATCTATTACATTTTTACTAGTTACTGATACATTCTGACTAATTTCTGCCTTTACAGTTGTGCTTCTGTTAAACACGCTTTCTTTTTGCTACTTCGCCCCCTTACTTCTGTTAATGAAGTTTTTATTCTCTGATGTCACTTGAAATGCATAATTTTGTTTCTAATGTTTCTAAGTCTAAAATATTCAACATCTCTATCTTCTGTCAGAGGAAGACATAGAACTTAGCAAGTACCATTCTATTCCATACTCACCCACTTCATTTCTATGTCGAGAATTTCAATTGTAATTTTTATAAAAATAATAATTCCCTTTTTTTTTTTTAGATGGAGTCTCCCTCTGTTGCCCAGGCTGGAGTGCAGTGGCATAATCTTGGCTCACTGCAACCTCCGCCTCCTGGGTTTAAGAGATTCTCCTGCCTCAGCCTCCCTGAGTAGTTGGGACTACAGGCACGTGCCACCACGCCCAGCTAATTTTTTTTTTTTTTTTTTTTTTGTATTTTTAGTAAAGATGAGGTTTCACCATGTTGGCCAGACTAGTCTCAAACTCTTAACCTTAGGTGATCTGCCCGCCTCAGCCTTCCAAAATGCTGGGATTACAGGCCTGAGCCACCATGCCCGGCTAAAAATAAGAATTATTTAATGTCAATAGTAATTCTTTATTGCTTTTTTTCTTAGTTATTTTACTTATATTTGCTTCTTGCATTTCTCTCTTTGGATTCATAATTCTTACTGAATTAATTCTTCTAGTAAGCCTTTTCCAGGGGTTCTGCATGTTTGAAATGTCTTGATTTTATTATGAAAAGTTTAAGCTGTTTATAGAATTCTAGTTTTATAGCTAATTCCACTTAACTTTTATTGTTGCTATTGAGAAGTCTGCTGTTAATCTAATTGTCTGTTCTTGGTAAAAGGTAAAATTTATTTGCTAGGAATTATTACTCCAGAGGTAACTTTTACTACCTCTGCTTTATTTTTATTTGCTTTATTTTTGATGTTTTGAAATTTCACAACAATGTGTTTAGATGCAGATTTATTTTTTAAAATGCTCTTGGCATTTGATATTCACTTTCAATTTGAGTAAACATCTTTTTAAAATTCTGAAAAACTCTAAATAAATATCTTTTAAAATATTGCCTTTCTATCAATCATTCTTTTCTTAAAATCTAGAACACTTGTTAAGCATATGGGGGTGTTTTTCATTCATTTTTGACTTCCACTATCATTCAGCTTTCAGTTTACTATTGTAGCTTTATCTCTGTAGTTTATATTTTGGTTCATTGAATTTTTTGTTTCAATGTCAAAAACGTTTTTATTCCTAGGATGTCAGATTGTTTTCTGTTTTAGTTTGTTTCGTTTTTGACTCATAGTCACCTGCTTTTTTTCCACTGAAAATTTTTCTTCTTTTTTGTGTATATGGTTTACTTCTCACATCTGTTAATATATCAAGTATATACAGTTTTCGACTATGCTATTATTTGTAATTTTGCAGGAGTAAATTTCCTATTTGTAAAATGTGTTAGCTATCTTTCATGACCCGAATTTTCCTCATACAGTATGCAATTTTAATTTGTAAGGTAGTCACAAGTCTCTCTTTTTAACCCCTGTCCTTTACCCATTTCCCTTTTCTATTATTTTTTTTCAGTTGCTTCTACTCAGCTAACTTCAGATACAGGTTGTAGGTTGGTGGCTTGACTGGAAATCTTTGTTTTCTTCCTCACTAAATCTTCTCTCCACCTTTCTCCCTTCTCCTCTGGCACTGGTTCATTCAGATAGTGATTTTGGTTTTGAGTCTGCCTGTATCATTTAAATATCTAAATAAGATAAAGATTATTTAATATATTTTCAAAAAGTTAACCTATTCAAATACAGCATTTTTGTAAACCGAAACAAAAACTCATAAACCATCTTGAATACTGATGTTACACTGACATCTTAGTTACAATCATAAGATCCTATAAAAATCACAGGAAACCCTGTTATTTTAAAGAAAATGAAGTGAACTTCAGAAAAGACAGGTGACTTATACAATGCCACCCATCTGGTGAATGAAAAATAGAAAACCATAAACCAATGTTTTGGGCTTCTCACTTTATTACATATACCTACTTGATCATCTTTATACAAAATGTTAATTGACTTCTTCTGAAAATAGAAGATGACTTTATTTTAATTGGCAGAAACCGTTGTCTCGAAGTACCTTTGACTCTACATGATAGTGTCCCATAAGGCTGACCTAGTCTGTATGTGTATTATTTGTTTTGGCCCAAGTAAAGCTAATATTTTATATGGTTTCTACTATTAAAATGTGAGATAAAAAATACAGATTGCAACACTTGGAAACAGTAGGCAACATTCTAGTGGGGCAATACTCACAGAGATGAATAGCCTCTGTGTCCATTTAGATGGAGTGTTGTCAGTTCCCCAGATCCCATCCAGCTGCCTACACAGTCACACTCCCCACCTGCATCCTTAGTTAGTGACCCCTGCTCTAAACTCTCAAGTTGCTGTAACACCATCCTTCAAATGTCACATCTTTGGATTAAAACACAAAGTCTCTAATTAAGTGGTATGAGCTATGGCTCATAGCTCATATCACTTGCTCATAACTCATACCCCTTTAATAGAGAACATCTATCATAAACATCTACCATAAACGGATCCTACTGGAATGTTTTTTTTTCTGGCTGTTGCCTAATTTGCATTATCATTCCTTTAATATTTAATACTCAGTTTGTCCCCATTGAAACAAATAGGATAGCTCTACAGGCACAGAAGGTAAATGTGTACGTCTTTCAGGCTCATGAAGGCTTATAAACATCTACCATAAAAATCCTATTACACATTAGTTTTATCAGATTAAGTATTTTTGAGCAAAGCAAAATACTTTTTTAAAGAAAACATATTTTCTACTACTCCTGGGGAGGACGGGCAGGTGCAGGAGGTCATGGTACAGAACTCTACAAAGTTAGACGGCAGCTAAGAGGGCTTGGACACCTGAGGAGCCAGAACATAAACAGCTTGGGAGCCAGAAAAGGGAGAAAAGAGGGTGTTGATGGCATGTTTTACTTTCTTTCCAATTGCACTGGGTACTTACCTTAATGTCCTCACTCTACTTCTGAACGGTATAAGTCATCTACTTGCCACCACCCCCCACCCCCCAACCATGGGGACACAGTACTTGTGGGACTTGAGATCTGCCTAAAATTGAGTTCTCAGACTAAGGAAAACAATGCTTGATCCTGAAGGACCTACTCACTTACCTTCTGTGCCTGTGGACCTATCCTCCTTGTTTCAATGGGGACAAATTGAGTATTTAATATTAAAGGACTTATAACGCAAATCAGGCAAAAGCCAGAAAAAAATATCATCTCAGTAGGAGCTGTTTAAAGAACTGCCTTTTTTTTTTTTTTTTGGCTGTAGAGTTAATCAGTGAAAATAATTCTAAAATGATTCTATCATCTTTTTCATGTAACTTCACACAAGACCTAGAAATTACAAATCTGTTCTCAAATTTCCATTTGTGCAGTTCTGGTCATACATTCAGGTTTTGAAGGCTGCTAGCTAAATGTAATAGTTTATTTGGGTCTTCTGCCTTCTGGCTATCTCTAGCTTATTTTCTTGGAAATAATCAATCTGGATAATAAATATATTTGTATGTATACAAGCACACAAGAGATAAATTGTGTGCTGACATACAGTAATATTTCCCAGAACATACCCAGATAACATAAAGTACAATGTAAAGGAGGTTTTCTTTATGGTGTATAATAACACTAAAAACTATCTTAAGACCCTCTATTGGCTCTTTAAATCAGCTCATGCTTACACCCATTGCAGGACTCACCAAATGTATTTTTTTGCTAAGGCTGTTATAACAAAATATAATAGATTCCAACAACAGATATTTATTTGCTGACAGTTCTGAAGGCTAGAAGCCCAAGCTCAAGGTATGAGCAGGTTTGGCTTCTACTGAGGCTTCTTTTTCTTTTTCTTTTTCTTTTTCTTTCTTCTTTTCTTTTTTTGGGGGGGTCAGGGTCTGGCTCTGTCATCCAGGCTGGCTGGAGTGCAGTGTCATTATTTTAGCTCACCGCAGCCTTGACCTCCCCAGTCAAGCCATCCTCCCACCTAAGCCTCTTGAGTAGCTGGGACCACAGGCATGAGCCACCTTGTCTGGCTGATTTTTGTATTTTTTTGTAGAGCTAGATAGGGTTTTGCTGTGTTTCCCAGACTGGTCTTGATCTCTCTCTTTTTTTTTAAATAAGTATATTTATATTTTTATTATACTTCAAGTTCTAGGGTATATGCGCACAACGTGCAGGTTTGTTACATATGTATACATGTGCCATGTTGGTGAGCTGCACCCATTAACTCGTCATTTATATTAGGTATATCTCCTAATGCTACCCCTCTCCCCTCCCCCCATCCCACAACAGGACCCGGTGTGTGATGTTCCCCTTCCTGTGTCCAAGTGTTCTCATTGTTCAGTTCCCACCTGTGAGTGAGAACATGTGGTGTTTGGTTTTTTGTCCTTGTGGTAGTTTGCTGAGAATGATGGTTTCCAGCTTCATCCATGTCCCTACAAAGGACATGAGCTCATCATTTTTATGGCTGCATAGTATTCCATGGTGTATATGTGCCACATTTTCTTAATCCTGTTTATCATAGCTGGACATTTGGGTTGGTTCCAAGTCTTTGCTATTGTGAGTAGTGCCGCAATAAACATACGTGTGCATGTGTCTTTATAGCAGCATGATTTATATTCCTTTGGGTATATACCCAGTAATGGGATGGCTGGGTCAAATGGTATTTCTAGTTCTAGATCCTTGAGGAATCGTCACACTGTCTTCCTCAATGGTTGAACTAGTTTGCAGTCCCACCAACAGTGTAAAAGTGTTCCTATTTCTTCACATCCTCTCCACACCTGTTGTTTCCTGACTTTTTAAGGATCGCCATTCTAACTGGTGTGAGATGGTATCTCATTGTGGTTTCGATTTGCATTTCTCTGATGGCCAGTGATGATGAGCATTTTTTTCTGTCTGTTGGCTGCATAAATGTCTTCTTTTGAGAAGTGTCTGTTCATATCCTTCACCCACTTGTTGATGGGGTTGTTTGTTTTTTTCTTATAAATTTGTTTGAGTTCTTTGTAGATTCTGGATATTAGCCCTTTGTCAGATAAGTAGACTGCAAATATTTTCTCCCATTCTGTAGGTAGCTTGTTCACTCTGATGGTAGTTTCTTTTGCTGTGCAGAAGCTCTTTAGTTTAATTAGATCCCATTTGTCAATTTTGGCTTTTGTTGTCATTGCTTTTTGTGTTTTAGACATGAAGTCCTTGCCCATGACTGTGTCCTGAATGGTATTGCCTAGGTTTTCTTCTAGGGTTTTTATGGTTTTAGGTCTAACATTTAAGTCTTTAATCCATCTTGAATTGATTTTTGTATAAGGTGTAAGGAAGGGATCCAGTTTCAGCTTTCTACATACGGCTAGCCAGTTTTCCCAGCACCATTTGTCAAATAGGGAATCCTTTTGCCATTTCTTGTTTTTCTCAGGTTTGTCAAAGATCAGATAGTTGCAGATGTGTGATATTATTTATGAGGGCTCTGTTCTGTTCCATTGATCTATATCTCTGTTTTGGTACCAGTACCATGCTGTTTTGGTTACCGTAGCCTTGTAGTATAGTTTGAAGTCAGGTAGCATGATGCCACCAGCTTTGTTCTTTTGGCTTAGGATTGACTTAGCAATGCGGGCTCTTTTTTGGTTCCATATGAATTTTAAAGTAGTTTTTTCCTATTCTGTGAAGAAAGTCATTGGTAGCTTGATGGGGATGGCATTAAATCTATAAATTACCTTCAGCAGTGTGGTCATTTTCACGATATTGATTCTTCCTACCCATGAGCATGGAATGTTCTTCAATTTGTTTGTGTCCTCTTTTATTTCGTTGAGCAGTGGTTTGTAGTTCTACTTGAAGAGGTCCTTCACATCCATTGTAAGTTGGATTCCTAGGTATTTTATTCTCTTTGAAGCAATAGTGTATGGGAGTTCACTCATGATTTGGCTCTCTGTCTGTTATTGGTGTATAAGAATGCTTGTGTTTTTTGCACATTGATTTTGTATCCTGAGACTTTGCTGATGTTGCTTATCAGCTTAAGGAGACTTTGGGCTGAGACGATGGGGTTTTCTAGATATACAATCACGTCATCTGCAAACGGACAATTTGACTTCCTCTTTTCCTAATTGAACACCCTTTATTTCTTTCTCCTGACTGATTGCCCTGGCCAGAACTTCCAACACTATGTTGAATAGGAGTGGTGAGAGAGGGCATCCCTGTCTTGTGCCAGTTTTCAAAGGGAATGCTTCCAGTTTTTGCCCATTCAGTATGATATTGGCTATTGATAATGTTGAATATTGGCCCCCACTCTCTTCTGGCTTGCAGAGTTTCTGCCGAGAGATCAGCTGTTTGTCTGATGGGCTTCCCTTTGTGGGTAACCTGACCTTTCTCTCTGGCTGCCCTTAACATTTTTTCCGTTATTTCAACTTTGGTGAATCTGACAATTATGTGTCTTGGAGTTGTTCTTCTCGAGGAGTATGTTTGTGGTGTTCTCTGTATTTCCTGAATTTGAATGTTGGCCTGCCTTGCTAGGTTGGGGAAGTTCTCCTGCATAATATCCTGCAGAGTGTTTTCCAACTTGGTTCCATTCTCCCTGTCACTTTCAGGTACACCAATCAGATGTAGATTTGGTCTTTTCACATAGTCCCATATTTCTTGGAGGCTTTGTTTGTTTCTTTTTATTCATTTTTCTCTAAACTTCTCTTCTTGCTTCATTTCATTCATTTGATCTTCAATCACTGATACCCTTTCTTCCAGTTAATCGAATCGGCTACTGAAGCTTGTGCATGTGTCACGTATTTCTCATGTCATGATTTTCAGCTCCATCAGGTCCTTTAAGGACTTCTCTGCATTGGTTATTCTAGTTAGCCATTCATGTAATCTTTTTTCAAGGTTTTTAACTTCTTTGCCATGGGTTCGAACTTCCTCCTTTAGCTCAGAGAGGTTTGATCATCTGACACCTTCTTCTCTCAGCTCGTGAAAGTCATTCTCCATCCAGCTTTGTTCCATTGCTGGTGAGGAGCTGCATTCCTTTGGAGGAGGAGAGGTGCTCTGATTTTTAGAATTTTTAGTTTCTCTGTTCTGTTTTTTCCCCATCTTTGTGGTTTTATCTACCTTTGGTCTTTGATGATGGTGACGTACAGATGGGGTTTTGGTGTGGATGTCCTTTCTGTTTGTTAGTTTTCCTTCTAACAGGACCCTCAGCTGCAGGTCTGTTGGAGTTTGCTGGAGGTCCACTCCAGACCCTGTTTTCCTGGGTATCAGCTGTGGAAGCTGCAGAAAAGCGAATATTGCTGGACAGCACATGTTGCTGTCTGATCATTCCTCTGGAGGTTTTGTCTCAAAGGGGTACCTGGCCGTGTGAGGCGTCAGTCTGCCCCTTCTGGGAGCTGCTTCCCAGTTAGGCTACTCGGGGGTCAGGGACCCACTTGAGGGGGCAGTCTGTCCATTCTGAGATCTCAAACTCCGTGCTGGCAGAACCACTACTCTCTTCAAAGCTGTCAGGCAGGGACATTTAAGTCTGCAGAGGTTTCTGCTGCCTTTTTTTGGGCTATGCCCAGCCCCCAGAGGTGGAGTCTACACAGGCAGGCCGGCCTCCTTGAGCTGTGGTGGGCTCCACCCAGTTCGAGCTTCCTGACTGCTTTGTTTACCTACTCAAGCCTCAGCAATGGTGGGCACCCCACCCCCAGCCTCGCTGCCGCCTTGCCGTTCGATCTCAGACTGCTGTGCTAGCAATGAGCGAGGCTCCGTGAGCGGGAAGCTTCCGAGCCAGGCACAGGATATAATCTTCTGGTGTGCCATTTGCTAAGACCGTTGGTAAAGCGCAGTATTAGGGTGGGAGTGACCCAATTTTCCAGGTGCCATCTGTCACAGCTTTGCCTGGCTTGAAAGGGAATTCCCTGATCCCTTGCATTTCCCGGGTAAGGCGATGACTCACCCTGCTCTGGCTCACGCTCAGTGTGCTGCACCCACATCCTGCACCCACTGTCCGACAAGCCCCAGTGAGGTGAACCTGGTACCTCAGTTGGAAATGCAGAAATCACCCATCTTCTGCTGGGAGCTGTAGACTGGAGCTGTTCCTATTCGGCCATCTTGGAACCACCTCCTCTCAAACGCTTGAGCCCAAGTGATCCTTCTGCCTCAGCTTCCCAAAGTGCTGGGATTACAGGCATGAGCCACCATGCTGAGCTGAGGCCTCTGTTGTTGTTAATAAGTGGCTGCCTTATTAATGATTCTTACACAGTCTTTTTTCTATGCTTATGCATCCCTGGCATCTCTGGGTGCATGCAGATTTCCTCTTCTTATAAGGACACCAACCAGATTGGATTAGGACCCACCCTAATTACCTCATTTTTACTTAATCACTTCTTGAATGGCCTACCTTCAAATATGGCTGCATTCTGAGTTACTTGGGATTAGTGCTTAAATATATGAATTCTTTCGGGAGGACACAATTTCACCCACCACACCAAACATCTTGCATTGTTCACTTGATCTGTCTCCCATTACAAGTAAACTACATGAAGGCAGGAATCATGTCACATTAATCTTTGTGCTCGTTATTTCTAGCACTTTTGATTCTAAACTTTATGTAACTCAACCAGCTCATGAATGTAACTATGATGTTTTGCATTATTTAAAGACATTTCATCTGGTCCTGATGCATTTGGTTGGGAATAATGGATGCCCAAGGACTTATCTTCAACAAAATTACTCTTAGAAAAAATTTCAGAGCTAACTCTGCATTTAGGGAACTGAGGAATATACTTTTTCATTTAAAATGGATATGGAAAAATAACACAAGGAAAGAAATAATAAAAGTGTGTGAAAATAAATATATTTGGGAGTGGCTGTCACTTAATATACACTAGTTTCTACGTCAGATGCAGTAAGTCATTTTCCATACCTTTAAAGAGCTCATAACTAATTTACAGAAAAACATGTCCAGATGTTTAGAAATCCTTAGGAACAAATATGAACAAAATACATATAGATGAGAAGGTGCTAGCAAGTACTGCAAAGACAAGGATTAACAGACAAAATTCCTGTGGCTTAAAAAAATGCCTGTGGGTTTTGGCAACCAAAAGTGGTATCTTCACTGAGTACACTAGGTTAGAATCTGGACTTTACAGATAAAGGTGATACAATAGCACAGCTTAAATAGTTGGTTCCAGAGTATGAAAATTAATGATGGCAAAATTATCAGGAGGCAATTGAAAAAGAAATATCCATAGTGCTTTAATGACACAAAACTTGTAATTATTTTATTGACCAACATATTGCCTTTTTAAAAAATATTCTTTCAACTCTACAAAATAAGCTGTCATCATGAACTTCTCAATGATAATATATATTAAGTCCAAAACCCAGAAAAAGCCCAATGTTTTCAATGGACAGATAGCTAATTCATCATAACAAAATGATATATTCTTTTGTGTACCTGGAATGAGAGCTAACGTTCTGAAATTTAGGTCACAACTCATCAAGTGATGGTTTATTTTTCTGCTGAATGATAAGGCAGGAAAGAAGAAGAAATAAAGGACAACACTTATCATACCTCAATGTCAGAAACCAACCTTTCTAAGTTTATAGGAAAATTCCCATTAGCTTAAAACTTGACAGTTGCCAAGTACTTCATGTCTCCTTGTCCTATACACATTCCATGACAATATTTAATTTTTTCTTATCTTTTTAGCTCAAGGTGTTATTTCCAACTCTTCAAGGTCTAAAGGACACTTTATATTGCTTCAACAGAAAAATCAGCCCACACTTTAGGTAAGCCTCTTGGAAAACACGTATTTATCAGTTGATGTTGGCTGCATTTCTCTTTCTCTGCCTTGGCATAGTTTGCGTTTCTCTCATGTTTATCTTAAGAGCTACATGTGCTAGCACAGAAGCAAGTTGGGTGTACGGAGTGTCCTAAACTACCTTCTATTTGGCACTGTTTAATAAGAGATTATTTTTATTACTTTAAGTAGTTTAAGAGGTGTGCCTTTTCCAGATTTTGTTATAGTTGATAGCACTTAAGATTACTTTAACTTTTCGACTAATGGTAAATTAAAAACCACTTTAGAGGTAATTAGATTCCCTATACACTTTCATATAAGTATAAATCCCTTCCCTTTGCATGCTGTTTCTTGACATGTTTGAACTCAGATCCATTCTTTATTCTACATTCACTCTGTCCTCCACACTCTGCTCTATATTTTAGGGGTGATCTTCCACACTTTCATGTCAGTGAGCTTCTGGATGGGTCTGACCAGTGAGAAGTACTGGCAGAAGATTGGAGGGTAAAGGAAAGGGAGAGCCAAGTCTTTTCTTCACCTCTCTCTTTGCCACAGTAATCACCCTGTCTGTTTCCTCTGTCCCAGCCTGTGGGTGGTAGTGGCTTCTATTTCTTTTATTATCATTATTATTATTATTATTATACTTTAAGTTCTAGGGTACATGTGCACAACGTGCAGGTTTGTTACATATGTATACATGTGCCATGTTGGTCTGCTGCACCTGTTAACTCGTCATTTACATTAGGTATATCTCTTAATGCTATCCCTCCCCTCTACCCCCACCCCACAACAGGCCCCAGTGTGTGATGTTCCCCTTCCTGCATCCAAGTGTTCTCATTGTTCAATTCCCACCGATGAGTGAGAACATGCGGTGTTTGGTTTTCTGTCCTTGTGATAGTTTGCTGAGAATGATGGTTTCCAGCTTCATCCATGTCCCTACAAAGGACATGAACTCATCCTTTTTATGGCTGTAGAGTATTCCAAGGTGTTTATGTGCCACATTTTCTTAATCCAGTCTATCACTGATGGGTTGGTTCCAAGTCTTTGCTATTGTGAATAGTGCCACAATAAACATACATGTGCATGTGTCTTTATAGCAGCATGATTTATAATCCTTTGGGTCTACCCCCAGTAATGGGATGGCTGGGTCAAATGGTATTTCTAGTTCTAGATCCTTGACAAATTGCCACACCAAGTGGCTTCTATTTCTAATATCAGTGTGATACACTTTCTTGTTTGGAGTCTCAGCTCTTTGGTCCATTAAACCAATGCTACTTCTGTTTTCAATACTTGAAGTGGCTATCTTTTCCTGGTGAGATTCTAACTAACACACTCCACATCTTCTGTTTTCACCTGATGAGTTGTAACATTACATAGTTCTCTTATTTATTATGCAACCTCTGTTGTTATTGTCACCATCAATGATAATGACATATAGGTATTTCTGATTGCAGGGCTCAGTGTTCAGTGCTGTAGACAGAAAGAGGAAAAACTGGCTGGGTGCAGTGGCTCATGCCTGTAATCCCAGCATTTTGGGAAGCCGAGGTGGGCAGATCACAAAGTCAGGAGTTCAAGACCAGCCTGACCAACATGGTGAAACCCCCCTCTCTACTAAAAATACAAAAATTAGCCTGGCGTGGTGGTGCATGCCTGTAATCCCAGATACTCAGGAGGCTGAGGTAGGAGAATTGCTTGAACCCAGGAGGCGGAGGTTGCAGTGAGCCGAGATCGCGCCATTACACTCCAGCCTGGGTGACGATGGAGTGAGACTTGTCTCTAAAAAAAAAAAAAAAAACAAAGAGAGAGGAAAAACTAGGTCCAAATAGTAGAAATGGTAAGAATGGAAGGCAGAAAACTTGAAATGCGTACTGGGGTTCTGAGTATACAGATGGCCCAAAATATGGGTCCTACAGATAAAAGATACTAGTGAGGAATGCTGGGGCCTCTGATTTGACTAACGCTTGCAGATATTTTTATTTATGTATTCATTTACAAACAATTTGAGGATCCAGCTGAATACCAGAATCTCTGTAGGACACTGGGACTAGGCATGAGGTAAGATTAGGAGCATGCAAAGTGTCCGCAGGGCTGCGTTTCTTCTAGTGACTAGTGAGGAAAATGTGTCCTTTGCCTTTCCCAGCTTCTAGAGGCTGCCTGCCTTCCTTGGCTTGCAACCCCTTCCATCTTCAAATCCAGCAATTATATCACTCCAACGACTTCTGCTTCTTCAACACTGAATCTCTTGGCTATCTCTTTCACCTCAAAGGATCCTGTGTTACATGCCGCCCACCCAGATAACCCAGGGTTATCTTCCCATCTCAAAACCCTTAAGGCAATCACATCTGCAAGGTCTCTTATTATGTTAGAAACATATTCACAGGTTCCATGAAGTAGGCTGTGACCATCTTTGGGGGCTCGTTATTCTGCCTACCACACCCTTGCAGTACCCGCGAAGAATAATTACAACCACACTTAGCAAAGGAGATGTTAAGAGCAATAGGTAAATCTGAACCTTTAAGATCAATAGATGACTTTTAATTGTTTCCCAAAGCTTTTCTTCTTAGGAAAGCGTTTGGAAAATCAGGAAGGGAGGAAGATATTTAGCAGAACAGGAAACCACTCAGTTCCTGGATACTCAATGGAAAACTTTTGAAAAAAATTTGCAGGACTTTTAGGAGGATTTTTCTGAAATTCAAGTTTCGGTAATTTATAGTACCAAACAGTGGGCAATAATGAGTGACGGCAACAGTCTCTTCTAAGTAGCAGGAAATCAGTACATGCTGCATGTGAAATGAGAGCAGAATGGTGGGAAGCTATGGGATCTTCCAGCTGTGGCTGGACCTCCACACTATGAGACATGTCCACACTGACAGTCACAGGTGGTACCCTTCCTATGCTCAAAGCAGAATAGCCCATGCATATGCTATACCCATGTAAAAGGGTATTTCTAGACTATGGTCTCATATATTCTAAGGAACTCTTTCCTATTTTTCATCAAAGGTTTTGAGCAGAAATGAGAAATTGGTAGGAGCTAGAATGTACTCAGGAGAGTAAGGGATCAAAATTATATTTGTAATCAGAAAGAAGGGAGGAAAGTGGGTGCCTATAAAAGCCTTCCCTTAATCTTCTTCAGTTTGGATCCTGTGATGTGCAAAGTGAACCCCGAGTCTTCATGGAGACCTATCCTTTGGGAACAGAAGGACTTCTTTGGGCACAGAGGTTATTTTATAAGCCTGTAACAATTTTCAGCCCTATTGAGGACAATCAAAGTCCATTTTAAATTTTATATTTGCTCATAAATGGCCCTCCATCATCCTCCCCTTACTCTGCATGAGACTCAAAGAATGGCTCTAAATTTACACACCTGAGAAGTGTGACTCAAATCAGTTATCTAACTGCCAGACCCATAGGAAACTATTTACATAGCATAGATAACTGATGAAAAGAATTGCATTGCCTTTTTCCAGTGGCCTGAAGTAACCTTTAATTATCAAAGCATCATGAATTACTTCCCAAAAAAATTAGACTTCATATCTAGTTCTCAATTTTAAATTTATGCACACTGAAGATAGAGATCATTCTCTTCAAGCCAAGGAACAAATTTCTAATAAACAACGATCTATCACTTTTTTTAAGCATGGTATAAGGAATGGGGTAGAGCATAAGGTCTATTTTTCTCAGTAGTTTAATTCACAGCACATGGCTTGATTTGGAAGAAAATGTTCTGTTTTAATTTGTTTGCTGAAGCTTCTCTTTTTTTTTTTTCAAAATCTCTCCTATATAAGTGTGGGGAGGTTTAGATCAGTGACAAATATCAGGAGAAAAACACAGGAGTCTATGCAAAGATAAAGAATGGAATAAGTAGACTGAATATTACACAGGACATGTTTATATCTTTACATATAATAATCCTGATTTTTATGTGAAAATGCACATTTTCATGCTCATTTTCAAATTTATTTTTTCTCAGTTAGGCTAGAAACCTAGTCACATTTTCCAGTGCCATGTAGAAGGTCAATAATATTAGATATCACTCATCTAACATGTGACCTGTGTTTTGCTTGCATTGTTACTAATACTTTCAACAACCCAACTAGATAGTTGATGCTATCTCCATATTATTATGAAGTTACTGAGGATAAGAGTACATTTCTAGTAAGTAACTAAATTGGGATTTCAACTGGGTGAATTCACTTTTAGTTTGTCTTCTTCCTGTAATAATTTGTTGTTTCTTTTAAATAATATCACTGAAAATATTCTCCCACTGCAAGGAGTGTAGTAATCAGTGAACTATCCAGAGACAGGGATTGGGTTATGCAGTTGATACTCTAGACTTCTCTCTCTCTCTTTTATTTTCCCTCATCAGACTGCATCCCTTGGTCTCTTATATGGGACTTCTTCCTCTTACCATTTAATCAGATTTTCTCAACTAGAGTGGTTTTCTACATCCACAAAAGACAAGAACAATTTTAATCTAATCATTCACAGTCATGAGTTTTCATAGTATTACAGAATAGAAAAATATCTAGTTATAATTCGACAATATTATTGTCACCACATTTTATATTTATGGGAGTATTTGGATAAACATATGCAAGTGACTATGTTTGGGGCTCAAAAATATGTGCAAGGATACAGCAAATGCAACTAATAGGTGCATAGCAGAATTCAGTAATCAATGATAGCACCCTCATTATTATTAACCTTGTGGTGGTATCAAGTAGTAACTAGTAATTGAAGAAATGAGCACTTAAAATTAAATATTTTTGCCATTCTTGATGTATGCTGTGATCTTCTTACTGAACTTCATTTATTTACTAATATACTGGCAGGACTGCCCATTTGACCCAAACTAGAAGCTTTACATTTGTCAGGTATACTTTGCTCTCAGCTTGTAATTATTTTTACTTCTTTCAGGATGACATCTAGAAAATTTAACACTGTTGTGCTGAGAGGAAAATTCGGTGTACACAATTTCTCTTATTCTTTAGACACACAGCATTTTGAAGTGTTTCTTATTCTTCCAAGACAGCAAAGTGCTAAGATGTAAATATATGAGATTTATTTCACTAAATGCATTTAAAATTAGGTATCTCTGTTTTCAGGATGCTATCCAGATATTATGTCACTTATTCATTTTATATAGAGTTTACTCTAAAGGAGTACCCAGGACTTGTTGTTTACAACTGTAGGCATTTTTATGTGTGCTATTAACTTGCCACATTCTTAAGGTTTCGATCAATTTTTGTGTTTTTCCCTGGAGACACAAGTGCAGAGCAGGGAATTGGATAGAGAAAAAAGAAATACTTGGTTTTAATGTTTTCTTTCTTTTTGTCTTCACTTGTGCTAATATTTACAAATACATTGGGATGCCAAAATGAGACATAATAGAGTATAATAGTAATAATAATAATAATAATAATGAATCTGAATCAGAAAATTGGAATGTCAGTTTCATTATTTACCAACTATGTGGTTTAGAGCAGGTCACTTACTTGTAAAACAGAGATTATAATACACATGTGAAATGGACATTACAATGCTGTATCTAGTACATATGTATTATTACTCAGAAAAATTTTAACTGAATGTGCATGTGATTTTATAAACAGCAAATATTCAGTTCACTTAAAAATATGTTTTTGCCATTATAGCTAAAACTAGAGTAAGTTATTTTTTGCACTGCATTAAATTTACAACATATGCGTTAAATTATAATTACCTAGAGACTGAGGCAACAAGCATGGAGGAGCAAATATAGCTTCTGTAGTACGCAAAATTTATCACATAAGGTAGCAGAGCATATTCCTGAAAAAAACGGACAGTGGGACATAAAACATCTGATTGACAGAAAAGAGAAAGTGGAAAATGTGGCTTAGGAATTCTGACATCTCAGTGGTTAGACCTACGACTTGGTAAGTAAATGTAAGAACATTGGTTATTTGGAAAGGGTTTACCAAAGTGAAAGATAGAATTACTGACATGAAAAAGAGCTTCGAGATAAATTTTATCAGCTACTTCATTCTTCCCAGGTTCTTGCCATTTTGGAAAATCATGTAGTACAGAAACAAGAGGGAAAATAAACTAATATTTACAGAGTCATATTTATATGCCAGAAATGCACTAGGCATTTTTTGCACACAAGAATAAAATCATTCTGTAAATCATTTTCTGATTGTTAATGGAAAAAAATAGCCCTTTCATATTACCAGAAGGATGCTACTGGAAATATAAGTTATTGCATTGTATATTCTGTATTTAAATTGCTAAGTGGCCTAAATTTTATTTCAGTTTCATCTTGTATCCAAGGATGTAGAACTAAGTGTAAGATCTTAGTCAAGGAGAGTAATAAGTAAAGTGGTGTTGTTATTGTATTAGTTTGCTAGGGCTGCCATAACAAAATGCCCCCGACTTGGTGGTTAAAACAACAGAGATTATTTTTTCACAGTTGTGGAATCTAGAAGTCCAAGATAAAGGTGCCAAAGGGTTGGTTTCTTCTGAGAGTCATCAAGGAAGGCTCTACTTCAGGCCTTTTTCTTTGGCTTGTCAATGACTGTTTTCTCCCTGTGCCTTTCACATTGTCTTCCTTCGGTGCTTCTGTGTCCACATGTTCTTCTTCTTATAAATACACCATTCATGTTGGATTAGTACCCACTCTAATGACCTCATTTTTATTTAATTACATCTGCAAAGACCTTACTTCCTACCACAACCACATTCCTAGATACTGGGGGGTTAGGACATCAACATATGAATTCAGTTGACTTGTTCATAATAGATGCACCACAAATATTTGCTAATGATAATTCAAGAACTCTTTGTAACAAATAAACAAAACTTTGTTGCCCTGAAGATCCCCTAAAGAAATAACTTGAAATTAAGTCAAAATAGAAAGCCATCCACATTAGAATACTTTGGGCATTGAACCAGGCCAGACCTCAAAAGCAAATTTAGGTATGAGAATTGGTTGGAATGATAACTTGGACACATGGTCATTTCCTCTTTGGTTGATAACCTAACAAGAAACACGCAGTCAAAAATATACTCCAGATCAAAGACACACATGAATAGATATGGCTTTTTCTCACCTCCCTTTATTTCTCCCAAGAACATGCCCAGAATTTGAGGAGCTCACCAGGTAGAGTGGAAACCTACCAGTTCAGAGGATTCCTAACCATGGTTTATACTGTTTTAAATGAAAGCTTGCAGGGACTGATGAGTATGAAGGGGATGTGGAACTTCAATATTCAAGGATCCACTCTACTTTAAGGAATAAGGAAATTCTTGCTAAGTCCCCACTATATACTTTCAACCTGTGTTTCTTGCTGTGTCACTGGGTCTCATGGAGGTTTCAGGGAACAGGCATGCCCTATTGGAATTTTTGAATAAAGCATAAATTTGAGCATCTATAAAAAGCACATTTTAAAACATAAAGTGCTATGTAAATAATCCATTTTGAATGTTGTAAATAAATAAGTCATCTATGACTTTCATTATTTATTGGGGAATTAAATATACATGGAATACTGACTATATTCCAGGTACTCTGTTAAGGATTGAGCATACAAAAGTCAAAAAGACAGACATCATACCTTTTACATGGAATGCACATAATAACAATTTTGACATAATTTTCATATTACTAGTCTTATAAAAACTAAATACATACTACAATTAAGAGTTGGAAGAAGCCTCTAGAATTTGGCAATAGTTGAGGGAGTTGGTTTCTGTAATTTCAAGATGCTGAAATCAAATGTATTCAGTAGTACCATCCCATACTCATCTCTTCATTATAAACAGAGAAACACACTCTCTTCTGAGAGCAGAAGGAAAAAAGTTGTTTTTTGACATTTTCTGCATTCCTTTCCATGGCTGTAGATTCGAACACTTTTAAATTTCTTTTTCACAAGGCTAGGCAATTTTCAGTACTAGTCTTTGAGGATAATCTAAATGTGCATGAGTCTTGGCCTAGAAAATGCCAGCTGGAAAATGAAAGAGTAGGGACCTTGTGCCATGCTCTATGGGCCATGCAAGTGTGACGAAGACTCAAAGTCTCTTTATCTTGTAAATGGAGTCAAAGGTTCTGGTCTATGCCTAAACTTTCTACTAACTGATTTGAAAATTGCGATTATTACTTATATGGTGGTTATCATTGTAAAGAATTAGATAAATTTATCTCAGTCTTTCAGAAAGAAAACTACAACTAGAGGAATTAATTCCATTATCTATTTTAATGAAATCTTTAGCCTATTTAGGTAGAAAACCTCTCTTCAGAAAATCTTTCCTCAGTGCTTTTTCTGATAGGTTTTGTTTTTGCTCTGATGAACTTTTGCTGTACATCTTCTGTCAGGGCAAAATAGTTACATCTGCAAAGAATGTATACCATGTCATTAACCTTCCTTCACTAGCAGCAAATTAAAGCCAAACAACAAAGTCATAATTCCACAGAGACTGAAAGATGGACTTTAAGTAGAATTATATGGGCTGTGAATTATCTTCAGCAGTAAACTATTGTACAAATAGCCCATTGAAGTTCACTAAAATGGGAAAGGTTGGGGTTACTACAATTCTTATCTAACTCTTGAGTCTTCGTGATAGCCCAATACCCGTGGTAGCCTGAAGTGTACTTCATGTGCCTTGTGAGAAAAGGAAAACTAGTGCGGTTTTTCTCTTTCCCATTGCACTCTAGAGCCATTTGAACAGCAGTTAAAATTCCCTGTCAAAAGTAAATACTGAGTGTTTGTCAACTCTGAAGACCCAATAAAAGATAATCTGTTTCACTGCTCCTGTTTGAGCATATAAAACAAGGTACTGGCCGGGTGCGGTGGCTCAGGCCTGTAATCCCAACACTTTGGGAGGCTGAGGTGGGTGGATCACAAGGTCAGGAGATTGAGACCATCCTGACCAAAATGGTGAAAACCTGTCTCTACTAAAAATACAAAAAATTAGCTGGGAATTGTGGCATGTGCCTGTAATCTCAGCTATTCTGGAGGCTGAAGCAGGAGAATCCCTTGAACCAGGGAGTTGGAGGTTCCAGTGAGCCGAAATCACGCCACTGCACTCCAGCCTGATGACAGAGTGAGACCCCGTCTCAAAACAAAACAAAACAAAACAAAACAAACATGATACTAAAGCTTTTAGAAATTCTGGTCCTTTAAGTCTTATTTCTCCTGATAAGAGCTTTCTAGAGAGATGATGTAAAGAGAGGAATTTTAGTCTACGGTATTCTAATTTGCTCTATTTAAATTAATATCCCACTTCTCACATGAGTCTCTAGTAGATATTAATAGAAATTACTGGCATGTCTCCAACAATCTAGAGTAAATTTATATGGGAAAGCAAAGGACGGGTGACAAGTGGCTAAGGGAGAACTGGCTCAGTTAGTTGTGAGTGGCAGTCTGCACTCTAATCAATTTCCCCCCAAATTTCCAAATATTGATTTACCACCAAGAATTTTTCAGGTAAACACCCACAGCTTCAGACCATCACCCGATTCTCTAGTTTCCCATCCTTCCTTGAGCCTCTCTCCATGTCCCCTTAGTGTCTCCTCTATCAGGGCCTGCACTCTCCTTGGATACCACCTTCCTCTCTCGAACCACTTCAAGAGATTTCTACATGGAGCAGGATTGTTTAATTTCTAGTTCTCTCTGTTGCAGGTGTCTCTGTATTTGCTGTTTGGATTTCTTGCCTGTTTCTGACCCATTGCATCTCCCCACTCTCTTGTGCTTGAGTATTACTGATGTTTGAATGCTTGCCTAATCTGAGGGCCCTCTAGCTTCTAATCATTCTGTGAATCTAGTTTCCTGACCTATCTCCAAAATTAGTTATCACACATTGTGCTAATGTGACAACAGTTAGTTATCTCAGTTTAAACCAGGGTCATTTAATCTCCTTGGTCTCAATTTTCTCATTTAAAAATAGGATGCTCTGTGTTATGTGGAGGTCTTTTATTTTGACATGTCAATTGGGTTGAGTTGTTAACATCCAATTTACAAATTCACCATTTGGTTCTTGATCAGAGTAACTTTCAGATAAGTAAATACAGATGAGTGAATAATTGAAATTAAAGAACTTCTAAAATGAAAGTTGGCTTTCAAAAGTACTTCTGGGTTTGTGACCAGCCTGGCCAACATGGTGAAACCCCGCCTCTACTAAAAATACAAAAAATTAGCCAGGTAGTTGGAATTACAGGTACAGGACACCTGTAATTCCAGCTGCTCAGGAGGCTGAGATAGGAGAATTCCTTGAACCTGGGAGGCAGAGGTTGCAGTGAGCCAAGATCCGCCATTGCACTCCAGCCTGGGCAACAAGAGCAAAATTCCATCTCAAAAACAAACAAACAAACAAAAAACACAAAACACAAAAAACAAAACAAAAACACTTCTGGAATAGTATTTTTAAAAAGAAGAAAAAGTATTCTAACAGATGACTCCATTTCAGCGAATTTAATTACTCCGAAAAAAGTATTTTTACCTTGAGTTATTTATAAGTTATGTAAGACTTGATTCTACTCAACCATCCATCTCACACAATGTTAGATTTCAAAAGAAATATAAATGCCAATTATTGGTATTTTTGATCCCTTATTATATGCTTAGGGCTCTTCTAAATATGTTTTAAATATGATTTCACTAATTTCTCAACCCCTATAAAGTAGAAACTATTGTTACTTCTATTTTACAAATGAATTTTACAGATGAATTGACTGAGGAAGAGGCGTTAAGTAACTTGCTCAAGATTATACAATTAGGAAAAACCCAGGATTTATACAAGGAACTTTGGCTTCAGAGCCTGTGCTGGTAAACATCACACTATTCTATTCATCATGAGCAATTTGAAGAAAGTTCTTGACAGGAGTGTATTAAAGTAGAAGCTCTTGAAAAGGCAAATCAAGTTTATGTTCATAACACACAACAAAACTTTTAAATTCTTTTCTGCAACTCTACTCTAAAAATGACACACAGAATAAAAGCTGCTTATAAATCTGTTTGTTTTTACTCTCTTTTTTCCCTTTTGATTTTTCTTTTCATTTCCCCCTAAACACGACATGAAAGGCTCTTCCATATCTTCACCCACAAATCTATTTTCCACCTTCAATGGATATTTTATTCTTTCTTGGAGGCTCTATGTCTTTCTTTTGTGAGTTGGTTTAATTTTTCATGCTTGTCTAATACAGCATCTTTACATGTTCCTGAACACAGGTCAACCTGAAGAGAGTCGGAGAAAGATCTTGCCAAATTTTTCTCAGAGAAGGATGGAAGAATCATATTACCTTAATTCTTTTTTTTTTTTTTGAGATGGAGTTTCACTCTTGTTGCCCAGACTACAGTACAATGGCTCGATCTTGGCTCACTGCAACCTCCGCCTCCTGGGTTCAAACAATTCTCCTGTCTCAGCCTCCCATGTAGCTGGGATTACAGGTGCCTGCCACCATGCCCAGCTAATTTTTGTATTTTTAGTAGAGTCAGCATTTCACCATGTTGGCCAGGCTGGTCTTGAACTCCTGACCTCATCTGCCTGCCTTGGTCTCCCAAAGAGCTGGGATTAAAGGCGTGAGCCACCATGCCCGATGCATATTGTCTTAGTTCTTATTATCTCTGTATACCTCTACACAATTTCAGATGTTGCTGTTCTATAAGGAATTCACTTATCATTCACTTGAACTTTTATGGGTTCCTTTACACCAAAGTTTCAATGTCTATGTTTACTTACAGCTATAAATTTCTTTAGATAGTGAATATAAGGGAATATTTGGGGCTAGATATTAGGGCCTGTGTCATGTGGATAGGTGAGTCAAGAGGCCCAGAGAAGAAGTAAACAATTCTGGCTATTATCTAGACATTTTGTTTTTCTGAAAAATCACAGTAACATTTCAAAAGATAACATCCACTTTGAAAAAAGTATGTTATGATTTTATGTAAAACATTTTTTGGCTGGGTGTGGTGGCTCACACTTGTAATTCCAACACTTTGGGAGGCTGAGATGGGATGATTGCTTGGGCCCAGGAGTGCGCGACCAATGTGGGCAACATAGTGAGACCTCATCTCTACAAAAAGTAAACAAAATTAGGTGGGCATGGTGGTGTCTGCCTGTGGTCTCAGCTACTGGGGAGGCTGAGGCGGGAGGATAGCCTGAGCCCAGGAGGTTCAGCCACTGAACATGGTTCAATGTGTTTGCACCACTGCACTCCAGCCTGGGTGACAGAGTGAGACCCTGTCTCAAAAAAAAAAAAAAAAAAGGATTTTACATAAACAACTCACAAGATGAACTGAAATTCTCATTCTTTACCTGGGTGTTTAGGGGATATAGAGGTACAATGTGAGTGAGAAGAGAGGGCCTGAGATAACTGATGTGTCTTAAAAGAAAAAGAAGATGAATTGGGTTGACAGAGTAGGAGACCTGGAAATTTCACACCAAATTCTAGAGCTGCAGAGCTTCTCTGTTTCAGGAGTGTGATATTTGAAATCTGACTTTCAGTGGAGTGACAAAACTCTTTCTTAAAAATGGTTTGAAATTGCATTTTAGGTGGGCAATTAAGCAAAGGACTTATAAAAATGAGTTCTGATTAATAACCTCAAATTTAAGAAGTTAGAAACTGATTTTATTTTCTCATAGCTTTAAGGAATAAATTAGTACCTATACTTATGAGTGTGTGAGCACATGTTTACTAACAAAAGGAAGAGGGGGAAGTTAAGCTGACTCACTGTCAATGTCAGCCTTTTTTGTTTCTGCCTGATACAAAAATAAAACTCCGGCTTGAGGCATTTGGACAAGCTGAAGATTAATCACTGCATGACAACATTTAGATATTCATTGTCCACTCTGAATGTTTAAAATGAGGTTTTATTTTCTAGACATGAAACTTGTAGATTTGTTTTCACATATTTGCTGAACTTTCAGAGTCTATTTGGAGTTGACCTATTGGGAATGAGCTATCCAGGATGCAAGAAAAAGTTCCAGCTCAATGGAACTAAAACACAATTGGGAGATTAGAAAAATACACATGAAAAGTGAAATATCAATAGAATAATCCAATTCATTGATACTTTGAACTTCCTGGAACTTTTCTTATCCGGGTTGATAAAGTTGCTGGTTTACTAAGAATAAACAAGAAAGGAAAATACCCTAATTACATGCCAAAGATTAAGCATTTACACACATATATATTGTTTCTTGGACACTTCCTCAAATTTTCACTCAAAACCTAGTTGCTCTTAGTTTATACAATCTTAATACATTTTATCATATCTTATTTCAGACTTTAGCAGATTAAAAACAACTGTTTGTAAAGTAGAGGGCTATCTACATGCAAGAACTTTATGAATAAAAGTGAATTTACTTAACAAACAATAAGCAGAATAATTGAAGAATTAAATACTCACCGGAATCACATCTAAAATGCTCTCTCTGCCTCATTTAGACCATGTAGTATCAATGTTTTAGTTAAATCTTCACTAATCTCTAAGACTGCATCTCAAAAATGTCTTCTCCATAAATTCCATTTAAGGCAAAAATACAGGAATCATCACAAGGCACTATGTAGGTAGGAATCAAATCTTTGTGGTAGGCACAGTGTTCTTGTTAGAGCCAGAACCATCTCTAGTACATCCTGTATCTGGGGTGTAGGTTTAAAACTAAGCAAAATTTTACCGAGTTTCACAAGAGCACTTTGAGCTGCATTTCTCCAGAAATACAATAAAAACAAACCAAAGAGAGGAAAGTCTAGGACTAAGCCTCTAAATGAATTGAGTGATATTAGATTAAACAAGACAAGTTTAGATGTTGCCAACATGTATCTCCTTCCTGGGAAAAGGAAACATCATCTATGAAAACTGAAAGCCAGAGCAGGTTTACAGGGATGATCTTTAAACTTCAGCTGATGCTAGAATCACGTCTCTAACCCTACTCATTTTCTTACAGAAAATAATTATTTCAGTGAATGCCTACAATCTGTCCCCTTGCCCAAGATGTCAAAGATGATTCATTCTCTTATGGCAGAGAAAGCCAGAGGAATCTAAGCAATCATGACTCTTTGGCCAGACTACCTGCTGCTCCCAAGGGAGACTCATGAACAATCATTTCCAGCATTGCCTCTCTAAAATTTCCGGTACTTATTTCTCTCAAAGGATGTTGAGGTCTTGGTAGCTGGACAGTTGTAAGACACAGTCTTGAGCATCTCAATTAATAGTTTTTATCAGAGGATCAGTTCAACTTTACTTGGCAGCATTGATGGCACAGTATCCTTTTAAAGACATACCTCTAAAAGAAGTTACTTCTTTAGTGACTTGAGAAATATGTTGAGGCAATGGGCTTTTGGCACACCACACAGATTGAACCTGACCATCTCTTTTTGAGGGGAAATTTAACAGTTAGAGAAGGACTGCACATCCATGCACTATTTGCTACTTCTGGTGACCATTATTAAACATAGTTTAAAGTTAATTTTGGAGTTATAACTCGATTTTGTTATTTTGTTACTATTTGTCTGGATATTAATAAAGTGCTCCATTTTCCCTGTCTGCTGGAGAAGTTAATTGATTTCTAAGAAGAAATAAAAAGGATTCATACAAAAATTAGAAAAATATTAAATTAGCTTTTATAAAAATGCTGAAAACTTTATTAAGGCTACCAGAAGTTTTTCATTTAGATTTAATATAAATCTTGGAGAATGCTTATAATAACTTTTCTTTGTATTTTCTCATAGTCACAGACATAAAATTGCTTTCATATGTGAAACCCATCTGTTAATAGTTCTCAAATTATTTTCGTGTTATTCTTATTTATTTTTTGTTTGCTAATACGGTATAAAAGTCCTAATACAAATCATGCTAGCTAGTTCACATTCATGTTAGTGATAATTAGAATAGTATAATTGATATTTTATTGGAAAATGATGTTTCCCTTTATATTTTCTTAATAGATAATTTCTGTATTTGTAATTCTTATATTATTATAATTATTGTGTCAAGTTTGTTTTCTAAGATAACCTAGTTCTATTCGCATAATAAAAGTCAGGGATCAGATGAAACTCATTTAAAAGAAATAAAATTTATAGAGAATACATATTAAGAACTGTGCTTGTGATATGAGAATATATTTTTATTTCATTATTGTGCCAGTTGTGTTAATTACTTTATTGCTTCTTAGTGACATATGTATATATATATATATGTTTGCTGGACACGATTTTGGTATCCTTAACAGGGTACTGAAACTCTTTATCTTAGTCAGTTTGGGGTGTCAAAACAGAATACCATAGACTGGGTAGCATAAACAACTGAAATTTATTTCTCACATTTCTAGAGGCTGGTAATCTGAGATCAGGATGGTCATTTTTTTTTTTTTTTTGTAATTGATCATGGCAGAGAAAAGAGAAAAAAAAGCAAGGTGTCTCTTGTCTTTTTATAACGTCACTAATCCTATTCACTAGGCTTCCATCTACATGACATACTTACCTCCAAAAGACCCCACCTCTTAATACTATTACCTTGGGGGTTAGGATTTCGAGAAGAATTTTTGGGGAGAATGCAAACATTCAGTCCATAGCATCTTTGAAGGCTGATAAATACCTTTTATTTCTCTAAAATCTAATACCAATTATAGTACTTGATAGAATGTATGAACCTGGAAAAATAACCATAGTTCCAGTGAATATATTTGCCAAGATAATTTAAAAGTGGATGGATTAATTTATTAATTAATTCACCCATTCTTTTGTCCATGAACACATATTTGTTGAATACTTACTAATGCCAAACATAGACATATACAATGTATTAAACTGGTCAGAATGCTGATAATAATAATAAGAAGAAAATGAACTGTTTTCCAAGTCACTCTATCAGTCTAGCACAATTCTGATGCTAAAATAGAATAAGGATAGCATAAATAAAAAGAAGCTATAAACCTACATAACTTATAAATAAGCAAGGGTTATAAATAATAATTAAATCATTAAACAGGTAAAAATCATTAAGAAGTAATATATTGAATGAATAGTTTATCTAGACAGAAACAGTCTATCCCAAAGAATGCAAAGATGGTTCAAAATAAGAAATATCCATTACAGCAACTTAAAATATTATGATATTAAAGAAGAAAAAACATATCAATAGAAAAATATAAGTATATTAAAGATACATATATTTTAAAATTTATAAATGAATTGAGAGAAAATAAAAGAGAACATGTTTTGCAATGTTGATTGGAAACATCCTTCCTATCGATGATACCATTTACAAAAGGCAAAGATACATGTACAGTTGGTCTTCCATATCTATGGATTCTGCATCTGTAGATTCAACCAATCATGAATTGAAAATACTAAAAAAGAAACGAATAAACATAATACAAATAAAAATGCAGTATAACAAATATTTACATAGCATTTACACTGTATTAGATATTATACATAATCTAGAGATGATTCAAAGTACACAAAAGGATCGCATAGGTTATACCAATACAACCCGTTTTATATAAGAACTTGAGCATCCACAAATTTTTGGTATCTCAGGAGGGTCCTGGGACAAATCCCCTGTGGATACTGAGGAAGCAGCACAAAGCATGAGCACCTTGGCCTGCAACTTGCAGCCTGTGAGTCTTCTTTTTACCGTAGGCCCTGCCCAGTGAGGCCCTGGCTGCTGAGACTGCCACAGTATGGGCCTGTGCACAGACCTTCTCTGCTGTTGGTATGTAAATTCATAGAGAAGTATAAATGGATAACAACAGAAAATGGTATTGGAACAGTGGAAATCAGCAATTTTGCACAGGAAGCTTTGGGAGATGTTACTAGAGTCTCTGTGAAGTTGGGACAAAATTGAACAAACAAGATGAGTTTGGTGTTTGGGAAGTGTGAAAACTGCTAGTGAACTCTATTCTCCTCTATGAGGAGAAGTAACTGAAATTAATGAACCTTTTGTAGAAAATCCAGGACTTACCAACGAATCTTATGAAAGTGGCTGACTGATCAAGATGACACTAAGTAACCCTTCAGAACTAGATGGACTAACGAGTGAAGTGTATGAGAAATACACAAAATCTAATGAAGACTGAAAGTGGAATTCCTAAACAAACCAGTATGAGATAACTTCATCCAGCATAGTTGAATTAAAGTAATGGTGGATAGAAGACTTTAAATAGCAACTTTTGGCAATGTGATGGGAAAAGAAACTACTCTCAACACTGCTGGTGAAAGAAAATACACCTTAACTTTCCAATGATTGTGGATAAACACAATATGCATCTTTTTCAAAATACCCTATGGTGTTTAGACTAGGGTCTAGTATTGAGAATTCATGTAATTATTGGTGGTGAAAACTAGTTATAGAAATTATGTAATTCAAGGATAACATTATTATCTTAAGCCTTATATTATATTATAACTTGCTGACATCCATCCATAGATTTGGATCAAAATACTGAATGACCTTTCCACTGGAAATAATTGGGAGTTAGTTGTACAATGTCAGATGGAAAACAATCCAATCTTAATTTTGCAACATACTGCATTTGCTGGTGCCATTTTTATACAGTGAATAAATAGCCTTGCAGCAAAATAAGAAACAAATAATAAAATATTCAACTTCCTCAAAACAACAACAAAGTTTGTACAGAGGAAGATACCATAAGTAAAATGAAAATGTAAATGATAAACTTCTAGTTCTGGGAAAGATAGATAAAGTCAACATCCCTTTATCTTACACTGAATTCAATTATAATACCTGAAAAAAAATGCTCATGCAGCTATTTGAGAATTCTAAGAAGTAAATATAAGAAGACAGATTGGGAAGAATACCAGAGTTCAAAGTACTACTAAACCAACCAAAGTACTACTAAACCAACAGTGAGCTTGCTACATTTTTCTTCCTTTGTTATGTCCTGGCCAGGAAACAGCATGATCCAAAACCCAGAAATAAGCACCGTGGTGCAGACAGAGAGATGTAGAAGAAACCCTCTAGTTTTAACTCAAGAAACAGAAAAGGGAACTCTCAAAACTCAGAGATAATGGGGAAAATTTCTTGGATTTTTTTCCTTTTCTTTTTCTCCATTACCTTAGGGGAAAACTGTAGTGCAAGATCTTCCAGGAATGAGAAAGCAGCAGTAGCCAAAACTTGGAGTACCTTTCTCTCTATTCAATCAAGCTGGCTCCAAGATGGTGTCATGAAACTCGTATTTGTTTTTCACTTCTCTCTCTGTCCTGCTACCGCTTGACCTTGAACATGGTGCAATGGGCAATTTCTAGCCAGAAGTCTGAAAAGGGCAGCCCACAGAACTGGAAAGTTCCTGGTAGATAAAAAAAAAAAAAAAAAAGTAGGAGCTCAGGAAGGTCACCTCTTAAATGTGTTTATGAACTCTTACACTCACCCCCAATCTGTGTTGTACCAGCATGAAGTGGCACAACGTCTTTAAAGTCCTGACCAAAAAAAAGAAAAAAACACACAAAAAACTGTCAACTCAGAATTTTATATCAGTGAAAATATCCTTTTGGAATTAAAATAAAGACATCTCTGATTAAGAAAAACTAATAGTAGTTAATGGCAGCAGAACTGCTTTGAAAGAATTGCTAAAACTCTTCAGACAGCGGGAAATGATAACCGAAAGAAATTTTGAACATCAGAAATCAAGAAAGAGGAGCAGAAAGGGAAAATATCTGGGTATATATAATACACTATTCTGGGTATATATAATACACTATAATACACTTTGGATTATTTAAAATATGTTTGATAGTTAAAACATAAAATATACTAATCTCAGATGGGAGTTTCAATGTCTGTAGGTATAATATTTAAGACAATCGTAGAAAAAAGGAGACATCTTAATGGGACTTTATAGTAGTAACACTTCTACATTCAAATTAGGTGGTAAAATATTGATTATAAATAGACTGTTAAAAAATTATGTATTTTGTAATTCCTGGAATAAGCTCTAAAAAATAGATGAAGCAATATAATGACTGAGAATGGTACCAGTGAATAAGAAAATTTTCAAAGAAAAGATAAAAACACCAATGTTCAATGGTATTAAATTTAAAATAAATACAGAGTTTTCCTTCAGAGTCCCTATGGAAGTTTTACATAATGTATACTAGATAATTAAAAAGTATCCACTATCTCTTTAGGTACATGTTACGTTGAAAAAAATAAAGCACACAAAACAAAGAACAGTGAAATAAGTTGAATGAAATAGCAATAGGTTTTTTTTAACATTTCTAATGTTACAGCTTTTGATTTATGAAAAGAAAAATGCTATCATTTTACCATCAACTAGTCACATTATGAAAAGACAAATGCTATCATTTCATCAGTAACTAGTTACATTAAATAATAAATAATCATTACTACTTCCTTTGAATGATCAATTGCTAAAATTTGACTTAACGGTCACAGCAAAAAAATACTGTTTCATCATCTCTAGGTGATAGAAATGGAGCCTTTCCCACAGACTCCTTGTCTCTGGCTCATGATCTGCTTTTATTTTTATTTTTATTTTTGAGCTCCGTGTGTGTGTTAGGGGGGTGCTAAATTTCAGAAGTGGGTGTTATCATTTATTGAAATTTTGTATTGTCTTGTCTCTACATGAAAATTTGAATGCTACATTACATTTTTAGTTTTATTTCATTGATGATTAATTCTTAGAGATTTAATCAGGCAAGTTTACACTAGATTCTTTATAGTCTATGACTACACTAAAGGCAACACAAATTGATTTTACAGAGAAAATAATTAGATTAAAGAGGCACAAATTTCCAGTTTAAAGAACAAGATTAAATGGATTCACTTCCTTTCATTCTCTAAAAGTAACCAATGCAACATTTCTTTTGTCTCTTCAGTGAATTTAATTTTAATGGTCCTGCTGAGTTACTTTGGGCCTTCAGAATATACTGTGTTCTTTGTCTCTAAATACATAAATGTTAGTTAAAGAAAGTGTTTAGACTGAAAATCCTGTATCTCAAATTTTAAATGAAATTTACTCTTCTGGGAACTGTGCGAGGCGCTTTCACATTTTTCTTATGCCCACATCGCTGATGGGAAATGAGTGACTTAGGCTGCTGAAAAGATGGCTCTAAGGACATACAAACAGTAAAGGACAGAACAAAGAACTATAATGCAATGCAGCATGAACCCACTAAAACAGTAAAATGTGAAAAACTGACAAAACAAGGGATAACAAGGATATAGAGCAAGTGGAACACTCGTACACTGCTGGTAAGAATACAAATTGGTACTTTGAAAAACTGTTGTGGCATCTACTAAAACGAGTATGTGCAAACCCTATTCATCAGTTTTCTATTGGTGCATAACCCATTACCACAAACTTAGTGGCTTAAAACAAAACCATTGGCTGGGCGCGGTGGCTCAGGCCTGTAATCCCAGCACTTTGGGAAGCGGAGGTGGGTGGATCACTCGAGGTCAGGAGTTCAAGACCAGCCTGGCCACCATGGTAAAACCCCATATCTACTGAAAATACAAAAGTTAGCTTGGTGTGCTGGCACGTGCCTGTAATCCCAGCTACTTGGGAGGCTGGGGCGGGAGAACTGCTTGAACCCGGGAGGCAGAGGTTGCAGTGAGCCGAGATTGCACCATTCCACTCCAGCCTGGGCAAAGAAGCGAGACACTGTCTCAAAAAAAAAAAAATTAATTAAAAAACAAACAAACAAACAAACAAAAAATCACGTATTAGTTCCCAGTGCTATAGGTCAAAAGTCTGACACAGTGTGGCTGTGTTCTCTACTCAGATATCACAAGGCTGAAATCAGTGATGAGAGGCTGAGTCCTTATCTGGAGGCTCGGAGGAGAAATTCACATCCTAGCTTATTCAGGCTATTGACAAAACTCAGGTCCCTGATGTTGTAGGACTGAGCTCCTGTTTCCTTGCTGGCTGTCAGCAGGGGGCTTCTTAGATCTTCAGTCTTTGCATGTGGATCACTGATCTTTAAGCCAGCAATGTATCAAGTATCCCTGTGCTTCAAATTTGACTTCCTTTTCCATTCCCAGCTAGAGAAAACTGTTTTTAAAGGGGCTCATGTGATTAGATTAGGCCTCCCTGGGTATTTTCCTATTATGATAATCCCCTTATCATTTCAGTATAGAATCCTGAGAGTTATTGTTAGAATTATTTATACTTCTTCTTATTACTCAGCAGTTCCAATCCTAGGTATATAACCAACAGAAGTGCAAACATACGTATTTTGTACACAGAATGCTGATAGAAGCACTACTTATAGTAGCCAAAATCTGGAGAAATTATTCATCAACAATGGGATAAATTGTGGGATACTCTTATACTTGAATACAGAAATGAGGATGAACAAACTACAACAACTTACAGCAACATAAATGGATCTTGTAAACATAATGTGGAGTAAACAGATAACAGAGTTTAATGGGAGCAAAGGGGGAGGTAACTAATGCAGCCCAGAAAGTCATAGAAAACTTCCCAAGAAAGATACAGGCTACTGCAGAGAATTAGAGTGAGTGATGGGGGGAGGGAGGAGAGTACTGTATTTTGAATTATAACTATAAAATAAACAGAAGTAACACATCTGTAAACATCATAAGCAAATGAATATTATGAATAGGTAGCAAAATGGTGGGGTAAAAGATATGCCAGAAGAATTTGGCAGGGGTCAGAACATGGAGAACTTCGCAAGTCTTGCAAGAAGATTGACCTTAATCCTGTAGGTGATTGGGGTATCTCCTAGCAAAAGGAAGGAGATGGACGTATTTACATTTGGTATCACTGCTGCTACAAAGTGGAAGAGGAAATTAGAAGAGGAAAATATGGAGGGAACTGCACTAGGTAGGAGGTTATTATTCAAGGAGCACAGGTGAAATATGATAAGAGCCTGAGTTAGCTGGAGTAGAGAGGACAGGGGGCAGGATAAGAAAAACAGATGCCTTGTATCCACCTCACTTGAAGAAATCTCTTCTTAAAGTCTGAATTCATGTTATAGTGTAATTTACTAACAATACAGTTGTTTCATACGCCCATGTGTTCCAAGAGAAGGCAGAATTACCAATTAAGCAGAAAGCTATGATCTATGTTGAAAACAGGACTTCTGTTGTGCAATGTCAAGTATTTTCTGGAAGAAGACTTCTTTTTTTATTTGTTTCTTTTTTCCTAAATCATCAGGACTTTTCCAAATACACTATACCTATGAGTGGGAACTAGAAGAGAAGATGCATTCCAAGGCTGAGATATCTGAATAGTATCTAACCTTAATTCTGTGATTTTTACAAGGTCAGAAACAGCAGAGATCTGGGACAGAAATTCTTCAGAACTTCCACATACTGCTATGATCAAAAGGGTAGTTGTGTAAAGAAAATTATCTAAGCTATAAATTTACTATCTCTGCTAGAAAATCCTCACAAAGTCAATTTCTGTGGACACACAATAGGCCAGCAGAAGGGCCAATGAAATCTGCATACATGCGTGCATTTCGACTTGTATAAAAAACTGGTATAAATACACGTGTCTTTTATTTTTTAAGTTTCTATTGTGGTTGTGTTTTGTAAAGCCTTCTCCAACATTTTAACACTAATTAGGTTACAAATAAAAATATAATTGAAGTTTAAAATGAACCATATGTATTAATATAATTAATTTCACTTACATTCTCAAAACTATAAATGTAATTGCTGTAACTGTTTTTAATAGATAAATAATTGTTTTTTATTACTGTAATTGAACTAAAATTAGTCTGGAATTAGTACTAGGGCTTGATCTTTGAATGTTCCTTCCCACCACCACACACACACTTATTTTCACAGTATTTTTCTATTAATTCATGACATCTGAATTGGAATATTTCAGATGAATTTGAACTGAATTTGCAACATCAGGCAAATGTTCCAAACTTAATCTGTAAATAAGTTTCCTACCCACAACAGAGCTTTTCAATACAGAGAGAAAAGTAACAAAGTAGTATTTCAGCAGAAAATTCCTTTTTTGAAATTTTATTTTTTTCTTATCTCTCAGCATGGTTTGATTGAGTTGTCTACATGAATTTTTATTGCTAGATGTATGACTTTTGTCTAAGAAGCCAAGAAATAATTTAAAAATTGATAACAATATTGCAGAGGTAGTTTAATCACAGCAATGTACAACAGGTCTTTAATTTCCTTGACTACATTTAATATTCTATTAATGTATCTGGAGGTCAAGGTAGAATTTTGGCAGCTCTGGTCCCCAGGTAACCCATTTTGAGCTTACACTTAACTAAGGCACTAGCATACTTAGCACATATAAACCATATTTATATAACTTGTTCTTGGATATTTATTTACATTTTTGAAACTGAATAAGTCTTTAGTAGGACAAATATAAAAGAGTCTAAGTGATAAATGTAATTAAAAAGTAAGTTGGAGGCAAGGGCTCTCCTCATCTTTTTTCTCCCCATTGTCTGATTCTGAGTAGGAGTTCAATATGTGTTTATTGAATTTAGTTTATTACTGCAGCTTGTTAAGTGTTAAATTCTGATTCTGTCTTGTCAAGTATTGAGATTCTGCCAAGCTTCATGTTATCTGAATATCTAAAGATGTCTTCTATTCTAAGCCACAGACGGATGTGTTTAACTACAAAAGATCAACTTGTAACCTGTTTTCAGGTTTGTAAAAGTATTTACTTATGTTTAAATCTAATCATTTAGTAAGGTGCTCATCTACCCAAATGATATGGTTTGACTGTGTCCCCACCCAAATCTCATCTTGAATTGTAGTTCCCGTAATCCCCATATGTCCTGGGAGGGAACCAGTGGGAGGTAATTGAATTATGGAGGCAGATTTCCCCATGCTATTCTCATGATAGTAAGTTCTCACGATATCTGATGATTTTATATGAGGCTTCCCCTTTCACTCCACTCTCCTCCTTCTCTCTCATGCCATCGTGTGAAGAAGGACCTGTTTGCTTCCCCTTCTGCCATGATTATAAGTTTCCTATAATATCCTCCCAAGCCCTGTGGAACTGTGAGTCAATTAAACCTCTTTCCTTTATAAATTACCCAGTCTCAGGGATGTTTTTATTAACAGCGTGAGAACAGACTAATACACCAATTTTACCATTCTACCAACATCCATTATAATTTATTATAATATGGGGCTATGATAATACATTGAGAGCTCTTTCCAAATGTCTTGCTAAAATCTAAGTTCTCTATGTGAGCTACATTTTCATGAATTATTAATTTAATATTGTTAATACAAGGATGCAATTGTTTGCCCTTAGCTTAAAAGATCTCTTGCTCTTAGTAGTCACTAGAAGTCAGTATGACATCCTTTTCCTTCATGGCTTACAAGCCATTCATGTATTAACTCTGTAGCAAGACAACATTTTGAAGTATCAATACTTTTATATACCTGGAAATTCTGTATTTTATGCTGGGACATATTTCCCATTGAAACTAGACTCTGAGTCTCAGGAATCAATTACTTAACAACTGGGTTGTGCAATAGTTTCTAAAAAGGCAAAGAAATACATTTTTGCTTCAAGTTTCAAAATACCTGGTTGAATTTCATTTATGAAGTAACCATTAGAATAGTTTGGGGACTTGAGGATAACAAGGCCACTCCCAGGTGGAAGCAGTGAGGCAAAAACCCTAAAAGCCCCTGGCTCTGGACCTATGGCCATGGAAAACTACATAGAGACCCAAGATGCCATGTAGTTTTGGATAGAGCTGAGAAAGTAGGAGGTGGATGTTTTTCCTTGGGACATGGAAAATGCAGAGAAGCCTGGTGGAGTTGAAATATTTCAAAGGAAGATCTTTATGGTAGAGAATAAGATGACTACTTATTGATGGCCTAAGTATATAATAATACCCTGAACTTAGATGCAACCTTAAGGGAAAAGAAATAGGAAAAGAGAAAACTCTTTATCAATGAAAAAAAATTCTGACTTACCAGGAATAATAATACAAATTATGTCAATTATTAAAATTTTACGTATTTTTACACACCCAATTTTATTAATCTGTGTCCTGTGAAATTTGTACCAATTTTTACATACCCAAAATTGTTACTCAAACAATTAGTAATATTTTCTACCACTTTTTGATGTCAAACTGTATGACCCATCTCCAGTATTTTAATACTTCTTCCATTTGCTAAAATTGTTTTACATTTACCAACAATAACTTAAAGATATCAATTAAAAGTTTCCTCAGGAGATTTAAACTTATTTGCAGCAGCAGAAGTTCTTTCTACATGCTTAAAAGAGATTATTATGAGAATAGTTGAAAGAATATTGGAAGAATTGTACAGTAAACATATATATTGACTACTTCAACTGTAATATTAACATTGTATTGTATTTGCTGTATGACCTGTTTGTCCCCCATCCATCTATCAACTTATCTTATTGTGGATATTTTGTAAAACACGTTGTATACATTAATACACTTCTCAGATACTTTAGCATCTTATAATTAACTCTAGTGCAAATTCATTTTTAGTTCCTTTTTTTTTCTTTTGGTGAAATCTGTATACAATAAAGTATGCCTATTTTAAGTATAGCATTGGATAAGTTTTGATAAATGTTTACACCCCTTTAATATGCAGTAGATTTTATAATCCCAGAAAGTTCATTTATCCTCCTTCCCAGTGAATTCTCATCAGCACCTCTCAGAAGCAACCAATGTTTCAATTTTTTTCACTATAAAATAATTTTGCCTATTTTAGATGGATGCATAGTGTACTTTTTGTGTCAGGTTTCTTTCACTTAGGATGGTTTCAGATTCATCCATGTTGTAATCTACTTCTTAATATTGATATATCTCCATTGTATGAATATACCATTTATTTATCCATTATTGTATTGATAAACATATGAGCTGTTTTAGTTTTTAGCTATTATAGATGAAACTGCTGTCGGGGAGTGGTGGCTCACGCCTGTAATCCCAGCACTTTGGGAGGCTGAGGTGAGCGGATCACCTGAGGTCACGAGTTCGTGACCTGCCTGACCAATGTGGAGAAACCCGGTTTCTATTAAAAATACAAAAAAATTATCCGGTGTGGTGGCGTATGGCTATAATCCCAGCTACTTGGGAGACTGAGGCAGGAGAATCACTTGAACCCAGGAGGTGGAGGTTGCAGACAGCCGAGATTGTGCCATTGCACTCCAGCCTGGGCAACAAGAGCAAAACTCTGTCAAATAAAAACAAAACAAAACAAAACAAAACAAAAAACCTGCTACAAGTTCTTTTTTATAAGTCTTTTTGTAGATGTCTGTTTTAATTTCTTTTTGGTAAATATCTAGAAGAATTAATTATAGGAACAATGTGAGTTTACTTTTATAATAAACTGACAGACCTTTTCTGAGGTGGTATCTCACTGATTTCTCCAAGCCTTTAAACATTGCTCTTCCTTGTGTTTGTGCCAACCCATTGAGTTAAATACCATTCCCTTCATTAGAGAAGTTGAAGAAAAATGGGAAATAAATTTTTCCAACTAACATTCATAGATAATTGTTCCTCTTTCTCTAAGTATAACATTAAAAAGAAACTCCCTTCATAATTGTTCTTTATATTTTATTTCAATTGTATCTTAGTTTTGTATTCTGCCAAGGGGCACTTTATTTCATTTATATTCAAGAAGCATTTAACTAAGTACCTAACAAGGTCTAGAAAATCCCAAACATGATGGCTAAATAGAAAAATAAGTCATAATCTCTGTCCTAAGTGGTCTTAACAAGAAAGAGATTTGTAAACAGTTATGTGTAAGTGTTACAGGTGCTATTCGGTTGTTAACATATGAATATGTGTATAGGGAGGGCAAGGGAAAGGAAGGGTCTCACCAGAGTAAAATCAAGATTTCTGCCAGGTCACATTTCTTTCTGGAGTCTTTAGGGGATAACCCATTTCCTTGCCCTATCTAGCTTCTACAGGCCACCTGTATTTCATGGTTTATGGTCTCTTCCTCCATCTTCAAAGCCAGCAGGGCAGCATCTTCAAATGTCTCTTTGATGCTATTCTTCTGCCTCTTTCTTCCACAATCAAAGGAATAATGAAATGTCACTTTTTTTCTTCAGTGAACATTGGCATTTTGACAAGGCAAGAGAATTAATGACCTGAGAAATAAGTGGCTGGCCAAGTGCAAGACAGAAACCCAAGACCTTTCTTATGACTGAGGATTTCTCATGCCCTGGGAGCAAGTCATTTTCCCAAAGGAAGCTTTAAAGTAGATGGCAGGGGCCTAAAATATTCTCAAAAAAGAAAAAAATCTGGGAGAAAATTATTACATTGGGTTCATGGATAATCCAGCATAATCATTACTTCTAGACCAGCTGATTATCAACATTAATTCCATTGGCAATTTCCTCTTGCCATGTAACAACATATTCACATGTTTTGGAGATCAGATCATGAACTTCTTTGGGAAGCAATTATTCTGCATACCACATTCGTGTTAATTCTTGTTTGTTTGTTTGTTTTTACCTAACAATGTTCTTGTTGGAATCCCTGGGCGCCTTCTTCATTGTTAGTTCTCTGTTCCTTTCACAACTTATGTTCACCATACTCACCTTCTTCTCCATTTGCTTGGGAATATTCTCTCTCCTCTGCATCTACTTTAAACCTTCCTGTGGGCAAGTGACTTCTTCCCAGGACTTCGGAGATCCTCAGACCTAACAAGGGCCTTGGGCTTCTGTCTTGCATTTGGCCACCCATTTATTTCTCAGGTCAGCCATTCTTTGCCATTTTTCCATTTCTTTTTCAAGATTTTAGAAGTTCTTGTTAACCCTCTTGATCTTAATGATTCATTTTTGGTAGGTGTAGACCATAACTTTAGGAAAAAAGTGGTGTTTAACAAGTTTTAAGTAACTGACAATCTGTTTACTGTCACATTCTATTTTTTTCCTTGGTAAAGTGTGTGTGTGTGTGTCAGGGTAATATTAGTTTCTGTAATAAATAACTTAAAATTTTAGTGTTTCAATATATTCTAGTTTTATGTCTCATCAGCAAATAATCCAATAGAATTATTCCCTGCTGGCAGGTAACCTTTCTCCACATGGTAATTCACTTTGCTTTCTCTTTGGAGATCTGTTCATCCGTAAGGCTTCGGAGTCCTCTGTAGACAGCAACAGAAGGGAAAAGTATGGGACATCATGCATGGGAGTTTCTTACGAACCTGGCCTAGGAATGACAGGTGTCATTTCTACTCAGATTCTATAGGTGTGAACTAGTCCTATGGCCACAGATAGAGGACTGGGAAATACAGCCCATAGATGTACAACTACTTTGCAGTGACAACAGTACAGTGGGGAAAGGAGAGTATGGCCTCTAGCCATCTCAACCATAGCACATTTTTCACTTGTTAGCTCTGTTTGCACTCCACACCTTTCTCACCATCAAGATCTTTCCAAGTCCTCTATGATTCTTCTTTATAAATTATTCATTTTCCTCATCTAAATGGAGAGACTCATGTACATGAGATGTCTTCAGACATGGGATTACATTAATCCCTCCTCATGACACATTCTTTAGCACGTCATACAATTTGATGCTGGTTTTCATTCTTATTGCTCTTCTCAGTACTGTCTCACAGAATATCAGGCTCTTATTTTCTTTACATTCAGAAGACTGGGCTCCTCTACTGCAAGGAGACTTTCAGCATAGTTTGTAGTTCCAACAAAGCTGCCCTCCTTCCTCTTTTTTCTCTGCCATGCTTTCAACTTAACACAAGTTTCAATATTCTCTAGACTCTTCAAACTCTCACATTTCTTATTTTTTATGTTACTTAGTATTGCACATCTAATGTCAGTTCATTCACTCTGACAAGTCAGATTATAGCAGAAGCATTTCCTTAAGATGTGCTATGGTCAGAATGTTTTATCCATTCAAAAATCATATGTTGAAACCTAATTGCTGACTTCATGGTATTACGAATGAGGCCTTTGGGTGGTGCTAGGTCATGATGGTAGAGTCCCCATGAATAGAATTAGTGCCCTTATAAAAGAGGCCCCAGAGACCTGCCTTGCTCCTCTACCATGTGAAAACACAGAGAGAAAGCACCATCTATAAACCAGAAATTGGGCCTTCATCAGACACTTGATCTTGGACTTCCCAGCCTAAAGAACTATGAAAAGATAAAGTTCTCTTGTTTTATGCTACCCATTACATGGAATTTTGTTAATGCAGCCCAAACAACCTAAGATAAGACCTTCCTCCTCCATACAGAGTGGCCAGTAAAAATACACACAAGTTTGATGATTGCCTCTGGCTGCAAGACTTTGGAATATTTCCCCAGGTTTCTGTGTAATGAAGCTTGATTTCTCAACTATTTCCCACATGATAGCTCTTTGGTAATGGCATGCTGTATGTGATTCTTAAAATTGCACGTGGGTGGTCAATCCCAAAGTTGGTCATTCTGTGGGTTAAAACAAGTGAAATGAGAAAACAACACTTGCAAAATAGTCTAGGCTTTCATTTCTAGAGTGGGAAACACAAAGTAGAGTTGGGTTTTATACTGTCTCCTTGATTGGAGATCAGTAAAATTCTCCCTTTACCAGGGTTGTAAATCTTGTTTTAGATTTTTCTATAAAACTGATCAAAGATATGGATCATGACTACAAAATCTCAACCTCACTCCCATCAAATACTTACAGGTGTAGTTGTACAAAATTCTGGGTCCAAATTCAGGGGAGTTTAAGACATTTCAAAGCACGCGAAACCCTCTTTTGGCTTATCTCAAGAAAGTATACCATAGTGATCAAGACCATGGCTTGTGGAGTAAGGATAATCACCACATTACATGATTTGTCATATTTAGTACTTTGCTTAACCTTAGTTCCCTCAGTTTCACATTGTTTAAAATGAGGTTAAAAATACTACATCCTGTCTTACAGGGTTGTTATAAAGGTTAAATTAATTTATGTTTCTAAAACATTGAAAACAATGCCTGCTACATTGTGAATAGTGTATAATTACTTATTAGTTAAATAAACTTGTAGTAAATTAATTTATCAAATATTTTCCTTCTTGAATTCCAGGTCTCAAATATGACAGATCATCACTATTAACCCTCTTCATCTAAATTTCTGATGATTGAAGGCTTAATGATCAGAAGGCTTGGATCCTATTAGCCAATAACTGGATCATAATATTAGCCAATATAATAATTCAAATATATTAAAGAATCTAATCTAATAATTTTAAGTATATAACACTTAAAAAAGAAAAGTCCATATTAGCCAGTATAATAATCTGATTATCTTTCAGCCAATATGCACACTCACACAATCTATTCAACACACATACACACACAATGGATTAGCCAATAGATTAGATTCTCTAATCTATTTGAGTTATTTTATTGGCCGATATGGACTTTCCTTTTTTAAGTGTTATATACTTATCTTGTTTCAATAATGTGAAGAATCAATGTGTGAATGAAGAAGAAAACACAATATTATATAATCAAGTTGGACAATATTAGAGGAATTCTATCCTTATTATTAGAACAAATGAACAAAAAAGGAAAATAAATTTTACTTTACTTATATATCAATGCTTTTGCAAGAAATGAATTAATTAAGGAAGAGTGTGATGGCCTGGCATGTTAAAGATAAAATATAATAAAAGAATTAAATAAAATAAAGAAAAAGAAACTGTGCTTTATTTTTTTTTCCCTAATTTCAATCTTTTCTTTCCCTTTAGTGGCTTTTATTCTCTCCCAACCTTTAATAATAGACATATAAAACACTCTGCCTGTGAACTCATGCCTATGAACAGACAGTACATGAAACTGTTTGATTTTCTTATTTTTCAACATTTTTGTCCCCCACCTTTGTATTTATTAGTTCTTCATCTAGTTCTTCCTTTGAACTTTAGCACCAACTATACCACTTAAACACTAACATTTGAAAAGTTTATTTCCCCCACAAGGAGAAGGTTGTGTGTTTGCGTGTGTGTGTATTGGCTAAGGGATGCCTTCAAAAACAATTTATAGTCAAGAGGAATAAGAACACTTTTTTTCCACTTAAATGCTGTGAACTGGTGTTATTAGCACTAAAGCAATGAGTTTCAGAACTTCCTGAGTTAACATAGAAGCTGTTAACTGGTGAAAACATGAAAATTCTGATTCTTCTAGAAAGAAAAAATATCTCACAATGCCCAAGAGTTTTAGTTTATGTGAAAAAATTAAACATATGTTTATTGCCTCCTGTTTATTGGTCTCCTGAACACTGAATGGATATCTTAAGACTCCACTGCTTAATTCAGTTCAAAATGATCACAACCTTGCTGAAAATCTGCTTTTTGGACCAGCCATTTAAGTGAGCTATGTTCTTCTGCAATTAGGAAGAAGAATCAATGTTGGACAGGGTACTTGTATGTTTTTAATGTTTTTTATTTTACACAGAAGCCCAGCCATTTCTTCTTTAGTGTTTCTTATTATTTAGTGGTTATTTGGTGACTTCTATTTCATAAGTCATGATTTCCAGACTGTCATCTGTTCTCTGTCCAAACAGAAGGTGATTTGAGCCTCAATAAATTGTTACAAAAGAGTTTAAACCAGAATCTTGAGAAAAAAATGTACTTTATCCTCACTGACATCTGATAAAATTAATTAAACCAAAAGCACAATTTTTCCTGTGATAATACCACCCCAATAGCTGAAATAAATACTAACTTAGCAGGAAATTAATATTCTTTTCAACTACTGGTTTAACAAAATTTTGTTTGGTTTTAACTTTGGCTTTTATCCAAAAGTAAGTTTCAAACAGTGTGTTATCATTTCACATTGAAAACCTGAAGCCACTCGGATACAGTTCCTTAGTGAAAAGATAACTGGGCTTGAGGTTTGGTCTCAAGAGATGCAGGTTCTACTTCTGCTCCACCCACATTTGCTGATGTAATTGGACAAGTCACGAAAGCATTCTAGGTCACAATTTGCCCAACTGTGAATTGAAGAAATTGGACTAGAGCTGAGATTCTGAAATACAGGCTATGTGGTATGTTTCAGGAGTTACTTCAAAGTTAAGAGAAAAATACAACACATATTAGAAAGTGATGTCACTAGTTCACAGTGAGCTGTCTTTATATTTCAATAAAACTACTTCTTTCCCTCTCAGTGCATTTACAATACTCTACCAAAATTTCATATCTAATTGTTGTCTCCCCCACTAGATTGTAAGCATTAAGAAGGATAGCATAATCATATTACCAGGGCCCAGGACAGGGCATGTCACAGAGTAGGCACACAACAAATACTTGCTGAATAAGTGAATACACAAATGATGAGTGTAACCCTGGTGCTCTTAAGTGTGCAGAAGTTACCTACTGATAAAACTACATTGTGTTTCAGTTTTTTGTTGTGTAGAAATGGACAAGGAAGACTAGAGTAGATAATTCCATGGTTCTTATCTAGGCAGTAGAATCTTCAGCCTCTTCAAATATTATTTTAATATGAATAATACATAAGCTTGTTTTTAGAAGTGCAATAGTATGTGAAAATATGATTTAAATTGAACTTATTTTGGTAATTACAGTATATCAAAAGAGTGAAACCTCCTCTCATGAATGACTTGCACCTAAATGACTTTTGGGTAAACAATGAAATTAATGCAAAAATCAAAACAAATCTGAAATAAATGAGAACAGAGACATAAAGTAACAAAATTTCTGAGATACAGCAAAAGCAGTGTTAAAAGGAAAGATTATGGCACTAAATGTCTACCTCAAAAAGTTAGAAAGATCTCAAATTAATGATCCAGCATCAGAACTAGAGGAACTAGAAAGACAAGAACAAATGAACTCCAAAGCTAGCAGAAGAAAGTAAATAACTACAATCAGAGCAGAACTGAAGGAAATTGAGATGCAAAAATCCATACAAAGAATAAAAAAACCAAAAGTGGGCTTTTTTTTTTTTTTTACAGGTTAAGCAGGATCAATAGACAGCTACCTAGATTAAGAAAGAAAAAAAGAGAAAAGATACAAATAAGCACAATCAGAAATGACAAAGTTGACATTACAATCGATCCCACAAAAAAAAAAAAAGATCGTCAGAGACTACTATGAACACCTCTATGCACACAAGCTAGAAAATATAGAGAAAATTTATGAATTCCTGGAAATATACAATCTCCCAAGATTGAATTTGGAAGAAACTAAAACTATGAACAGAACAACACTGAGTTCTGAAATTGGGGCAGTAATAAAGAAACCTTACCAAACAAAAAAAGCCTTAAACCAGATGGATTCACAGTCAAATTCTACCATATGTACCAAGAAGAGATGGCACTAATTCTACTAAAACTATTGCAAAAAATTGAGGAGGAAGGACTCCTCCCTAACTCATTCTAAGATGCTAGCATCACCCTGATACCAAAACCTGGCAAAGACATAATGAAAAAAAAAAAGGAAAAAATCAAAAAGAAACTACAAGCCAATGACCCTGATCATTACAGATGCAAAAATTTTTAACAATATACGTGCAATCCAAATCCAATAGAACATTAAGAAGCTAATTCATCATGATCTAGTAGACTTCATTCCTGAGATGCACGTTTGGTTCAACATAGGCAAATCAATAAATGTAATTCATAACATAAAAATAATTCATAACAAAAACCATACAATAATCTCAATAGACATGGAAAAAGCTTTCAAGAAAATCCAACATCCCTTTATGACAACAATCCTCAAAAAATTGGCATGGAACAAACATACTTCAAAATAATAAGAGCCATCTATGACAAACCCATATCAACATCATAATGAATGGGCAAAAACTGGGAGCATTCCCCTTGAGAACTAGAAGACAAGGATGTGCACTCTCACTACTCCTATTCAACATATTACTGGAAGTTCTAGCCAAAGGAATCAGTCAAGGAAAAGAAATAAAAATATCTCTGATAAGCTAAAGAAGTAAAACGATCTCTCTTTTCAGACAATGTAATTCTGTATCTAGAAAACCCTAAAGTTTTGGCAAAAAGCCTCAAGTTACTAATAACAGATTTCGGTAGAGTTTCAAGATATAAAACAAATGTACAAAAAACATTCTTTCTTTCTTTCTTTCTTTCTTTCTTTCTTTTTTTCTTTCTTTCTTCTTTCTTTCTTTTTTTTTTATGCAGTCTCACTCTGTCATCCAGGCTGGAGTGCAGTGGTGCGATTTCGGCTCACTGCAACCTCCATCTCCTGGATTCAAGCAATTCTCCTGCCTCAGCCTCCTGAGTAGCTGGGACTACTGGTGCATGCCACCACACCTGTCTAATTTTTTGTATTTTAGTAGAGACTGGGTTTCACCATGTTGCCCAGGCTAGTCGCGAACTCCTGATCTCAGGCAATCCGCCTGCCTCAGCCTCCCAAAGTGCTGGGATTACAGGTGTGAGCCACCATGCCCAGCCAAAACATTAGTATTTCTATACAACAATAACATTCCAGCTAAGAGCCAAAACAAAAATGCAATAGCAAAAAAACATCGACCTAGGAATATATCTAACTGAGGAGGTGAAAGATCTCTACAATAGCTACAAAACACTGCTAAAAAAACTTATGGAAGAGTATTCCATGCTCATGGATTGCTTGAAGAATCAATATCATCAAAATGTCTGTATTGCCCAAAGCGATCTACAGATTCAGTGCTATTCCTATAAAACTACTAACATCATTTTTCATAGAATTAGAAATACTATTCTAAAATTCATGTGGAAACAAAAAAGAGTCTGAGTAGCCAAAGCAATTCTAAGCAAAAAGAACAATGCCAGAGGCGTCACGCTACCTGACTTCAAACTATAGTAACCAAAACAGCATGATACTGGTACAAAATAAAATAGAGAACCCTGAAATAAAGCTGCACACCTACAGCCATCTGATCTTCAACAAAATTGACTAAAATAAGCAATGGGGAAATAACTCCCTATTTAATGAATAGTGCTGGGATAGTTGGTTAGCCATAAGTGGAAGAATAAAACTGGACCCCTACCTGTAACCATACACAAAAAATAACTCAAGACAGATTAAAGATTTCAATGTAACACTTAAAACTAGAAGAATGCTAGAAGAAAATCTAGGAAACACATTTCTGGACATTGGCCTTGGGAAATAATTTATGACTAAGTCCTCAAAAACAATTGCAACAAGAACAAAAATTGACAAGTCAGACCTAATTAAACTAAGGAGCTTCTGCACAGCAGAAGTAAATACACAGAGTAACAGAAACCTAAAGAATGGAAGAAAATATTTACAAACTATGCATCCAACCAAGGCCTAATATCCAGAATCTGTTAGGAATTTAAACAGATTTGCAAGCAAAAAAACAAGAAACCCCATTAAAAAATGGGCAAAAGCCATGAACAGACACTTCTCAAAAGGAGACCTACAGCCAACAAACATATGAAAAAAACACTCCACATCACTAATTATCAGAGAAATACAAAGCAAAACCAAAATGAGATACCATCTCATATCTGTCAGAATAGCTAGTATTAAAAAATCAAAAAATAACAAATGCTGATGAGGCTGCAGATAAAAGGGAATACTTATTACACTGTTGGTGGGAATGTAAATTAGTTCAGCAAATGAGAAAAGCATTTTGAAGTTTTCTGAAAGAACTTAAAACAGAAATACCATTTGAACCAGCAATCCCATTACTTGGTATATACCCAAAAGAAAACAAATCATTGTACCAAATTGACACATGTAATAACATGTTCATCACAGCACTATTCACAATAGCAAAGACATAGAATCAACCTAGGTGCCCAATAATGGTAGATTGGATAAAGAAAATGTGGTGTATATATACACCATGGAATACTATGTAACCATAAAAAAGAATAAAATCATATCCTTTGCAGCAGCATGGATGGAGCTGGAGGCCATTATCCTAAGCGAATTAATGCAAGGACAGGAAACCAAATACAACATATTCTCACTTATATGTGGGAGCTAAACACTGGGTGCTCAGTTACATAAAGATGGAAACAATAGAAACTGGGGGCTACTAGATGAGGGAGGGACTTACTATGCTCAGTACCTGCATGACAGGATCATTCAAACTCCAAACCTCAGCATCACGGTATAGTATACCCAGGTAACAAGCCTGTACATGTACCCCCCTGCACCTACAAGAAAAGTTGCAAAAAAAAATGCTCATCATTACTAACCTTCAGAGAGATGCAACTTAAAACCACTATGAGAAACCATGTCTCACTAGTCAGAATGGCTGTTATTAAAAAGTCAAAAAAATCACAGATGTTAGTGAGACTACTGTGAAAATGAAATGCTTATACACTGTTAGTGGGAATGCAATTTAGTTCAGCCACTGTGGAAATCGGTTTAGAGATTTCCAAGCTAATTGCCAGCATCATGCAATATACCCATGTAACACAATTCTACATGTACCCTGTGAATCTAAATAATTAAAAAAACACACACAATAAATAGAGATAAAAAGAGAATCCACTCATGCTGAGTTAACTTAGTCCTTCTACCATTATCAAAAGTGAAGCACACATTGGAACTTAGAGCATGCCTCCCCTGGGTGTACCACTGCACATGGAGGAGGGTTTAATATCCCCCTTGATCCTTGTATTCATTTTCTGATCATTCTCCCTTCTTTCTGATCATGTCCCTAGGAAACAAAAAGAAATAAAAAATTATAAAAGTCACCAACTGAAAATGCAGCATGAATATTAGATCATCAAACTGAACCCCTTTCAATCCTGTAATCTTGATTTGCACCCTATTTCAGCCACTCCCTCACATGGTAATATTCTAGACCTAATCATTATCAATAAGTGCAACACATCATAATTTCAATTTCATGCATCCCACACTTCACCACCTCCTAAATTTTCAACTTATTTCATCAAATTTTTCAATCCCTTTATATGAGCCAACTCATTGTTATTGTCACCATTTCAATATCACTGATATGTGCTTGCTGTTCTTGGATTCCGTAGCCAATCATTGTGATCAATCTTGCACATACTTTTGACTCCCTTGGTGCTCTTTCGTTTTGCCTTATACCCATTGGCAAAACCATAATCCTGGTTAAAACCAACTCTCTGTTCCGTCTGTACCAGTCCAGGTACGGCTGAATCTTGTGGAGAAAAATACATAGCCATGCTGAACTGGTTCCACTTCATATTCAAAAGTATAAACCTCATAGCAGGTCCTTAACACTCTCAGACAGTCATTTTAGTGTTCTCTAATCCATTCAGTCTCTTATTCTCTTAAATGACTATTTGATAGCTTGTCATTTCTCTGGAAACTCCCAAGAACTCATTCCTATTCTCACTCTCAGCTGATGACCTTAGTTCCTATTTGCCTGAGAAAATTGGAGCAATCAGATAAACCACATTTACCCTCTCATTGTCATCTGTACTCAGAATCTCAGCCATCCAATTGGCAAACTACCCATAATCCTGTCTAAAGCCACTTCTTGAAATCTCCATTTCTGCCACCATTGTCTGAGCCATCATCACCATCTGGATTCCAGCCTAACATACCTTATCTCCCACATTTATCCTCACAATCCACCTTTGCCTAGTTTCCTTACAAATTGGTGACACATCCAGTGTATGTGCATGTCAGGTCATGTAACATTCCTGCTAAAATCATTTAAATGGATCTCTGTTTTACTTATACTAAGTCAACAACATTATAATGTGCTACAAGGTACCATATGTTCTTAACTCCTACTACCTGTTACCCTGTTCTCATATGCTCACTCCTCTACAGCTACTCTTGCCTCCTTTTGTTCTTAAAACATGGCAGGCTGACTCTAAATTTAGAGTTTTGCTCTTACTTTTCATTTTTTTTAGACCAATCTTGCTTCAGATATTCACATGGCTCACTCCCTCCCCTTCTTCAAATCTTTTGCTAATCTCCTCTTTTCATGAGGCCTTCTTTGACCACCTTATTCAAATTACAACACACCCATGCCCCCCAGCTTTCTTAATACCCCTAACTTGCTCTATTTTTATAGCAGTAACTGACTTCTATATACTGTTTAATTTGTTTATCATGTTTATTACCTATAGTCTCTTTTTCCCCATAAAGAAATATAAGCCATAGATTATAAATCATTATAAGTCAAATATAAGCCCATAGATTAGGAGTCATTGGGTTTTTTTCAAGGATAGATTTTGCATGCTAGGAATATCATGATGGCTCAGAGTGAACATTCAAATATGTTGGATAAAGAATAACTATTCATAAGGATTTGATATTAGCATTTATGAATGGATTTCAATTTTAAATTCCTATATGTATATATTTGATGAAAATATTTAGAAGCATTTAAAAATAGCCATCTAGCTTAAAAGCTATAAACTGTGCAAAATTTCACACATACACACACACACCTATCAATACAATAACCAAATAATTTTAGTGAAGAACTTTTTTGTCTCTACATATAAGTAAACTATTAAGCCCAAGAGAGAGAATAACTCTTTAATTTATCTGGGTAATATATTGTTCTTCAACTAAATTGTTCCATGTACAACAAACTGGCCATAAGGATGCTTACTTTGAAAATTGAAACAGTTTATATTATTTTCTTCACCTACTCCATTGTGCCTTTGGAGGCTCCTGCAGAAGAAACATATGAAGACATTGCCGCATGATGAATCTTATACTAAAGAAGTGTAACTAGCAAAATAATAGCTTTAAATAGAAGTCATCCATATCCGGTTTTAGCCTGTTGTTTGTATAAGTATAGCATTAAAACAATAAATTGGAAAATATGTGATAACACTGTAGAAAAGAATTTGAAGAAAAATATCAAGTACTATGAAAAATGGAAGCTTAATCCCTCCCCCATGAATAGGTTGGGCAATGTGACAAAGAATAAAACATTCTACCCTAAAAATGCCCTTTTGAAATCAGATTTGACCTACATTTTGCTATTTGTCGAAATGCGGCACGTCATATTCTCCATAATCATGTGGTTGTGATAGGTCTTAAAATTACTTGAAGTAATTAAGGTTGACATACTATGTAGAAAGATGAACCAGAAAAAAAATTAAGTGTGCAATAAGAAAAAATGTTTCTAATTCTATATGTAGAAAAACCCATAGTCTCTGTCCCAAAGCTCTTTGATCTAGTAAACAACTTTTGCAAACTTCCAGGATACAAAATCAATGTACAAATATCAGCAGCATTTCTATACACCAGCAACATCCAAGCTGAGAGCCAAATCAGGAATGCAATCCCATTCACAATTGCCACAAAAAGAATAAAATACCTAGGAATACAGCTAACCAGAGATGTGAAAGATCATTACAACAAGAATTACAAAACATAACTCAAAAAATCTGAGATGATACAAACAAATGTAAAATCCTTCCATGTTCGTGGATAGGAAGAGTTAAATTAATAAAATGGCCACACTGCCCAAAGCTATTTACAGATTCAATGTGATTTTTATCAAACTACCAATGGCACTTTTACAGAATTAGAAAAAAGGATTTAAAAATTCATATGGAACCAAAAAAGAGCCCAAATAGCCAAGGAAATACCAAGCAAAAAGAACAAGACTAGAGGCATCACGTTTTGAAGTGAAGGCATCACTTCAAACTACACTACAAGACTACAGTAATAAAAACAGCATGTTACTGGTACAAGAACAGACACATAGACCAAATGTAATAGAATATAGAGAGCAGAAATAATTCTGCACACCTACAACCATCTGATCTTCAAAAAAGCTGACGAAAACAAGCAATGGCGAAAGGAATTCCTATTCAATAAATGGTGCTGGCCTAACTGACCAGCCATATACAGAAGATTGAAACTGGACCTCTTCCTTACACCATATGCAAAAATAAACTGAAGATGGATTAAATACTTCAACATAAAACCTAAAACTATAAAAATTCTGGAAGATAATGGGAAATAGCATTCTGGACATAGGCCTTGACAAAGATTTCATGACGAAGACTCCAAAGGCAATTGCAACAGAAACAAAAAATGACAAGTCACACCTAATTAAACTAAAGAGCTTCTGCATGCAAAATAAACTATCAATAGAGTGAACAGACAACGTACAGAATGGAAGAAAATATTTGCAAACTATGCATCTGACAAAGGTCTAATATCCCAGAATCTGTGTGAAAAATAAATTAGTTTACAAGTCAAAAACAAGCAACCCCATTAAAAAGTGGGCAAAGGACCTGAACAGACACTTTTCAAAAAAGACACACATGTGGTCAACAAGAATATAAAAGAATGCTCAACTCACTAATCATTAAAGAAAGCAAGTCAACACCACAATGAGATACCATTTTACACAAGTCAGAATGGCTATTATGTTTAAAGTCAAATAACAGATCCTGGCGAGGATGCAGAGAAAAGGGGACACTTATACACTGCTGATGAGAGTGTAAATTAGTTCAACCATTGTGGAAAACAGTGTGGCAATTCCTCAAGGAACTTAAAATAGAATTACCATTTGACCCAGCAATCCCATCATTGGGTATACACCCAAAGGAATGTAAATCATTCTATCATATCACACGCATCTGTATGTTCTTTACAGCACTATTCACAATAGCAAAGACATGGAATCAACTAAACGCCCATCAGCAGTAGACTGGATAAAGAAAATATGGTACATATATATCATGGAATATTATGCATCCATAAAAAGAACAAAACCACGTCCTTTGCAGCAACATGAATGGAGCTGGAGGCCATTATACTAAGCAAATCAATATAGGAACAGTAAAACCAAATACCATAATTTCTCACTTATAAGTGGAAACTAAACAATGAGAATACATGGACACAAAGAGAAAAACAACAGACACCGGGGCCTGCTTGAGGGTTGAGGGTGGGAGGAGGAAGAGGGTCAGAAAAAATACCTGTCAGGTCCTACACTTATTACCTGGGTGACAACATAATCTGTACACCAAACCCCCATGACATGTAGTTTACCTATATATATATAACGAACCTGTACTGGTACCCTGAACCTAAAGTACAAATTTTTTTTAAAAAGGCAAAATGCATTCAGTAAGTGAAGCAATTGACCTACACTTTGACTTAGAAATTTGGGACTTGTAAATTTTACTATAATGGTTGAAGTTTAAGACTGTAGCCTGAAGTTCTAGTCAGATAGAAGTAGAATTTTAGAAGGAATTGAATTCGTACGTCTACTACTTGACCCCAGTTTCAACCATGAATTCCTTAGCCATGCATGAGGCTTGAGTGGAGCCTGAACGTTCTTCTCTCCGTTGTAAGCAAAGGAACCCTTTGTGTTCCTTTGTGTGTTGGCAGTAGAACTTAGCCCTGTGTGTTGGCAGTAGAACAAAGTAAAGAATACACTGATTTTAAATAACGATTATTTATTAAAGTCTCAAATTTCCCTTGGACATCTCTTGAGTGTGATTTAAAATTACAGAAGCTCATGAGGTCCAATCCCCCGATTCAAAGGGACCCAAGCATAATTATTGCTGAGCAGCCCCATTGGCAGATTCCAAGAGGGGAGAGCCCTTGTTTGATCCTGGGCCTTGCCTGGGATTCTAGCTCCTCCCCTTGCTTGAGCCAAGGCCAGCACAGGAACCAGGACTGGGATGAAGCTCCCTGCTGACTGTCTCACTCTCTCCATGTGTGCTTTTCTCAAGGAAGTGGGTGTAAAGAGTAGAACAGTAAGTTGAAAGGGAGAGGCAAGATGAAATAGGAGTGGAGAAAAGTAAAGAAATGATAAACACACTTTAACTGCACAGACGCAAATTAAAATTTTCCAGAAATAACCAGCACCCCTCTTCAAGCCCCTCCACGTATCACGATCCTGCTGAGGCTGCTATTTCAACCTAGGGGAAACCTGGCAACCTTATGAATATACACATCTATTTGCCAAGAATTTGTTTATAAAAGACTCGCTGACCCTTTTGAGGGTGTTCTTTATTATCTGGCTGATCTTAAGAGGTTTACCAAGATTTGGAACGAAGAATCAAAAAGAATATTAAAACTAAATAAGAAGTGACTAAAGCAGGGTGAAGTTGTATGGGTATGAAATTGTATGGTCAAAGTTAAATATTCAAATCTTTTTTTCAAGTTTGGGGTATTTGGGAAAAAATAAAATAAACTTTATTTGAAAGTATTTTTTTATGAATTGATGTACCCTTTTTTGTTGAGGCAAATGTTACTTGTATTAGTTTTTGTGTCAAATCAGATTTCCTTTTTTTAAATTAGATATTGAATATTAACACTCTAGTTGCAGATTATGCCACTGAGATTATAAAATGTAATTTTATATCTTCGATTTTTTCTGATTTACTAACAACAAAAACATCTAAAAGCTTATAAAGTCTTATAAAACATATACAAGCTTATGTCACACATAATAATATGTGTAACTTCACTGAAAAATTTAGCTGATGTAAATTTAAATTATTCTTAAAATGTTTATTTTCTTTTATTTTCCCCAAAATTTAGATTTTTGAATATAATCTTATATTACAGGTTTGCAAATTCAAAATTATTTTAGGTTTGTACTCCATAAAGTAGCCCAAAGAGCCATTAGTAGTATTAATAGTGAAAATCCAGTAGTATTAATAGTGAAAATCCTTAACTAAAATTAAGGGCAAAACAAATGTAATACTATTAAAAAATAAAAATATTATCCAATAAAGTGTTCATAAAGGTAACAGTGCTATTAAAATAATGTTCAGAATAAAATGTAATAAAGGGAAAAGTCTTAGATCTTCAAATTCTACTTGCTAGAGCAGGAAGAATGCAGTATTGTAGAACAAAGAAATGTCTGGGACAAACATGAGCAAATCAAAGCACCTCTTTATTAGCTTTTTTTAAATTAATTATTCCATTTTTTGAAAGCTTTCTTGTCATCTATAAAACAAGATTGGAACAGATAATCTTTGGGATTCTTTCTCTCTTTGACATTGTATTTAAAACTTCAAGGAAGGAACAGAAGAGGAGGGAGGGAAGAAGTTATATTCCATATGGGTGTCTCTTTGGAAGAAAATGCAACTCAGATAGTTTCAAGACTTTAGTCACAATACATATGTTTTAGAACTTCAAGTCCAGATGCCTAGTATATGAAACCCCATTGTGATGTCCCTTCTCTTTTTAAGTCAGTATTAATATCTTACATTTTGTCCTCCTCAAACAGAGATAAAACGAACAAGAAAGGAAACATCATAGTGTACATTACTGACAGTAACTTTCTTGGTCAAACTTTAGTCAGGTTCTTTTGAGCCCTTTTCTCTATGAGGCCTCTTCCTTTGCCTGCTGAGCCTAGTTTTGGCAAAGAATCCCACGAAGGGGAAAATGAAGAATTCCCCCATCTTTGATATCCAGTCAAGCTCGTCTTCTTACACTGTTAATATTTAATCAAGTTCCTCTTCCCTCTCACCCTTCATACCTAATCAAGTTCCTCTTAGTTATTTTCTATCTTCTCTCTTATCCTGCCCTCTGGTTATGATTTCTGTCTCTTGTGTTCAGAGTTGAAAGAGATGGGGAGAATGGAACCAATTTGGAAAAATATTTCAGGGTATCTTTCACCTTTTCTAGAAAAGCAGAGAGAGCCAGAGTAATGATCCTGAGTCTGCGCCTCCCCGTGCAAAGAGGGCATGGAGTAGAGGGGTCTGGAACAAGGACTGTAGACCCAGACATATCAAGAATCAAGTTCTACCAGCAGTGCTTATTTGCTGCATGAGTTTGGGCAACCTCCGTTTCTTTACCTGTAAAATAATAATAGTACCTGGGACAGACCAAACAAACCATGCTCACTTCACAAATCCATGTTAGAACCTGAACTCTTGAGTTTAGATTAGCTTCTAAAGCTGCTCTTACATCCTGACCCATTGAGTTTGGTGCTGTCTCTAAAGTAGCAGTTGTCTCAACACATGGCTGCTCGTTTCTAGAGACATAATTAAAGAAAATGGAAAAGAAGGATGCTTTAGATACTATGGGCACTCGACATCCAGAGTGAAATCTTATACTTCAGAATAAACAAAGCATTTACAATTTTTTCTTAGCAACAGGGGAATCTGAATCACAAATGGAAGACTTTACGTATGTTGTCCCTAAACAGAGATGACATTTCAATTAGAGAGCGAGGATAATTTAGCATGTTTAGGCAGCACCTAAGCCTTTTGGTTTCATGGTATTTACCACCCTGCCAACATGACCATTGTTATTAGAGTGATGCTATTTTTGAACTGTGATAGTCTCTATTTTCATGCAGAAATTTCTTTCTTTCCAACATTTAATACTTTATAAAATTCTCGAGATTTTTTCACATTATCTTCATGCCACAATAAAATAAGAGCCACAAATGTGGAAAGTGATAGTACAAACAAGAAAAGAACTGGTAAGGCATTTTAAACCCTGAAAGTTTTTTAAAACATATTACTTTGATCCTATTCTATCGGCCAGCGCTTCATGATCTATTATTTCATTCCGACCCTGCATGTCTGTGTGTGTATGTGTGTGTGTACATATGAGCATGCATGTGTGTTTAATCAACACATCTCTGAGAAAATCAACAACTTCTCATAAAGGATGATATACTCCCTTCTAAGAATGAGTCCTGACTATCAGTTTTCAGTCAGAAAGTGTTCACTGAAAGTCTACAATGTACTCAGCAGTATGCTAAGCTAAGAATTCAGAGAAAAGTTTCCTGCCTCCATGGAGTTTACTATCTACTTAAAAAAAGAAAACACTAAAGCGTGAGGTAGGTCAGGTAGATAATTTTTTTCCTCTTCTCCCTTTCTTCAGGCTGGCACATGCTCTCCTCTTTTCCATCCTCAAGATTGACATGTCCCTAATCAAGGTAGACACCTAGAAGTATAAGGTGATGATACTCAGGATAGAGGGAGGGAAAGAGATTCTTCTACAGTAAGATCCAGAAGCTATAAAAAGAGATATGCGGCCAGGTGCCGTGGTTCACTACTGTAATCCCAGGATTTTGGGAGGCTGAGGCAGGCGGATCACTTGAGGTCAGGAGTTCAAGGCCAGCCTGGTCAATATGGTGAAACCCCACCTTTATTAAAAATACAAAAATTAGCCTGGTGTGGTGGTGTGCACCTGTAGTCGCAGCTACTTGGGAGGCTGAAGCAGGAGAAGTACTTAAACCCCGGAGGCAGAGGTTGAAGTGAGCCGAGATCGTGCCACTGCACTCCAGTCTGGGTGACAGAGTCAGACTCCATCTGAAAAAACATAAAATAAAATAAAATGTAAAAAGAGAAGTGCAATGTTTGTTTATCATAGTCCAAGATGTTTTCTACCTCCAATCTCAGGCTTATCTGAGGTGGAACAAGATGGATGTAACTAGTTCAAAGTTGTCCCAAAGGCTGAGGAAAAGAGGTGCCCATTGAATAAAGTGGAAATGTTCAAGTTACTTAAAAACCATGGAGAGAAAGAAGACACACATTGCCTGTTCATTAAGTAGCAAAGGCAGAGGTTTTTAAATTCAGTGACCACAGAGTAGTGGTCATTGGGAATGACCTTAAATTTCAGTTTGAAGGACTCCAACTTGAGGAGAGCTGGAAATGTATTGACTAGAGAGGTCTCCCTCTCCCTCTATGGACTGGGATATGTGAAGTGAAATGAAGGTCTCAAACACTGTTCTGAATTAAACATTCTATCTAACTGTAAAGTTGCTTAAAAACGGGCTGTACCAACCTCCTCTTCCACTATTAAAGAGCACACCACTGGGAATAAAATAATAGAAAGACAAGGAACTTTGAACTACGCAGCCAGTACACAAGCAATAAATGTGTTGTAGTCAGAAACATTGTTAGGAAAATAATGTAATTGAGCCTTGAAGGATAAGAAAGATCTAGATGAATTGACTAGGATGGGGATGGAGACATGGTTATGAAAATTTTGCAAATAAAGACTCAGAAATGCAAATGAGGATGACATATGCAGGAGGCAGCAAGGAAACCAACACAACTGAATGCAAAGTTTCTAAATGGACAAGATCACAAATAAGACAAGTTGGGAAAAGCCACCTAAAGACATGTAAATATGGGCAGAGAATTATCCAATCACTTTGGTAAAATAATGAGCAACAATCCTTTGAATTTCTTTGAACACTCAAGAGACATTATGAAAGCCATATTACAGAAATATTGGTAATTCTGGTTAGGATAAATTTGAGGGGAATAAAATGTTTGCACCAGCAAGGAGGCTTTTGTAGCAATTTAGGTATGAACAGAGAGGAATAGATCAACCTGATAGACATTTCAAAGGTATAAACAGCCAGGGTTAGTGCTGGGTTATGTAAAAATGTGATGGTTAATACTGAGTGTTAACTTGATTGGACTGAAGTATACAAAGTATTGATCTTGGGTGTGTCTGTGAGAGTGTTGCCAAGAGAGATTCGCATTTGAGTCAGTGGGCTGGGGAAGGCAGATCCACCCTTAATCTGGTGGGCACAACCTAATCAGCTGCCAGCCAATATAAGCAGGCAGAAAAACATTAAAAGGAGAGATGGGCTTAGCCTCCCTGCCTACATCTTTCTCCTGTGCTGGATGCGGACTCCAACTTCTTCAGTTTTGGGACTCGGACTGGCTCTCCTTGCTCCTCAGCTTGCAGACAGCCTATTGTGGGACTTTGTGATCATGTAAGTTAATACTTAACAAACTCCCGTATACATATACACACACATATATATATATATATATATATATACACACACACACATATATATATAAAATATACATATATATAATATACATATATTGTATATGTGTGTGTGTGCGGGTGCATGAGCATGTGTGTGTGTTTAATTAACAAATCTCTGAGAAAATCAACAACTTCTTATAGAGAATGATATATTCCCTTCTAAGAATAAGTCCTGACTATCAGTTTTCAGTCAGAAAGTGTTTACTGAAAGTCTACTATGTACTCAGCAGTATGTTAAGCTATATATATATATATATATATATATATATAGACATATATATATATATATAGACATATATATATACATACACACACACACATATATCCTATTAGTTCTGTCCCACTAAGAGAACCCTGACTAATACAATAAGAAATGGGAGAGAGAGAAAATTCAAAGATGGCTTTCAAATTGGGAGACTAGAAGAACAGTGTTTGGCTTGAATGTTGCCAGTGTTTTCATTTAAGATAAGGACCAAGCTGGAGACCTGTCTTTGACACTAATCAGGCATATGATCCCTCAAGTAATGTAATCTATTTGATTAACTAAAAGAATGTTTTCATTGTTGAAATAAGTGATTTAGTTCATCTCTGAAGACTTGAAAAATCTGTTTTTATGAATTCCATTTTAGCTTTGTCAAATTAGTGCACATACTGAATATTATAAAGCTAAGCAAGAATTAGAAAACACAATGTCCCTAGCCTGTCAACATTTTAAAAAATCTTTTGTTGTATGCCACAGAACAACTTATGATAGCATGAGTCAGTACTATACATGTTATATAACTGTTTAACATTCTGTCTAACCAAGGAAGAAAATTAATTTTAATTTGAATACATGAACTGCTCTTTTCGAACTCATCTGGCTGTTTTCTTGGTCGATTTAGGAAAACTTTATAATATTGTTTTTTTCCTATGAAAGAATGTAAAATCTACTCCATGAGAATAAAAACAACATCAACAAAAACAACAGTGACTAACATTCAGGTAAATAGGAAAGTAATTTAAATATATCATGTGTTTTAATATTTAGAATTCACTTTTGAGAGGTCAGTATTATTTTACTGTTACAGCTAGTAAACTTGAGATTTAGCAAAATTATAATTTTACTAGCCATAAAGTACTTAGTAGTGAAGCTGGGACTATATATTGAGCCTTTCTGATCCCAAATCTATTTTCTTAACTCTTATATTGTGAGGGAATTACAATAGAGTCTGAGTTCTTTCAAAAGATGAATGGGATTTCTTCATGGATTGGATAAAACTCATTACATAGGGACATGACAAGGCTGTTAAAAATTTAATTCACATCCATTTGCCTGCCACCTTGCTGTATTGGTGAAAAATAATACTTTGGAACTGCATATAGGAGTGAAAAGTAAGGGAATGAATCATGACCCCCAATTCTCTACTCCTTCCTTTTCAGCAGAATAGAATGGGTAAAATGAAATTTCCTCTTTACTCATCTCCACCACAGAGCAATTTAGTACTTCTTGCATCTTCTTCTCCAGAAGTCAGAATATTAGGCATAGAAATATGATTCATTATCACATATTTAAAATCTCAAAACACCACTCTGACAATCATGTGGTCAGAGTATACAGAAAAGGTTGGTGAAAAGAAACTTCTCTAAGTAAAATGCAGTTGGAACTTTGTAATTAGAAAATATTTTTATTCACACATCATAAAAGATTTAAAGAGTTGGCTTAGCTTTTGGTATCATTGCTGAACTAGTGCTATGAAGCAGGAAGTAAAATCAATAATTTCCTCCTTAATAACTTCTGTGTCGTAATAGTTTCTTCATAGTTGTGTATTGCGTGTCTTTTCTTTAACTTGTAGAGTGTTGATGAAGTAATATTATGTGTAAAGGGTATGTTAAACCTCTCACATTAAAGTGAAAGAAAAAATATAAATAGAAGCTGAGACAGAAAATTTGTTCAAAATTAAATGGAAAAACATCATGTCACTAAGGAAAGATCGGGACTGAAAATTTCTTCCTGCTGTTAGCCACAACTTACAATATTCTTTCTCTTTATTTTATATCTTCTGAAATACTTGCACATTTTAGTCATGTTTAAAATATGTTGCTTAAATATATGTAACAAGCAGGCGATAGAAATTTTACTAGAGGGTTTTTCAGCAGCTTATGTCTGAGAAGGCAAAACTTAAGGATTTGTCAGTTCATTCATTTGTTGTATAATTTGCTAAGAGTGTAGTATTGTGCCTAACTTGGTGCTAAAGCAGGGCATATGAAAGTGGTGCACAAACATGGATTGTGAAGTTCACAGTCTAGTAGTTGAGAAACACATGAAACAAGAAATCATGCAGAATATTAATTGTATACTATAGTAAGGGCTTGAAGAACAGAAAACAAGGGCTGATCCAAGAGACTAACAGTGGAGAGGGAGGAGTGGGACAGATATATGAAGCTGTCAGGGAAGACCTCCTTGAAGAAGAGATATATGAAGTCAGTAAGTTAGTTCAGCAAGAGAAAGAGCTATAGTGCTCCAGGCAGGGGGAAATAAACTGATCAAAAAGTCCTGGAAGAAGGAAGACCCAGGGAAGCTAGGCAAGAGAAAGCAGAGACGAGGCTGACATCAGATCATGCAGGGTCTCATACACCATGGTAAGGATTTTGATATCAGGGGAATAACAAAGCTGTATTTATATTTTTAAAAAGTTTCTCTAATTGCTATGTGAAAAATGGACTGAAAGAGAGCAAAAATGGAAGTAAGAAGAATGTTTGCAATGCCTTTGTAAAGGTACAGCAAAACAAAGAAGTTTCAGTTACAAGGGGATATGCATTAGTCAAAACTGCAAAAAAAATACTTTTATGATACATGTATTTTTATATTAAAAGACATAACTTGAGCACACAATTGAGACATAAACAGACCTTGAGCACACATTAATTATGTATGCTGAAGTAGTTAGGAAAAAGCATACTGACATTGGCAATTTACTTTGAAATGCTTCACAAAATAAGATAGATTGATGGAAAGATAGAGGGATAGATAAATGGATAAATAAATTACAAAATAAGTAGATTAATACAAATAATACAGATAAAGGGTCATATAGGTGGTGATAATGGTACCTTGGTGGAGGTGATTTACAACTGTTTATCACAATCATAAAAATGTAGATTTCTTTGACCTAGTTATTCTACTTCTAGAAATATGTCCCATGAAATAATCAGAGGCACATACAAAGATTTATTCTATAATATATGAAGATAGTGAAAAGTAAACATAAAGATATATAAATAAAAACATGGATTAAATATATTACAGTATATCCATACGATTAAATTCTATTCTCCTCAACATTGTTTGACGGGAAAAAATCTAAGAAACTGTGAAAAAATTGAAGATGTATTTCCAAGTGAAAAAAGTAAGTTTGTCATACATGATCAATATTTTGTAAACAGTATTTGAAATGTGATCATTTATCAAAATGTTAACAATTACAGCTGGCTTATTTTCACCCTTTTCTCTATTTTCTAAATTTTCTACAATATTGAATGCATGTCTACTTCTTTAAATAAAAAAAGTAACTTTAAAAGAACTTCACCATAGTTATTTAAAATTAATTTAGACACAATGATGAGCAATATTAATATATTATGGCAGAAATATTATTAAAATGTAGAGGTAGATTATGGCTTAAAACTTTTACATTGTAATCAGAATATTAATTGGGAACGTTCTTAGTCTTTTAGCTATATTCAACTCCTAATTTGATGTAGCATAGGGAAGCAAACAGTCTCCATGAGGTTTTAGAAAGTAGCCAAGGGGAGCTGATGCCAGAAAAAGAAGCCAAGAAGATTGTTGGCTGACATTTAAAATCTCAAAGCAAAGACACAAAAATCAAAGTCAGAAAAATCACAATTTGCGTAGGATAAGTCTTTATGTGTGTTGAGAAAACTGTTTATATTTTGTTTTGCTAAGTTTTGAGGTGGTTTTATTTTTTTCTTTTGTTTTGTTTTTGGTTTTGGTTTCTTTAGTTAAGGCAATGGAAGTTCTATGACCCACTGACCTTATACTGTTAAGTTAACCTTTGACTGAAAAATGGTGGATTATTTACCTGTGGTTAACATATGCCCTCTAAATCTCAGGCTGTCTGGAATTTCCATCAGAAATCTCAAAGTCTCTTATGATAATGCTTAGTATAAGTGGCAAAAATGTAACTTACATGAGTTCTATTATGCCACTTTCCAAATAGTTAAACCAAAAGAATCCAGAGAACATTATATAATCTATTGATAGCAGGCTAAATAATTTTCAAGTGACATGCAACACATACTTATATTTAGTCTTTGTTGTTTGATGTCTTAATAGGTAATTTTGATATCAAAACAAATTAACAAATTGTCTAAGGAAAGCTTGAAATGATTGGCAATGCATTTAATAACAATGAAATTCTTAAAGATTAATCTAATTTGGAACAATGATATAAACTGAGATGAGATGTAAAATTAATAGGTGAGAAGTCATATATTTTCATTGCAAATTATCAACTGCATATAACCAGAATTGGGGAGTATTGGCTTAACAGTTGGGCATAAAATCCAAGAATAACTGACTGAAATCTCATTATTTGCCAACAACAAAATTCAGTTGCCAAAAAAAAGAACTTGTGCCATTTTAATATGATAAGGGATTAATTGTGTCTAGATCAATTATTCTGTACTTATCAGATCATGATTAAGAGTATTGTTTTTCATTCTTCTATCACATTTTAAAAGCTCACACTATAAATAGCTACCATAATAATAAAAGATTTGTTTTCCATTTTGAACATCATCAGGTTTTGCATCACTGCTAGAAGAAACAAATGGGTTTACAATAAGTATCTTCAACTATTGAAGTGCTACTATTTTCAAATGAATTAACTTTATCCATTGAAGCATCAGAAGGCAAAACAAGCACCAAAGACAGTGATTATTCATATCTTTTCTATATACGTTCTTGCCTTTTTGAAGGCTAAGACTACATCTTATTCACCTATTTCCAACACTTGGCCGGGTATCTATAATATTTAATCAGCATTTGTAAATATTGGTGGAATAAATAAATGGATGAAGAAAAAGACAGTTTTCAAAAATAAAGCATTATTTTTAACATTAAAACTGTTTTAAAAATATGAAAATGGGGAGAAAGTAGTCACTAGAATGACAAGCAAAATCTAGTTTGCCATTTTTGGATGCATCAGAGAATAAAATTGCTTTTAGAAGCACTTTGTTTTATTTTGCAACTGTCCAGTCTCCTCTGTCTACAAAGCACATGTTCCCCTTATCACTTAAATTTGCTCTTATCTTTCCTACCTTAAAAAGTCCACTTTCTGCTTCCATCCTATATCTTATCTCCTCTTTACAGCCGGTGGTCTACAGGACTTACAGATTTATTCTTTTACATCCAAGGACAGGTAACTGATTTCCAAACTCATATACCTAACTGCTTATTAAATATCCACATTTGAATGACCCTTAGGAATATAAATCTAATATGTCCAGAACGAATCCCTTATTCTTATTCTATTCCAGTTCTAATTCTTCTTTCAGTGGATAATTCAACCAATATGCTTTTCTGAGCTAGGGCTAATTATCATTCTTTACTTATCTACGAATACACCACTGCCTGAGTCTATCAGTTCTATTGGTCAAACGTCATCTAACGTAACAAACATGTCTTCATAACAAATATTCTTATATTTTTTATGTCCTTTAAACATACCTTCTAACAATTCCCTAGTTTAGGTCACCATAATCTTTTACCTACATTCTTGCCATAATTTTCTATCATATTTCCCTATTTTGAGACAGAAAAATTATTTTCCACATGGCAGCCAAAGTGATTTTTCTATAATACAAGAATAATCACATCACTCCCTCCCATCAAACTCTTCAAATGCCAACAATTCCTTCCAGGTTTTAATACAAAGTTCTTCATGATTTGGAAATTATTTATATTCCTAGAATCATTTCTCCTTAAGGTTTACCTCTTACTCTATGTAAAAGCCCCACCTATTCTTCTCTATGAGTCTTAGAAAACACCATGCTTATTCTCCTGTCTAGAACTTTATATAAGAAATCTCTCTACTTGAATTTCTCCTCCTCTTCTCCTTCATATTGCTAACTCCTTAACTCAGGTGCCACTTAGTCCAGAAAGTTCTCCTTGTCCTACCTCCTTAGTTGCCCTTAGTTGTCCCTTTAGAATCCTCATTACAATAATTTGTAATTGACAAAATAGTGACTTCTTTTTGTCTCCCTTAGATTATAAGCACTGAAAATTTGGCCCCTTGATACTGAATTCAACATTATCTTCTTACTGCTCCACTGACAAGCCCAGTGACTGACATACATAGCAGATATATGAAAAAAAAAAAAAGGAAAAGAAAAAGGGAAAAAAGTGACTGTAAATAAGAAATTATTTTTAAATAGAGATAAATAAAATAAATTGAAGTTTTACGCTCACAAAATAAATCATAATAATTCAAGAGTATGCAAAGAGCTTGGCAGGAACACATTGAAGACTAAGAGTTTTTAGGCCAAATCATCGAAAATAAATATCATCACTTGAGAAATGATCAGAGAAATAAGAAAGGGCCACCATAACATGAATAAGACCTACTGTGAAGGAGAAGGCTTTGCCATTTCTATGCTATTTAGGGTGAACTTTGAGTTATGGTGTTCTGTTGGGCACATCACATATTGAAAGAAAAGTTTGAAAAGCTAAAGTCATTGGGAGAGCACACAGGATGGCAAAAAGTCATAAAATCTTTCTTAACAGCAGTGGTTGAAATAGTTGGAGCCACTTAGTTTAATGAAGACAAATTAGTGAAGACAGTGTGGCTGACCCCAAATATTTGACAGGCTTTCATAAGTAAAAGGGATATTGGCCTCATATAGCTCTGAGGTATGAATGGCTGTAAATGGAAATTGGACATTTCTTATGATAAAAAGAAATTTCATATGACCTAGAGTTTTGCAAAAAGCTTCCACATTATTAGATTTATACAGGTATAGAAGAGAGGACTACTAAAGGTTCAGACACTATGGGTATAGGATGGGCTCCTGATGATAATCGCTGTTCAAATATGAAAGTTTGTCACTATGAAAGAGGTAAACAAAGGAAGCAGCTAGTGTCATGGACTATGTTCCATAAAGGTGATGTCAAGAATATTACATAGGCCGAGCACAGTGGCTCACGCTTGTAATTCTAGCACTTTGGGAGGCTGAGGCAGACGGATCACGAGGTCAAGAGATCGAGAACATCCTGGCTAACACAGTGAAACCCAATCTCTACTAAAAATACAAAAAATTAGCCGGACATGGTGGTGGGTAGTCCCAGCTACTTGGGAGGCTGAGGCAGGAGAATGGCGTGAACCTGGGAGGCAGAGCTTGCAGTGAGCTGAGATCGCGCCGCTACACTCCAGCCTGAGCAACAGAGTGAGACTCTGTCTCAAAAAAAAAAAAAAAAAAAAAAAAAAAAAAAGAACATTACATAAAAAGCTCCCAGTCAGATCAGGGTTAGGAGCAGAACCAGAGAATCACAGGACAGCAATGTGCTGCTCAAAAAGGAGAGAACCATGCAGCCCAACCTGGATCCAACAGCCAGACTCATGCTGTTGTGGGACCGTGAATAAATGCTGGGACCCTGATTCCCACACTGAGTCTTTAATCCCAAAGTGTCTTCTAGCTGTCACTTGACACTTCCAAACATCTACTGTCTTCCAAATATTAGACAGCATAAATGATAAACCTGACAAAATACAAGAAGAGAATAACCTCCCTTTCACATCTAAGTCTTCCAGTTACAAGGAGGGACTGCTAAATAAGACTCCCATGGTTTAAGCCAGTATAACTTTTCTGCAGTTCTTTATATGCTATAGACGGGGGGATGCTGGCAATAGGGGACCTCTGAATTCCAAGGAAGCTCCTGGATATGTGGGATGCCAGGATCCTCCTAACTTGTCCTCAGCCAAATCTATTCTGGAGTTTTTGGTTTTAGACACTCCCTAGACCTCATGTAAGTCAGAGGAGTAGGCAGAGTCATCATTTCCCCTTCCAGGGAGATTTCCATGGGAAAAGCACTGTTCCTTTAACCCCTTACAAACCTGATAATTACTCTACAGAAATAGTTTTGGTACCAAATATTCCTGGAAAATACAATCCTTCAAGAATTTCTTTCAGTGTTTTTATGCCATGTGTGAATAAATTTACTGGCCTTATACCTGAGAGTAAATTTTGGTACATAAAGACAAAAGGAATGCCACTAAGTGAGAAGGCATGTGAAAGGAAAGTGCGCAGATGACACTTTCCCCTTCAGAACTTTCCCAGAAAACGTGGTCTGCCACAAAGTGGCTGGTGTATGCCTTCAGCTTTGGACTTTGTTGGGCAGATTTTAACTTTATTTTTATAAAACTTATCCAGAATGTACATAGATTATGAATCCTTTGATCTGTTACAAATGCAAGGGCACGCAGTGCTGTATTTTAGTTTCCAAGTTTGTGTTCTGTTGGAAACCGCATTTAAGAATTTGGCAATCTCAATGCTAAACCATGCAGAAAGATTTCCCATTTTTATGAAATACCCACAAAGTCAACATTCTTTTTTTTAGCATCCGTTCATCAAGTAACAAAATAATAAAAACTACATCAGAGGGACTTGAAATTACTCAAGACATTTTACTCTGGCATCTAATATGATTTCAACAAAATATGTCATAGTCTATTTAATATAAAATCAACATGATAACAAATATTTTTGAACTTCTATCTTATTCTCAGAAATTTAAGGAAAACATAGAATATAATGTATCAGAAATTGACCTTACTGTGAAGAGCTAGTAATTTGGTGAATGAGAGAAGACAACACAAAAAAATAAAATTATGCTTAAGGTAGTATATATTAAGAAAAATACTTTTATTTATTTTTATTCAGGATTTGATAATTTGTCTTAAAATACATCTTGGGTCTGTCCTCTGCTTTCTTATTGAAGGCCACCAATCATCACTAGCCTGAACCACACCCTTTTAACTGGTCCCTTCATTTCCATCTCTGCCCTCTCCAAACCAACTGTCACGGGGCAGTACACCAATACTTTTACAACAAATCTAGGTATACCATGTCTCTGCATAGGTTTCTTCATGGGATTTTCCTTACACTTATAAAAAAGACACACCCTCACCCAGCAGGAGGTAGCCCTGCTCATCCCTCCAACCTCCTATCAAGCACTCTCCCTCCCCTTTATACGCTCACTCAATGCAGGGGCATTTCCCATGTTCTGCCCTCTTCCTATAATAAAATACTCTACTCCTATAGCCCCCTTCCTTGAATATAGGTTCTTTGTATCATTTAGGACTCAGTTCAAATGTCACCTTTCCAGAAAACACTTGATATATAGTCCACCTCTGTTATTCTCTGCCTCAGCTCCCAGTTTCCTTTTTAGGATGTCATTCAGCTTCAGTTTTTGAATTTGACTGTGAAATTGCATGCTTTGTCATATGGTTTGGCTGTGTCTCCCCCCAAATCTCATCTTGAATTATAGCTCCCATAATTCCCATGTGTCATGGGAGGGACCCGGTGGGAGGTAATTGAATAATAAGGGCGGGTCTTTCCTGTGCTGTTCTCATGATAGTGAACAAGTCTCATGAGATCTGATGGTTTTATAAAAGGGAGTTCCCCTGCACATGCTCTCTTGCCTGCCGCCGTGGATAAGATGTAACTTTGCCCCTCATTCACCTTCCACCATGATTGTGAAGCCTCCCCAGCCATGTGAAACTGTAAGTCAATCAAATCTCTTTCCTTTATAAATTACCCAGTCATGGGTATGTCCTTATTAGCAGCATGAGAACAGACTAATAAACTTTAATCAGTTTTATCCATATGGCTCCCAGCCCAGGCACCTGCTCTGGAGTAAGTGCTCAATATATTTTTGTTGAATGAGTGACTGAATAAATGAATGTTCAGTTTGTCAAAGGTTGACTGGTGCTTCCAACCTATACAATGCATCATATAAAGTATACAGTGGTAATTAAGTAAAGATGAGAAGAATTGCCATCAATGAAAGAGAAGTGAAGCAAACTGAGGTGTGCTATTAAATATTCTGTCTGCTCAGTCTGTGGAGCAGCAGTTTAGAAAACCTGGCAAATTATTTTGCTACCAATAAAGTTGAAGAAAGGTAGAGGCTTATGCAAGTTGACAAATTCAAGGATGGCTTAATGTAGGAGAAAGGGCTTAAGGTGGAGTCTTGAATAAAAGGTGGAGATCAGATTAGAATGGAGGGCTAAGAAGAAATGATGAACTAACCAGGCAAAGCTAAAGATGGAGGAGAGCTGGGATTATATAACTTGATGAGGCTAAGAAATCTTTAACTTCCTACTTTTTTGACATCAAAATTCCATGGACTTAGATTTCTGAACTCACTCTTTAGCCACTTAAATACTCTGGTTCATTTTAAAGCAATTTTTACTTTTCTTAAAGTGTTTCAGAGCCTTCCTTTGACAAAACCATGAAAAATGAAGAAACCAAAATATTTTACTCCGTGAACTTTCCTGCAATTTAGATTTTATTATAGATCATGTAACATTTTTACCCTTATTTATTTTATTGAACAGTTGGTGACATTTTAGAACACGCTTCATCTAAGAATAAAGTATGGCCAAGGAGGCTCATTTATCACCCAGGCATCTCCTGTAATGAAGCAGAGTGGAAGGGAAGAGATATTCTGGCTTTGCTATTCAGTTATTCTTCCCTTGGGAAAGTGCTTTATCCAGCACTATACTGTGCACCTTGATACCCTGCCAGCTCAGGGTATCAGGACTGGCTTTGTCTAGTGTATTCAAAGCCAACTATGTACTACTTCAGATTTGTTCCAGTTCTTACTCCAGCTACTCCTGCAAAAACCAGTTCACGGAACCGTCACTGTTTCATGCAGGTGCACCTTGTCAGCTCCTCCCTCAGATTTATCCCAGTGTTCTGCTTTTGCTATGGGGCATCTTTGATGCTGCAGGACATTCTTAGCACTCAGGCTGGCACAACTGGGAAGGCTGCAGAACTAATGCAAATTAACCCATCCTTGACCAATGGGACCAGGAGCTAATGGATCAATTCTTTCTACCTTGTCCCCTGGATGGACAGGTTGGAGGCACATTTCATAGATCTCCTCAGACAACGACATTGGATTAATCCCCAGCCACCTGTAGTAGGTAATTAAAATATTCTTGTATTGGCTTTTTCCTTCTCTCTTCCACTCTCCATTCTCTCTTCTTTCCAAATGAACTACTTGAAAACAAGCGTTTGTCTCAAACTCTTTTTGGGAACCCAAATCTAAAATATCTTTTAAAATAAAGCAGGGATCATTAGAGAAATGGAAATCAAAACCATGATGAGATACCATCTCACACCAATCAGAATGGCTATTATTAAAAAGTCAAAAAACAACAGTTGCTGATGAGGTTGTGGAGAAAAAGGAACACTTTTACAATGTTGGTGAGAGTATAAATTAGCTCAACCATTGTGGAAGACAGTGTGGCTATTCCTCAAAGACCTAGAGGCAGAAATACCATGTAATCCAGCAATCCCATTACTGGGCATGTACCCAAAGGAATATAAATAATTCTATTATAAAGATACATGCACACATATGTTCACTGTAGCACTATTCACAATAGCAAAGACAAAGAATCAACCCAAATGCCCATCAATGATAGAATGGATAAAGAAAATATACATATACACCACGGAATACTATGCTGCCATAAAAAGAAATGAAGTCATGTCCTTTGCAGGAACATGAACGAAGTTGGAGGCCATTATCCTTAGCAAACTAATGCAGGAACAGACCACATACCACATGTTCTCACTTATAAGTGGTAGCTGAATGATGAGAACACATGGACACAAGAAGGTGGGGAATGCATACTGGGGCCAGTCAGAGGGTTGGGGCAGTGAGGGAGAGCATCACGGAGAATAGCTAACAGATGCTGGGCTTAGTAACTAGGTGATGGGATGATCTATGCAGCAAATCGCCATGGCACACATTGACCTTCGTAACAAACCTGCACAGCCTGTTCATGTACCCCTGAGCTGAAAATTTAGAAAAATAAAATAATAAATAAACCAGGAGTTACTAAAATGGCAGGATATTAAAATAACTCAAATAGGCAAGTAACCCAAAATAACACTAATGCAAGTAGATTCACCATTCAACACATCACCATTGTAAACACTAACCTTTGTTCCAAAAAAAAAAAAAAAGATATCTCTCCATATGGGCGACTTTGGGGATGAGAAACTGGGGCCAGTTTGGTCAGACAAGAGCACAACCAGCCAGCAGATAGAACAGGCAATTTGGAGCTCCCTAACAATCATTGGATAGCTTTAGGACAATGGGGCAGAACAAAAGAGATGCACTGAGAAGAGGCATGAACTAATGCCAAAACCAGCCTTTACATGTGACTCAATTTTGCCTGGAGTCTGCATGCACTATGGAAGCATAAAGGTTCACACTTTACTTTTTCTCCTCTTTGTCCAGATTGCAATTGGTCAAATGCATGTGGCACTTTTTTCCAATTTAAACACATTTTAATAATTTCACAAGTGGCTGAAACCAATTTCTGCAGGGTGACCAATAACAAACCTGTCATTTTGGTAGGAGCAATGAGCCATGAATTCACTGGGGTCACAGTGGTAAAATGCTGTTACTCATAAAAAAGGATGAACCTGGGCTGATAGACTAGAGTACTTTTAGCTCTCTGTCCTACCCTTCTCAGCCTGCACAAAATCATAGATAATCTTATATATACAGAAAACTAAAGACTCTACCAAAAAACTCTTAGAACCAATAAACAAATAAGTAAAGTTGCAGAGTACAAAATCAATATAAAAATCCGTAGAGCTTCTATACACAAACAAAAAACTCTGAAAAGGAAATCAAAAAGGCAATCCAATTTATAATAACTACCAAAAAAACCCACCTAGGAATAAATTTAGCCAAGGAAGTGAATGAAAGATCTCTTGGAAAACTACAGGGAAGTTTTAGATCTCAAAGAAAACAACAAAACACTGATGAAAGAAATTAAAGAGGATACAAGCAAACAGAAGACAATCCAGGCTCATAAATCAAAAGAGTTAATATTTTTACTATGACAATACTACTCAGAGCAATCTATAGATTCAGTGCAATCCGTATCAAAATACCAGTTACATTCTTCACATAAATAGAAAGAAATCTTAAAATTTGTATGGAACCACAAAATCACCCTGAAATCACACACACACACACACACACACACAAACCCTGAATAGCCAAAGTAATCTTGGGCAAAAACAACAAAGCTAAAGGCAACACAGTATCAGACTTCAAAATATTCTGCAAAGCTATAGTAACCAAAAGAGCATGGTACTGCATAAAAACAGGAACATGGACAAATAAAAAAACATAGAGAACCCAGAAATTAGTCCACATATATGCAGCCAAGTAATTTTTCTCAAAGACTCCAAGAACACTCCCTGGAAAAGGAAAATCTTTTCAGCAAATGATACTGGGAAAACTGGATATCCATATTTGGACAAATAAAACTTGATCTTCACCTCTTACCCTATGTAAAAATCAACTCAAGATGGATCAAGTACCTAAATGTAAGACCTGAAACTACCAAGCTACTAGTAGAAAACAGGAAAAATGCTTTTAGGACATTGGTTTGGGAAATAACTTTATAAATAAAACTTCAAAAGCACAGGCAACAAATGCAAAAATAAACAAATGGTATTATATCAAACTAAAATCTTCTGCACCTCAAAGGAAACAATTAACAAAGTTGATCAAAAGACAACCTACAGAATGGGAAAAAAATATTTGCATGCTCAATCTAATGGAATTTATATCCAGAATATACAAGGAACTCAAACAACAACAAAAATCAAATAATTCAATTAAAAATGGGCAAATGAGCTGAACAGACACTTATCAAAAGGTATACAAACAGCCAACAAATATATAAAAAAAGGTTCAATATCACTAATCATCAGGGAGATACAAATCAAAACCACCATGAGGTATCATCATACTTCAGTTAGGATGGTTTTAATCAAAATGACAAAAAATTACAAATGCTGGATGTGGATGAAAGGGAACTCATATACAATGTTGGTGGGGATGTAAACTAGTACAATCACTTTGGAGAACAGTATGGAGGTTCCTCAAAGAACTACAAATAGAACTACCATATAATCCAGCAATCCCACTACTGGGCATTTATCCAAAGAAAGGAAAATCAGTATATCTAAGAGGCATCTGCACCCCCATGTTTATTGCAGCCATAGTATTCCAAGTATGTGTGTATACATACGTATATGGGGAACTCATACATTGTATATGAGTTCCCTTTTATCCACATCCAACATTTGTATATACTACATGTATGAATACACATACATACATACATACATACATATATAGTGGAATACTACTGAGCCATAAAAAGAATAATTTTTTTTCATTGGCAGCAACATGAATGGAACTAGAGAACATTATATTAAGTGAAATGAGCCAAGAACAGAAAGTTAAACACTGTGTGTTCTGAGTTATATATGAAAACTAAAAAATGTTGATCTCATAGAAGTAAAAAGTAGAACAGAGGACAATAGAGACTGTGAAGGGTAGGGAGAAGTGGCCATAGGGAGAGATTTGTTAAAGGATACAAAATCGCAGCTACATAGGAGGAACAATTTCTAGTGTTCTATAGCACTGTAGGATGACTATAGTTAACAAAAATATTTCAAATAGCTAGAAGGAGAATATTGAATGTTCCCAATACAAAGAAATAATAAATATTTGGGATGATACAGATATGAATTACCATGATCTGATAACTATATATTATACATACAGAAACATCACTAGGTAGTCCATAAATATGTACAATTATTGCATGTCAATTAATTTTTTAAAAATTAAAACAAGAGTGCTCTAAGGCACTGTGTAGATAAGGAAATTAGGCTCTGGGAAGGTGTGTGGCCACGCTAAGGACAGGAAACAAGGTGTTCTGACTCACAAATCAGACTGTTAAGTTTTCTCTGGGGTGTGGACCTTCTTTCTCAGAGGGAATAAATGAGTAAGGCAGGTGACAAGGGCAGGTGTAGGTCACATAACATATCCAATCTTTGAAAATTTCTGTCTTCCTTTTTTTATAAAAGGCTTTGCTTTTTGTTGCCTTCAAACATCTGTTCTCCCTGCTATGTCTTGTGCCTGCTTGCTGGAAATAAGTTTTTTGTTTTGTTTCATTTTGTTTTATGCACATATGAAGATAATCATGTAAAGTGTTGATGCCATTCATTTCTGCTATCTTTAGCGAGCACTTTACTTCAAAGCTGTAATGTTTCCAAAAACATGTCCAAATGCTGGCATTTAGTGTATTCTTCTATCTAAATCACCTACAGGCCGCAGATTCTGTGGAGATTTAATGTTAAAAAGAACCCTCTGCTAGACTCAGCAGGACTCAAGTCCAGGAGGTTTGCTTCTTCCTCTCAAGTTAATGTAATTGCTTTTTTTAACAACGTTAATCTTTTTTCTTTCTTTTTATTACTATGGTTTTAAAAACATCTTGACATTCTGAGCACCTTGAGTGCCTTCCACAATTTACTCCCCAAGTAAATCTGATATTTTAAAATATTTTCATTAAATATTTATAAGAAAATTCAACATACTCCAATTCTATGGGAAACAATGATCAAAACTAATTTTCCCATAATATTACATAGCTTTTTTACTTAAGGGGCCCCAACAGTTCAAAGCTTATATAAATATTAACTTCAGTCTCTTCATGTAGGGTTTCCTGTTGTTAGTTTAACCCACAGAGTCTAATAACTTGACTACCCTGAGGGAAATCCTCAGGAGCCACTGTTGAGTTTTAAAATCAGTTCAGAGCTGTTGAATAACTTCTTAGACTCTCTCCTTTCTTACTAATCCTGGCTTTGTCATTGCCGTCCCCAGTGTTTTGCTTTTAATTACACAAATATTTATGTTAAAAGGATCAGAATATACATCAGATTTGAGTATATGACAAGCATATTTTTTATTAAAATTTCTAAGTCTGTTTTGACTAATTCAAGTAAAACACCAACTTTCAGAGTCAGCAAATATTTTACAAAAGTTTTTTTTCAAATAGAAATGCTAGAAGAATCTAAAATAAGTTGACCAGGGAGTCAGTTTGGATTATATTCTAAGTAGAAAAACATCAGAGCTTTGAACATCCTAAATTTAAGGAGGATAATCAAACAAATAAATATTTATTATTCAATAGAAGCTTGCTAATAAATATAGGAAACATGCTAAAGTAAAAGAAAAGACATTTAAAACGTGTTGTTGTCATCTTATTTCCTGAGGAATAACTGATTCAATAAGCCTTCCCAAATCCTGTCTCCCTGCCTCTCTTTACAAAATTAGCCATATGCTTGTTTCTGCAGTTCCCTCGCATTCTGAATAAAAAAAGGCCATCATGCTTCACATCACCACTCTGTCCCTCAGCCAGCCAATAATAAAAGGAAAACTACCTCCAGTCTTTTCATAATTAAATAAAAAACTTATATTTGTTTAGTGTACTGTTAGTTGAGTTTTCCGATACTGTGTGTGCTTAAACACATCAAAAATGCTACAACTTCATAATTAAAACCTATGCTGCCAGGGCCAGAGGTTATATTAATAGTAGTCTTAGCCCCTAAATATATTGCCCTATACAGACTAATGTGCAAACAGAAGCTACAGACAACTTAACTCCAAGTGATAATGGAATAGAAATATTCTCCAAACAAAATTTTCTGTAATATGTGAATATCAGTTTATTCAAATGACATTAATTAGTTTGATACCAATTATAATGAAGAGGCAGTGCCAAGCTTTTATTCATAGTAATTGAGTTCTTTTGTTTATTTGGTTTTGGTGCAATACAATTCTACTAAGATTAAGTAGTGGCTCTTCTTTGATTGTTGGGGAATGCTAAGAAAAATTATTATTCTTAACTATGTAGGCAATTAGAAAAAAAGAGCAAGTGGAATTACAATTTGAAATCAGGAAATTTTAACTGAGAAGCCTGAGAATTTCAGTTCTTATTTTGTTCTAGTATCGTATCAATTTCTTTCCTTTATCCCTTTATCTCCAATTTGGATAAAAGTGAAGTAAAAGCTGGCTTGAAGCTTTTAGCATGGATTTTTGCAGGCCAATAACTTTTATACAGGTAAATTGTTATCATTGGTCACTATTGCTTCAGAAGAAAAAGGAAATATGAGAAAAATTTGAAAAATCATCTGTTATTTTTTTAAACCAGCCTATAATTCTTCTAGAACTACTATTATTTGTATGATTAAAAGTGACATATTTGACTCTGTTCCTAGAAAGTTCCCTTTTATCTCGCCAGAGGAAGGCTTGTTCCTAGATCTAAGAAATGTATGATAGTGATATACAGTAATAAAACACATTATCCAAAGGCCAGGTGGGAAAATACTGAATGCTTTGTTTCCTGCATTCTTCCTTTTAATCAATATCAACTTGCGACCAATGATATTGAAAAGAAGGTACACCCGCACAGAGGCCATCTGTATCAGGGATTTCCTCCCTGAGCTCAGGGAATCCCTGGCATAAGACTTACTGCATTCAATACTACATAGTCGTCTATTCTTTCAAGAGTATTCTACATCAAACCAGGAATCCATATCAGGGATCCACTCCCAGAGCTCAGGGAACCCCTGGGACAAGACTTGCTATATTCAATACCACATAGTCATCTAGTCTTCCAAGAGTATTCTACATCAAACCAGGAATCCAGATAAAGATTTTGAGTTGAATCTATAGAATAAAAATGTTTCTATAACTTATGTATCACTAAGATTCATGGGCATTTCAGAACAAATTAAGTAATTGCAATCTGAAGAATAAGGTAAGAAGTAAAGAAAAAACTCAAGGTAAAGTTTTCTATCTCCACCCAACAATTACCCATCTCCTCTTAATTTGAATTTTCATTATTTGATTATACTTATTGCTCTCCCTCTTTTAAAAGTTTTTTTCCCAAATTTTTAGGCCTCCAGGTTAAACTGGAAGAATGGACCAAAGCTGAATTTCCTTTTTCCCTGTAAGAAAAAGAAATGCTCCTAACTAGATGTATTAGATTCCTAGGAGGGCTGACACAAAGTACCACAAACTGGGTAGCTTAAACAATCATATTGTTTCACAGTTCTGGAGGATAAAAGTCTGAGATTAAGGTATGGGCAGGGTTGGTTCCTCCTGCAGGCTGTGAGGGAGAACCTGTCCCATGCCTCTCTCCTAGCTTCTCGTGGTTTGTTGAAAACCTTTGGCATTTCTTTACTCATTAACTCATCTCTCTGATCTCTGCCTTCATCTTCACATGGCATTCTCACTACTTGCATGTCTGTTTCTATGTCAAACTTTCTCTTTTAATAAGGACATAAGTCGCATTGGATTAGGGCCCACCTAATTGCCTCATTTTAATCATCTGCAAAGACCCTATTTTTAAATAAGGTCACATGCACAGGTATTGAAGCTTAGGACTTCAACATCTTTTGGGGGAGACCCAATTTAACCCATAACATCAGCTGCTCTAAACTTAGCGTTTTTAAAAAAAAATCTCAAAAGGACAAGTAAAGTTTTCCAGCAAAGAGTATACAGAATTCCAGATAATCATTGTCTCCTCCTAATTGTGTACCTTCAGATTTGAGTGAAGTATTTAGAAGGCAACATTTATTCCTCAAATTGCATGTTAAAGATCTTAAAAAGGGTAAGTAAGTCAAAGAGAGATTACTCAAAGTAAATAAAGCATATAGAATGTCTGGGTGAGCAAGATATAAAGAAATGTCACTGCAAACACACACATATTTTACAATAAAAATATAAAAGGAGAAAAAATATTAAGCAAAAGATAGATGAAGATCTCAGTCTGAAAAAAAAAATCATCCAAACACTATAAGAAAAACTCAAAGATGTCTTTATGTTACAGAAGAATTCAAAGAACACATAAATTTTAGGAAAAACTACTCAAAAATGAGATTATTTATAATAACAGAGTGACATTAAAGAAATATTATTGAAATAGGGGAAAAATTAAGAACTAAAATGGCATTGTTACAAAACTGTATATTGATTATAAAGAGTATCTTAAAAATAGAGCTAATTTTTTATCATTTCTCTGGAAAAATGATAATTACAATAAAAGTAGAGAATGGAGGAAATAGGCAACAATGAATAAAATCAATCAAGAGGAAATGAAGGACAAAGACAATCCAACATCAGAGCAATTGGTGTCTTTTAAAACCATTTAAAGATATACTAGCTGACATTTCTCCTGAAATGAATCTATAGATCATAGGGCATGCATAGCTATAAAAAAAGACTTAAGTATATGTTGATACTAAGCCACAGCTTAGAAAATAATTGTTTGACATATGTAAATTGAAAAGTGAGTTGCTTATAAGGAGGAAATATCAGGGTGGCTTTACACATCTTTCTGCTATCATGCCATACAAGAAAACAACAGTGCAACACTGTATTAGTACATTTTCACACTGCTATAAAGAACCACCTGAGACTAATTTCTAAAGAAAAAAGGTTTAATTGGCTCACAGTTCCACATGGCTAGGGTGGCCTCAGGAAACTTACAATAATAGCGGAAGGTGAAAGGGAAGCAAGGCACATCTTACATGGAGGCAGGAGAGAGGGAGAACAAGGGGAGAAGTGCCACACTTTTAAACCATCAGATCTCATGAGAACTCACTGACTGTCATAAGAACAGCATAGGAGAATCCTCTGCTTCCCTTTCAAATACAAGCTCCAATTTCAGATCATCTATTTGTGAACACATATGACTGTATGCTTTTAGAAGAAGCCAGGTCATATCTCGAATGCTCTGTTGCTTAGAAATTTCTTCTGCCAGATACCATAAATTCATCTCTCTCAAGTTCAAAATTCCACTGATTTCTAGGTTGCAGGCAAAGTGCTGCCAGCCTCTTTGCTAAAGCATAGCAAGGGTGACCTTTGCTCCAGTTCCCAGTAAGTTTCTCATCTCCATTTGAGACCACCTCAGCATGGACTTCGTTGTCCATATCACTAGCAGCATTTTGGTCAAAACGATTCAACAAGTCTCTAGGGAGTTCTGAACTTTCCCACATCTTCGTGTCTTCTTCTGAGCCCTCCAAACTTCCAACCTCTGTCCATTACCCATTTCCAAAGTTATTTCCACATTTTCAGGTTATCTTTATAGCAGGACCCCATTATCCCGGTACCAATTTTCTGTATTAGCCTCTTTCCACACTGCTGTAAAAAATTACCCAAGACTGGATAATTTATAAAGGAAAGAGGTTTAATTGACTCAAAGTTCCACATGGCTGGGGTGGGCTCAGGAAACTTACAAACATGGCAGAAGTTTAAGGGGAAGCAAGCACATTGTACATGGTGGCAGGAGAGAGGGAGAACAAAGGGGGAAGTGCCACACTTTTGAACCATCAGATCTCATGAGAACTCACTCACTATCATGAGAACAGCATGAAGGAAACCACCCCCATGATCCAATCACCTCCCACCAGGTCCCTCCCTAACATGTGGTGATTACAATTCAAGATGAGATTTTGGTGGGGACACAGGGCCAAACCATATCAAATATCTACATTTTTAAAAGGTCTAAGAAATAGAAAGTATAGTTAAATTTATAATTAGTCACATTATTCTTCATGTATTAAAGTCAGAGAACATCTCAAGCATGAAAGAATTGAAGGGACGCAGCACTCAGGAGCCTTTCTCTAAAATATTTCTTAATGATCAAATTAGACAATGAAGATAAATGAAAAATAAATTAATTTATAATAGACAATCTTTGCTAAAAGATCAATGTTTGAGTCTTTGAATGCAGAATTAAGAATAAATAATAATGGGACCTATATGCACAGAAGAATGCAAATATTATATATCATAGCAACTTAACATTACAGTATAGTTAAGAAAATTGAGGAATGGGTAGAGGGAGATGGAAAAAGTATAGTGTGCTAATTTTCTTGTATTCAAAGCAGAGAGAAAATTGATATAAATTAGTTTTTAATTTTTGGAAGATAAATAGTATTTCTAAAATGTCCATTTTTTCTTATTTAAAAAAATTGTAATAGCTTCCATCTCATGGTGTTAAAAACAATCTTAACTTCACCATTTCCTTCACTTTTTAAAATTTCTCTTACCCCTCTGCTAAATATAATAAAAATAAATCTTAATACATTTTATTAAAAATAGCATGATATATGATTTTATTTTTATAAAAATACTTTATTCACATATCTATCCTCTATTTTTAAAGGGATACTTGGGATAATAATGTCTATTCAATGTTTACTATAATTATTTCTGTTAGAGAAATGTGGGAATTTTTTAACCTTTTATTTTTATGTATTGCTGCAATTCCTTGTTTGATTATATTGTGATAAAATAATGTTAGATAATGAAACAACAGAAATGACCATTTGTGTAGGAGACTAAAGAGTTGTTAGATACCAGTAACAACTTCCTATTCATTTCAACAGTCAGGCTCCTTCCTGCTCTTTAGTTCAGTATCTTTATAACTTTGGATGCTGGAGAGTATCATCAGAATGTTTCTTAACTCATAACTCATGCATGTGGACACTCTATCATAGCATAATGCTAAATATTCTTAGGTTATTGATTCCACATAGAACAAGAGCATATATTCTCAATTTCCTCAGGGGAAAGTTGCTATCTGAACTTAATTGAGCTTTATTTTTATACATGTTTGTTTTTTCAAATGAAATTTTGTCAGTCTCTTGCTCATTAGCAGTATAATATCATCAACTACTAACTAGTTAGCTTCTACAGGGAGAACAAACATGTTGCTAAGGGCCTGTCATCTAACCATACTATGACTAGCAAGCTTACACAAATAAAAAAAACCAAAGTTTTAATGAAGCAGTGTAAAGAAGGTTTCTGCATGAATAGAGAGGACAATTATTAAGGGAATACTGCTTACTACTTTTTCAAAATTAAAAAGTACTAAAGTTTCCAGGCCTAATCCAAATTCTATGTGTAGAGTTTTTTTTCCTAACTTTTTATTTCAAGTCTTAGTAAAATGTTTATTTAGCTCTGGTTGAACCAGAATTGATTCAATGTTTATAAGTATAAGCTTGACAATGCAAAAGCTTATCTTTCCTTCCATTTTTCTCAGACTTGGAGTAGACTGTCCTGAGCAAACAGCAGTGTAGGTATATATGAGGTCAGTTTGTACTTCTGGTTGCTAAAGAGCTGGCCACCCGGTAAGTAACCTGATTAATCTTTCCATAGGTGTTGGATAGTCTTCAATGCATTGGATTTTATGTAGAGTCAATAAAAAGAAGTTCTGAACATCCAATATGCATACAGTTTCAGGCTAAGGTGGAAAAGTATTTAAAGATAAAGGCTAGATTGTCTCAATTTAGATTTTATCTTTTCCATAATCTATACACAGACACACACACAGACACACACACAGGCACACACACACACACACACATATATACACACACATTATAATAAAATAAGCTAAGAGAAATTGTAGATTTACCTATTAAAAATAAAATATCTAAGAGTTTACAAAATGCCTCTGGCAAGATCTTTTCTAATTCAACATGTATTTACTATGTTCTGGGTAGAAGACTCTGTACTAAAAGTAAAGTTTTGAATAAGTGATGCACAGCAAGAGTAGTTTACTGCAAGCAGCTCAGTACAGGAAAAGTGGTCATGGAATAGAGGAGAAGAGAGAGATTTCCGGGTAAAGCCAGAATTGAGCCAGAGTGGAAGAATGACTTTACAGTATAGTTGTATGTGTAAACAGAATCAAAGGTACCAGCAAGAGAAAAGGAAAGAAAGAGCCAAATGGAGCATTTGTTGGGCAGGTTTGCCTTTACATCAGCAGAAATTCTCAATTTGATATAAGGATATTTTGAAAGCACATAGGTCTTACATTCATGCAGCTTAATAATGCAGAGGTGAGTGACTGACGTTACCGAGCAGATCAAAGTTGAAAATACTACCATCCAATCTTCAACGTGTCTCCCATCTAGTAAACAGGATAATATATACATAGATAACCATGGTATTAGAAAAAGAACAAATGATGAATTATGAATTTTCAAAGGAAGTGTGGTCAACACTCTGATGGCCATGCATATCCCCTTTAGGAATGAAAGATTCATTCCCCCACTGGCCACAGACTTATTCTTCCCACTGTTGGAAGAAAGTCTTCAGCTGGAAGCCCCCACCACTTGCCTTAACTGAAGAGATCCAGATCACTAAAGACATGCTACCTTGCCAGGCTGGCTACAACTGATGACTTAATTGATGTGAGGGTGTGAATGCTGACTGCTTTTCCCAACTTGGTAATTCCCTGTAAAGTTAACAGAAACCTCCATTGAGAATGAATCATAGCTGAACTTCTGCAGCTGCCTTAATTGCTGTCTCAATCTGCTTCCTGAAAAACAAACTCTGTAAGACTTTAAATTTTGAAACGGGATAGACCATTTGCCCGCTGGTAATGGGGACCAGGCGCTGGTGGTAGGTGGAGCACAGGTAGTCCCTAGCAGAAAGTAGTACTGTAATTATTAAAATGTCCACCATGGGTTAATTGGGATTAGATTGTGGTGGAAGGAAATTCATTAGCTGGTGCAGTATATCAGGCTTTTGAGAAATATGAAGGAAATAGTATCTGTAAGGCCAAAAACTTGGATGACTATTGCTAAGCTTGATTGAATATACTGGACCAGCAGGCAGAAGAGTTATTTTGGCTGTGGAAATGAATACTGGTTAAGGCTGCTGTTATACAATGTGGCCAGGGAGGAATATGTTTGGAACCAGATGGCACATTTGGGGTCCTCCTGATAGTTGCTTGCCCTATTTTGACAGTAAATGGATATATGTATTGTTGCTCCCTCTCCTGTCATAGAAACAATGTTACTTTAGGAGACAGAAGACACAGATGAATTTCAATTTGAGCTAAGTATTTATTATTTATAGGAATTTGGACATATTACTAGATATATCTGGTTCTCAGTTTCTTATGTATGAAATGAGAGGCTAGGCAGCTGACATATAAGTTGTTTTATCAGCTTTATTGTTATTAAAAAAAGAACTGTTATTATTACATTATAATTAAAAGAAGCCACAGATTCCACATTTTAAAATGTAACATTTCATGCATAGACTAGAAAAGAAAACACATAACCATATGCTGTTTTTCACTGTTTCAGTGTAATAAATGGACAACCATTGCTCATCTGTTGTGTGATTTAAGAAATGATCTATAAAAGACAAATTTACCTGATAGAAGCAAAATAAAATATTAAGACAAATACGATCTGGGATATATCTACAATCTAAAGTGTATCGTGCTTCTCTTATACATATGAAAAGGATTAAAATGGAACTCTGCAAAAAAGGAAGAACTCATGCTCCAGAATTGGGAGGAAGCATTTATGGGAAGGATGGGAAGTTCCATTTGATTTTCAAAAATTCTTCAAAACAATTTACAAAAAGCTTTAATGCATTAGATTTCTAATGCTCAGTTATAATTTTGGAAAGCTGTTAAAAACAATAAACAAAAAAATGTAACCAACATAACCTGATAGATTTTCTGGATCTGACTTAGAGTTGATCTGTGTAGTGGTAAAATTTTAAAAATCCTATGGATATACCAATACAAAAGAGGGTGGGAAATACATATATTCAGGCAATTCCTTTTAACCATCTTCTTCAATTACTCAGGAAGCTGTGCAGTATACGGAAATATGCTCTATGGAGACCGGAGTCCTAATATGAATTACATTTGCTTTGGGAGTCAGGCAAGCCACTTCAACTTTCTGCACGAGTATTCTGTTAAAACTTGGTGTGTTACAGAAGAGAGATGATATGGGTTTGGGGTAGGAGTGTTTAGTGAACACAGCAGAACTCAGAGAACAATAACCATTACAGATATGTTAGTTGTTGCTTCTTCAACTCGTTTGACTTTATTTAGTCAAGGACTATCTTGTATGTAAATAATTTGAAACCATTATAAAGTCTTTCTTCCACTTTAAAATTTTAGTTTTCTTTATAATAAGTTATCTTAATATACTTTCATTACAAGGTTTATGTAATTAATAAGAGTATCAACTAATATAGAATTAATAACTATGTATCCTCATTATTTAGCATGTTATATAAAACAGAAACATCAGGAAAGAATCCAATTCAGTACCTTAAGTGACCATCATTGTTTCTCATTAGTCAAGCCAGCTGGATCTGGTTTTGCCATAACAACTATGGATATAAGATAAGTATGTTAACTTCCAAACAGCAACCTAAATGTATGCATGAGCTTAAGTATTTGGTTTTTTTGAATGTCTTAGGTAAGATTAAAATGAGTTTCCAGAAAGTTTATTTTACTCATCATTCTTTTATCTTACAAATGAGCCACACCAACAATAAAGTTGCTATGCCATTGCACAATGAAACATCTACTACTTCATAGTTGGCTTTATATTGTATCTAAAGGACTCATAAAGATTTTTCACGATCTTTAATATTTTGTTTCATGAGAAATGTGAGTGGTCTAAATATTTAATATAAGCCATAACCACATTTTCTAACCTTCCCTTTCTGTACCTGATATGGTTTGGATCTGTGGCCCCAACAAATCTCCAAATCTCATGTCAAATTGTAATCCTCAGTGTTGGAAGTGTGGCCTGATGGGACTGGATCATGGATGCGGACTTCTCATGAACGGTTTAGTACCATACCCTTGGTGCTGTCCTTATGATAGTGAGTTCTCACAAGATCTGGTTGCTTAAAAGTGTGTAGCACCTCCCTCCTCACTCTTTCTCTTGCTCCTACTCCAGCCATATGATGTGTATGGATCCCTTTGTCTTCCACCATGATTGTAAATTTTTTGAGGGCTCCCAAGAAACTGAGCAGATGCCAGCACCATGCTTCCTGTACAGCCTCTGGAACCATAAGCCTATTAAACCTCTTTTCTTTATCAATTACCCAGTCTCAGGTATTTATTTATAGCAATATGAGAACTAACTAATACAGTACCCAACATTTTCTTCTGCTTTCTACTATGCTTTTCATTTTTGTGACACATTAGCTTCTAAAAACAGATGTATCTACTACTAATTTTCCTCACATATACTAAAATAAATAAATATACTATGTCCATGGATCATTAAACTCAATATGTTTGAGATTTCAATGTTACTCAAATTCATCTGTAGATTTGATCTGATCCCAATTGGAATCCCATCAGAATTTTATTCTAAAATTTATTTGGAACTTCAAAGGAACTAAAGGAATAGAACAATCTTGAAAAAGAAGAAAAAAGGTAGAGTACTTACAATACCTTAATTCAAGATTTTCCATAAACATGGAAAACCAGTATAGCCTGGCATAAGGGTAGACAAATAAATCAATAGAACACAATTAAGAGCCCTGAAACAGTCTCACCCCTACAATATTATTTGGTTTTGTATAAAGGCACTAAAGAAATCTAATAGGGAAAATAAAGTCACATCTACGAAACTGGAATAGCTCTATCAGAAAAAACTGGATAGCTCTATCAGAAAAAGATAAATTAGCTTCATTCCTTACCTCATACCACACACACTATTTAATTCAAGATGGGTTATAGTCCTACACATAAAACCTAAAAGTATAGTAATGTTTCTCAAAGAAAACATAAGAGAAGGCTTTTGAAATTTGGGGGTAAACAGATGTTTCTCAGAAGGCCACAGAAATTAATCAATATAAGAGAACATAATTTTCTATTTAGGATAAATAATGTTACTCTCCATCATAGTTAAAATCCTTCATTCATCAGAAGATGCAATTGAGAGAATGAAAAGGCAAGCCAAACAACAGGAGAAAATATTCACAATGTGTGTACCTGGCAAAGGAATAGACAGACACTGTACAAAATATGTAAATAACCAAGAAGTACATGAAAGTGAATTATGTAGTTATCAGATAAATTAAAATTAGAATCAAAATGAGATGCCACTACACCACTACTAGAATAACTAAAATTTTAAGACACAACATATGAGTTGTGCAGATGAGTATATCACCAACTAAAATTCTTAAACTTTGTTGGTTGGAGTAGAAAATGCTTCAAATACCTTGGGAAAAGTTCCAGTATTCTTATACAACTAGACATACTTCTCCCCCTATATCCATCCCTACAAGCCTGATTCTAGGTAGTCACACCAAATAGAAATTAAAATATATGCCCACAAAGACTTGTACACGAATGTAAATAACAGCTTCTTTTATATTAGATAAAAACTGGAAGCAGCCCATGTGACCATAAAAAACAGAATAGATAACCAAACTACCATGTGTTCAGACAACGAATGTTGTTCAGCAATAAAAGAGAATGGACCACTGATACACACATGTGGATGCATACGAAAAATTTTGGTGAGTAAAGGAGCCTTACCCAGAAAATGCATACTATATAATTTCATTTGTGTGAAATTCTACAATAGTTAAAACTATCTGGGGGAAAAAATTGAAACAGTAGTTGCTTATGAGAGATGTATATAGAGGTCAGTTGGAAAGGGGCACAAGACAACTTTCTGGGGAAAAGACAATATTCTTTATCTTGACAAAGCTTTCAGTTACATAGATATTTGTATTTATTCATTTATCACATGTAGTACTTAACATGTGTGTAACTCACTGTAAATCAATTTAAACTAAAAAACATAGAGCTATAAACAAATATTCAACTTCAGTCAATGATATGCATGCTGAAGAGTGTTAGGGGTGAAGGGTACAGATATCTGCAATTAATTATACTTTAAAATGTGTCAGGGCTGGGCGTGCTGGCTCACACCTGTAATCCCAGCATTTTGGCATGCCGAGATGGGTGGATTGCCCAAGGTTAGGAGTTTGAGACCATCCTGGCCAACAGAGTGGGACCCTGTCTCAACTAAAAATACAAAAATTAGCCGGGCATGCTGGCACGTGCCTGTAATCCCAGCTACTCGGGAGTCTGAGACAGGAGAATTGCTTGGACCCAGGAGAGGGAGGTTGCAGTGAGCTGAGATTGCACCACTGCACTCCAGCATGGGTGACAAAGTGAGACTCTGTCTCTAAATAAATAAATAAATTAATTAAATAAAACAAAATAAAATGTGTCAGAAATAAGATGGATTGGTGGATGAACAGATAAATGGATTTTTGGATAGACATGTGATAAAGTAAATGGAGCAAAATGTTAACTTTAGAATGTAGATTGTATATAAGTCGACCTTCCTACATATTTGAGAATTTTCATAATAAAATATGGTATAAAAGCAATAAATGAACATGAAAGCCAACTTTAAAATGTAATGGTAGTCATACTAAATGAACTTCAGATTTAAAATTCTTTGACTTAACATACTCTCTGTTGTATGAGGAGATAATTTTTTAAATAAGAGCCATGAATGAGGAAACTATTCTAAAGTGCTATAAAAATATCAAGCGCCTGGCCAGGAGCGGTGGCTCACATCTGTAATCCCAGCACTTTGGGAGGCCAAGGTGGGTGGATCACCAGGTAAGGCGTTTGAGACCAGCCTGGCCAACATGGTGAAACCCTGTCTCTACTAAAGATACAAAAAATTAGCCAGGCATGGTGGTCCATGCCTGTAATCCCAGCTACTTGGGAGGCTGAGGCAGGTAAATCACTTGAACCCGTGAGGCAGAGGTGGCAGTGAGCTTAGAGTGCACCATTGCACTCCGTCCTGGGCGACAGGGTGAGACTCCGTCTAAATATATATATATATTTATATATGTGTGTGTGTGTGTATACATATATCTAAATATATACACATCTAAATATATATACACATCTAAATATATATATGTGTGTGTGTGTATATGTGTATATATACACACATATATACATATATACACATATATATACACATATATATACATATATACACACATATATATATACGTATATATATATGTGTGTGTATATGAAGTGTCATGTGGCTAAGTTTTATTCTTTACCCCAAATTATCAGTAAAACATATTTACATAGGACATACTTGATTTTATCATGTAAAGTAGGATTTAAACTTGTACAATTTTAAAGTTGGAAGAGGCCTTACCAATCATCTTCCAATCCACTTGTTTTAAAGATGTAAAATCTGAGATCCACAGGGACTGCAAGTTTACTCAAGGTCACACAGCTACTAAATAGCATTGCTGGTTCCCAAAAAGACTTTGGAGAATTTCATTCATTGCCTTTTGAAGTTCCCTTTCTGTATTGTGAGAATCAGTTAGATAAGCATCTAGACTATCCAGGAACAGCCATCTGTGAAATAGGAATAATAGTGTTTGCTCTTCTTCTGAGGAGCTTACAGGAAATACCAGTGTACTTTGGATTGTTCATAAAACAGTGAGAAACTTAAATATCACTTGTCATTTTTAATTTGTGTGTAATAAATCAAAGAGATAATGCATCTCAAATCAGTGGATTTCAAAAGGGGACTGCATTAGTAACTGAAATTTAGCCCACGATTTCCCATAAAATATACATAAATAAGAATATAATAATCCAAGTGACTATGAGAGAGAAATACATATTCAAGTAGAGCAAGCAGGTGCTGGAAAACATTTAGATGGTTATGAAGTTCATCAGTTTTCACCATTAATTAAAATCAAGTGAAGAAGAATCTGCAAGTTTTATATGCACTCTTCAAAGATACTCAGAACAAAACAAATGTAATAAAATGCATAAATGTGACTCGTCCTCAAAGTAAATCATTAAATCCAAAGAGAGACATTGTTTGATGGTAATGCAGCAATAAATCTCTAGCTAATATATATGTTTGATGAAGAAAAAGGCTGTAGCTTATTTTCATTTGATGTGTATTCAAATGTAGGGAAAAGAAAGAGAGATCAGACTGCCACTGTGTCTATGTCGAAAGGGAAGACATAAGAGACTCCATTTTGAAAAAGACCTGTACTTTAAACAATTGCTTTGCTGAGGTGTTGTTAATTTGTAGCTTTGCCGCAGCCACTTTGCCCTAGCCACTTTGCCCCAGCCACTTTGACCCAACCTGGAGCTCACAAAAACATGTGCTGTATAAAATCAAGGTTGAAGGGATCTAGGGCTGTGCAGGATGTGCCTTGTTAACAAAATGTTTACAAGCAGTATACTTGGTAAAAGTCATCGCCATTCTCTAGTCTCAATAAACCAGGGGCACAATGCACTGTGGAAAGCCACAGGGACCTCTTTCCTTGAAAGCGGGGTATTGTCCAAGGTTTCTCCCCATGTGATAGTCTGATACATGTCCTCGTGGGATGAGAAAGACCTGACCGTCCCCTAGTCTGACACCCGTAAAGGGTCTGTGTTGAGGTGGATTAGTAAAAGAGGAAAACCTCTTGCAATTGAGGAAGGCCACTGTCTCCTGCCTGCCCCTGGGAACTGAATGTCTCGGTATAAAACCCAATTGTACATTTGTTCAATTCTGAGACAGGAGAAAAACCGCCCTATGGTGGGAGGCGAGACATGTTTGCAGCAATGCTGCCTTGTTATTCTTTACTCCGCTGAGATGTTTGGGTGGAGAGAAACATAAATCTGGCTTACGTGCACATGCAGGCATAGTACCTTCCCTTGAACTTAATTATGACATAGATTCTTTTGCTCACATGTTTTTTGCTGACCTCCTTATTATCACCCTGCTCTCCTACTACATTCCTTTTTGCTGAAATAATGAAAATAATAATAAAAACTGAGGGAACCCAGAGGCCGGTGCCAGTGCAGGTCCTTGGTATGCTGAACGCCGGTCCCCTGGGCCCACTGTTGTTTCTCTATACTTTGTCTCTGTGTCTTATTTCTTTTCTCAGTCTCTCGTCCCACCCGACTAGAAATACCCACAGGTGTGGAGGGGCAGGCCACCCCTTCATTCAAAGAACATCATTTTTAAAAATACTAACTTTAATATACATCAAATATAATCAACATAACCTTTACTAAATCTTGCCCCTAGACAGAAGACTGAGAAAAAAATGTATACTTGACAGTGAGTTTTTTTATATTAGAATTCCCAGAAGATTATTATAAAAAATAAATTTCCAGTTTGCAGTATTTTTTCACTTTGTCTTGGCTATTCTATAAGGAGAGGTACCTAATTAAATGGCTTCATATGAAATGGCGACAGTGCAGTAGAAGAAATATTAAGTGGGTAGACTTTCTAGGACATCAGATCTTTTGACTTCCTCTATAAATACTGTCCATAAATATTTATGAACTGCTTATTATGTTTCAAACTCTACTTGACCTGGGAGCACAAAGAACAAAATGTTGATTATGAGGTACCTTTAGCTAAGTGAGGTGTTTGGACTTCATTCTCCAGGCATTATGAAGCCTTGGAAGTTTGTATTTACTTGGTTTTAGTTTTAATTTATTTCAGGTTTTTATAGGAATAACCAATTTGGGAATCATATAAGATAAAGTGTGTAATTCACAGGAAAGAAAAGCTAAAATCATAGTGTTCAGTTAGAAAACCAGTAGAGTAAACAAGAGAGTGTAGGACCTGAGTTGAGGCAGTTACAGCAGGTTCAGGGAAGAAATTGAATCAAGCAATACTTAGGAAGTAGATGCAATAGGATATGCTAAATGAACAGATGTGTAAATCAAGGAAAAAGAGGAGTCACTGGTGCCTCTGAATTTCCCCCTCAGAAAAATGGCAATTCCAATCAAGCTGCATATTGGAAGGATTATTATTTTTTTGTTGTTCTTTTCTTTTTGTCAAGGCAGTAAATGTCAAATAAAATTGACCTGAATTAAATTTGGAAAATTTTACGTATCTGCTGGGCTTGGATAAATCACAAGCAGCACTTTGTTAGAATTATACATGCGGTATGGTAGATGGTGGTTATTTAGGGAGCAGCAACTAACTAGACTTATTATTTAAAGTACAGGAGGAAGGCAGGAATAGAGAGCTGTTGAATCTAAAGAACATGTAAATCTGAGTTGTATGGAGTTTCTCGGTGACTAGACGAACATTTTTTTCACCGTGTGCTTGAGCGTGGCCTATCTTGTCTACTAAGGAGCCCAGTTCCCCAAATGCTTCACTGAGTCTACAAGAGGCCACACATGTAACCAAGATAGATGCATGGAATGCTCCTCTCCCTGGCCTCTCTGTGCAACTCCACAGTGCAGTCAGGCCCCCTCAGTATCACAGCTGTTCACACCCTCTGAAAGTCACTGCTTCCTTGCTGTTTTTCCAAGCTGCACCAATGTTCCCATTGCTTCATTTGTTTCTCCACATTTCCAGAAGATGACACCATTTTTAGATCTGAGGTGTCAAGAGTTGATTTCTGTCCTTTCTCTGGGTGCTGTGTGGTCTCCAATCACAGGAGCTGGTAAGCAGCAAAAAAAAAGGCAAGAAAAGAGGTCCTTCAGAAACATTGAGATGGTTTGGACCCCACCACTTGGTCCCATGACTCAAGCATAGGCTCATTACTTGGCTAATGTTTAAAGTTTCACTGAAACTTTTATAGAATTGAAAAGATTCATTTGTTTTGGTATTTACAAATTTTCATATTTTAACAATTTTTGCAGAGTTTGGGGCAAGGGAGACTCCCCAAATGCTGTCCCTATTCCTTCCCGGAGGAGGACTCACTCTTTAAATTGTTGTTGGTTCGAATTTGTGGTTTTACTTTTGTTAAATATTCTGCTGCCAGCTGTGTCTGTAGCAATCAAAAGTTTATGTCATATTATCATTCATTAGTCAGCAGTTAAATCGGCAGGATCTGTCTCGGTTTAGTAACCACTGGAAATGGAAATGGATTAATCTTGTGATTTAAATAATGTCAAAATACACAGCTTATAAGCACATATTTTGAAAGCATTTTTTTTCTTTTCCTATGTTAAAAAATGATATAGAAAACATTTATGCCTTGGTTTTAATTGCCTCCCTTTCTAGAGTATCTAAATGTGTAATCTCACATTGTTCCTGAGAATTGAGGAAGCATGTTTGCCCATCAGAAAATAGAATTAAATGGAAAATAAACTTTTTCAAGCTCCTTCATTGACTCAAAAGCAGTTCAAGGACTCAAGATTTTCCATTTGCAATACTCTTAATAGATTATATGACTAGTAAACATGCAAGAGCACTGTTTTGAGTCAGGTAATTCCACCCAGGAGGTATCCTCCCATAGGCCCAGCTTCTAACTGAGGCCAGGACTACACCTGGCATTTTTCTGCCAACCTGTATTGTCCTATTATCTTTCCCTTACCCACACATTAAAAAAATAGTGTTTAATGGAAAGTCTATCCGTGATAATCACCCTTTATCCTTCCACTTACTCTTCATATAAACACATCTACAAACTGAGTTTCTGAAATTCAGCTGCATTCATTCAATTTCCTATTTAAAACCTTAAGAAAGCTGGATTTGGTGGAGTGTGTCTGTACTCCTAGCTACTCCGGCAGCTAAGACGAGAGGATGAGGATCACTTGAGCCCCAAGTCTGAGGTTAGTCTGGGAGTCTGGGCAACACAGCAAATCCTAAAGATCCTTTTTGTTAAGACTGTCTTGCTTCATTACTTAAATTGAGCATAAGCATTACAAAGTATCATCCTTTTTAAGCTTGAGTTTATTCTCTTTTTTAAGGTAAAGATTAAGATCAGTAGAAAATTACATTTTAATGATTGAATTTATAGTCAAGTTCAGATCATTTAATTATTCTTGCATGGCATAGTTACTGGTTAAACAAAAGCTTGAACTTATTAAAATAACATAATCCGAACAACTAATTCTATTACATTATGTTGCTGAGGAAATACATAAAATACTCTTACTTGCAACTAGAAATGTTACCAATTTCTTAGTTGAATTATAAATGATGAAAAGAAGAGCTACAGGCCTCTTTCTAAATTAATAGAAAGTGAAAATAATTATGATTACATTTACTCTCAAAAGGTATTGTGGCTTTCTCAAACTGACTGCTTTAGATTTTGCTAATCTGCACTGTTTTTTGATCACTTAGTTTCTATCTCCAAAAAAATCAGAAAATGTGAAAATTCCCTTAATATGGTCATTAAGATGGTGGTAGTTTATAATTCAATTAAAGTGAAATTTTCAAGTGAGGAGCTCAGGTAAGATGAGAAGTCTCTTTTATAGATCACTACTCTTAGGTTAACCTCTTCTTTGCCAGCTGACACTGATGTGTGTTAGGGAGATTAAGCTAACCCAACTATGCATGATAAATTAAAATGATGAATGACAGAAGGCAATACGAACTATCAAGAAGCTATCTTAAAAGTTTAAGTGAGAGGCAATTATGTCTGAATTAGTGGTACAAATAAAAAGGAATAAAACATGAAAGATATGGAAAAGCATAATATAAACAGACATTGAGACTGTGTGTGGAGGATTTAAAGAAAAAAAAAGCTTTATGAGGTATAAAGCCAGGATGAATAGACATATGACTAGCGGGATAAAGACCAAGAAAAAATGATTCACGATTGGAGAAACAAAGAAGATTAGTTCAATTGTTAGTTCAAGTTGAATTCAAGGTCCTCATTAGAATATACAGGTGAAGATATTCCACAAGCAAATGACAGTGGAAACAGGATTGGGCCTTATGAGATAAATTAGGATAGGTGCTAACATTTAGTAATCTAAATCAATGTTTTCCTTATTTTAATGTGGATATGAATCATCTGGAATTTCAAAACTGCACTTTGTGTTCTAGTAGGTTGGAGTGAAAGGCATGAGATTCTGTATTTCGAATAACCTTCTAGGTGATGATGCGATGACCATGCTTTAGATAGTAAAGTACAGTATTTGTTCTCAACCTTGTCTGCTTATTGGAATCTCTTAGAAATTAAAAAACAACCTAACAAAAATAATGCCTAGTTTTCATCCCAGAAATTCTAATTATATTGGTTTGAAGTGCAGCCTGGAACTGGGATTGAACTTCCAAGGCAATTCTAATATTCCACAAGGGTTTGAGAACCAATGTCACAGTTACAGTTTGGAAAGGGACAAACAAACATGTAGATGGGTGTACAAAAGGAAGAAGAAAGAACCCAGTGGAGAAACTATAAAGATGGAGGAAAACCAAATGGAGTTTTTAAATTTTGTGAATCAAATCAGAAGAGGCAAAGAGGGTAGAGGTCCAATCAGAAGAAAGTAAAATGTAATTAATATTAGCAAACATTTCAGACCATTTAAAAAAATGAGGCCAGAGTAAGTAATATTAGATTTGGTGATAAGGAGGCCCATAGTCATCATTTTTTTGTTGTTTGTTTGTTTGTTTGTTTGTTTTTTAAGAGTGAGTGAGAATCTTGAATAATTTATTTGGCATGTTTCTCCCAAAATAGTTAACTAGAATATTCAGAACTACTGTACTTTCCCTTGTCCCCAAAAGTTCTTCCATGTATTTTACTCTAATCAAAACCCATTTATTATATAGTTTATCCTTGCATGCAGATTTTTCTCAAATGCTGTTAGCTCCTATGAGAAGTACAGTACATATTGAAAATGATAACATTAATCAGGGTTGTTTTCTGTGTGTCGATTTAGATAAGATGGGTCTAGTTTCATGTTGAAGGCACATGTAATAAGAATACTGTATGAACACACCCCATTTTGAATGCTTGGTGGAGGCCCTTTAAACAACTCATGACTATGGGTGACCAGTGTTTGTCTTTTTGCCTGAAATTGGCTGTGCTTGTGGTTTATGCTCTTATTACCCTAAGCACATTTTAAATGTTGGGCAAGAAGACATTCTAATGATAATTTCAGGACGGCAAACAGCCTGTTGTACAGCAAAACATATCAAGTGGAGGTAGGCCAGGGCCAGGGCCAGGACTAGGGCAACGTGAGTGAGTCACTCACCTTGAGCCTAAGTGTAAATATTAAAATTTATTAGAGACAGGATTACTATTACTGATTTTTTTCCTTCCGCCTCAGGCTCAGTATGGCACTGTTACTGAACTTGACATTATTTAAAATTTTGATATTTTGTTCCTTATGGATTCTTTGCCTTAATTTTATTTTTATTTTATTTTTATTTATTTATTTTTTGAGACGGAGTCTTGCTCTGTTGCCTAGGCTGGAGTGCAGTGACATGATCTTGGCTCACTGCAAGCTCCGCCTCAAGGGTTCACACCATTCTCCTGTCTCAGCCTCCTGACTAGCTGGGACTACAGGTGCCCGGCACCACGTCCGGCTAATTTTTTTTTTTTTTTTTTTTTAGTAGAGACGGGTTTCACCACGTTAGCCAGGATGGTCTCGATCTCCTGACCTCGTGATCCGCCCGCCTCGGCCACCCAAAGTGCTAGGATTACAGGAGTGAGCCATGGCGCCCGGCCCTTAATTTTGATGTCAAAAAATTATCCATCTGGATTATTGAGTTTTTTTGGTGCCTCCTTACATTTTAAAAATTACTTATTTTTATTGATGCATATTAGGTATACATATTTTCAGGGTACATGTGATAATTTGATACATTCGTATAATCAAATCACAGTAATTGGAACATACACCACCTTAAATATTTATCCTCACGCTAGGAACATTCTAATTATTCTCTTCTTGCTATTTTGAAATGCACAATTAATTAATTTTTTCAATAATTAAAAATGCTAAAATAAGGATTTTAACAATGCTAAAATAAGGTTCATTTTATCCTAGGGTTCTTTTGTAAGAATAACTATAAAGTGATTCATTACAGTATGTCAAAAATCTGTGGATTTTTGGCCTTGTTAAATATCAAATTACTCTCCAAATATATGACACCAATATATTATCTTACCAACAAAGTATGAGAGCCCTGCTATTCCACAGTTTTTCCAGTAATAAATAATACTAAATGTATTATTTTTGGCAATGCATTTATGGATTAGAATCACTTTTCTCATTTGTATTTCTATAATGTTAAGTGAAATTCACCATTTATTTGCCCATTTTTATTTTTGCGACTTATTTATTTATCTCCCTTATCCATATTTCCATTGGATTGGTACTTGTTTTCTTGCTGGTTTTATATAAACTGTGACTCCAAACAATTCACCCATTTCTCTATGTGTATTACAAATATTTTCCTAATAGGTCATGTCTTTTCTGTTTCTTGAGGCATTTTTTAGAACTTTACCACCTATGTGTACTCCAATTTATCATGCATTTGTGTATTTTCTTCTAACTACAGTCTTTTGAGCATCACTTTTAAAGACAGTTGATACATTCTCAAAATCATTACCTAGGTTTCTTAGAACAAAATAACAGTGAAGTCGCTGCTTAAATGCTATTCTTATTCTGAAAACTTAGAGTTGCTTTATCTATGGGCAAAATCTCAGATCCATCTTCCCTAGTCACAAACAGTAGTACTAAGGGAGAGCTTATAGATGAATCGGTTTGAATCTATTGTTACTGCTATTTACAAAAACAACAAAAACCTGGCATTTACAAAAACAACAAAATACCCAACTTTGCTGGTATGCCATTAGCATCATCTTGGTGCCAGATGCAGCAGAAAGAAAATCAGCAAGTGTTATTAGTGAGATGAGTGAGATATTGTACTTCTGAAAATAGTTCTCTCCTTTATTAAGCCACTCATAACCATAACATGCAAAAGATGATATACCATTTTTTCACCGATGCAAACTTTCCTCTTTTCTCTCAACACTCAAAAACTTCCTTGTAATGGGTTGTTATTGATTAACGAGGTTCAGTGTCTGAAAGCAGTTAAGAAGTAAATCAACTAAAATAAAAATGAGTATTACTTTCAATGCAGCATTAATGAATTACTATTACTTTCAATTTGCATTTACTTTGAGTTCAAGGATATCAAATTATTTTGTTAATTCATTTAATTGCTAATCTAAAATAAATTGAGTATCTTTTATGGACTAGGAACTTATAATTTCTTGGAATTTAAAGATAAGTAAGATACCAAGTATACACTGAAGAACTTCATAATTTTGTGGTGGACTAACAGATAAGACATATTTTAAAGTGAACAGTTCTGTAAAACCTGATAAATGAAAGAAGAGAGACTCACTTAGAACAAGTATAAAATTGTCAATAAACAGAGCATGATTATATATACTCAAATCAAGGAAAATTATCCAGAGCTCCTCCTTATTACTAACATAAACAGGAGTCGTTGGTCCAATAAAGTAAGCTATAAAAAATTGCAAATTACAGATAGATAAATGAGAGCTGCTGTCAGAGTAAGTAGCTACTTCCAGAGAGATTTGAAGGGATGTGGCAAAAATGGTAAACTACAGGTGTCACTATTAAAAAGTACATAACTATTAATCTGGTTAACTGCCCCTTAAGTAATTTCTCTTTATGACCTGTGTAATATTACTACTCATATTACTTGTGATGCAAGAAATCAATAGATAAGGCTCTCATCTTATTGAAGCTTACCTGTGGAGATATTCTATGCTAAAGCCTGTGATAGTTTCTTAACCTGAGAAAAATTTGCTAGAGTACCATCTTTGACCCCATAGCATTTTCAAGTATGGGTTATGCAAACTTTAAACTTACTGCCTCAATATATAATTAGACATTGATGTGGTTTGACTCTGTGTCCATACTCAAATTGTAATCCCCACTTGTTGAGGGAGAGAAGTAATGGGATTATGGGGGCAGTTTCCCCTTTGCTGTTCTCGTGATAGTCAGTGAATTCTCATGAGAGCTGATGGTTTTATAAATGGTAGTTTCTCTTGCACTCTCACAAGCACCCTCTCTTGCCTGCCGCCATGTAAGACGTGCCTGCTTCCCTTTCTGCTATGATTGTAAGTTTCCTGAGGCCACCCCAGCCATGTGGAACTGTGAGTTAATTAAACCTCTTTCCTTTATAAATTACCCAGTCTCAGGCAGCTTTTTATAGCAGCATGAAAATGGACTAATACAGACATTATCTAAGAACCCAGGATGGAGTGCAGTGGTGTGATCTCAGCTCACTGCAACCTTTGCCTCCCAGATTCAAGCAGTTCTCCTGCCTCAGCTTCCCAAGTAGCTGCAATTACAGGCATGCACCACCATGCACAGCTAATTTTGTATTTTTAATAGAGACAGGGTTTCACCCTGTTGGCCAGGCTGGTCTTGAACTCCTGACCTCAGGTGATCTGCCCGCCTCAGCCTCCCAGAGTGCTGACGTTACAGGCGTGAGCCACCATGCCTAGCCCAGAAATACTGGCTTTTAGAACACAGTGAGCATGTTTTACTTTCTTTTGTGTTTTCCCTACCCAGCTCTGGGCAGAAAACTTATAAACACAATAAATATTTAAATATTTGTACAGTACCTGAATAAATGGATTGGCAACAATTTTTATGATGTAACTTGAGTGAAAAGCTTAGTCTTGGTACTTTCCAAATTTGTTTGACTTAGTGCTTTAATGCTTGGAATTTCTCACTGCCAATTATTCAGCTATTCAGCTATTCTTATTATGGGGACTGGGGAGGGTAGTGATGTCTATAGATGAGACAGTATGAAGGGTAAATCAGAAAAATAGTTCCCATTATTTTATGGACACACAATAAAAAGGAACATGGACATTTTTCTGTTCAGTAAAATTTTGCTGTTCCTCAGATTTACATAAAGCACATACTAGTTCGGGGAGAAGGAGAGAACACGGAGAAAAGAAGGAAGCATTTCAGGGTGTAGGAAAGCACTGTGAAATTCAAGTTGAAGGGAGTAAGTATATTAGTGTAAAATGTAATAATATTGTGATAGTCAATATTTAAGCAAAATATACTTCTCTGGCATTGCTTCCAACAGGCTGTGCATACAACGATCCGCTGGTGTATGGGAACAATATATTATGATTTCTATTTCCGTTAATCCTTTAAAGAAAAAAATAATTCAACCTTTATTAATTGGTAATATGTGAACTACAATGGCATTCTCACCCAATATATACATCAAATATCTTCAGAGGGTATTCTGAAGGCCTGGGATTAACAATTCTAGTGATTTAAGGATGCACGCTAGTTATCTGATACTCCTCTCATGAGTTTGGGGGGCTCTGTAACTTATTTGACTGGTAATATATAACATAAATGACACTTGTCCAGTCTCTGGGTCCAAGCTTTAAGAGACTGGCAGCTTCCACTTCGTGGCTCTTGGTACATCCCTCAGGGAGGCCGGAGGCTCCATGTAAGAAATCCCACTATCCTGAGACCACTACTAACGGAGGAAACACATGCAGGTGCTCTGGACATTCCCACCTGACCCAAGTCTTCCAATCATTCCAGATAAGGAAACAAACATGTAAATAGATTTATCTTGGACTGCACAGATGACTCTGTCCACCAGCTGAGTACCATAGAGTGACCTCAGTCAACACCACATGAAGCAGAAGAATTGCCCAGCCAAGCCTGCTTTGGTATTCTCCTGATTCATAAAAACATTAAGACATCATACCACGGTTGTTGTCTGAGGACACTAGGTTTTAAGATAATTTGTGATTCAGGAATAGATAAGCGTTCTTTCTGACAATAGTGCTTTCCTTCTCTCTTTTGAATTCAGGACATTGTGACTTCATGCTGTTTGCCTATAACCACATAGCTTTGTGGATTACGTTGTCTAATTTCAAGTAAATTAAACATGAGAAGGATAAAAATGAATTAACTGTGATGCAGGGCAAGTTCTTGGCTTCACCCAGGAAGAAATTCAAAAGTGAGCCAAGGGTAGAAGAAAATGGCTTTATTGAGGCAATGGCAGTGTTACAGCTCTGTGACTGCTCTTACAGAGCAGTGCTACACCATAGGCAGGGTGCTGAGAGTAGCGACATAGAGGCAGTTTTACAGTCATATTTATACCCACGTTTAATGCTAATTAAGAGGCAGGGTATTCAGAATTAGCTAGAAAACTGGGGGTAACTTCTGAGTGTTGCCATAACAATGATAAACTGTTACGGTGCTAGTGTGTGTGTCTTCTGGAAAGGTGCTTTCGAGGGGCCTCTTCCCAGTTTCTGCCAGTCTTCAATTTGGTCCAGAGTCAAGTCCCGCCTGCCTCCTACCTCAATTGGAAACCATGGATTGAAGTTTATACTAACAGTGAAAGTAAATGCAGACAATAATAGAATGACTCTAGAGAAAGCATCTGCAGCTTCACCCATCCTTCTAAGGGGAAAGATGGCTACATGAGTCATTCAAAGTGAAAAACTCTGCTTTAAAGTGCAGAGTTTTTCCAAGCTCTGATTCTAACATTCTTGTTTAGATTTCCTATTTGTTAATACATTGCTTTATAAGGTTTGTCTCCCTCTATTTATTTCTTTCACATTTACAGCCCAGAATTTACCTTACCTTTGGTTCTGGGGTTTCTTCCGGATGCTTCCTTTTACTACCTGTTTTCTCAGCTCTATTTTCTTGAACTCATGAGCAAGTCCTATCCCAATTCTATGGCTAGATTATACACCTGGGACACTGTACCAGCAGGATGCTGTACTCCCAGGAATCTGAGAGTGTCCCCGTGATATTACAATCTCTGAATTTTATCTTTGGAAATTGCTGTACCTCCAGGATGTTAGACGTCCAGAATGCACTGCCCTTTGGATACTATATATACCTCAAGGAGGCTGTACTCCCAGGATGTTGTAGTCTCAGGTTGCTGTGGCTCCAGGATTCTGTAACCCCAAGAAAGCTACCCTCTATGTTTCAGAGCCTTAGATTCACATTATCTGAATAGCAGATTATGGAAAATACATAGATTATTCAATTTGAAAAAGTTTTGGGGATATCAAGGATAAACCTCTGACACATTTTGTGAATTATGAAGGCCACATAAGGTCCAAAACAAAGATGTTGAGGAAGGAATGTTCTAGGCAGAGGAATCAGCATGAGAAAATGAGTAGAGGCAGGACTGTGTGTTTTCTGCTGACAAGTCAGAGTTATTTTCCCCGGCCGGTACAGCTTGTTTAGGGAGACTGAAAAGAAAAGCCTGGATACATAGAATGGTACTAAAGCCTGAATGTCCCTAAAACCCCATCTAAGTAGTTTGCACAGACAATGGAGAAATATTGATGACATTAAATAAAGGAAGTAGAATGATTAAACAATGATAATATATATGCGCCTTTTGTACCTCTGAAAGGGCATGCAATTTAGACTCTAAAGCAGAGAATTTCACTTTGAGTAAATCATGTAGCCACCTCCCCCTTCGTTTTTCATATTTTTCCACCCTTCAAAAAGTGCCGTCAGGCTTATGTTTATTTCCAATTCATTAAAACTAATTTTATTTTGAGCATTCCTTTAGAGTTCATTGTATACAGCTAATTGCACCCCTTTATCTGGGGTCACTCATCCTTGTAAGCAAACTTTCAGGCTAGAGTCATGAAATAGTGAGAGAGAAAGTAGACATCTGCTTAGCCTGTTACCTAAGTCCAAACAGTCTGGCAAACATCATGGCAACAAATGTCAGAATTACAACCACTTAATACTTATGTTCATTTTGAGGATTTTTTAATCTTGCTTGGGAAAACTGAAGAAAATAGGTAGCAGCATAAATAAGACTTTTCATAGCAGAAAGGTAGAGAAGAACAAAACGGGGCATTGAAGAAAAGTCCAAAAGCTTCTATAATCAATTTATGAAAACTTCAGAATTGGCCAATTTGCTGCCGGGCAGCAGTAAAAGTAGACCAAAATCCCTGAAACATTGAGTATTTCTTTTTGGTTGCTATAGGCAACTAAATGCTGAACACAAAACTTGTAGTTCCTGATCACTCATCCTGTGGTGCCCTTATTATAAGGCTATAAGGCCTTAATTTGCATGAGTGTACGTGGATGCATTTCCTTTTCTTTAATAGTAGACAATCCATATTAAAAAGTTAACCTTGCAGATAAGTGATAATATCCAGATACTGTATTGTTATGATTTGTGTTTTCTTTCCAGGGCAGGATCAGTGGATTATTCTCTGATCCTCAGAGTTTTCTGATAGTCTGACTCAGTCAAACTCTACACATAGGTTTTAGAGGATAGTTTTTATCTCACTTCAAAGTTAAACTTTGACCCTCTCCTTAGAGCCTTTGATTTGCTTTCAGAGAAGACTTTCTTACTTCATGAGCATGTTTACAACGGCCCAAGTATTGCTCTTAAAAACAGTCAGAATCCTACCATCAGAAGTTGCTCAATCATTCTTCTGTGTGCCTCCCAGAAAAGCCTGTTGGTAAAACTCAGGCCTATTAGCTGCAGTCATTGAGGCTTATGAACACCCGTGAGACACAAAACCATGATCTCAGAGATTTAATAAGCAGCACTTCTGAACCTTTGTCTTCTTCTTGAAATCTTTGTCTTCAGAATGATTTAATAGATGTCACCAGCTTAGTCCCTCAGCAAGCAAGCAGTATAACTAACTATTTTTGCACCGTGACCTTTTTAGCTGGTACACACATTTACTACCAACTGGGGTCTATAAAAATAGTGAGATGTGGTCTATTTCACCAAGCAGCAAACTTTAGGGCCAACAGCAGTGCCAAAAGAAAGCTTGCAAAATGAAGGATGCTTTAGCCCTTCCTGCTATCTCTAGCCATGTGACCAATGAAAGACACCCCAAATAAATACAACACCTATGTAAAAACACTACGCTTGCTATAAAAACACAACCCCAAGAGAAGTTTCCTAGCCCCCAGCCTTCCATCTAGATTGGTATCCACACGAACTCCAAATAGAAATTCTGAAACTATCAGTGGCTAGTACTTCAAATATTTTAATATTTTGAGACAATGAAAATAAGTAATATTTATCAAAAAACTATCTTGTTTATGTTAGTTCCCCTAATTATTGCATGGACTCTTTGAGATGGGTATTACTATTTCAGTTTTACAGAAAATAAAGCATTGAATGAAGAAGTTTAAGTAATAAGATCTAAGCCATGGTGCTAATAAATGGCAAGACCAAGATTTGAATGTTGCACACCTCTGTGTACAAAACACAGTCCCTACTCTTTCATCCACATACATAAATGTATCAATATTGGTAATCACTAGCTGCTACATCTTTCTGTCACTAATCATTGGATTGGGTCATATCTTAACAGAAGAAATATATTCTAGGTTTGAGCATTGTGGAATGAATTGTACTTGATTCCAGGATTCCTATGTGTTTCCTGCAAATCTTCAATTCCTGAAGATCCTCTGGCTGCTTACCTGGACTCTTACTTCCCATTTTGCTCTGCTTTTCTCTGTACCTCTGATAATTTTTGAAATTAAAAATGTTTGATTTCCAAACATTTTTAGATTTTAAAACACTTTCTAGTGTTTGATTTATCCATAGTCAATCCTTGTTCTTTTTCCCCATGCCAAGAAATATTCCACACTGTCAATATTCTATCAACCTCAGTTGCTCCATTCGCCTCCAGTGAATTCAGCAAGTGAGAGGCTATCAGGAACAAACCTCACTTCTTCCCTCTTTCCTCTTCTACCTCCCAAAATATCTGTAGTTAGCCATCCTTACCTCTGGAACTCAAGACAAGTTAAACTTTATTCATTTTACAATGAACCTCATAGATTTCTGCTCTCAATCCAACTCATGAAAGAATTATTTATTATCCATGTATTAAATATTCAGCTACTTTCCCCCGAGTAGCTTTGTTGTCACCCCGATATCCTAGATTAGAATTCCTTCATTTACAGCTGCTAACTCAGAAAAGACCTGGAGTTTCACTATACCTTCTTGGATTAATACCTCCCTAGGAAAGAGGTTGGATGTGGGGTGGTGGGGGGAGGCGGCATCTCTTTTTTTTTTTTTCTCTGTCACCTGGGCTGGAGTGCAGTGGTGCGATCTTGGCTCACTGCAACCTCCACCTCCCTCATTCAAGCGATTCTTCTGCTTCAGCCTCCCAAGTAGCTGGGATTACAGGTGCCTAACACTACGCCCAGCTAATATTTTGTATTTTTAGTAGAGACAGGGTTTCACCATGTTGGCTAGACTGGCCTCGAACTCCTGACCTAGTGATTCGCCCGCCTCAGCCTCCCAAAGTGCTGGGATTAACAGGCATGAGCCACCGCGCCCGGCCATGGTGGGGGTGGGAGGAATCTCTTACACTCATCCTTTTCTGTAGCTTATTTCTGGGTGTAAAGTCAGTACCAGACTGTATGCTAACTGTAGATCATGTCAGCTTTTTCTGAGAGAGATTTTCTTAGTATATGGCTTCCCATTGTCCAACAAACAAAGTTCAACTGCCTTAATATAGTATAATTAGTTAAATAGTTTCAATCCATTGAAGTTACCAACATGAAATGGTTTTATTTCCTCCAGCAACTGTCTTTACTTTTGCTATATGGACTCTCCTTCCTTGCTGGATTATAATCATATAAAGACATTAGAGTAGAGGTCCTAGTCAGTGAAAGTAAATAAGAGCCATACTAACTTGAAAGAAATAAATAGGAACACCGTTATTCATAGACAATATGATTAGCTACACATAAATTTCTATGAAATCTATAAGCTCCTACAACTAATAGTGAATTTAGTAGTTCAAAAAGTACAAATCAATATACAAAGCTGAATTGCATTTCTATACATTAGCAATGAACGGTTAAGCATTGAAATTAAATAAAATTCTCTTTATAATTTGCCAAAAATCAAATACTTAGGAATAAATCTTAAAAAACAGGGTACAGTATCTGTATGATAAAAGCTAAAAAATACTGATTTATAGAAGAGAAGACTTGAATAAATGTATAAATGTACTGCGTTCATATATTGAAAGACTTGATATTGTTAAGATGTTAATTCTTCTCAAATTAATCTATAAATTTAATGCAGTGTCAGAAAAAGCCCCAGCAGATTTTTTCTTGGTATCAAAAAGTTTGACTGTGAAATTTACAAGGAAGAGCAAAGGAATTAAAGTCATCAGTGCAATTTTGCAAAAGAAAATTAGAAGGCTCACACTACCTGATTTCAAGACTTACTAGAAAGCTACAGTCATCAAGACAGTCTGATAATTTTTATCTCACTTCAAAGTGATGTGAAAAGATAGACACAGAATAATGGACTAGAATATAGAATCCAGAAATATTCCCACTTGGCAATAACACACAGAAAACAACCTAATAAAGGAGTGCACAAAACATTTAAGTAGACACTTCAGCAAAAAGATACTCAAATAACTAATAAGCACATCAAAAGATGCCCAACAATATTAGTCGTAAGAGAAATACAAAATAAAAACAGAATGAGAAACAAATATACATCTATTTGAATGGCTAAAATAACTTTTTAAAAGCCCTGATAATACCAAGTTTTGGTGAGAATGCAGAGCAACTGGAGCTCTCCTGCATTGGTAGTAGGAATGAAAAATGAGTTGGCCACTTTGGAAAACAATTCAATAGTTTCTTATAAAGTTAATCCTATACTTATCTTACGACCCTTTAATCCCACTCCTAGGTACTTATACAAAATAAATGAAAATTTATGTTGACAGGAAACCTGTACATGAATGCTTGTAGCAGTTTTTTTTTAGTTATTGGTCAATACTGGAAAAAAATCTAGTCAATTATTTTTGGGACAGGTACAAATGCAATTCAACAGAGAAAAGATAGTCTTTTCAACGAATGGTGCTGAAACAATTGAACATACAAATGAAAGAGAGAGCAGTTAGAAAGAAAGGAGAGAGTGAAGGAAAGAAAGTTAATGTTAACTCACACACTTTACACAGATTGAATATCCCTTACTCCAAATGCTTGGGACAAGAAATGTTTCAGATTTGGGATGTTTTTGGATTTTGGAATATCCACATATATGCAATGAGACAGCTTGGGTTCTTGAGGACAGAACCCAAGTTTAAACACAAAATTTATTTATGTTTCATATACATCTTATACACATTGCCTGATGATAATTTTATATTGTATTTTTAAAAATTTTGTGCATGAAACAAAGTTTTGACTGTGACCTGTTACATGAAGTCAGATGTGGAATATTCTACTTGTGACATATTGTTCGGAAAGTTTCAAAGTTGGGAGACTTTTAGATTTTGGACTTTCAGATTAGGGATGCTCAACTGTACAAAATTAAATCAAACTGGATTGTAGACTAAATGCAAAAGCTAAAATTATAAAAAATTTTAGAAAAAACTAAGAGAAAACATTTGTCTTTTCTCAGCAAAGAGTTCTTACATATCACTTCAAAGTATAATCCATAAAATTAATTTTGATAATTGAGTAATAAAGTTAAAAACTTTTAATCTGTGAAAGATACTGTTAAGAGAAGAAAAAAAGACCAGCCACAGACTGAAAGAAAATATTTATGCAAATTACATATGTGAACAAAAGACTTGTATCTAGAAAATGTAAAGAATTTTTTAAACTCAGCAAAAAAAAAAAAAAAAAATCCCAACCTAATAAAGAAATGGGCAAAACATTTAAGTATATACTTCAGCAAACAAGATACATGAATAATTAATAAGTACATGGAAAGATGCCCAACAATATTAGTCATAAGGGAAATGCAAAATAAAAACAGAATGAAATACAGCTATATACCTACTTGAGTAGCTAAAATAAATTTTTAAAAAACTGGTAACACCAAACTTTGCTCCAGTTTGGAGCAACTGGAGTTCTCCTGCAGTACTGGTAGGAATGCAAAATCATTTGGCCACTTCATAAAACAATTTGGTAGTCTCTTATAAAGTTAATCAAACACTTACCTTATGACCCCCTTAATCCCAACCCTCGGTTCTTACCCAAAATAAGTGAAAATTTATGTTCACAGAAAACCTGTACATGAATGCTTATAGCAGTTTTTAAGTAATTGCTGAATACTGGAAAAAATCCAAATGCCTTGTACTAAGTGAAAGGAGCCAAATTCAAATGGCTCTGTGTAGTATTCTTTCATTTATATGACATTCTGGAAAAAGCAAAACTATAGGAGCAGAGAAAAAAATCAATAGTAGCCAAGGTAGAAAGATGGGGGACAGATTTTGACTACCAGAGGGAAGTAGAGGGAATGACTCTTGTGGTTATAGACTACTCATTTGTCAAAGATCATAGAACTGCAGGCAAAAATGCATAGAGCTCAATATATGCTAATAAAAAAAATTAAATATCCTAAAAATACCCCTGAGTCCACAGCTTCATATCTGGTAATCAACAATAAAAAAATCACTAAGGATTAAAAGATGCTAGCTAAGTAGTTAATACAGTTACACAATCTTGTTCTACACAGGTATTCTTGAGTTCCCCACAATTATATAAAGGTACAAAGAGAAATATAGTCCAGAAAAATGAGAGTGACTACAATGAACCAAGAAGATGCTATTCTTTTATTATAGATAAAAGAGATGCAGAAATACTAGGTAATTTCTATCTACATGCAGAGTGACTTGATTATTTTCAACCCTTCCAATCAGTTATATATAAATTTCATAGTTAAGAAATATTTCATCATGTGAAAATCATCAACTGTGACTTTAGCTGCTTTAAATTGAACTTGATAGTCATTCTAGCTTATAGGCACTGTAGCCTGAACTTACATACAAATTTTCTAACTTCACCTAGCTCCGTGCTTTTTCCATGAGTACAGTCTGCTTTAACTTTAACTTTAATGCTGGAAAATGTATGTGGTAATTAGTTCTGTCCTGGGTTTTATTTTCTACTTAAGATAAGATAACACAATATAGTGTTATTGACTAACTCAGCAATGTGTATGAACTGACAGGCAAGTCTGAGTTCCCTATGTGCTCCTGTAAAGAGCTCTATTTTGTGAGAGGTGAGTATGTCATCACTTATCACCGTTCTCATTGCTGGTGCCAACATTTGCTTTAATTTCAACAGAAAGTTTAGTCATTTTGTTGTTGTCAATAAACCCAATAGTTAACAGTGCATAAAAAACAAAATAAAATTTTGGAGAAAACAATTAAGCAATAAACTTATTTGTACCGGGTATTGTTTAATTTAACCAAATTGTATGTGCTTTTAACTTTTTGGGAATCCTAGAGGCCATATACACATTAAAACAGAGACATTACAAATTCCAATAAAGAACCTTCAGAAGTTGTTTGTCAATCTAATTTGTAGTGAATTTGGTGTTTAGTCTTTTGCCAAGTGCTAAGTTATATAGATATAGACAAAATGAAGAAACAGCCCTGCATATAAAAAATACTTTATAAAATCATTTCCATATGACATTTCATTCATTTTGTCCCTCAAAGAATGTTTAAAGGCTTACATATTCTATACAAATTTACAAATAGTTAAAATATAAACAGAAGCTGAATGAAAAGAATCATTTATACTCTCTATTGAGAAAAAAGACAATTATAGAATTGATGAGCATACAGAAGATTTTAGAAAATATATTTAAGATAAATAAGATAAAGGTGTGTTAGTTATATGAATTTACATATAAATAATTATTAAAATAATTTTAACAATAAAGCTAAAGAAAAGAATGTTTTATTTAATAATATGTAAGTTAAAATAATCAGGCTATGATCTTTTAAAAATATTTTACAATAAGACCATTTAATTTTTCCCACATTAATACATTGTTCACTTGTTTGAAAATGTTTAATTAACTAAATCCTGGTATGGAGTTTTAATAATAGTAGTTTAAAACAGATCCATTTTGTTTGTTTGTATGTAGGTTTGGTTTGGTTTAATTCTTTGGAGAATAATTCATTTGGGTTCAAAGGCTTATTTTCATGTTCTTATTCATTTTGGTTACTGACTTCTAATTCTGGTCTTCATAAGCATCTTGATACTATTTTTTATTATTTGTCAAAGAGAACATATTATCTCATCTTTAAGACCACTCTATAGCAATATTTCTCAAAAGTTTAAATCACAGGAAATCTCTAAAGAAATATGAAGTCCAATAAATTTGGGAAAATGTGACAATCCCTCTTGAAAACTCCTAATTATTAATAGCATGTTGAAGGTTCTGAGGAGTCCTAAAACAAAGACTTACTTACATTTTTAGTAAGCCTTAAACTAAAGATGTTTGTACCAGGTTTGGTGGTCAAGAGCATGTGCCTAGACCTCCAACTATGGGGAGCGTAACTGAGCAAGGACATCAGAGCCTGGCTCTCAAATCCATAACTGTGTTAGAACAGAAGCCACGGTTTTCACAGACTGTTCCTGGCCAGCGACTGAGTATAACAGGAATGCTGTAGCACTCCTTCTTGGACAACACGGTACTGCTGATGGACAGCTTTGGCTTGAGGATCCCTCAAGGGACTTGTCAAATCTTCCTTAGACTGCACTGAAGTCTAAAATCCTTTTACCCAACCTTCTCTCCGTCTCTTTTTCACCCGGGGTCAATCTTGCATCTCTGTCTGATGGTTCTTCCATACTTCTCTGGCTCCCTCCCATTTTATCCTACTTGGGCCATTTCTGTGTAATATCATCCTTGTACATGTAATCCATCTCAGAATCTAATTCTTGGAGGAAATGGAAGAGCAAACATTTATAAGACTTATATGACCATGAAATATTTTAAAAAGTGAGCCTAGGCTTGGTTTATGATGGGCTAGTCTGGTACATGGGCACAAGTCATAAATGGATGCCAGCTAAATTATACCCCCTTCAGATGTGGCCATGAAAGATAATAGAGAGGAAAAACTTCCTAATGGAAGGAGCTGAAAGCTAAGTACCTTGTTATTTACTTTGTGTTGAAGTGGCCTGAAGTGAGAATATATAGAGACTCTTGAATCATTGTTCAGGCTAGTGGCCTGTCCATCTGAACAGGAACCTGGAAGGAAAAGTCCTAGAAGATGAGACACAAGGAAGTCTCAGGTAGAGTCAAGTCATGTACATGTGAAAGTAGATGGGAAGCATGAAGATATTTGTCTCACATGTTCATCCATCATGAAAGAAATATACAGGTAGCTTGACAGTTAACTTTAACCACTTCCATTATTGGCCACTCCAGAACAGGCATGGAAGTCACATACACAGTGGCTGATAGGGTTTTTACTTGCCCCAAGACCCAGCCAGGTACTACTGCATCTAAATGTTCAGATATTCAGCAGCAGAGCCATACACAGAGCTTCTGATATAGAACATTTTCTTCAGCAGACCAACCAGCTACTTGTAGGCAGGTTGACTAAATCAAGACCCTATCTCCTAGGGATGCAGAAACTTTTTCAAGTAATGGATTCCAGATCTAATAGCTTGCTCAAGACTAGCAGCAAGCAAGGGATCTTGATATTTTATTGGAGGAGTCATCCTCAGCATCGTGCTCTTCCATTCTTGCCCTTTTTTGGGTTATCAACGTTAAGCAGCATCCATGGGAACTGTCCATTTATTTTATACATAGATACCAATATTCTATTAACCATATTCACAACTCCCTTTGGGCCAAATCTTCTTGTTCATCCCACATTAATGGTCATTATGGTCATTGCTGCCTCCTGGATTCTGGCAGCTGGGTTACCCCCACCTGGACTCTGTTACTTCATGGCTGCATCTCCATGGATATTAATCACTCAGCTTTGTGAATGCCTGTCCTACCATCAGTCCTGGCTTGCAGAGAAGAGTCATTACTGAACTTAATGATGCTGGTGTCCTTCTTACAAGCATATTCCTGATGCTTTTGGTGAATGATGTGTCTCTCTTGTTTGTCCCGTTGAACACAATTATCTGTAGGATATTCTGGCTTCATATAGCATATCCATTCCAACATACACATTTCCTTCAGCCTCCTTATTACTTCCTCTGCTGTCTGCGAACGCAACTCAGGCACTTCTACTGCTGAATTGTGACAATCACTTCATCCAAACTTTTAAGAGTCATCTCAGCATAAAAATTATCCTCTGAAGTCCTTACCAGGGTGCTAAATCCTGTGTCTTGAGAAAGTGACCCCAAGTCATTGAATTCTTGCTTAACCAGTCTTACCAAGCACTCTCTCAAGAAGTCAAGAACAGAGATATTCTCCTGATTCCTGCTGGTACATACTAGCTCATTTCTGTTTTGTTTTTCTTTTCTTTTCTTTTTTTTTGTGGGGGTGGGGGGATATGGAGTCTTGTGCTGTCACCCAGGCTGGAGTGCAATGGCGTGATCTCAGCTCACTGCAACCTCCGCCTCCCAGGTTCAAGCAATTCTCCTGCCTCAACCTCCAGAGTAGCTGGGATCACAGGCATGCACCACCATACCCAGCTAATTTTTGTATTTTTAATAGAAATGGGGTTTCACCATGTTGGCCAGGCTGGTCCCAAACTTCTGACCTCAGGTGATCCACCCGCCTCAGCCTCCCAAAATGCTGGGAGTACAGGTGTGAGTCACTGCACCCAGCCCATACCAGCTAATTTCTTGCAATCATTTGAAGTGTCATCTCTTTCTTCCTGTATCAGGCATAATACCTCCTCCATCCATGTCATATTGGGATATAACTAGTTTTTTTGCCTGGTAGCCAGGACAGGATGTGGGGTCAGCTTCTGAAGCAGATACCTGTTGCCTCACAGTGGGGTGACCTCTTCTGTATATTCTGAAACCAGAGTGCTAGTTCTTGCTAGGAAAGAGTGGGCCACATCTGCAAGCCTAGAGGATTCAGAGGAGCTGCAGAGCCAGGCTCCACAGAGGCATTCGGCCAGATAACATCATCTCATATTTTAGGCCCCATGTTTTTCCCACCAGGACTCTTATCTTCCTATAATGGAATCGCCTTAGCTAAGCACTTAAAGTTCTCTGGAGTTCTGTGACTCTATGAATTAGATCCTCAGCCTGCCACTCAGCTGGGCTTCATCTTTCACTGTAGATGATAAGAGACTTTTATTAAGGCCTTTTTGTTCTACACGTAGCCATCAACTGCTTTTTTAAGGCCTTCAGTCTCTCATTTTCCTTCTTCATGTCATCAGTGTAACTTCTCAGTAACCAGTAACCACCTGTCTTTGTGGGCTTCCCTCTCCTCATATGTTTTGAATTTTCTCATTATTTTAGTTGCTATATCATTCTCCTCCATGAAGACATTTCTCCAAGGGTTTTTGGTGGTTAAGCTGTCACTGTGTTCCAGGAACTCCTCATGTCCCACCTACCAACTAGGAAGGTGTCCTTTTTACCTGCTGGGCAGTAGATAAGCCAGTCCCAAATCTCACTCTTACAGCTGTTTTCCTGGATCACTCTTGGTACCATTAGTCTCGGTCATCTGAGAAGTAGACACCAAGACAGAATTAGGCATGTAGGATATTTATTAGTGGAAATGCCTATAATAGAAAATATAGAGGGAGTCAGAGGAGACTGAAAGAGCTGTTACATGGCAATTTAGATCTGATGCTTGTGAAGGAGAGTAAAAAGAAATAATGGTTAGCTGGATGGATCTTAGATTACAGTGAAGTTCTACAGACATTTAGCAAGGCTGATGGGGTGTTCTCAGCTCAAGCAGTCCATCAGAGGAGTCTTGCGTCTGAGTTTTATGTCTCCCAGGAAAGAGCCCCTTTAGTATTTCTGCCTAGCTTAGCCATTGGCTGAGAGAAGCTCATGGAAGCAGGTCTTCTGCACAAATGCACTGATGGATTTCAAAGTGCAGCAGTTGGGGCCTTAATGAAATGCTGTACAGTCTTAGATTTAAGAGCTATATTTCTAAGGCCTCCAAATATTTCTATCATAAAATTCATCAAGTTATCACTGACCTAAAGCTTGAGAAACAGATTAGATCTGCCTGTAAAGAAAACAGACTTTCACATCTGCAAGAATATACATAGGGTATAGGCAAGAAGGGAATAACACCTCTCCAAAGGAAAATAATGGTTTTTGTTTATTTGTTTGTTTTACAAATAAGTGGGTAACTAGGTAATAATTTACCTATTTCTGTGCTCAATGGTTAAGCTTCCCTTTGTTATCCATGACTTCCATACCTCAACAAGTCCTGCTTTTTTGTGACTGTCAAAGATCATGCATCCTATAAATATGGATTTTTACTAATGTCACCTTCTTCCAAGTGGAGGTAATTCTCAGGCATTGTGCAATGTGCCAGTCATATGCTAAGCACTTTACATATATAGCATTATTTATTCTTCTCAACATCTTCAGGAAGCAAGTGTTATTCCCACATCCCAAAAGAGGAAATTGTGGCTGAAAGAGATCAAGTAATGAAGTTAAATACATGACAGAACAAGATTTCCATCCCAAATTCATGGTGTTCACTACTAAGTTCTGCTGTTTATGGTTAGACTCATTCAATGTAACATATTGTGAACACATTTTGATGTGCTTTTTAATCTTAATGGTTACCTTTCAATTCCACCCCACCTTGTACAATGTCTACAACAATAAAAATGAGAGATTTCCCCTTCCAGATTTAACTATTTTCTATTCAGAATACTCAATTCTCATAAATATTTTTCCTTGTGATCAGAGATGTGCTAAATATTTAACAATTGGATCTCTGGGGGAAAAAAAGACAGTCCTGATTTAGAGCAATACTCTCACAATGTCTGATTTCAGGCTACCAACATGATGTCAGCAAAGTTGGAAAGAGATGCAGACTAGCACATCATTACACAGTAATTCCACCATACAAATACAATGAAGGTGAAACTTCAAGAGCATAGAAAATAGCAAAATACAGTAAACAATTAGGAGTGATGGGCATTAACTTTATTTTTCATATGTCATTTAATTGTAACTATATAAATTTAATTTTTAATACTGGCTGTTTTAAACAACCAGCTTACAAAATTCCTGAAAATGTTGCCATCAGCTCTTTCAAGCTAGTATGGGCGCGCTCCAGCAACTTATTGCTTATGTGCCTCCTAAATCATTGCTCCCTGGTTTCTTAACCTGAAAATATTTGCTGCTAACATAATATCTGTGCGGTGGTTACAGGTTGAATTGTACCCACTTCTAGAATTCCCAGGTTGAAGCCCTAATCCCCCAGTACCTTAGAATGTGACTGTAGTTGGAAATAGGGACTTTGAAGAGGTAATTAATAGAAAATGAGGTCATATGGGTGGGCCCTAATTTAACATAACTGATGTCCTTATAAGAAGAGGAGATACCAGGTATGTGCATGCACAGAGAGAAGTCTACTTGAGGACCCGAAGAGAAGACGACTATATGCAAACTAATGAGAATGACCTCAGGAGAAACCTAACCTGCTGGCCCTTGAACTTAGACTTCCAACCTCCAGAGTGGTGATAAAACAAACCTCTGTTGTTGAAGCCACCCAGTCTGCGTATTTTGTTATGGCAGCCCTAGTGGGCTAATACAAAGGGAGATAATCTCATCTTTCTCTACTGTATTATAACGTTGAGTTTGACAATAGTGTTCAGGGACTTTGAAACAAATTAGAACCTTTCAAGGAGCTTTTGAATGGATTACATATGAATACTGCACAACCTTCTCGTGCATGACGCTACAGATTTCCCGAAGATGACCCTGAAGCTATAACTGAAAATAAAAGTACTGGTAATTGCTTTATTTTCTGTCTCACTTTGTTTCTGGCATGACTGAGTTCCGAATGCTATCCTCTCATTATGTTTAGACAGCCAAAGGCATTATAACTTAGTCTGAGTTTCCCAAAAATGATACTCAAGTCTCTCTATGATATCCAGGAATTCACTTTTATTTATTTGAACAAACCTACGTGTTTACTTTAAGTAATAAAATATTCACTGGGTATGTGCCTTTTGCTGAAGTCTTTGACTCATTCTCACTATTGTGACTAATTATATTAATGTTCATGTTTTAGTGTTACTAATTATTTTAATGTTGCTGCTTTAGTATTACTTTAATTGCTTCATTTCTATAACCAATAGTTGCAATGTATGAAGGTCATTTCTTTTAAAATAAAAACAGCCCCACTAAGACAATGAAAGTTTTACTTTTGATCAAAGAGTGTGCTTCAAAAAATAGCAGCAGTACTTTTCCAGACTGTCTTATGAATGTATTTTATGACAACATATTCAATAACTACAGCCTCTTTTGGTTAGGCCACTATACAGCCAATACTTGCAATTTGGTTTTTTGTTGGCGTTGTTATTGAGACGCAGTCTCGCTCTTTCGCCCAGGCAGGAGTGCAGTGGCGGTATCTTGGCTCACTGCAAGCTCCGCCTCCTGGGTTCACGCCATTCTCCTGCCTCAGCCTCCCGAGTAGCTGGGACTACAGGTGCCCGCCACCGCGCCCGGCTAATTTTTTGTATTTTTAGTAGAGACGGGGTTTCACCATGTTAGCCAGGATGGTCTCGATTTCCTGACCTCCTCGCCCGCCTTGGCCTCCCAAAGTGCTGGGATTACAGGCGTGAGCCACCGCGCCTGGCCTGCAATTTGGTTTTTAAGAAAACACTTTCAATAAATTAAGACAATCTCATAAAATCTAATACCTCTCTCCAACTAGAGGAAGAAGGTTAGCATGACCACTGAAGAAATAATGGAAATTATTCCCAAATTTTATTAGGTTCAACGTGTTCCTAATCTGGTCATTTTCAAGTTGTGACTAGCATGAGATGAATTGGAAAACAAAATCTCCAAAAAGGGATTTAAAAGTGTGGCTGTAATTATTAGCTTGTATGATGAATCTTCATTAGCATCATCACTAAATTAAACTTATAAGTGCTTCTTAAGAATGCTTGGTAAGTAGTCTAGGAGGCTAGAGATAAAAACAGAAGAACAGAATCAAAGTCAGTATGAATAGTGACCCGAATCTCAAAAAAATATGAAATATGAAATAGATGCATATGGGCTCCTTCCCTTATATCTCTTGCTTTTTTAGTTCCTTTTTAGGCCCCTTTTCTTCTGCAAAGAATTGATTTCTTATGACACATCTTGTTTGCAGAGTGTCAGTTTCCACAGAGGAATGCCCATCTGGAACAGGACTGGAATATATTCAAGATCTTTGCTAAATGATACCTCCCATCAAAAGTTATCTCTTCTCTCCATGTTGACAGGGTTCTTATCTCAGCACGGTGATATTCTTTCTTTTATGTGTTAGTAAAAATTGTTTTCAGTATTTGACATTATCTTCTATGAGATAAGATATTGCCTAAATATTAAATTTAAGCTAAAGTTTGGAAAGCCAATTCCTTATTAGAAAGACTCTTAAAGAATAATCTAATTCTGCATCAGCCAAGTAGAATAGAGAATTTTATATATTTTAGGGATTCTTGAAGATTGCTTTCCCTACGCAACCATAATGATAAGTCCCTTTGAATAGTCACCCCAGTACTTTTGTTATCTGCCTGTGTTCTACTTGATAACTAGTGACTAGTAGTGAAAGAGGGACCACGCAGGATGGAAATAATATGTTAATTAGGTCTTACCATAAAATGAAATGACACTCAACATTCTTTAAATTCTAAAGTAAGAAAATATATAAAATGTACAGTATTTGTCTGATTCCATCATTTTACTGTGCTAACAACAATCACAAAGACATGATACTTAAGCACAACAAAGCCATTTGTTGTTAAACTGACATATCAAGAGCAGAATGGATAGGGCTTGGTGCTTCATAGTCAGTCAGAGTTGATGTACGTTTCACAACCTTTTAGCTGCATCTTGTAGAACATGTGGTCATCTTGGTTGCAGCAGCAGAACAGAGGCTGAAATTACACAAGGGCTTTATACTGTCTCAGCCAGGAAGTTACATACATCACCTTCCCTCATCACCTCTTGGTCAGAACTAGTCACATGGCCCTGCCTAATTACAAGCAGGTGGAAAATTGAAATCCAGCCATGTCTCTAGAAGGAGGGAAAAACTGGATATGGGTGAACATGAAAACTTTCTATCAATAATTTATCTTATCAGACTCCCTAGTAAAATGATAATATATTGGTAACTTTAAATTACATATAAGCAATTTACCATACCTAACAAAAGGTTTACACATATGAAGTCAATTTCTAAAATGAACATATCCAATGACAGATATCCAAGTTGGTGGTGTGCCTTTGCAAAAATATATATGTGTGTCACAGGTCAAGGAACTTTTTGGAAAATCATCTTTAAAAATTATTTTAAGATTTGTTAAGTAATCTATATCCATGTATGGCTTCAACTTCATATTATTTCAGAATTATTTATTGATTAGAGGTGGAATTATTTACTTGGTAACTATGCTTAAAACTTGACTCCAAATTTTATACATATTTCATTTCTCTCTTGAAAAATATGCAGAAAATTTTAATGCAGGCTCTGAAGAGAATTCAAACAAGTAAATTTCCAGGAATATGATAACAACTTTATCACATAAATGTGTAGTTTCTTATAATGCCTACCTGAAGGGATAATACAATTAAAAGTACGATGTTAGGTCCAACTTTAAATTTAGAACTTCTGTTATTTCCTTAACTTCACAGCTGTAGTTATTTTAAAAGGTAATGCAGGAAGATATTTAGAATGTCAGTACAATTTGAAATCCCACAAACAACTCAGCTATGAATATAGATTGACAATGAGTCAAGGTGATTGGCACCAAATATCTTTTTATTCTGCATGGGCAGCAGTTTTTTATACCTCTAACATTTGTAATATAAACAAAGCTACCAAAAAAGCCAGGAATGAAATATGGGAATTTTCAAAGGCATAATCCTCATCCCCTCAAAAAATGGCAGGGAGGGAAAACAAACCATGATAATGAACTGATTCACGTTACCACCAACTGAGTTTTTGTAACACACAAAAGCCAGCTAAAGGCAAAAGAGGAGTCTATAACAATGGACTGTATTCTCTGCTCACATTTCTCACAGGCGATTTGTAATTCTTGTAAGTCCTTCTATTTTTTTTTCCCAAATGTTTTGGTTCTGCATACCCATGAGAGATTTTCAAGACTAGCTGTGCAATGTCAACTCTGTTCTTATCCCCCATGTAATTTTATTCCTCAGCAGCCTGTTCCCCGGATTTAGTTACTATAACCAACAAAACAATGCAACAGCCAAGAACCTGCACAGCTAACATCCTATTAAACAGTGATCATATAACACAGCCCAGCCATTCTTATTTCCTTTTAAAAATATTTATGATTGCTGGACCACATAACCTTCCCAGATAAATCCATTGTCTTAGGAATGCAAGTTAAACTTGTAAACTGGCATAAAGAACCTCAAGGGTAAAGATATGACATAGTAAGATGTTGCTTTAGAAATCTCGCTAGTGAGCTCTCAGGGTGTCAGATCATCTTTACATGGGCCAGTGTCACACTGTCACCAACTAGTTTTTAGCACAGGTGTCCCAGTGTTATTAGTACATGTACCATGTGGCATGAGAGATATTTCTGGTGTATGTCCTGGAAATTTGGCAAATGCAAACGTCTCTGCGGCCATGGTAATAGTTGTTACTGTGATTTCTCTGAAGGGGAATTTTTTCATCTTTTGATATTTATCCAAGGATATTCAGTCAGTTCACCAAAGATCTCCTGAGAAATCAGAATGTCTATGGAGATTCTACAGAGAAAATGTCCAATTCAGTCATAAATCCCTGGAGACCCTGAGACATTTAATAACAATCATTTGGATATTTAAGATAGATTAGTGCTATACTTGAAGAGACTATATTAAACACAAAGTACTTCTTCAGAAAGACACTGCCAAGAGGGTTTTCACAATTATTTTTTCTCACTTGATTTTATCCAAACAAACTTTGCAAGACTGCTTCTGTGTTGCTACAGCCTGAGAGTTTATGATTCTTTCAGGGTGTGAGGGCCAGCTTTATATATCAACATGGCTAGGCTATAGTCCTGTTACTCAGTCAAACACTAACATAGTCGTAGCTATGAAAATACTTTGTATACGTGATTAAACTATGATTAGTTGACCTTCATAAGGAAGATTATTCCATATAATCTGGGTGGATCTGCTTCAATCATTTGGATAGCCTTGAGTAGAGCTGAGGCTTCCCTGAAAAAGAAGAAATTCTACTTCTGAGAGGCAGCTTCACTTGGTGTCTGAAAGTTCCACCCTGCCCTTCCTGATAGCTGCCCTGTGGATTTCAGACTGCTTAGCCTCCAACATCTTGATATATGTTTCCTACAGGTTCTGTTTCTGTGGTGGAACACTAGCTGAATACAAGAAATAACATATGCTGGAGGCCCTGAACTAGTGTTTCAAATAGGTCTTGGACTCCTCAGAAAACAACAACAACAACAACAACAACAAAACACCTCACTCTACAAACTAAGCAGAGTGCACTGATAGAAGTTTCTGCTTGTAATCTTTCACAAAATTACTATTTGTAGATTGATTAGCTACATAGAAAAGTCAGGCAGTAGCTTGCTTACTCTTGTTGTGTAATGCTGGCTATAAGCAATAGGAAAAAAACCCATATTTTTGAACTAGTCAAGGCATTCTTATCTCAGCCAACATATTTTTTTAAACCTGAAGGACACTATTGTTTTAGGTATGACATGTTTGCCTTTTCTTGGACTAAAATCTAGACTACGCATTTATTTCCAAGGGGAGAGAAGTTTGCCAGACTAATTACAAATCAAATCAAAGCATTATTGGCTTATTTTAAGGTTTACACAACAAGAGAAAATATTTAACCAGATTTAGATTTTCATATTCTACCTTTTTAAAAAGGCATCAGGGTTTTATATAGCAATATCATAGTACAGCATGATTTTTTAAATTTTGGAATGACCAGAAGCATGCAGATGACAAACTTAAGATGCATTATATATCCTTGATCACATATACTGAATTGTGCATAAACCACCTTAAGATCTCAGCTTTTCTGATGGAGAAGTGTGACAAATATGACTGCCCCACTACAATGTTTCATTTTAAGGTACTATAATATCTTACCCATGTTTGTCTTTTCTTTATATCATAATTCTTCCCCAAGAGGTAAATGAATTTCTCCAAATGAATCAGTATGCTCCTTTTTGTAAGAAAATAGTAAACATTTGTCCATCTTTTTCTTTTTTTTTTTTCTATGAGCTTTGGCTACCAGGGAGTTTCAGATTAAAATTTAGTTTCTAAATATTGTTATCTATATTAGCTGAGATGTATTTTATCTTCTTTTACAGCTCCTTCTGTGGTTTTAAGTATTCTTTTTATTTAAATAGTCAGAAAACAGAGCCTAAGTCAAGTATCTGGGTTCAGATTGTCTGTTAGAAAAGTCACTCATGGGGGACAAGGGCAGCGAGTGCTCAGTTTGGTTAGATCCTCCTAAGAAGTGTATAGCATGCTGTCCGGAATTGCCCCTGAAGGACAAGAATGAAGATTTTATGCAGTGAAACAAATTCTCATGTAAAGAAGACTGAAATCATTCATTGTTCCTTGTTCTGCACTGATTGGGGCTCCTGGGCTATTTTTGCTGCAGGCTAGTCTTCAGAACGGCCTTTGGGTAGGAAGATGACACAAGGATGCTAAGGCAAGTCTGAGCTTTTAGAGAATCTCTACTGCTGCTGTGGTTGAACTCAGAGGAGGGCCCAGGAGACTGAGGCAGTGCACCAGAGGCATATGCTCAGGCCTATTATGTGTGTGCCTTTTGGAGCAACACTTCTCAAAGTCCTTTGGAAAATAGTTGAGGGAAATAAATATACATACACACACTAGGTCATCACTTTCAGGTATACTCTGCAAGCTTTTCCTTATTTGGGGAGTACTAGATTGAGTATGAAGCCACAATTTTATATATATATATATATATATATACACACACACACACACACACAAAGTGAAGAAATCAACTGAGAAAGAAATTATTACAGAAGTGAAGTACATGTCGGGTGCAATGTCTAGACACAGGTACTGCCAGTAGTTGTATTAGAACGGCATGAAGGGGATTTATACTTTGTGCAAAGGCTTTATATAAAATAGCCAAGAGCATTGCTTCCTATTTCATGGAGGAAACAGAAGCAACCATAAAGTTCCTTCTGAAATCTCCCACCAAAAATCTAACCATCTACCACATCTTCAGTCTGCCCTCCCCATAAGGAACTTTCTGTGATCCTATGAAGGCCAAACCAGCCCCCTGAAGTCTATGTCATCCCACCTACTTGAAAATGTGATTCCAATGACTTTCCTTCTCTCTTCCTCGAATCATAAATTTTCAATGAAGGAAATATTAATATTACTGTTCAAAATTATTTCCTATTAAAGAAAAATTAAAAACCTTAGGTGGCTTTTCTCCTTGCATTCATTGCTTCTCCTTACTGCAAAATTTCTATATGAACTTACCGATGCTTCCTGCCTACAACTTTTTTCCTTCTCTTTCTTTTTTTTTTTTTTTTTTTTTGAGACGGAATCTCACTCTGTCTCCCAGGCTGAAGTGCAGTGGTGCGATCTCGGCTGACTGCAAGCTCCGCCTCCCAGATTCAAACGATTCTCCTGTCTCAGCCTCCCGAGTAGCTGGGACTACAGGGGCCTGCCACCATGCCCAGCTAATTTTTTGTATTTTTAGTGGAGACGGGGTTTCACCATGTTAGCCAGGATGGTCTCGATCTCCTGACCTCGTGATCCGCCCTCCTCTGCCTCCCAAAGTGCTAGGATTACAGGCGTGAGCCACGGCGCCCAGCCTCTCCTTCGCTTTCTTAAATCCACACCAACTAAGCTGTCTTCAGCACTCCACTGAAATGACCCCCATGTTCCTAAGTCAATGGCAGTTTCTCAGTCCTCATTGCAGGCTGACATCCATCAGCACTGGACACAGTTAATCATTCCTTTTATGCCTCAGTTCCCAGAAAACCCACTTTTTCTTAGGTTTGTTGTTGTGTTGTCTTTTCTTTCTTTTTGAAACAGAGTCTCTGTTGTTCAGGCTCGAGTGCAGTGATGCAATCTCACCTCACTGCAACCTCTGCCTCCCAAGGTTCAAGTCATCCTCCCACCTCAGCCTCCCAAGTAGCTCAGACTACAGGTGTGCACCACCACAACCAGCTAATTTTTGTATTTTTTGTAGAGACAAGGTTTCACCATGTTGAAAGTAATCTGCCCACCTCGGCCTTCCAAAGTGCTATGATTACAGGGGTGAGCCACAGTGCCCAGCCTTTCTCTTTGTTTTCCTCCTACTTCTTTGGTTACTCATTTTCTCAGGGCCTGCTCATGCCTTTTCAAGGTTAGAGAAGCCTAATTGAAAAGAAAAACAAAAACATCAGTACTTCCAAGAAAAGCTAGTTAAAGGAGTAAACAGAAAGAAATTCAGATCTAGAACAGTTTAGACTGGGGAATACTTTTATGTGGTAGTAAAAGTTGCACTTCTGAGCCTCCCTGATGTTTACAAGAAATTTAACTCTCAGCCCTCATTAGATGAAGATGAAATGTGATATTGTATTCCTTAGATTCCCAGCGAATAAGAAGGACATACAGAATAAAATAATATTAATAATTATTAAAATGAAAATCTATGAAGAAATTTAATTAATTAATTACAAATCCTTTTATAACCAATATACATTTGTAAAGAGTCAACAAAAATTCATAAAACAGTGTTTCTGGTATTCTCATTACTGTTTGTCCTGTAAATTTTGAGCACAAATCTGATGGAAGTCTGAAGGATGATAAAAATCTTTTTAATAATTTCTGAAGTACCTATATATACATGCTTTCCAGGGGAGGAAATAACACATTAGAGTTGGCAAGCACACTAACGGGGAGTTTGAATGGAGAAAATTAACTAGTAGTTTTGAAATCTCAAAATCCATGGTCGTCTACTGATACAAGTGAGTAAAGATAGAGAATAAGACTTTGAGGAGCTTAATGAAGTGGTCAGAGGTACAGCAGGGATAGAAGAAACCACCTGCATATCTACTCATGTGTGTATATGTATGTGTGTACACACATACACACACATATATATGAAGGTTAGTGTCAGAGATCCCAGTGAGAAAACTCAAATGCTCAAAGCAAAGAATATTTAACATTTTAACAAACTGCGTGGCAATAGAATAGAAGAAGAATGTCCGAGCAATGCTCCAGAGAGGAAAAAAGTTAACTTCCCATAAATGAGATGTGTTTGCTGCAATATACTGTTAGCTGTTTCTATAAAAAGTGTCAACAACACATATGTTTCCAGTAGGCATATTTCCATTTAACACATTCTCAACCCGTGGGCTATAAAAATTAATTGCTAGGGCAGTTCCAGATTGTCGGAACATCTGCTAAAAAAAGCTTTCCTAGAGCAGATTCAGGGAAATACAATTAAAGAAAGCATGTGGAATATTCGGAAGCATTTTTTATGTCTGCCTAGTATAGCTAAACTTCAGTAACTGTCTAACTAAGGCAAAAGATTGCCAACTTGTATTCACATTTACCCACTGACTGGCATCACAAAACATTAAGATTTGAAGCTGGATATTTCTGGGCCAGATTTCACCCTGCTCAAGGAAATCTCTCTGCGGGAGACAGAAAGCAATCGGAAGGATTTCAGTGTTGACTTTAGGAGTCAGAAGAGAAATACTTGGCTTGGTGGAGGCAGCTGCAAAAGTTCCTCAGCTCCTGACAGTGTTGTCCCCATGAGCTCACCCACCCAGCTGCTTCCCAAGAGGAAGATTCTTAGTGACTTGGAATACCAAGGTAATTATATTTGCCTTGGAAGGCAGAAGCAGTTTTCTTTCCACAGACACTGTCTTAGTCCATTTGCTGTTGCTTACAACAGAATGCTTGAAATTGGGTTATGTATAAGAAATGAAATTTATTTCTTACAGTCAGGAGGTTAGGAAGCCCAAAGTGGAGAAAGTATCCTGTGAGAGCCTCTTTTTTGGTGGGGACACTGAAAAGTTGCAAGGAGGTGCAGAGCATCACATAGCAAGGAGGTTGAGTCTGTTAATGTGCTAGCTCAGGTCTCTCCTCCTCTTTTTATAAATCCACAGTTCCACTCCCATGATAAACCACTAATCTATTAACCCATTAATCCATTAATTTATGTGTGACTCAATTCATTTATTAAGGCAGAGCCTTCCTGATCCAATCACCTGTTAAAGTCCCCACCTCTCAATACTGCCATATTAGAGATTAAGTTTCAACATGAGTTTTGGAGGAGACATTCAAAGCATAGCAGACATGCTCTACAAAACTATAATTCCAAGTACAAAGATCTTCCTTAATCTATTTATTACAATGCTTAATTTAAAGGACATGGCAAACAGCATACCATCGGTAAGAAAGATAATTCCCAATGTGATAAAATGTATTATCATTCTCACTCTTTTGTAACACTTAGAAACACAGCACTTCATTCCAATGACTTTAAACAAGAAAATGCAGCAAGTACAGGGAAAATTAGGCAAAACTATTCGTGGAAATCTGTTTCATAATTTGTGTTTTAGTGATCTGCCCACCTACCTCTCCTTTGACATTCAATTCTTAATGAGCTCTAAGATTGCTTTCTGCCAAGCCATAGAAATAATTGTACTTTTCAATTAAGTATCCATTTAAATTGGTTGGCCTAAAAACTCTAAACAAATATCAGCGGCTTTTTTTTTTTTTTTTCTTTTTTAATTATTATTATTATTATACTTTAAGTTTTAGGGTACATGTGCACATTGTGCAGGTTAGTTACATATGTATACATGTGCCATGCTGGTGCGCTGCACCCACTAACGTGTCATCTAGCATTAGGTATATCTCCCAATGCTATCCCTCCCCACTCCCCCGACCCCACCACAGTCCCCAGAGTGTGATATTCCCCTTCCTGTGTCCATGTGATCTCATTGTTCAGTTCCCACCTATGAGTGAGAATATGTGGTGTTTGGTTTTTTGTTCTTGCGATAGTTTACTGAGAATGATGGTTTCCAATTTCATCCATGTCCCTACAAAGGACATGAACTCATCATTTTTTATGGCTGCATAGTATTCCATGGTGTATATGTGCCACATTTTCTTAATCCAGTCTATCATTGTTGGACATTTGGGTTGGTTCCAAGTCTTTGCTATTGTGAATAATGCCGCAATAAACATACGTGTGCATGTGTCTTTATAGCAGCATGATTTATAGTCATTTGGGTATATACCCAGTAATGGGATGGCTGGGTCAAATGGTATTTCTAGTTCTAGATCCCTGAGGAATCGCCACACTGACTTCCACAATGGTTGAACTAGTTTACAGTCCCACCAACAGTGTAAAAGTGTTCCTATTTCTCCACATCCTCTCCAGCACCTGTTGTTTCCTGACTTTTTAATGATTGCCATTCTAACTGGTGTGAGATGATATCTCATAGTGGTTTTGATTTGCATTTCTCTGATGGCCAGTGATGATGAGCATTTTTTCATGTGTTTTTTGGCTGCATAAATGTCTTCTTTTGAGAAGTGTCTGTTCATGTCCTTCGCCCACTTTTTGATGGGGTTGTTTGTTTTTTTCTTGTAAATTTGTTTGAGTTCATTGTAGATTCTGGATATTAGCCCTTTGTCAGATGAGTAGGTTGCGAAAATTTTCTCCCATGTTGTAGGTTGCCTGTTCACTCTGATGGTAGTTTCTTTTGCGGTGCAGAAGCTCTTTAGTTTAATTAGATCCCATTTGTCAATTTTGGCTTTTGTTGCCATTGCTTTTGGTGTTTTGGACATGAAGTCCTTGCCCACGCCTATGTCCTGAATGGTAATGCCTAGGTTTTCTTCTAGGGTTTTTATGGTTTTAGGTCTAACGTTTAAATCTTTAATCCATCTTGAATTGATTTTTGTATAAGGTGTAAGGAAGGGATCCAGTTTCAGCTTTCTACATATGGCTAGCCAGTTTTCCCAGCACCATTTATTAAATAGGGAATCCTTTCCCCATTGCTTGTTTTTCTCAGGTTTGTCAAAGATCAGATAGTTGTGGATATGCGGCATTATTTCTGAGGGCTCTGTTCTGTTCCATTGGTCTATATCTCTGTTTTGGTACCAGTACCATGCTGTTTTGGTTACTGTAGCCTTGTAGTATAGTTTGAAGTCAGGTAGTGTGATGCCTCCAGCTTTGTTCTTTTGGCTTAGGATTGACTTGGCGATGCGGGCTCTTTTTTGGTTCCATATGAACTTTAAAGTAGTTTTTTCCAATTCTGTGAAGAAAGTCATTGGTAGCTTGATGGGGATGGCATTGAATCTGTAAATTACCTTGGGCAGTATGGCCATTTTCACGATATTGATTCTTCCTACCCATGAGCATGGAATGTTCTTCCATTTGTTTGTGTCCTCTTTTATTTCCTTGAGCAGTGGTTTGTAGTTCTCCTTGAAGAGGTCCTTCACATCCCTTGTAAGTTGGATTCCTAGGTATTTTATTCTCTTTGAAGCAATTGTGAATGGGAGTTCACTCATGATTTGGCTCTCTGTTTGTCTGTTGTTGGTGTATAAGAATGCTTGTGATTTTTGTACATTGATTTTGTATCCTGAGACTTTGCTGAAGTTGCTTATCAGCTTAAGGAGATTTTGGGCTGAGACGATGGGGTTTTCTAGATAAACAATCATGTCGTCTGCAAACAGGGACAATTTGACTTCCTCTTTTCCTAATTGAATACCCTTTATTTCCTTCTCCTGCCTGATTGCCCTGGCCAGAACTTCCAACACTATGTTGAATAGGAGCGGTGAGAGAGGGCATCCCTGTCTTGTGCCAGTTTTCAAAGGGAATGCTTCCAGTTTTTGCCCATTCAGTATGATATTGGCTGTGGGTTTGTCATAGATAGCTCTTATTATTTTGAAATACGTCCCATCAATACCTAATTTAATGAGAGTTTTTAGCATGAAGGGTTGTTGAATTTTGTCAAAGGCTTTTTCTGCATCTATTGAGATAATCATGTGGTTTTTGTCTTTGGCTCTGTTTATATGCTGGATTACATTTATTGATTTGTGTATATTGAACCAGCCTTGCATCCCAGGGATGAAGCCCACTTGATCATGGTGGATAAGCTTTTTGATGTGCTGCTGGATTCGGTTTGCCAGTATTTTATTGAGGATTTTTGCATCAATGTTCATCAAGGATATTGGTCTAAAATTCTCTTTTTTGGTTGTGTCTCTGCCCGGCTTTGGTATCAGAATGATGCTGGCCTCATAAAATGAGTTAGGGAGGATTCCCTCTTTTTCTATTGATTGGAATAGTTTCAGAAGGAATGGTACCAGTTCCTCCTTGTACCTCTGGTAGAATTCGGCTGTGAATCCATCTGGTCCTGGACTCTTTTTGGTTGGTAAACTATTGATTATTGCCACAATTTCAGAGCCTGTTATTGGTCTATTCAGAGATTCAACTTCTTCCTGGTTTAGTCTTGGGAGAGTGTATGTGTCGAGGAATGTATCCATTTCTTCTAGATTTTCTAGTTTATTTGCGTAGAGGTGTTTGTAGTATTCTCTGATGGTAGTTTGTATTTCTGTGGGATCGGTGGTGATATCCCCTTTATCATTTTTTATTGTGTCTATTTGATTCTTCTCTCTTTTTTTCTTTATTAGTCTTGCTAGCGGTCTATCAATTTTGTTGATCCTTTCAAAAAACCAGCTCCTGGATTCATTGATTTTTTGAAGGGTTTTTTGTGTCTCTATTTCCTTCAGTTCTGCTCTGATTTTAGTTATTTCTTGCCTTCTGCTAGCTTTTGAATGTGTTTGCTCTTGCTTTTCTAGTTCTTTTAATTGTGATGTTAGGGTGTCAATTTTGGATCTTTCCTGCTTTCTCTTGTAGGCATTTAGTGCTATAAATTTCCCTCTACACACTGCTTTGAATGCGTCCCAGAGATTCTGGTATGCTGTGTCTTTGTTCTCGTTGGTTTCAAAGAACATCTTTATTTCTGCCTTCATTTCGTTATGTACCCAGTAGTCATTCAGGAGCAGGTTGTTCAGTTTCCATGTAGTTGAGCGGCTTTGAGTGAGATTCTTAATCCTGAGTTCTAGTTTGATTGCACTGTGGTCTGAGAGATAGTTTGTTATAATTTCTGTTCTTTTACATTTGCTGAGGAGAGCTTTACTTCCAACTATGTGGTCAATTTTGGAATAGGTGTGGTGTGGTGCTGAAAAAAATGTATATTCTGTTGATTTGGGGTGGAGAGTTCTGTAGATGTCTATTAGGTCCGCTTGGTGCAGAGCTGAGTTCAATTCCTGGGTATCCTTGTTGACTTTCTGTCTCATTGATCTGTCTAATGTTGACAGTGGGGTGTTAAAGTCTCCCATTATTAATGTGTGGGAGTCTAAGTCTCTTTGTAGGTCACTCAGGACTTGCTTTATGAATCTGGGTGCTCCTGTATTGGGTGCATAAATATTTAGGATAGTTAGCTCCTCTTGTTGAATTGATCCCTTTACCATTATGTAATGGCCTTCTTTGTCTCTTTTGATCTTTGTTGGTTTAAAGTCTGTTTTATCAGAGACTAGGATTGCAACCCCTGCCTTTTTTTGTTTTCCATTGGCTTGGTAGATCTTCCTCCATCCTTTTATTTTGAGCCTATGTGTGTCTCTGCACGTGAGATGGGTTTCCTGAATACAGCACACTGATGGGTCTTGACTCTTTATCCAACTTGCCAGTCTGTGTCTTTTAATTGCAGAATTTAGTCCATTTATATTTAAAGTTAATATTGTTATGTGTGAATTTGATCCTGTCATTATGATGTTAGCTGGTGATTTTGCTCGTTAGTTGATGCAGTTTCTTCCTAGTCTCGATGGTCTTTACATTTTGGCATGATTTTGCAGCGGCTGGTACCGGTTGTTCCTTTCCATGTTTAGCACTTCCTTCAGGAGCTCTTTTAGGGCAGGCCTGGTGGTGACAAAATCTCTCAGCATTTGCTTGTCTATAAAGTATTTTATTTCTCCTTCACTTATGAAGCTTAGTTTGGCTGGATATGAAATTCTGGGTTGAAAATTCTTTTCTTTAAGAATGTTGAATATTGGCCCCCACTCTCTTCTGGCTTGTAGGGTTTCTGCTGAGAGATCCGCCGTTAGTCTGATGGGCTTTCCTTTGAGGGTAACCCGACCTTTCTCTCTGGCTGCCCTTAACATTTTTTCCTTCATTTCAACTTTGGTGAATCTGACAATTATGTGTCTTGGAGTTGCTCTTCTCGAGGAGAATCTTTGTGGCGTTCTCTGTATTTCCTGAATCTGAACGTTGGCCTGCCTTGCTAGATTGGGGAAGTTCTCCTGGATAATATCCTGCAGAGTGTTTTCCAACTTGGTTCCATTCTCCACATCACTTTCAGGTACACCAATCAGACGTAGATTTGGTCTTTTCACATAGTCCCATATTTCTTGGAGGCTTTGCTCATTTCTTTTTATTCTTTTTTCTCTAAACTTCCCTTCTCGCTTCATTTCATTCATTTCATCTTCCATTGCTGATACCCTTTCTTCCAGTTGATCGCATCGGCTCCTGAGGCTTCTGCATTCTTCACGTAGTTCTCGAGCCTTGGTTTTCAGCTCCATCAGCTCCTTTAAGCACTTCTCTGTATTGGTTATTCTAGTTATACATTCTTCTAAATTTTTTTCAAAGTTTTCAACTTCTTTGCCTTTGGTTTGAATGTCCTCCCGTAGCTCAGAGTAATTTGATTGTCTGAAGCCTTCTTCTCTCAGCTCGTCAAAATCATTCTCCATCCAGCTTTGTTCCGTTGCTGGTGAGGAACTGCGTTCCTTTGGAGGAGGAGAGGCGCTCTGCGTTTTAGAGTTTCCAGTTTTTCTGTTCTGTTTTTTCCCCATCTTTGTGGTTTTATCTACTTTTGGTCTTTGATGATGGTGATGTACAGATGGGTTTTCGGTGTAGATGTCCTTTCTGGTTGTTAGTTTTCCTTCTAACAGACAGGACCCTCAGCTGCAGGTCTGTTGGAATACCCTGCCGTGTGAGGTGTCAGTGTGCCCCTGCTGGGGGGGTGCCTCCCAGTTAGGCTGCTCGGGGGTCAGGGGTCAGGGACCCACTTGAGGAGGCAGTCTGCCCGTTCTCAGATCTCCAGCTGCGTGCTGGGAGAACCACTGCTCTCTTCAAAGCTGTCAGACAGGGACACTTAAGTCTGCAGAGGTTACTGCTGTCTTTTTGTTTGTCTGTGCCCTGCCCCCAGAGGTGGAGCCTACAGAGGCAGGCAGGCCTCCTTGAGCTGTGGTGGGCTCCACCCAGTTCGAGCTTCCCGGCTGCTTTGTTTACCTAAGCAAGCCTGGGCAATGGCGGGCGCCCCTCCCCCAGCCTCGTTGCCGCCTTGCAGTTTGATCTCAGACTGCTGTGCTAGCAATCAGCGAGATTCCGTGGGCGTAGGACCCTCTGAGCCAGGTGTGGGATATAGTCTCGTGGTGCGCCGTTTTTTAAGCCGGTCTGAAAAGCGCAATATTCGGGTGGGAGTGACCCGATTTTCCAGGTGCGTCCGTCACCCCTTTCTTTGACTCGGAAAGGGAACTCCCTGACCCCTTGCGCTTCCCAGGTGAGGCAATGCCTCGCCCTGCTTCGGCTCGCGCACGGTGCGCGCACACACTGGCCTGCGCCCACTGTCTGGCACTCCCTAGTGAGATGAACCCGGTACCTCAGATGGAAATGGAGAAATCACCGGTCTTCTGCGTCGCTCACGCTGGGAGCTGTAGACTGGAGCTGTTCCTATTCGGCCATCTTGGCTCCTCCAATCATCAGCGGCTTTTAAGTAGTTAAGTTTATAAACATTTTCCTATAAACTGGTCACACATGTTGTAATTGAGAGAGAAAGAGACTGTTTCAATCTTGGGGAGAGGGGTCAGAGAAAGAGAGTTTTGATGCTTAATGAGCCTTTGATACTATCCAGGGAAAGGATGAGACTTGTTATGAAAAGATCAGGATAGATTTCTCATCTAGCACCTACCTAACTCAGTGAAATCATTGTGTTTCTTAAGACTGTTAGTGGATAGAGACAGGGATTGAAGGTGCAAATCTCTACTACTGTGCCTAAACTATCATTGAACCAGAGTAACTAGACTTGTTTCCTCTCCATTGTTCCTTCTGATCACTCCAACTTTGACCACACACATAAAACACCATGAAGCCTCATATCAGACATTTAAAGAGACGGAGAAACAAGTGCAAGCACATGAAGAATAGAATGTACAATCTCTTTACATCTCTCTCCCAAGATTCTCTCCTAGAATGATAATTTCACAGAGCTGTCTTCCTGTATGCTTCATACATTGCAGAAATCTTCCCTATGATTAAAGTGAGAAGGGGTTGGTGTATGGCAACACCATCAAGCTTAAAGTCATAAAAGTTAGAGAATATACAGCCGGGCGTGGTGGCTCACAGCTGTAATCCCAGCACTTTGGAAGGCCGAGGTGGGTAGATCACGAGGTCAGGAGATCGAGACCATCCTGGCTAACACGGTGAAACCCCGTCTCTACTAAAAATAGAAAAAATTGGCTGGGTGTGGTGGCACGCGCCTGTGGTCTCAGCTACTCGGGAGGCTGAGGCAGGAGAATGGTGTGAACCCAGGAGGCGGAGCTTGCAGTGAGCAAGCTTGCAGTGAGATCGCACCACTGCACTCCAGCCCAGGCGACAGAGCAAGACTCTGTCTCAAAAAAGGAACATCACAAATAACTAATTACATAAGATTCTCAATGCACACATGAAAATACAGAGGTTCAAAGAAGTCATAACTTATTCAGACAGGAAGCTAGTAAGCAGTGGAACTAAAACTCAGGATGTCTAGCTTCAAGTCCAGAGCTTTTCCTCTGGAAAGCTTACAAAAATTTACTATGAACACTTCAAATTGGTTACCTAACAGCATGACACCGAAATCTACCTCATGGAAAACTGAAATGTATTCTCCCAGCATGTCCACACAACAGGTTCTGAACCAGGCTCTGCTCGGGGTGAAGCTTAGAAGGTTAATCATAGCAGACTCTCTTACTTCATGTCCCTGTCTCTAAATGTGAGGTGTGGGGAAAGGAGAAGAAAATGTTGAAGAGATAGTTAGAGCTGACTGCTGTCTCCAACTTGACATGAACCCCTTCTCCAATGGAAGTTCAGCCATACTGGATTTTGGACTTGCTACACGAAAGTGTTGATTGTGGTGAATAATTTAAGCCGTTGAAGAAAGCACTATGACTTAATAAAAAAAGAAAGTATATCCAGTAGTTTAAACACAGCAAAATAGATACTACTATGCATTTACAATGCCTAAAACACCAAAGAATATGACAAAATATATCATTATCTGTAACAGTACATGCATTATTCTGACACCTGAAAAATTTATAGCAGTACTTTCAATTAATAAAAGACATTTTCATATCTGTACATGACAATGGTCTGTATAGCAGAACTCCAATGTATCGTTAATAACATGTCTTTAGCTACTATGTAATTCAAATTTTAAAAGGAGTTCTCTTTACCCATGCTGATAACTGGCTCGGAAATAGACTCTTTCTAGCCTCATCATAATGACAGGTGAAGCTGGCTGGGCTTCTGGGTGGGGTGGGGACTTGAAGAACTTTTCTGTCTAGCTAAAGGATTGTAAATGCACCAATCAGTGCTCTGTGTCTAGCTAAAGGTTTGTAAACGCACCAATCATCCTCTGTAAAAACGCACCAATCAGCGCTCTGTGTCTAGCTAACGGTTTGTAAATGCACCAATCAGCACTCTGTAAAACGGACCAATCAGTGCTCTGTAAAAATGGACCAATGAGCGCTCTGTAAAATGGACCAATCAGCAGCATGTGGGCAGGATCAAATAAGGGAATTAAAAGCTGGCCACCCCAGCCAGCAGTGGCAACCCCCTTGGGTTCCCTTCCCCACTGTGGAACCTTTGTTCTTTTGCTCTTTACAATGAACCTTGTTGCTGCTCACTCATTGGGTCTGTGCCACCTTTAAGAGCTGTAACAATCACTGCGAAGGTCTGCAGCTTCACTCCTAAAGTCAGCAAGAACAGGAACCCATGAGAAGGAAGAAACTCCGGAGATATCTGAACATCTGAAGGAACAAACTCTGGACATACCATCTTTAAGAGCCGTAACACTCACCACGAGGATTCGCCACTTCATTCTTGAAGTCAGCAAGACCAAGAACCCACCGGAAGGAACCAGTTCCGGACACAATAACTTGGCCATTTAAAATTGAAAACAAATTTTCAAAGCCCCTTCCCACAGCAACAGTCTTCTCTCAGATGTTCTGACTTTCTCATGCCTCTGGAGTGAAGAGAAACTCTGGATGGTTTGGGAGTAGTCTCTTAGGCATATGTTATGGCATTACACATTTGTTTCTAGTGTGTGTGATCTTTGATTTATTTTTTCAGTGTTGAAATCACCACGGACCTCAAAGATTGATCAAACACAGGTTAGGAATCAATGAAACAAATTTATTTTGGTTTTTATTCTTAACATATATTTTCTATATGTTATGAAACATAAATGCTGGCTATGAGTTCTATATCAAAAATGAAAAGCACTTTTCTGATTTTATAAATACACTCTCAGAGCATTAAAAATAAAATTTATAAAAGGGCGTAATATAGGCAATGATATCAATTTTACTGAACTGTAAATCTTGTCCTCAGTAATAAAATTACAAATGAATATTTTCAAAGATAGTAAAAAAAGATCTATAGATAATATGGCTGTTATTTTTAACAGCTTTATTGAGATATAATTTGAAAAACACAATTTGACCTCTTGTGAATATAGAGTATGACAATTTTTGGTAAACTTGTACAGTTGTACAATTGTAATTTTGATCTAGATTTAGGACATGAATAACAACCCCCCAAAACATCCACATACCCATTTGTAGTCAGTTCCTGCTCCATTTTCGGCCCAGAAAACCACTGATATGCTTTCTATCTCTGCAATTTTGCTTATTCCAGAAATGTTATCTAAATAAAATAATAGAAAACACAGAATTCTGTGTCTGAATTTTTTTTCCTAAGCGTAATGGTTTTGATGTTAATCTATGTTGTTGCCATATGTCAATAATTCTCTGTATTGCTAAGTAGTATTCCGTTGTGTGGAAGTATTACATTTTGTTACTTGTTCCTCATTTGATAGATATTTGAATTGTGTCCAATTTTAGGCAATTATGAAAAATGCTGATATGAACATTTATATACAAGTCTGTGTGGACATATGTTTTAATTTATCCTGTGTAGATATCTGAGACTGCAATTTCTAAGTCAAATAATATGTGTATGCTAAATTATTTAAGAAAGTGACAAATGTTGATCCAAAATGGCACTATCATTTTTCATGTGCATCAGCACCATGTGAGGGTTTCTGTTCTTCCAAATTTTTGCCAACCTTGGGTATTTTTACTCTTCTTAATTTTAGTCATTCTAGTTGGATGTGTAATGCTATCTCATGTGGTTTTAATTTTCATTTCCCTAATGACTAATAAATCTATTTATGTGCTCAGTAGCCGTTTGTGTATCTTCTTTGGTGAACTTTCTATTTATGTCTGTTGCCCATTTTTAAATTCAATCATGAGATTCTTATTGTCAAGTTATAAGGGCTTTGTATACTTTAGATATAAGTCATGTAAAAGTCAGATGATTTACAAACATTTTATCTCAGCCTGTAGTTTTTCTTATCTTTAATATTGTCTTTTAAAGAGTAAAGTACTCTCAATTAATTATGAAGTGCAATCTATCAAGATTTTTGTCTTACAAATTATGTTCTTAGTGTCGTATGTAAATAAAAATTTCCCTGTCAAAAGTAAAGAGATTTTCTCCTATGCTTTTCTCTAGAAGTTTTATACTTTTAACTCTTATATTTAAATTTATGACATGTTTTGAGTTAATTTTTGCGTGTGATGTGAGGATCTACGTATTTTTGCCTATGGATATCCAGTTGTTTGAGCATGATTTGTTGAAAAATTATCCTTTCTCTGTTGAATGGTCTTGGCATCATTAAAAGAAATTATTTAACCATGTGAGGGTTTAGTTCTGGGCTTCTATTCTCTTCCCTTTGACTTGTAAATCTACTGTTATGATGTCACACTATCTTGATTACTGCAACTTCACAGTAAGCTTGGAAATCAGATATGCTAAATATTCCACAGGTTTTTTTTTAACTCTAAATTCTAAAATTGTTTTGACTGTGCTAGGACTTTTTAATTTCCATATACATTTAGAATCGGCATGTCAGTTCCTATACACACCAAAAAAATAAGCCTTCAGAGATATTTATAGAGATTATGTTGATGTTATGAATTGATTGGGAATAATTTTCATCTTAATAATATTGAATCCACCAGACTAGCATATCATCTACCCTGGATATTGTTCCAAGTCTCTTGAATAGAACATGTATTCTTCAGTCATTTGCTGGTGTGTCCTATATATGCCAAATGGGTTGGTAGTGTTCTACAAGTCTACAGCCTTATTTATTTTGCTTCTAGTCATGTTAATGAGTAAAATATTGAAATCTCCACCCACAAATTTTAAATTATCTATTTCTCTTTTCCATTCTCAGGTTTGCTTCATGTATTCTGAGGAACTATTCTGAGGGGCATATGCATTTATAATTGTTATATTTCCTGGTACATTGACCCTTTTAGCATTTAGAAATAGTTCTGTCTTTCCCTAGTAATATTTATTGTCTTAAAGTCTATTTTGTCTGATTTATGCAGCCATTTCTTCTTTGTTATGGATATTGTTTGCATAATATATCTTTTTCATCCTTTATTTTAACCAATTTGTGCCTTTGACTCTTGAGTTTGTCTCTAATAGACAGCAGATAGGTGCAACTCTGCCTTTTGATTGGAATACTTAGTCAATTCACATTTACTGTAATGTCAGTATGGTTGCATTGCTTGTCATTTTGCTGTTGGTTTTCTCTCTCACGTCTTTAACATTTCTTTTTCTTTACTGCCTCTTTTGTGTAAAAAATATTTTAGACTGTCATTTTTAGCTTCTTAGTTGATTGAGCTATAATTTTTTAGTTATTTTGTTTGTGGTTGCTCAAGTATTACAATATATATCTTTATCACAATTTACTTCAGCATGATGATGCTTAATTCCAGTGGAATATGACAATTTTGTTCCAAAATAGCTCCAGTATACTATTTGCCTATCTATGTGTACATATATCTGTACAGATAGAGCAAATTATGTATGTGTGGGTAGATAGATAGATAGACAGATATAATTTGTTGTATTTAACTTCTTATTTACAATTTCTGTTGCTCTATATTATTCATGCTAGTTTGAATTACTGTCTTTTGTCATTTCCTTTCAACTTGAATTATTTTTTCAGTCTTCATTGTAGGGCTGGTCTCCCAGAAATGAATTCTATCAATTTTTGTATGTCTATGAATATCTTCATGTTTCTTCAATTAAAAAATAGTTTCATTGGACATAGAATTCTGCATCCATGGTTTTTTCATCTACATTTAAGTATGCTATTCTGGCTTACATTCTTTCTACTTAGAAGTCAGTTACTATATTTTTGTTCCCCTCTGCATAATGATTTGTTTTTCTCTTGCTGCTTTTAAGATTTCTTCTGTGTTTTGGCTTTCAGTCATTTGACGATAGTGTGGAGCTCTTCATGTTTATTCTACATAGGGGTCCACTGAGCTTCTTAGATTTTTTTAAAATCAAATTTAGTAAGTCTTAGACATTGTCTTGTCAAATACTTTTTCTGCCACTTTTTCTCTCTGTCTCCTCTCCCTCTGGGATTCCCGCTGCACACATGACAGTATGCTCAAAGTTGTTCCACAGGTCTGTGTACCTGTTTTTTCTATACATTATTCACGTTGGACAATTTTTTCTTTTCTTTTTTTTTTTTTTTTGAGACAGACTCTAGCTCTGTTGCCAGGCTGGAGTGCAGTGGCACCACGATCTCGCCTCACTTCAACCTCCGTCTCCCAGGTTCAAGCGATTCTCCTGCCTCAGCCTCCTGAGGAGCTAGGATTATAGGCATGCACTGCCGTGCCCAGCTAATTTTTGTATTTTTAGTAGAGATGGGGTTTCACCATGTTGGCCAGGATGGTCTCAATCTCTTGACCTCATGATCTGCACATTGGACAATTTTTATAGGATTCCTTTGTCTTTTCAGATCTACTCTTGAGCCCATCTACTGCATTTTGAATTTCAGTTATTATAATTTTCAAGAATTTTTCGTGTTTTATAGTTTATATTCTCAGTTAAGATACCCAATTTGTAAAGTCATTGACATATTTTCCTTTCATTCCTTAAACATAGTTTCCTTCTTTGTATATACTTTAAATAACTTATTGAAGCTTTGTCTGATAAATCCAGTATCTGGGTCCACTTTGAGTCAGTTTCTAATCATTGCATTTTTTTCCTGAATAGAAGTAACACTTTTCGGCTTCTTGGCATTTCTGTTTTTTTTGTTTTTTTTTTTTTTCTTTTTGTTTGAGACGCCCAGGCTGGAGGGCAGTGGCGCTACCTCGGCTCACAGCAACCTCTGCTTGGTATTTCTTATAATTTTATTTTTCATTTAAAAACAGAGCATTTTAGATATTATTTTGAAGGATTGGGATTTTGTTTTATTTTACTTTATTGTGGGGTGTTTTTCCACTTTGTTTATTTGTTGTTTGGTTAGATTTAAACTGTGGAATCTTTCTTTTCAGAAGCAGGTAGTTGCTGTCTTTGCTCAGTTTTTAAAATTTCACTTCTATGTCCACAGAGCTTAGAGGTCAGCCAATGATGTAAGCAGAGGTTTTACTGAAATGCCTCTTGTGTATAAGGCCTCCACCCTCTGCTGATAGATCCTTGTGGGAGTTAAGGAGCACATTTAATATTCATTCAGTTCTCAAGTTTCCCTGGCTTTAGCATTCCACTGTGCTGCCTTGGGTCTTTCCTGCAATTGTATGCAAATTCCCAGTCACTCAGTGATGCCTGGAGAGCTTATTTGGACTTTCCATGTCTCTCTCATTTCCATGATCTCCTTGCTAAATTGCTATGTAGTCTTTCTCAGGGAACTGGGATTGTAACTGCAGGCTAGAAAAGCTGCAGATTTACCTCATTTGTTTTCTACAAAGTTTGCCACTCTTAGTGGAAAAAACAGACAAATAACAAAAAACAAACAAACAAACAAACAAACAAAAACACCCACAGCTTTTCACGCCATTCACCAGGTCATCTTTGCTCCTTTTGGTAGCCAAGCTGCTGGTTTTCAAGGACAGGTTTATGTGAGTAAAAAGGAACAGCTCTCTCCACCTGAGATGGGGTGGGCTGTGGGAGCACCCTTGGGCAAGAAGGTCCAACTTTCACTGTCCTTACATGAAGCTGTAGCAGTTTTGCATGAGTAAACACTTCTCAATGTGTCTGCCTTTGATTAATATCCACAACCCACATGCTTAGCACTCCAATAATGAAACACTAGGCACAAATAGCTAAATGGTTGTTCAACAATTTTGTCCAATTTTATACTTTTTTTGTGATGTTTGAGGAGAAGACTTACTGACTCTGTTCTGTTACAGTTAGAAGTCTCATCAGGACTTCAGTGTCCTTGCCGGATAATATTTATTTTTTTATTACAGTTTCATGATATCTTCTGACAAGATTATGAGATTCCTGATAATAGAGAATATGTATTCTACTTAATTGTGAACTTTGTAGCAATCAGTAATGCACTTGTTACATGGAGAAAGCTCAGTTCACATTTGTAATTTATGGTATTGATAATGTCTTTAAATATTACTAGTGTTGATTAACTACATCACTATTGGAATGGTATGTGCACTGTATATATTCTTGTCTTTATAATAGTCAAAACAGTAGTTTGATTATGTTATGAAGCAACAGTGATATCCGTTGGTTACTATATTAGTCCATTCTTGCATTTTTATAAAGAAAATATATAATTACTCGAGACTGGGTAATTTATAAAGAAAAGACCTTTATTTGGTTTATAGTTCTGCAGGCTATATGGGAAGCATGATGCTGGCATCTGCTCAGCTTCTGGGGAGGCTTCAGGAAACTTACAATCATGGTGGAAGACAAAGAGGGGGCAGGCAAATGGTCAGAGCAGGAGCAAGAAAGAAGAGGGTGTGCGTGTGTGTGCGTGTGTTGGTGAGGCCAGGGGCAGGGGAGGGTGCCACACACTTGTAAATGACCAGATATCACAAGAACTCACTCAGTATCATGAGGACAGTACCAAGAGGATGGTACTTAACCATTCATGAGAAATCTGCCCTCGTGATCCAATCACTCCCCATCAGGCCCCACCTCCAACATTGGGGATTCCATCTCAACACAAGATTTGGGTGCGGACACACATTCAAACTACATTTGTTACAATATATCCAGAGTTTACTTATAATCATTCTTATCAATTAGAGATACATGTACATATGAATAAATGTTTATAAGGCTTTTAGAAATATTTAAAATGGATATATACTTAAGTGCTCATTCTTAAAATGAGTTATTAGGTGTTTAAACTCAAAACTGGTCTTGCTTCTTACATGAGTATAATTTTAATATTTTCAAGTTGAAAGTATTCAAGAATGCTAGTTAGTATGAGCTCAACTACATCAAAGGGGAAATATTTTTATTGTTTTGCTTTCTATATAAGATTTAAATAGGATACAATCTACCTGGTACATATGTTGAGGCTTACGTACTATATTTTCATTTAGACAGTACTTATAATTTCATCAGGCAAATATATTGAGTCTGAAGTCTTTTTAAAATTAAATAAAGCCTGCACATGGTGGCTTGCACCTGGAATCCCAGCACTTTGGGAGGCAGAGACAGGAGGATAGCTTAAGGCCCGAAGTTTGAGACCAGCCTAGGCAACATAGTGAGACTCCATCTCTATAAAAACAAAAAATAAAACAATAAAATTTAATAAATTTTTATTTGACCACTAAGTAGGGAAATCACTTAAAGACATAATGAATTTCTCAACCTTATAGATCTGATTGAATTGTCTTTAATTAAATATTACATTTATATTTGATTGCATATTAATATTTAATAATAAAATGTTGTATAATATTATACATATTTCTTTCATTGATGACATATGTTTATAGATATTCATTTATTTGTTGTTTTCTTTATCAATGCCATAATTTTTCCTTATTAATAAATTTTAAATGTCCCTTACAAACAAGAATATATTCAATGGGTGCAACATCTGTCTATTGATGATGATGTTGGTGATGATGATATTTTTCATAGCTCCTTCTTTGTCCATAGCTGGTAAACCCTATCTTTCGTTGACCCATAGATTCCACAGTGAGTATAGCTAGCAGTTTCAGGCAGGGTGTATTTTTCAGTGTCAGAGAAACATTTTAAACATGTTGTTTGAAAAACAAAATGTGACTACAAGAATAAATCTTATCACAAAAGGGCAGAAAGGCAGATAAAATGTGAACTCTTCAGCAAACAGAAACCGTAGATGCCAATTTTAATTATATTCTACAATACCACAAACTATCAAATAGGATATTTGAGAGGATTAGTAAATTTCTATAGATACGACAACAATCTTTAAAGTCCAGTTGTCTAGAAAACTGTTTTATTGTCCCTGTATTAGTTTTCTAGGGCTGTTACAATAAGTGCCACAGATGGGTGCTACTTATTGGGTGGCTTAAAAGACAGAAATTTATTTTCTCATAGTTCTGGAGGCTAGAAATTCAAAGTCACAGTGTTGGCAGGGTTCGTTTCTTCTGAGGTCTCTCTCATTGCCTTGTTAGAGGGCTGTCTTTCTCCTGTACCTTTACATGGACTTTCCTCTGTGTGTGGCTGTGTCCTAATCTTTGCTTCTTATTAAGGACACCAGTCACATTGAATTAGACCCAACCCAATGGCCTGACTTAACCTTAATTACCTCTTTGAAGAAACTGCTAAAAAAAAAAATGGCCAGATTCTGAAGGACTGAGAGTTAAAATTTCAACATATGAATTTTGGAGGGACATAATTCAGTCCATAGCAGTCACTGTTTCTAACACCTTTATTATTATAAAAGTAAGAACATGTATTAGTTCATTTAATCTTCACAACAGTATAAGGCAAGTTGTTTTATTATCATTATTCTAGATGAACACCTGAGAGGTTAAGTAACTCACTCAAGCTCACACAGTCAGCAAGTAGTGAAGCTAGGGTTTCACTAGCCCTCACCAGGAGGATGAATTCCAGTGTTTATTATTTTTTTCAAAAAATAATTAAGAATAAGAGATACTGGGAGCAGTGGCTCACACTTGTAATCCCAGCACTTTGGGAGGCTGAGGCGGGCAGATCACGAGGTCAAGAGTTTAAGACCAGCCTGGCCAACATGGTGAAACCTCGTGTCTACTAAAAATACAAATATTACCTGGGCATGGTAGCAGGTGCCTGTAATCCCAACAACTCAGGAGGCTGAGAAAGGAGAATCGCTTGAACCCAGGAGGCAGAGGTTGCAGTGAGCCAAGATTGCGCCACTGCATTCCAGCCTGGGCAACAGAGCAAGACTCCATCAAAAAAAAAAAAAAAAGAATAAGAGAATAATATTCCTGTAAATATTGGTAGCTAGTGTTTTCTTTCTTTTCTTTTTCTTTCTTTCTCTCTCTCTATTTTTTTCTTACTCTTAACAGGCTGTCTCAACTGGCTTCACTACCTAGTCACACTTCAGAATTTCATCTCTTTTGGCAGAAGCATGAAAATGAAGTGTTCTAAGTGTTTGATCATAAAGAAAATGAGTTGTCTTTTATTATTTATTGGTTAAGGAGGATTGACTGGACAGCTACCTCCATAATCCTCTCAAAAGTAATTGATACTGGAAATGTATTGCTCACTGGATTTTCTAATGGCCTACATGTGCTTTTGTCCAAGTAAAATTTTTATGTGGCCTCTGAAGAATTACTGTTTAAAATTATGACAAATCTATATTTAGTAAAAGTTATGGCTCTAAATGTCTATTATGTCATCACATAGGTTCATCAGCAAAAATCCAAATATTAGATTTAATGCAAGAGTCAAGGGAGAATACAGACAGAGTTCGGATCCACTATCCCTTCCCTACACACTACATGTGCCACCCTATGGCTGCTCTTAAGGGTGAGTTGCCTCACTTGAGATGGCTAAAAAGAAGCTCTTCCACATAGATTTTCTTATGGAGGTGTCTGCTTCCTATTCCCGGAATGCTTTTTCTGTCTTCAGCCTTTGAGAACAGGCAGGGCAGGGAATTACAGCCATTAGTTGCGTTCTGGGTACTTGCCATTCTCTAACAAGCTTGTAAGAGGACACAAGGTTTCCTTGTTTCTCACTTGAACCATCTTCTTTCTCTTCCCTTCAATTGCTTTTTTTTTCCCTCTCAAGGCACCTCTGGATTTCTTTTTCCTTTGGACCCAGCATACACCAGGGATGGAAAGCCCCAGGCTTTACATTCGATGCAGGGGAAAGAACACCATAAGGGAACTATTCGAGTGGCTGGTCATTCCATCATAGCAATGGTGCTATCGCTGATGGGAAGTGGGAATTCTTTTAAGTCTTAGTGAGTAAAGTATGAATATCCCCAGGTATCATTTCAAAAACAATCTATTTAACTTGATGCCCATTCCTTTAATCTTGCACTATCCTTTTTCAGAATTATTCTAGAAAATTCTTTGGATAAAAATAAACTGTTTGTAGAAAGTCCCTTTGCATTACCTAATAAAGCTTTTGAAATCATCTGTATAAGTCATGAATTCGAACAGTACTCTCAGGAATGCTGAGTGCCTTAATCAACCAAGTACTGAGTCACCAGCCTGCCTGGCATTTCTGCTACTAGGCTTTTGTTTATTTTCCTCATTTTTTCTTCATCAAAAACTAAGGATATATAACTGAGAGATCAATATACATATGATTTATACTGGTAAATGTCTTGCTTTCTGTTTTCTGTTTTGAGAATTTTCCCAAACTTCTCACATTATTTTGTGACTTCCTTTTTTAATATCCAAGTGATTTATTAGAAAAGTAAATATTAAATTATAAAATTTATGATGTCACATATATATACAGATATAGCTCTATCTAACATTTTAATGCCTCTCCCATTATTAACATCTTGTGTAACTATAGTACAGCATCAAAACCAGGAAACTGTCATTGTTACAGCTCATAGTGCTTATTCTGATTTCACCAGTTATACATGCACTATGCATGTGTGTGTGTGTGTGTGTGTGTAGTTCTCTGTGTGCATAACCATCACAACAATCAAGACACTTTACTGCACCATTACCACAAGACTTCTTCGTCCTACCCCTTTATAGCCACATGTCTAACCTTTAGGAACCACTAAGCTGTTCACCGTACCTATAATTATTTCACAAATGTTACATAAATGGAATCATGAATTAATCCAAAGTATGTATTCTTTTGAGATTGCTTTTTTGGCTCAACATAACATCCATGAGCTTCATCTTAGCTGTTGTGTGTATCAATAGGCTCTTTCTTTTTTATTACTGAGTAGTGTTTCATGACATGTGTGCACCATTCACTGAAGGACATCTGGGATGTTTCCAGTTCTGGTCTATTAGCATTTTTTAAAAACCTGCCATAAGCAATCATGGAGGAATTTTCTGCATGAATTTTTAAAATTTCTCTGTGATATATGTCTAACAGTGCAATTGCTCTGTCAGTCTATTTTTAGTATTGAAAGTAACTGCCAACTATTTTTTCAGAGTTGCTGTACCATTTTACATTCCTAAACACAATGTATGAATGATCCAGTGTCTTTGCACCCTCCTTAGCATTTAGGGTTTTCACAATTTTTTTTTAGCTACTCCGATGTGCAGTGATATCTCATTTTGGTTTTACTTTGCACTTCTCTAACTGCTAATGATGATGATGATGATGATCATGATGGTGATGATAACATTTTTCATAGCTGCTTCTTTGAGCACTGTTGCTAACCCGTTCTCCTAAACCCTCAGATTCAAACTCAGATGTTAAACATATTTTCATGTGTTTTTTTGAAATCCATATACTCTGTGCAGTCAAGTGTCTTTTGCCCATTTTTATTTGGACTGCTTGCTTTTTAAATTTTGAGTTTTGAGAATCATTTATATATTCTAAATAACAATCATTTTTGTACGTGTAATTTTCAAATATATTCTCCAAATCTGTAATTTTTCTTTTTCCCTATTAACAGGGTAATTCAGAGCACACATTTTTAAATTTCTATGAAGTCCAAATGATTATCGTTTGTTTCCTTTTATGGGTCACGCTTTTGGTGTTAAGCCTAACAACTCTTTGCCTAATCCTAGATCTTAAATATTTTCTTTCAATTTTTACCTAGAAGTTTTATAGCTTTATGTTTTATATATAAGTTGAGGATCCATCTTGAGATCATTTTTGTATAGGGTATAAAGCTTATGTCGAGGTTCTTTTTTTTTTTTTTTTGCTTATGGATGTTTAATTGCTTCAGCACTATTTATTGAAAAGGCTATTCCTTCTTCATTGAATTATTTTTGCTTCCTTATCAAAAATTACTTGTGTATACATGTGTGGATATTTCTGACTTCTCTGTTCTGTTCCACTGATCTGTGTTTCTATCCTTCCACCAGTTCTACACGGTCATGATTAATGTAGCCTTAATATTGGGAAGATTAATTCCTCTCACTTTATTCCTTTTCAAAATCATTTTAGCTATTCTAGTATACACTACTTTTAATATTAAAACAGGCATACTCTGCTGATATATAAAACTAACAACAGGAAAAGTAAAGACCACAGCCACATGTACAGTAACAAAACATATCATGCTGTCAGCAAAACAAGTTGATTTATATATATTTATAATTGAAGGACAAAAGAAGACTCTATTGTTCCATTTCTAAGAGTTTATTGCAAAGAATTAATCAGAAAACTTTATTAAGTTGTATGCCTAACAGAATGAATTGTAGTATTGCTTCTAATAGCTCAAAATTTGAATCTGACAGTAACAAAGCAGAGTTACTCAAAGTTTGGTCCATTTTCTATTTCTGGTCTGCAGACTGGTTTCTTAGCAGGTTCATGACATGATAAGGTAAAAATATGAGAGTAAGCATTAAACTTTTATAACAATTTGACAAGGAAATTTTATATATGGACCTTAATATTAGAAAGGGGGCTTGTATTTATGTCATTTTTCTTTTTATTTTTAGTCATATATTTTCATTGATATTTTATGTAATATACATATATAATCTATATATATTATATATATATATGATTTGTAATATGTATATCCTTCATTACAGGTAGTTTAAGAAGCAGACCAGTGCTTCCCACCCTGTCATTTGATAGCGCAGATGAAGAAGTTGCTAATATTTCTATGGCACAGTCTGCTACTAGGGTATTTAGCTGCTTCCTAATGGAGTTTGAGTGAAACCATTATTATTTTTATACCATATATTTATAATAAGTAGAATTCAAAGCAGGGAAGATACTAAATTTTGGAGCAAATAAAATATTTTCCAATATTTTTTAAATGAGAAATTTGAATTTGTTTCAGTAAAGGTGATCTTTATATCACCTTTTATCAGTATACAAAATAGTTGAAATTATACTTAAGGAATTTAATAGGTTTTCTTTTTCTTCCCTCAACAAATTCAAACCTTGAAATTTGATTATGCTCATGTATATTTTTAATTCAACTAAACTGTTTTTATATCAAGCATTCTTAAATGTTCAGGATGTTCTAATTTGCAGAATGGATCATGCATTGTCTATTTGGTTGTTCTGACTTGCAGAATGGATCAGAGCAGGGAGGGGAGCAGCTCCTTCACCGTTTCCCTCTGTGTAATGGAATGGTGCAACCATTTTGTTCACAGCCTACTAGAGCCACAAGCTGCATTGTTAATTGCTTCTTTGCTTCAGGGAGGACTACACAGGGCTGCTCAGGGCCAGTGGCAACTGAATCACATGCTCCCCGGCTCTCAGGCCCTATCCAGTTGCCACAAGGGCAGAAGAGATCAGTATCTCTCAGTTTTTTTTTTTTTTTTTTGCCTCTGAATGTTTATTTTGAAGCCCTGCACCAAGCTATATGCTTTTTAAAGCAGAAATCATCTCTCCCTTGCTCATCATAGTACCACAATGTCCAGCATGGTTGCTAACTACATAGTATGTATTCTATATGAAGAGTTGTTGAATGCATAAATCTCCATTAATACATGACTAGTTAAGTAAGTATGATCTGTCCATACATTGAAATACTATATAGCCTCTAAATAGAATGATATGTATCTTCTAGGAAGCTACCAATGAATAACACTGAGTAAAAAATGTGAAGTTGCCAAATCATATGCATAATATAACCCAATTTACATCAATTATATGTGTTTGTTTGTTTATACATATGGAGATATCTTGAAGTAATGTTTACAATTTGAATTTGACCTTATTTTCCCTTTTCAAATTCTTTTTGTTTTTAAAAAATCTTTTTACAATTGCTCTACTTATCTAGATGCTGCCTCACAGAGCACTAACAGTAAAAGTTTGTAGCCCCTGCAAGAGAGATCAGTAAGTGAACACCCAATCCAAGGAATGAGCTTTGTTTTCTTATTCTTTTTCAATTGATCACATTGTGTCTGAACTGACCAAATTCATATTTTGTACACTCACACATTTTGTATACTCATTTAATATCCATATTTCCTAAAAGTCTTCCGCATACGGTATCTTTGTGACTCAAGTAAAATTAGCATTCATGTGATCCTTGCTGTTTCCCCACAACTGCTGGAGTGTTTTTAATAACTTTCTGCAAAAGTCCTTCCTCTCTAAAGTTTCTCTGAGAGGGTCCATTCATGAGCGTAGTTGAAGTGTTTTTTGTTTTTGTTTTTGTTTCTGTTTTGAGACGGAGTCTCGCTCTGTCGCCCAGGTTGGAGTGCAGTGGCGCGATCTCCGCTCACTGCAAGCTCCGCCTCCCAGGTTCACGCCATTCTCCTGCCTCAGCCTCCCCAGTAGCTGGGACTACAGGCGCCCGCCACCACGCCCGGCTAATTTTTTGTATTTTTATTAGAGACGGGGTTTCACCTTGTTATCCAGGATGGTCTCCATCTCCTGACTGCCCCCCTGGGCCTCCCAAAGTGCTAGGATTACAGGCGTGAGCCACCACGCCCGGCCGAATTGGTTTTTGTGAGCATCATAGCTCTCAGGCATCATCACTTATCCTGACTTTGTGCAGCTACTTGGAAGCCACTGATGCTGTGAGAAACAATTGGATTTCTTACTACGGGAGCTCATGTTATATTACCTTACAGAATTTTTAGAAAACCTGTATTTTGTGGTTTTTATTTGTGTGTTGTTACTTTCTTAAGTCACAAGACTATGGGAATGAATAGAAACAAATTCAAAAAAGAAATCATGTATACTTAGCCTTACTCCTCCGTGCCCATGATTAAAACTTGGTTAATAAGCATCACTACCCTACTTGACTTCCTGCTAATATTGGAATAAGTTATGGCCTCAATGGTTCCCTGCCCTCCAGGCAAATTCACTCCTAGCTGCCCATATCAAGATTCTCCCTGACATGCCGAAACATTACTTAAGCGAAAGCTCAGAGCTCAGGTGTCTAATAAACAAACTAAAAGGTAGAAAGGTAAAATGATTTACTGAAAGATATACAGTGATGAAGTTTAGGGCAACACTTAACCTACTGTGTTATTTTTCCCATTTGTGACATTTTTGTAACCTTACAAAACTATAATAGGATACACAGCTTTAGAAATGCAAACAAGCTTTGCAAGCACAGTCTTTTTGAAATGAATAATTCCCATTATATTTTCAATAGAACAAGCATGATTATTTCTAAAAATAATCTAAGAGGAAGAACATATATGTTATTCAAATATCTCCCCACACCATTCCCCTGAAATGGATTTAATGAATATCAGTAATTGTGCTTACTTTATTTTAGAGTTTTGTATTTTTAGAAATGAAACACTTCTTCTGTATATAAAAGAAAATTCCGAAAAAATATAAAAACATTAAAAAATGTCCATAATTCCATCACACAGAACCTTGATGGACATTTCATAGCATGTTTTTGTCAACTGATTGCCTGTGCAATCTTAACTGATAAATTTTTCTGTACCATTAAACATTTTCCAAACATTATTGAATATGCAATTTTTCAATTGAGATTACGATTTTCAAGAATTATTTTAAGAAGGATATCTAACTATTCCTATCTATTAATTTATTTGTAATTTTTTTCTCACATTGTCTATCCCTTATGTGGCATTTTTGATATGCAGAATATCTTAATTTTTGTGAAGCATAATTTAATGACCTGTTTTTTCATGCCTCTATGCAGAGAATGACCTTTCCCATGCTTCAGTAAGGTAAATATTTACATAGTCTTTTTAAGTATGCTTTTTAATTTTTTTTTTGGTTTGCTAGAATTTCTTTCTAAATCTATGATATTATTTTGCAGTACATTGTGACATAATGTTTATTTTTCCCCTGAATTATTAATCAGCTATTTCAGGGTCATATCTTAATTAACCTATTATTTGTCCAATAATTAGAAAGATCAATTCTACCATTGGTTATACATTTATGTATATAAATACATGCATAAAAGCACCAACCCCAGGATTCAGAGTACCAGCCAAAGAAATCCTTTCCTGGTGGGGCGCGGTGGCTCACACCTGTAATCTCAGCACTTTGGGAGGCCGAGGAGGGCGGATCACCTGAGGTCAGGAGTTCAGACAAGCCTGGCCAACGTGGTGAAACCCCGTCTCTCCTAAAAATACAAAAAAGTAGCCCCGTGTGGTGGCACGCACCTGTAGTCCCAGCTACTCGGGAGGCTGAGGCCAGGGAATCGCTTGAACCCGGGAGGCGGAGGTTCCATTGAGCCGAAACTGCACCACAGCACTCCAGCCTGACTGACAGAGTGAGACTCTGTCAAAGAAAAGACGTTTCCGTCTTCACCTTTGGTATCCTTACTCCGCTCCCTTTCACTTTTCCAACTCGGAAAACCAGAGGTGGCTCCGGGTGGGAAAGAAGAAGCCGACCCAACTTCCCCATCCCTCCCTCTGCCACCACCTCCCCACTGCAGCTTCCCACTCTGATTTCCCTGCTGAGGAAGGGGGAAAGTTTACTTTTCATTATTATTTGAAATTGTGATGCTTAAACTTGATAATAATCTTAATTATGAAATGAGACTCCTCTTGGGAAAGAGTCCACAGAATTTTCTAAGAATAACTAAAATTATGAAACTTTCTAAGATACTTTCTAAAATTATAAAACTTTCCCTGCTGTCAAGGGCAGCAAAATGTAACCCCAATGACTTTAAAGGAAAGTGCAATGAAAAAGTAGGTGCTTTTTTATTTCTACACTGCTGACTCTGTGTTAAATTCTACTCTTTTAACATAATGGATACATAAATGTAAGGAAGATAGCATATATACATACATTGATAAACTGTGTATACAATTTCTGGCTATCAGGTGTGAATGTGTGTGCATGTTTGTGGTTTTGTGTGCATCAGGCTCCCCTTTGTAAAATCTAAATATGTTTTTAGAAAATTGAAGTAATGTCATTTCTGAGATTGGGATCAATGTCTACCTTCTAGAATAAAAATTAAAACGGCCTTGGCAGAACTTGCCTTTCTCTACCAGGACCATTTGGTCTATCTACCTTTTGTAAGGTAACTACCTAGTTCTATATCACATGGGAGTTAGTGCTTGCCAATTAATATGTAGTACTGGGAGGAAAATCAGTTTTCAGCACTGAGAAGAGTGAAGGATTATGGCATAATAGGAGATAAAAAGGAAATTTAACCCTTTTTGTAGTCCCAGGATGATAAAATCAACATAAATGGTGGTAATATTTGTATGTTCATTAAACTCATATTTCTATACACACAGAAATAAATGTATACTTCCCCTAATCCAGTGGTTCTTAAACTTAATACTGTAGATAGGAAACTGTCTCAATATAGAACACACCAACTGAGTTGAGAATAAGCTATTGATGTCTGCATAATATATACAAAGTAGTTGAAATTAAAAGAAATACAAAGAACCCAACAAATAGAAAAATCAAATATAAATGGCCTCTAAACATATGAAAATATGTCTAAACATATTTAAAACAAAATATGCATGAATTTAAACTATGCTAATACAGCAGGTCCTCTAATAACATTGTTTCATTCAATGCTGTTTCTTTATAAGCATTCTAGAAAGTAAAACTGATTTTCGGCTGGGGCCACTGTCTGTGTGGAGTCTACCAGTTCTCTGCCTGTCTGTGTGGGTTTTCTCTGGGGAGTCCGGTTTCCTCTACATTCCAAAGATCTTGATGTTGGGTGAATCGGTGCGTCTACAGGATCCCATTCAGAGCCAGTGTGGGTGTGGATGTGAGTGTGCCCTGCAGTGTGATGGCGTCCTGGCCAGGATTGGCTCCCACTCTGCACCCTGACCTGCCAAGACAGAATCTGGCCAACCCCACCCAGAACTGGGACAACTGGGCAAATCATTATCTCACTTGTTTTTATTAATCTTTCTTAAATGCATGTATAGCTGAAATTTATTTCAATGTTTAATATCAGAAATGTTTTGGTCTTTATTTAGAAGTTTGGTGACATTTTTGTGAACAGAAATATGTCATAGGAACTTAACTCTTGTTTATATCGATTAGCCTAGGATAAAATTGGTTTTGTTCATTATGTGTCATTTTGCCTAATGTAAACGTTGCCAAGAACTTATTGATGAGGTTAAGCGAGGATTTACTGCATACCACTTTTCACTTATCAAATGATGAAATAATCTAAAAGTTTGATAAACTCTATTGGTGAAGTCATAGGCAGACACGCATACATAGTTGATGGAGAATGTAAACTATTAAACCTCTATGAACATCAAACTTAAAACTGTGCATAATGTTTTTAATATTATTTATAACATCAGAATATTAAAATCAAAACAAATGTCTACCAATAGAAGACAAGTTATGACATATGCATAAGGTGGAGTTTGATGCTGTTCTAAAAAATAATGATGGTTCAGTTGAAGGTGCTGTATTTACTCACCCCTTCTGTTCCTCTCCATTAGAGCCACGCATATTAGCTGCTTCTAGTCAGCCATCTTGGCCATTAGTGGTAGTGTAAATTAGTTCAACTGTTGTGGAAGACAGTGTGGCCATTCTTCAAAGACCTAAAGACAGAAATACCTTTCAACCCAGCAATCCCATTACTGGGTGTGTACCCAAAGGACTATAAATGGTTCTGTTATAAAGACACATGCACACATATGTTCATTGCAGCACTATTTAGAATAGTAAAAACATGGAATCAACCTAAATGCCCATCAATAATAGACTGGATAAAGAAAATGTGGTACATACACACTATGAAATACTATGCAGCCATAAAAAGAACAAGATCATATCCTTTGTCAGGACATGGATGGAACTGGAAGCCATTATCCTTAGCAAACCAACGCAGGAACAGAAAGCCAAGTATCACATGTTCTCACTTATAAGTGGGAGCAGAAAGATGACAACACTTGGACAGATACAAGGGAACAACACACACTGGGACCCACTGGAGGTTGGGAGGAGAAAAAGAATTAGGAAAAATAACTAATGGGTACTAGGCTTAATACCTGGTGATGAAATTATCTGTACAAAAAATCCCCATGACACAAGTTTACCTAAATAATAAACCTGCACATGTACCCATTAACTTTAAATAAAAAATTTTAAAAAGATAATGAAGGCGCTTTCTATGTTCCAATGTGAAAAACTCTCTAAAACATTGAAAAAATAATAAGCATGACAGAGTACATAACATGGCATGTTTTGTGTAAAGTAGAAAATATAAATTCTATAGTTATTTGTTCTTTTATATGCATAAGTAACATTTGAAAATATATATGTGCGGTTATGGCAGTTATTATTTATGGGAGGTGGGTGGGAATTTGCAGGATAGAGAATAGAAATAAGATGTGCCTTTTAATCAAGTTTGTAGTTTTAAAAATCATGTTATTATATTAATTTACAATAAGTTAACGTATAATAACATAAAAACATGAAAAAAGAAAAGGATTAAGGAAGAAAATTACAAAGAAAAAAAACACACCATTTTAATTTCAAGAAACAGTTGGCAGAATAAAACCAGGATAGAGAAATTTTCTCTCCCAACACTTACATGAATACTTAAAAAAACTGTTAAAAAAAAGTGTATATATAAAATCTCAATTCAAATTCACTCAGAGATAGGTAGGACCAAATACCACTTGAAAAATGGTTGTCAAGGAAAAGAATGGAAGATTCTAGTACAGTATGACTCCATTCCCAATGTTTCCTGGAAGTAGCATTTAAAAGAGAAAATTCTTAAACAAAATATTGAGAATGTAGCCTTGCAGCCCAGTGTTTGAAAAAAAAATTGAACAAAATGAGATTTTGAACACAAACCTGAGGAAAAAATTGAAGAATCCTAAGAGTAGCAGGTCTTACATACCACCATGGATATCAGCTGAGATTGAAGGAAACATCAGCTGAGACTGTAGGAGGCATTAATAAAGAGAAAAGTTCATCAGACTTTGTTGTAAATAAGAAATATTGGGAGTTAGGGTATTAAGGCTTCAGCACTAAATAGCATATCTTGACTATTCATCCACAGGCTTTGCCATGTTTTTAGAGACTGAGCTAAAGATCACAGAAATAGGATGCACCCCTAATCAGGTGGAACAGGCTTTTAAAGAAAGATTAGAAGAAATTAGAGCACAGCCCAAGTCTCTTTCCCTTGCCAAGGGCAGTTTCAAGCTGATCTCTCTTTCTGTTTCCACAAGGTTCACATTCTCAGCCTATGAATATTGCCACAAATAATTACAAGTCTTCAATCTGTAGCCAAGAATCTTCCCAGATGATCCAGAAAGAGTGCCAAATAGATTTTATCCATACAATTCCAGAACAAGTTAAAGCTTTTGACAAAGCTCCACGAAACAAGCCTGAGCAAAATGAAAAGAATTGATAACGATGCAAATGCACTAGAGAAGGGAGAGAGGGGGAGAAATTAGCTAGGGGGTGGGGGGAACAAGAAGTAGAAAAAACACAGGAAAAATTTTTAGAAAAAACGTAATGCAGGGAACAGAAGTAGGTCCCCTTGTGAGCACTATAAAAGCATGGTTTCAATAAGACTTGGATATAGAAGAAATGATGATAAAATAATAGAATAAAAATAATGATTACAGGGTTATAGAAACATCTTAAGAATGAAAGCAACAGTCTTGCCCATGTACTTAATAAATTAATTAGAAACAACAAGAAGAGGAAAAACATTCTTGACTAAACTTTTGCTTATACGGAAAGGCTTAGGTTAACCGCATAAACAGAGGAGCAAAATACACAAATATTTAAGAGGTAGGATGTTTATTGATACGGAAGAAAAACAATTGTAACAGTTTAAGCAAAATTGGTGTCACTGAAATGGAGACATCAATAAATGCAATGGGAAAAAGCACTCAGAAAGACGGTAGAAGAAAATTCCCTAAAATAAAGAGAAAAAGTAATCTATTTTTTGAAATGGTGTATTTTCTTCCAACAAATACTAACGCAGAATACTAGATAGTGTGGAAGATCCTGCTCAATTCACTAAAACATTATATATATATATCTTCAAGCCTCCTGACAAACTAAGCAATACTATAAAGGTGTTTCAAAAAGTCTGGTCTCAGACTCTATTAAAAAACATTGACATAGGGTTTTTTATATGCATTTCAGGCATTGTTCTAAGTACTTACAATCATTATCAGTGACATTTAGTGACATGATACAAAGCAACTATAACTATTAAACATAGAATTCAGAGAGGAAAAATCTTATTTCATAATTTTAGCTACCAAAATCATAATTCAAGCATAAAGGTAAGACTTTGATGATTTTTAAGTAAGAAAGTTGGGGGACTATAGCGATCTGAGCCCTTCTTGAAAAATTACATGGATGCTAGAATCTGGCTAATCAAGAGATGAATTAAAATAAAATACTAAAAATTGGAGAAGCTTTGGAAAAAAAATTGATGATAATTATTGAATCAATTAAAATTTTGACAAATATTTAACAGTTCAGGGTTTCCTGAACTTCAAATTCAGTTTGTGTATCCCATGAGATTAAAAAAAAATGAACTTCAAAATTTTATTAAAATAGTACATAATGAATTTACAAGTAAAAAACAACCTTATTAAAAAGTGGACAAAGGACATGAACAGACAGTTTTCAAAAGAAGACAAACACCTGGACAACAAGCATATGGAACAATGCTCAACATCACTAATCATTAGAGGGATGCAAATCAAAACAATAATAAGATGCCATCTCACACCAGTCACACTTGCTATTGTTAAAAATTTTAAAAAAATAAAAACAGATACTTATGAGGTTGTGGATAAAAACAAATGTTTATACACTGCTAGTGGGAATGTTAATTAGTTCAGCCATTGTGGAAAGCAGTTTGGTAATTTCTCAAAGAACTGAGAATTACCATTGGACCCAGCAACCCATTACTGGGCATGTACCCAAAGGAATACAAGTCATTCTGCTAGAAAGACACATGTATGTTCACTGAAGCACTATTCACAATATCAAAGGCATATACTCAACCTAAATGTCCAGCAGTGATAGACTGGATAAAGAAAATGTAGTACATAAACAGCATGGAATACTACGCAACCATAAAAAAGAATTAGATCCTGTCTTTGCAACAACATGGATGGTGCTGGAGGCCATTATACTAAGCAAACTAACACAGGAGCAGAAAACCAAAAATCATGTGTTTTCACTTATAAGGGAGGGTAAACACTGAGTACACATGGTCACAAAGAAGGGAACAACAGACATTGGAGCCTACTTGAGAGTGAAGAGTGGGATGAGGGCGAGGATTGAAAATCTATTCATACCTATTAGGTACTATGCTGATTAGCTGAATGATGAAATAATCTGTGTACCAAACCCTGACAACATACAATTTATGTATGTAATGAACCTCCATATCTACCCCTGAACCTAAAATGAAAGTTAAAGAAAGACCACAATATTATAAAATCAATGCTATACAGCTGGAATATACATCCTACGTATTTTTGTCATCCTTCCTTTCTGCCTTCCTGTTAGTCTATCTCTTCCTATATACTAATTCTCAGAAAATACTTATAAAGATGTGCACAAATGCTAATACTAGTTATTTTATTGTAGTGGCATTTGAGGTCATTTTTCACATCTTTTTTTGTAATTTCTTGGAATTGTTTGAATTTTGTTTGAAGAACTTCTATTTTTAAAATAAAAATAATGAAACCATTCTTTACAAGGAAAACAAAGATACTATCTTACTATATGTCAGAAGACTTTCAGGACTGTGACCACATTTTAAAAGAAAATATTAAACTATGCAACAGATAGCATCCTTGCAATGAAAGAGTCGTTTTCTCGATTTTCTCAAAAAACAAAAGCTATCTGTGACTAAAAATAACACTTAATTGGACATTGTTTATGTTTCTGAGATGGTAAATTAAGCTCTTCTAACTAGTCTTTTCACTTACAAAATTGGGATTGTGGGTATGGAGATTTCCTAAACATTTGCTTTTGAGCAGAAACATGTACGCATGGATTTTAGAAAGAGCTGAGAGATCAACAAGCCTCATTTTAGAGATGGGCAAATTAAGGCTTAGAGAAGCTAACTGACGTTTAACAAAAGACTCATGACTGAGTTAACTGAATAGCCGAATGCTATGGTCTGAATGTTTGTATCCTGCCCAAATTTGTGTGATGAAATTATATCCCCCAAGGTGATGGTAGTGAGAGGTGGGGTGTTTGGGAGGTGATTGGATCATGTGGGTGGAGCCTCATCATCAACATTAGTGTCCTTATAAAAGAGGCCCCAGAGAGTTTCCTTGTCCTTCCACCCTGTGACGACAAGACTCCATCTAGGCCAGGCGCGGTACCCCACGCCTGTAATCCCAGTACTTTGGGAGGCTAAGGTAGATGGATCACCTGAGCTCAGGCATTAGAGACCATCCTGACCAATATGGTGAAATCTTGTCTCTACCAAAAATAGCTGGGTGTGGTGGTGCATGCCTGTAATCCTAGCTACTTGGAAAGGTGAGGCAGGAGAATTGCTTGCACCCGGGAGGCAGAGGTTGCAGTGAGCTGAGATTATACCACTGCACTCCAGCCTGGGCGACAGAGTGAGATTCTGTCTCCAAAAAATAAAAAGAATCCATCTAGATGGAACAGGCCCTCAGCAGAGGCAGAATCTTCTAGCATCTTGATTTTGGACTCCCCAGCTTCCAGAACTGAGAGAAATAAATGCCTGTTGTTTATAAGTCAGCTAGTTTATGGTGTTTTTGTTATAGCAGTAAATGGACTAAGACACCAAACTAAGACCTATCTTCTGAAGTTAGCCGAGTTCAGCCACACTGCTGCATTGCATATTTGATTTTGTTTTTCTTTTTAGACAGAGTCTTGCTTTGTTGCCCAGGCTGGAGTGCAGTGGCATGATCTTGGCTTACTGCAACCTCCGCTTCCTGGTTCAAGTGATTCTTCTGCCTCGGCCTCCCGAGTAGCTGGGATTACAGGCGTTCACTACCACACCCAGTTAATTTTTTTGTAGAGATGGGGTTTCACCATGTTGGCCAGGCTGGTCTCAAACTTCTGGCCTCGGGTGATTTGCCTCGGCCTCCCAAAGTGCTGGTATTACAGGCATGAGTCACTTGCACCCGGCCCATATTTGATTTTTTTAATATCATAAAGATGAATGATTCATATAAATTCATATAATTTATAGTAATCACAAAATACTATGTTATCTGTATATATTAAAATCATTGATCCTTTGTTCTTTTTTGTTACCTTTAATTAAACCAAGGCTTTTAAAGATCTTAAAACATAAGTTTATATAAAAGAAACTATCTATTCACTACAATGTCAACAGGATTAATATGGCCTTGCTGACATAGTGAGTCATTTCTTTTTTTGTTGTTTTTTGCTTATTTGTGTTTATAAATCTTGTGTTATTACATTCATTATTTTGGAACAGGAGTGGAAAGATTACAACTCGAAAAATCAGAACGTAGGAATTTTAATCCTCAGCTTCATTAAAGAGGTTTCTTTTTCCAGACGGGATAAATGAGAACATCCTTTCTTTACAAAAGCCATCAGAAATCTGAAAAATAATTTTAAAAAAATTTTGCAAATATTGGTCAGTGCACAAAGGATCCTGGGTCCAGCAGGAGAGGAAATGGATCATTGTGTTTGGGTACATGAACTCACGAGCCCAAGTCATGGCTCAAGGCCTCCCATGTAGCAGCTTGAGCTGCTGTCACCAATTCACTTTTTTCCAGTATGAGCAGGGGAATATTCATCTGTTTCTGTGGTGATGGAGGCTTTCACAACATCCTCTGGCCAAAGAAATGTAACCACAGCCATAATGATTTCAGACTCAAACTATTTCAACAGCAGCAACAGGGAAAACAAAACATCAGCCAATTCCCAAATAAACTCATGTGAATGCTTCATATTAGCTAATTATCAAGGGGGTTTTATGGGAAACCATATCAAGAATGCTGTGGAGCTTCTTAGGATGCTGTTTTTTCTTGCTTGCATCTGAAGAAGAAATGGAATGCCAGGGCAACAGAACTAATGTATCAGGGAAGGGGTGAAAATTTAAGGAATCTAAAGCGTCTCTCTCTTTGGTTTTGTTGAATCTCGTGATTCTTAAGTCATCTGACCTCTATACATCTGAGTTCTCTCCCACTTCCTTCTGTTTACCTCTATCCAGCCCCCCTCCCCACTCCAAACTGGAAAAAGGGATAAAATGCTAGATAAATATTTCTCGAATTGTTTTCTTCTGTGGCATTCATAGCAGATGACTTTTCCATGTGTAACACTTTCCCATGAGCATATCCATATTTCGACAAAAAAGAAAGTTCTGATGGGAAATAAAGCAAATAGTGCTACAGGCAAAGAAAGGCACAGATGAAATACACCAGTTATGTTGAATTCCCAGTGTGTTAGCTATAACTTCTGTACCCTTCTTTCCTACTAAAGAATATATAGAGGCATGCAAGTGACTAGGAAGAGTGTTATCATGAGTATAAATTTGATTCCACACTAAGTTATATGTCAATAAATTAAGGCTAATTTTTAAGATACAATGAGATTTTACAAACCAATAAGAAAAACCTTTTTTTTTTTTTTTTGGAGACAGTCTCGAAACTAATAGTTCTTGTAAAAGGAACAGAAAGACAAGATATTTTATAAAAATAGAACTATACATGTCTAAAAAAACATTTTAAAGTCCTCAAAATAACTTACCACTTAAGAAATCTAAACTACTGGAGGAACAATTTGTTAAAAACTTTTAATATCTAGTAATATACATAGTTGTCTAGGGCATGAATAAACAAAAACTCCCACATGAAAAATGTAACTGACTCAGCCTTTGGAAAGATTTTGACACTATATATCAAAATTTTTAATGTATGTTTCCTTTGATCTGACAATTCCCTTTTCTAAGATTTCATCACAAAACTACATTGACTGAATTGCTTGAATTACATCATATTTTTAGCAAGAGTGCAAATAGCTGTAGCCCAATGAAAGGAGAATCAAAACTCAGCTCAGCAAACCTAGATTTAAATTTCAGCTGCATCTTACTAGCATCAATTTAAACAGAATTTTTGGAGTATACATTAACTAGAGAATTTAATTATACCTAAATCTTTTTGAGATATATTTTAAATATAATACAAAAACATGACACCACATAACATGTTTTTCTACTTGATCCTCAACAAAAAACCACTAGTCTCACTTTGCAGAAACTTAACTGAAATAAATGGCTTAAGATTAGAAATACGGCAACTGTGTTTATCTTTGCAAATGAATATTGGAGAGTTATGATAAAAATAGCAGGAAGGAAGACTGCTAGGAGAATGTATATGACTTGAAAATGAATAGCCCTAAGAATGCTGTTTCTCCAAGCATATCTCACTGTCAGAAGGCTAAATTAATACTGAAAGGGGATTTATGCATTTCTTTGCCACTCTGTAAATTATAAAACTGTCTTTGATTAGATTGTCCAAAGGGAAGACATCTCTCTGAGTGACATCAGCCAACTAACTAGTTGTTTAACATGGCTCCACCTAACAGATGGCATCACTGACTTAGAATCAACCCTCTGGTTTTTAGATGAGGCAGTATTTTTTAAACTCTTTGGAATACTCTGCCTGGGAAACATTCTTTTCAGGAAATATTTAACAAGTCTTGTACACATTCTCAATACTGTATGATTTTTTTCTTTTTTTCTTTTTCTTTTTTTTTTTTTTTTGAGACAGAGTTTCACTCATGTTGCCCAGGCTGGAGTACAGTGGCGTGATCTTGGCTCACTGCAACCTCCACTTCCGGGGTTCAAGTGATTCTCCTGCCTCAGCCTCCCAAGTAGTTTAGATTGCAGGTGCCCGCCACCACACCCACCTAATTTTGTATTTTTAGTAGAGACGGGATTTCACCATGTTGGTCAGGCTGGTCTTGAAAGCCTGACCTCAGCCGATCCGCCCACCTCAGCCTCCCAAAATACTGGGATTATAGGCGTCAGCCACCACCCCAGCACTGCTGTATGATTTAAAAGTTTTGGGAAGCATATTGGAGTTCCTCTTTTGAGGCGTACTCAGTGCTCATTGGGTAAATAAAAGTCATGAAATTTCCTGCTGTGAAGAAAAGTGGGAAGGTATAATCCAGTTTCCCAATCTTGCTGGAATCCAAAATTCTTTTGTGCTCAACACATCTGCTAAATTTCCCGAGAGCAGTGAATGGTGTGGAATGTTGATTTGGGAGATACTGGAATGGGCATGTAAAGGGTGTCTTCATTAAAAAAAAAAAAAAAAAAAAGTTGAAATGGACTGTGTGTTATGTTTAAAAAACAGTGCCTTATAATAAATGTCTTCTAGAATGTAGTCATAATAATATATATATATTCTCTTTTTTTAATTTTTAGCAGATAACATGTACTACTAGACAATAAGAAATGTGGCCTCATATTTATTGAGTGGTTTCTCTGTGCCAGGCACTTTTCTAGACACTGGGGACACATCGTTCTTGAACCCAACAAACAAAATCCTCCTCTTCATGTAACCAACCTACAGGAAATAAGTTACTATGAGTGCTTTAAAGGGGCTGACTGTCTAAGAAGTTACATAACTAAAGATATTTTACACTCTTTGTAGGAACTTCCATGAGTGAAGTAAGTTAAAAGTTTCCAAACATATATCATTGCTTTTTGGCTACCTTTTGCCTATTTTTTCAGCATTTTAAAAGTGGTAAAATACATATAACATAAAATGTTCCGTGTTAACCTTTTTTTTTTCTTTTTTTTGAGACAGAGTTTCACTCTTGTTGCCCAGGCTGGAGTGCAATGGTGCGATCTCAGTTCACTGCAACCTCTCCCTCCCAGGTTCAAGCCACTCTCCTGCCTCAGCCTCCCAAGTAGCTGGGATTACAGGCACCTGTCACCACGCCCAGCTAATTTTTGTATTTTTAGTAGAGACAGGGTTTCGCCTTGTTAGCCAGGCTGGTATCGAACTTCTGACCTCAGGTGATCCACCCGCCTTGGCCTCCCAAACTGCTGAGATTACAGGCGTGAGCCACCACACCCAGCCATGTTAACCGTTTTTAAGTACGCTGTTCGGTAGTGCTAAGTACATTCACTTTTTTCATCTCGCAAGACTGAATTTTACCTATGTTTAAGTACATCATACTTCCATACTTTATTAGAATAAAAAAATAGAATAGGTCTTGTGTAGTTTGTAAGTATGTAACAATGTATAAAATCCAAAAGCCTTTCAGACTGAAACGTAAGAGTTAAAAAAAAAAAAGGCGCTCCTGCTTGTTTCTAAACTCCCCCTCTACAGTGCTTTCTTCACAATTCCCTGTTCAGATGAATGGCTTATTGTGACTTATTAACTCTTGTTATCTTAGCACTGGCCAACAACACAAGTAGATCAGAAGAGGCTTGGGAATATGTCCAGGATCATCAAGATCTAATTTACCGCCAACAATATGATTTAGACATGGGGAAAGATATCAGCTGCCACATCAGTGATTCCAATTTGCTGCTTTTAGAGTTAGAACACCATAAATAAAGAACTGATGATGCTGATCCTATCTCCCTAACTAAGCATTCAAAACAAACCACAGAACATTACTCAAAGACATAGGAGAGCATATACTCTAGTTAAGGCCCCTCTGTTGAAGATATCCTACAAACTGAGCCAGTTTCTGAGTCTTATACTATAGCCAAATAAGTAGCTACCACACATAAAAAAGCTCTGAGGAATCATTGCTACTTGATGTTTATCCCATCTGAATTATTTTGCTTATTTTTTAAAAATTTTATAATTTAATTCTTTCTCATCAATCTAAAAAATTAGTATGTTTTTCCAAATTGCTTCTGAGACAGTGATCAAATCTCAACTTATAGAGATAAATACAATTTTTGTACATGAAAGGGAGAGTTACTTAGTTAACTTAGTTAAAGTTTGACTTATATTAATATTTTTAATTTGCTAGATGAATTTACTCATAACCTGGACAAATATTCAACAAATACTTACCAGTATTGCCCTACTGGTTAGCTATAGTTGGCGTCCGTTCTGAATGATCGTGCTGCCCATTCTGATTGGTCTGTGACTATCACTTGGAATATTACTATCACTTATAATTTATACTTTTTCTATGTCCCTGTTTTCATCTCTAATTAGCTTGATAGTTGGTAATAGATAATTACTTGCTTGTTTGTTTGCTTTTCTATGACAGGAATTCACAGCAGTGAACTCTGAGATCTTTCCCATCATCACCGTAGTACCCAGATTTCATAGATTTGAAGACATTAATGAAATAAAATGTCATTATCTTCCTCAAAAAATTGGGTCTCCTCTTTATATGATTACAATGTTTGGAGACTTGAAAGTTCCCCTTGTTTGATAATATTAAATTTGTTGAAATCTGCACCTCAAATGGTTTATTTTGAGTTTCATTTTAGACAATCCAAGCTTTCACTGATTGTGGATGCTCCAAGATTTCATATAGAAGTTCTTACTTCATCTTGTTTGAGTCACTCAAATAAAATATTTCTTTTAATTTGACACAGTAGCAACTTTTTGTCCTGTCTGAAGATATTTCCCTGAATTACTTTGTATTACAAAATTGTCTTCAAACAGACAACCACAAGCATTTGAAGTTTCAGGAGTTCAAAAGCTTTTATTCATATTAAAGTGATAGAAGTTATTACATTCCAACTCATTTCCAGTTCCCAGGCTTACTGAACTGCTGACTCATGCTGACTCATGCTTGGGTCTTATCCCTGGATGCTTCTTATTTATAACCTGAACCAAATTCTCTAGTTATTTCTTTAAAATTAGTTTAAGAAAATAAAACACGTAAAGAAAAGTCTACTGTCTTCAGCTTTGATTGTTATTTTGAGCCCTATACCTTATTTCCCAGAAATATCTTCAGTAAAGCTGAAAATGCCATAAAATATATGACAGAAATGAAAGATACAGCTCCCTGAACTATCATGAGATAGCTTTATCATATTTAAAATTTATATAGTAAAATATTTCACATATATTACTTCATGTAAACCAAGTAATAGCCTTCTGTTTGTAAAACAAACATCTGCTGGAATAAGGACTAGCTCTAAGTCTATTCTTACAGTCATTCCACAACTACTGCCTCCTGCACCATGTTCTGACATCAGAAACTGCCTGACAAATGTATTTATTTACCTCTATTTATGAGTTTGAATTGCTCCACATTCTGAGATCAACTATGGTCCTAGGCAAAAGGCATGTAGGTACTTCTTGCAGAATCAGATATGTGGCTCAGTGTTGAGGTCACCCTGGCCATAGATGGGCTACTGATTATTGTATAGTCCCCTTGTTTACAGCCCCTGGTATCCAGATCCTTAGTTGGGCCACTTTCTACCATTCTGCTAATTCCATTGCCTATTTAATTTACCTTGCGGACTAAATCATCAATTCCATTTCTAGCCCTTGGCAAGAAGGCAACAATAACTTAAGGTTTATTTGAACCAATCTCCAAGGTCTCCATTGAATCAGTCTAACAGGCTCAGTGAAAAAGGAAGATTTGCCATGTTGATATGTTTCACATGGTGCTATCAAAAGATAAAAACTAAACGGTGCATGAACACATCTGGTAGTTAAACATTATGTTTCAGACATTGTGTGCCCTTAAGCACAAAGGCATTGGCCAGACCTGCGGAAATACGGAATGAGTGATTTAGCAAGGAATTGCCACTCTGTGCAGTATTCACTCATTAGCCAGCATGAACAACTACAGAGGATCGATGATCCAATTATCACTTCTCAGTATTCATATTATGCCACTTATCAGTAGCATTTGACACAACTGATCACCATCAGCTATCCCTGGATTATTGTAATAGTCTCCTAACTGGTGTCTCTATTGCAAGTACCATTAGTTTGTCAAATAAAATTGGATGATAATTGTACAGAATCTTGCAAAGAGCTAGAGAATGATGATTAGGAAGTGGGGCATAGAAAATGGGTAATGAAATTAACAGGATGGTAGAAAGAGACTCAAGTAAGGGTCTACATACCAGCGCTGGGAACACAGGGGCTATATAAAAATCGGTGCCCATCTGCAGCCAGAATGATCACAGACAATGAACCTAAGTATGTTCCACCTATCCATCATTCTAAATCTTCACACTTCGACCCATAAAAAGGTAATATATTTTAATCAAATTGTTTATACACACAGAGGTGCACAAAAACTATTTGTTGGGGACTGCACACACCTAATGGGTGTCCCTTACTGAAATCCTGCATCAGTACAATAAAGAAAGACACATTTTAATGACTTTTCTACATATAGTGGGCCTTTCAGCATTCTCTATACTGCTGGTACCTGGCCTAATGCCCGGATATCTTTCTCTCTCTCTCTCTCTCTCTCTCTCTCTCTCTCTCTCTCTCTCTCTCTCTCTCTCTCTATATATATATATATATATATATATATATATATATATATATATATATATATACTTTAAGTTCTGGGATACATGTGCAGAACATGCAGGTTTGTTATATAGGTATGCACATGCCATGGTGGTTTGCTGCACCCATCAACCCATCATCTATATTTGGTATGTCTCTTAATGCTATCCCTCCCCCAGCCCCCCACCGCATGACAGGCCCTGGTGTGTGATGTTCCTCTCCCTGTGTCTATGTGTTCTCATTCTTCAATTCCCACTTATGAGTGAGAACATGTGGTGTTTGGTTTTCTGTTCTTGTGTTAGTTTGCTGAGAATGATGGTTTCCAGCTTCATCCATGTCCCTGCAAAGGACATGAACTCATCCTTTTTCATGGCTGTGTAGTATTCCCTGGTGTATATGTGCCACATTTTCTTTATCCAATCCATCATTGATGGGCATTTGAGTTGCTTCCAAGTCTTTGCCATTGTGAATACTGCTGCAATAAATGAAAAAAAGCTCATCGTCACTGGTCATTAGAGAAATGCAAATCAAAACCACAATGAGATACCATCTCATGCCAGTTAAAATGTCATTTATCAAAAAGTCAGGAAACAACAGATGCTGGAGAGGATGTGGAGAAATAGGAATGCTTTTACACTGTTGGTGGGAGTGTAAATTAGTTCAACCATTGTGGAAGACAGGGTGGCGATTCCTCAAGGACCTAGAACCAGAAATACCATTTGACCCAGCAATCTCATTACTAGGTATATACACAAAGGATTATAAATCATTTTACTATAAAGACACATGCACACTTATGTTTAATGCCCAGATATCTCAAGTCCACTGTATTTGCTGCTCCTGAAAAGCTCTCCGACTAGGTATCTGGAGATGTCATTCCTCATCTTCTTCAGACTTTACTCAGATGTCACCTTCTCAGTGAAACCTTCCCTCGATCATCTTATTTAATAAAGCAACTATCTCCATTCTTTTTATGACCTCTCCTTACCTTTTATTTCTGCTTAGTCCTATCACCATTTTACATATTTACTTATTTATTGTCCTTGTTTCCCTGCCAATATATAAGCTCCACGAAGACACTTTTCTTCATTTACTGCTGTACCCAGTTAATTAATCAGATACTTGTTGAAGGAATGACAGGATATTTAACGCACGAATAATGAATCAATGATGGTTGGACTGAACTGCTTTGAAGTTTCCATTCAACTGTACAATCTTTTATAAATTTTCACTTATAAAATCCAAAGTATATATTGATTTCCTTCTAAAAAGGTCTTAAATTATAATCAAAAATAAAGTTAAAAATATTTAAGCAATATATATGGTATGTGATTTGCAGATCTTCCATTTTGTACAGTCATGAGTGTTCTATCTATGATCTTAAAACCTTGAAAAGAATCATTTGATTCTAAAATTGTTAGCCCATTGGTTTTTGTCTTATTTCATAATATCTAATGCATTTTCCTTCTGTTTCTGGGACTCATCTTAAATTAGCCGCTTGTTAAATCACATTGCCATGCTCTCCTTATAATTTTGCCATACTCAGGTTGATTTCAATTTCTTTTATTGTGGTCTAAAACTTCCTTGCCCTAACTCATATTTTATTATTGTCATCATATCTATGAAATTATCTTTCTATTGTGATAATCTTATAATAATGGTTAGTGATATTTTCTATGAAGGATATTTGAGGAAATAGTGCATTATGATGAAATGTATGTAAAAACTGGCAGATGTTTTCTCAATAAGGGAAAAGAAACCATCAAGAATCATTGTCTTTGAATCCTTTCTTTTTGCCTCAGAGCAAAAAACATGCATTTGCAGTTCTCGTGACATTAAAAAAGTACTTCAGAGTGTCAGTTTACATTATATATTTCAAGCACAAAATTTGGTCCACTTTTTCTCCCTTGGCATAGTTGAGGCTGGCATAAATCAACTTGAAGAAACACGCTCTGACTTTTCTAAAATTTGGGATTAATGTTGGCAACAAAATCTAATTTCAGACTGGTTTTTTAATTCAAGCTTGCACGGGGAAAAATAAAAACCCTTCAACTGAAAAGTGCATTGTATTTCACTGCCTTTCTAGGCATGTGATTTATTCATGCAGATGACTTTCTAATATTTCTAATTTCTACAGTCTGTAGAATCTGTAGAATTTGGACCCTAAGCCTTTTAACAGTGGTGATCTTTTGCCCAGTCCTAGCCACACTGGTCTCTCATGTAACGAATATCATCATTTTGAAGACAAATAGACTGCACCAATGAAAAGATCTGTGGTCCTCTACCTAGAATGTATGAGATTGAACCACTTCTTCCTTATTATATTATTTTTATGAGCAAACCACTTAAAAATACATAGATTAGAAAATTGGAGGGCTAATCTTCTGTGTAATATTCTATATATAAAACTAGTAATAATCACAGCTAATATCTCAGCATAGCAGTTCAGTTTAAATTCTGTTATCAGACTAGGCTATCATTTAGTTACTGTGTAACCTTGAGTAAATCTGCAAACTGTGCTTCAATTTCCCCACCTGTAAGATGAGAACTAAAGTAGTGTTATTTCTAATTAAGTATAAACCATTATAATAGTACTTGGCACATAGTACAAACTCAATAAATGTAAGCCATGATTAATTCTATTGCTTGTGATTTGACATTATTGTTTTTGTAAGCACGTATTTATTGTTATAATGTATTGCTTTTACAATTAGTTTAGGTATTAAGATTGTTCTTAAAAAAGATTACACTTAACATTACAAGATGAATTAGAAAAGTAAAAAGAGTCTATTTAAAACCATTCTGCCAATCTCTGTCTTTTAACTGAAGAGTCTAATCTATTTATATTTAAAGTAATTACTAATAAGAAGGGATTTGCTTCAGTCTTTTTGCTATTTGTTTGTATATGCCTTACCTCTTCTTGGTTCCTGATTTCCTGCATTACTACATATTTGTGTTTAGTTGGTATTTTGTAATGAAATGTTTAATTTCCTTCTCATTTTCTTTGGTGTATATTCTATAACTATTTTCTCTATGATTACCAAGAGGACTGCAATTAACATCCTAAAGTCATAACACTATAATTTGAATTTATACAAGCTTAACTTCAATAAAATAAAAAAAACTCTGCTGATTTACATCTCTGTTCCCATCCCTTTAGGTATTGATGTCACAAAATTACATCTTTATACATCCTGTGTCCAAAAATGTGAACTACTGATTTTTTAAATGCACTATTTTAAAAATGCACTGAAATAATGTAGAAAATAGGTAGAGTTACAAACTGTATTAGTCCATTTTCATATTGCTATGAAGAAATACCTGAGACTGGGTAATTTATAAAGAAAAAGATGTTTGATGGACTCACAGTTCCACGTGACTGGGGAGGCCTCAAGTCGTGGAAGGTGAAGGAGGACCAAAGGCATGTCTTACACAGTGGCAGGCAAGAGAGAATGTGCAAGGAAACTACCCTTTATGAAACCATCAGATCTCATGAGACTTACTCACCATCATGACAACAGCATGGGAAAACCCACCCCCATGATTCAATTACCTCCCAGTGGGAACCTCCCACGACATGTGGAGATTATAGGAGCTGCAATTCAAGATGAGATTTGGGCGGGGACACAGCAAAACCATATCACAAACCAAAGTTGCAATAATACTAGCTTTTACACTAATAATTGTTTTTTGTTTAGTATTAGTCTCTGAAATCATAGAAAACAAAAAGTGAAGTTTCAAACCATAGTTACAATAATAATAGCCTTCATGATTGCTCATGTACTCACCTTTACTGAGATCAAATGGCTTTGAGTTACTGCCTAGTGTTATTTCATTGCAACTTGCAGGATTCTTTTTAGAAATATTTTCAGGACACTGTTGTTGGAAGTGTAAATTAGTTCAGCCATTGTTGAAAACAGTATGGAGATTTCTCAAAGAGCTAAAAATAGAAGTACCATTCAACCCAGCAATTCCATTCCTTGGTATATACCCAAAGCAATATAAACTTTTCTACAATACAGACACTTGCACATTTATGTTCACTGCAGCACTATTCACAATAACAAAGGCATGGAATCAACCTAAATGCCCATCAATAATAGACTGGATAAAGAAAATGTGGTACATATACACCATGGAATACTATGCGGCCATAAAAAGGAATGAGAGCATGTCCTTTGCAGGAACATGGATGGAGCTGGAGGCCATCATCCTTAGCAAACTAACTTAGGAACAGAAAACCAAATACCACATGTTCTCACTTACAAGTGGGAGCTAAATGATGAGAATACATGGACTTAAAGAGGGAAACAACAGATACCAGGGCCAGCTTGAGGTTGGAGGGTGGGAGGATGGAGAGGATCAGAAAAAAATAACTACTGGCTATTAGGCTTAGTTCCTGGGTAACAAAATAATCTGTACAGAAAATCCCCGTGACACACTTTACCTGCATAACAAACCTGTACATGTACCCCTGAACCTAAAGTTAAAAGAAATTCTTTCAGGGCAAACCTAGAGATAACAGTCTCCTATAGCTTTTGTTTATTGATGAATACTTTAATTTTTTCCTCACTTTGGAAGCACAGTTTTTGTGGATAAATGATTCTTAATTTTTTTCTTTTAGCACTTTAGTATATTAGCTCACTGCCTTTGATCTCTTAACTTTCTAATGATAAATCTTCTCATAAACCTACTGAGGCTGACTTGTAAGTGATAAGCTGCTTCTCTCTTGCTGCTTTCAAGATTTTTCTCTTTGGTTAACAGTTTGATTATAATGTGTGTCAGTGCTTGTCTCTTGGAGTTCATTTTACTGAGAGAACATTAAGCTTCTTGGATATTTATACTCATTTTTTTAAAATCAAATTTGGTTATGTTTTTGACCATATTTTTTCAAACAATTTGTCTTCCCCTTTCTTTTTCTATTCTCTTTTTGGGAATCTCCCAGTGTGTAAGTTGGTCTGCTTGATGGTGCCCTACAGGTCCCACAGTCTCTCTTCAATTTTCTTAAATCTTTTTTCTTTCCATTTCCTAGACCTGTTAATTTTTATTGTTCTATCTTTAAGCTCACTGATTTTTTTTTCTTCTGCCTTCTCTTTTTTAGAAGGCTTGCCATCTAATTTTTCTCAGGTACAGTTTCTGTTGGCTTATTATTATTATTTACTTTAAATAGGCCATACTTGCCATTTCATGCCCTGTGATTTTTTCCTGAAAACCAGACAATTGAATCTACTAATGTGGCAACTATGAAAATCAGATTTGTTCCTTTCCCCAAGGTTTGTTGTTTTTCTTTTGTTTTTATTGTAGGTTGTGTTTATGCTAAAGATCAGCCTGAGGTGTAAACTTAAGGTCTTCTCAGGTCTTCGTTTTGTTTTGTATTGTTTTTTTATGACAGTTTCTCACTCTGTCACCCAGGCTTGAGTGCAGTGGCGCAATCATGGTTCACTGCAGCCTCAACCCCCTGGCCTAAAGTGATCCTTCTGCCTCAGTCTCCCACTTCAGCTAGGGACTACAAACATGTACCATCATCCCCAGCTAATTTTTATTTTTTAATTTTTTGTAGAGATGGAGCTCTCACTAATTGCCCAGAGTGGTCTCAAACTCCTGGCCTTCAGCAATCCTACCACCTCAGCCTCTCAAAGTGCTGCAATTATAGGCATGAGACACTGCATCCAACCTTTTGTTTCTTTAGAGACAGGGTCTCACTTTGTCACTCAGGCTGGAGTACAATGGTGTGATCACAGCTCACTGTAATCTTGAACTCCTGGGCTCAAGTGATCTCAGCCTCCCGAGTAGCTAGGACCACAGGTGTGCACCACCACAATTGGGTAACTTCTTTTAATTTTTTTAGTAACTGGTTCTCACTCTGCTGCCCAAGCTGGTCTTGCATTCTTGGCCTTAAGCAATCTTCCCACCTTGGCCTGCCAAGGTGCGAGGATTATAGGCATGAGCCACTGCACCTAGCCTCTTCTCAGATCTCTTAATGGGCCTTTGCTTTTCTCTGTGCATGTATGGTAGCTTTCTAAATCACCTTATATGTATATAGTTGGTTTGAGTGTCCCAGTCTTTAATATCTGGTTCCCCCCCCAAAAAAAAGAAAAAGAAAAAAGAAAAAAATGAAGGGGTGAGGAATGGCCTCAGCCCTTTAAATGCTAAGTATATTTATTTAGCCTGAGAGGGAGACGCTGCAACAATGAGGGAGGGGTACAACAACAGCTAACCACCTAGATGTCTGCACCTTCCTGATTAGTAACAGCAATCAGTGATCAGAACATAGAACACGGATCTCCAACATTTGGAGTAGAGTTCTGCTTGCTCACCCTGGCCCTCTCAAGCTGCATGTAAGCTGCTTTAGGAACATGTGCATGGCTGCTTTCCACAGGGCTAGAGGTGGAGGATGGGTAGCTGCTGCTGAGCTAAACACTAAGAGCAATCCAAATTAACTACAATTTGCCATCCAACACTTCCCCTGAAAGTTACAAGGCTTTAATAGACCCTAGAGTTCCAAAATAATTATATCAGACAGATTCTACCAGTGCAATTGTTGGTTAGGTAGGGAAACAGATTCTTGATACTTCCTACTCTTCCATCTTCCCAGAACCCTCCTTCTATTATCAGTATTTTGTCATCTTTTTATAGCTCTTAAGCAAGTTAGATAGCTCCCTTCTATGCAATATTTATGAAATAATCAAAACTATGGACTGCTGGATAGCAGGAGCGCTCCAAAAATTAATAAATAAATTAACTAATTAATATAAAGAAAAAAACTCACAAGGGTATAATGTCTATAGAATTTAGAAAATAGAAGTCTACATTTGTGCACAGTGAGGCCAAGATTAATTTGGAGTTCTAGAAAGCCAGAGAAGCATCATGAATGTATAATGGCCTAGAAAGTGTGGCAGGCACTAGTTGAGGTGGGTACCTGCTATGGTTTAGATACGGTTTGTTTGGCTCTACCAAGTCTCATGTTGAAATTTAATCCCCAATACTGGAAGCAGGCCCTGGTGGGAGGTATGGAGGTGGATTTCTCATGAATAGCTTGGTGCTGCCCTCACAGTAATGAAACGAGTGAGTTCTCATTCTATTGATTCCTACTGAGAGCTGCTTGTTAAAAAGTGCCTAAAACCTTCTCCCCCACCTTGCTTCCTCTCTTGCCAAGTGATCTTTGGGCCTTGTGTGGTGGCTCATGCTTGTAATCCCAGTACTTTGAGAGGCCAAGGTGGGAGGATTGGTTGAGGCCAGGAGTTCAAGACCAAGTGATATGCATATGCCAGCTTCTGTTTCACCTTGTGTCATGAGTTGAAGCTTCCAGAGACCCTCATCAGAAGCAGATGCTGGTACCATGCTGTATTAGTCCATTCCCACACTGCTATAAAGATACTATCTAGGACTGGGTAATTTATAAAGGAAAGAGGTTTAATTGACTCACAGTTCCACACGGCTGGGTAGGCCTCAGGAAACTTACAATCATGGTAGAAGGCAAAGGGGAAGCAAGGACCTTCTTCACATGGTAGCAGGAAAGAGAAGTGTATGCAGGGGAAATGCCAGATGCTTATAAAACCATCAAATCTCATGAGAACTCAGTCAGTATCATGAGAATATCAGGACGGAATCCGACCCCATGATCCAGTCACCTCTCTCCCTTGACACGTGAAGATTACAGTTCAAGATAAGATTTGGTGAGGACACAGAGCCATACGATATCACATGCTTCCTGTACATCCTGAAGAAGAATGAGCCAAGTAAACCTTTTTGCTTTATAAATTACCCAGCTTCAGGTATTCCTTTATAGCAACACAAATGAACTTAAGACAGTACCATTGAATGGAATGAAGGCCCCCAAGGATATACTCTAAAGCACAACAGTACCGAGCCACTATAGAATAATAAAGTTAATTTTTAAAACCAAACATGAAATATCTTATTTAGAGAAAAATAATTTTATGTCTGGACTACATTAATAAAAAATATTTAATAATTTTATGAATTCATGATGTCTAGAGGTTTACTGGGTAGCTGAGCTACTAGTTTCATTCATTTCTTATCTTTAAAAGGGGCTATAAGATATGGGATGATTTTGTAAATAAATATCATATTTTGTTCTTTTAATTCTAAAGGAATGTTGGAGAAATCCCCCACACATTTAGAAGTCAAAATAAAATTTTCAACAGAAGTTTAATTACCTGCAAAATATGTAAATTACAGTATACTATAAATATTAGCTTTTAAAATAAAGCTATTATAAATCTTGCTGTGGTTTGAATGTGTCTCCTCGAGAATTCAGGTGTTGCCAATTTGATAGTATTAGAAGGTAGAGCCTTTAAGAGTTCATTACATCAAGAAGCCTCCTCCCCTTGTGAATGGGATTTGGAGCCTTCATAAAAAAAGAGAGTTTGTCTCACTCATCCCTCTCCACCTTCCACCATGTGAGGACACAGCATTTCTCCTCTCTGTAGAATGCAGCATCAAAGAACCATCTTGGAAGCAGAGAGCAGTCCTCAGCAGACAACAGAACCTGCCAGCACCTTGATCTTGAACGTTTCAGTTTCTAGAACTGAGAGAAACTACAGCTGTCTTCTTTTTAAATGACCTAGTCTGTGGTATTCTGTTATAGTGGCATGAACAGAATAAGATGATTCTCTTAAATGTATCCAAAACAGTCTAAATAATATAGTGATTTGATACTCACCATTATACATTTATAAATATATAAACAATCTCTTAAATAGTTGTAAACTTTATATTTGTCTTTTTCCCTATGAGTTAGAATTTTCATTCTTGTTCCCCTCTAACAGAGTTTTATCTCAATGTAATACAATTTTATGCTTGAAAATCTTACGGTCATCACTTACACTTCTATTCAGCAAAATTATGTACATATTGAATTTAAAATTTTTAAATTCTTTGGGAACCATAAATGTCTGAGTGTTAAAAAGAAAGTTCCATATTGAAAAGTCATCACAATAATTGTGTTAGTTCACAATTGATCAAAACAATGTAACTATTATATATATTTCACATCCAAAATTAGTAATCATAAAAAGTAACAATTTTGGAAATACATCTGTTATTGATTTTTTTGTGGTGCTTTATTATCCAATGGGTTTAAATGTTTATCAATATCATTATTTTCTAGATTAGACTGTATAAATTCTACTCCTATTTTTTTTGCTTTTATAAATGTAAAGGCTAAGAGTCTATGTTCATGTACTAAGTAAATAGAAGTCCAAAGAGTTTTTCCAGGGCATTATCACTCAATTCTTTAAATTCCATTCAAGTTTTATGCCAAAAGGCACAAAATGATCTTTCACCAAAATTATTTTTAATGTTCTATTTGCTGGCAATTGTATTACCTTCCTTAAATATTCTTGAAAGCGAAGAATTTAAAACCAGTAAACCTGCAAAAGGATTTCTTACCAACTCATTAGCGTCACTCATTTTCTCATCACTCTCACTGATATTTCAAATCACCTCTTTGGTGACACAAAGATTTTGCCACCTGGTGGCATGTACCAAGGTAAGATTCAAAGTGGATAAGAAATGTGCCTTTATTGTATAAAAAGGGAATACAAGTGATTTTTTAGGGGGGCTATTTGGGTCACAGATTAGTTCTCAGGAAGATACACTCAGAGGATAGTGTACATATAAATGTTGAAGATCTAGTAATAAATTTTTAAAATATTATTCATGCCATTTACCCTTGAAAAGTTTATCACCTCAGGGATACATATTACCCAGCTTGGAGAATATTGTTTCTGAGAGCCTGAAAATAGTAATAACTATTTAGAGGATAATAAAATCTCTAAAAACTGGACTGGATATTTGGAGGAGAATGTGTAAACTACATTATATTAAAGCTGTTATTTTTTATTCTTTTCTTTAAATGGTAGAAACAGAGTGCAGAGCTAGAAAGTTGCCCATGAACAGCATGACTAAAACCAGAGCATCTTAGCACCCGGAAGATCTTCCTTATTTTGTAACTGCTGAATGGATCCTACGCTTACTAAATAACTGGCTTATTTTTTGTTATATCACACCAGATGTAGTATAATATTGTTTTCTCAAAAACATTAACACAACATATAGCTAAAAAATTATGCTTTCATATCATTGTTGTCCTCTCCAACTCAACAAAAATGATGTGTGCATGTGTGTATTCCAGTGTGGTGAGGAAGAGGTCGTTACAAAACACTTATAAGTAAAACAGAAAGTATGCTCCTAATTTATGGCATTAACCAATCCCTGTATAAAACTATAACTCAATCACACATTGACCATGAGGTGTAGCTTATCTTGTACTGTACTTTTTTCTAAAAAAAGTATACCTTATCAGTACTTTTTAAAAAGTAAAATCCAAGATAAACTACATTTAATGGTACACTTTAAATGGGTGTAAGTGTATGCTATGTGAGTTACATTCCAATAAAACTCTTAGTTTTAAATTGGAGATGAGTAACTAACATCTCAATGGAAGAGGGACAAGTGATATAAGGACAATCTTATGCAAGAACTCTTTAAAGCATACAAAATGAGGATGTGATGTAAAAGAAACCATGCTTATATAATTACACTCACCCCCCACACACACACAAACACACAAACAATAAGAACATCACATCATTCATGGTTTCCTACAATTCTAAAACTATGTGGTATTCTTCGACATTAAAAAGAGGCAGTTAACGTTTTACTTCTTCCTTCTATGTAGCAACTTACATATTGGTATAAATATATATCTGCTATTCTTTAACTGGACAAATGGGTATCTGAAACAATAGTAACGATTTGGAAATGTTAGAGCTACATGTGACCTAAAGGCCCATTTAGTCTGGTACTAATTCTACAGACAGTATTAGAATCCCAGAGAGCTAAAGACATTGTCCAGAGAACTTGTGAAACACAGAGTGGAACCAGTCACCAATTCCCTTACTTAATGGTAGAGCACCATACCCCAATGCCCTGGCACCATGCCTTGTGAAACTACTTGAACTTGGAAAAGTGTGAGGTAAGCAAAAGCTTATAAATTATGACTATTTGAAAGTAAAGATGGAAACGATCCAAAGAAGCAAAGTTCTGGGCATATAAGAAAAATTAAAGAAAAATAAACTATAGAAAATTTCAAGATAAACTCTGGAATGATAATCAAAAGGAGAGTTTTTAATTGAGTAAGATACCAAAGTTGTCCACTGAAACACAGCAGCACCACTAAGGGCCTCTGGCAGCAATGAGAGAAGCACGCCTCAGACAGACTCTCATCTTGAATCACGAAGACTGAGTCAAGCAGGCCAAGCTGTTCAGTGGGGAAGAGAAATGATGAATGATTAGATAGATTCATCACCAAGGTCCTCTGTAGACAGCCTCAGAGTGTGTTCACTCTTCAAATGGAAATAATACATTACATAGAACTCCCACATAAAAGGACATACAATATGTAACAAAGAAAAATAATGAATAATAAGTGAAATCATAATAATGAGATCTACTTTATTGGTGCTGTGTATATTACTGCGTAAGTCCAAACTCAATATCCAGGACTGTCACTGGAATATAATTTCTCATGTTTAAAAAAAAAAAAAGGTCAAACAACTTTTCAATAATTTATCTCACATGTTTAGAATATTGTATGAATTACTTTCTATAATTTATTCAAGTTTAAGTAAACTGGAAAATATGATCTTTTCAAGGTTCTCATATTAATGAAACATCTGCAAAGAAACAGCCCTTTCTGCACATCTGGCAAAGGTAAAATTCATGCTCTGTCTAGTCTGTCAAAACTGAGTGAAATTGCCCAACATTCGCAGGGCCTGGAGCAAGAGTACAAATGGAAGCCCATGGACCATATGTCTGTCTGTAACAGCATGAATCAAATGAAAACTATTTAATAAAAGATACCCCACACTCCTACATTGCTAACTGCACCTTCAAAACACTAAAATGTAAAATATTTAACTAAAAGTCAATGAAATATCAAAGATAATGTATTAAATTATTGTAGAACATACATCACCCTGCAGACGTATCGGTAGTGTTTAGAAGAGTTATAAAAATATATATAAAATTCAGAAGTTAGGTCTGAATTGTGTAGAATTACACAATAAAATTTACTTTTATTGCTTTAATTTTAGCACAATAGCTAATTATAGTATTGTAGTTAATGTTTTCATAATTTTAATTGTCACAATAACAACATAAAGGATTAAAAATAACATGTAAATATATTCATTATAACAAATTTAAGTATAGTTTCATCAGAAATGTAAACTAAAGTGAAAATAAAAACAAAGTAGTAAAATCATTTAATATACTTGTTAAAACTTAATTTTTCTAAAATATTGAAAATTATATCAATGTTTACAGGAAAATATATTTGTAGAATATCAAATCTGAAATAAATAACTTTAAAATTAGCTGTGTTTTATTTAATTTGGAAAATTTAACTATGCTTATTTTATCCTTTTATAAACATACTCCCAATTTTGCAAATCAGCAATAGGAAAGTGTCAACACATTACACCACAGTGACCTGTCTTCTTAAACAATTGATTCAAAAACCTATAGAGTGCCATGGTGTAATTATGAACTTTAAATCTGACTAAATGAAACAAGTAACATGAGATTCTTTTTACCCTAAATACTTGAGGGAAAAACCCAAAATATGATTTTTAAATTAGTTATATTCTCACATTAAGACCTCTAGTTGATAGTGACTTTTCTAAAATCAGGGGTTATAATCATGTCCCCTGCTTTCTGGGTCATACTGTTTTTAACCTTACCTTATAGGAAGTCCGACCAATTCCATTTACACTGTTTTGCAGCCACTGAAAGTTTGTAAGGAACAAACCAAAAATTTCAGTGATCATTGTGTTCACTGTTATATCAATTCCTAAATCCTAAACTGTTTTTAACCTTACCTTACAGGAAGTCTGACCAATTCAATTCACACTGTTTTGCAGCCACTGAAAGTTTGTGAAGAACAAACCAAAAATTACAGTCAAGATTGCGTTCACTGTTATATCAATTCCTAAGTCCCAGGGTCCCAGAGAATAATCGATAATTAAAATATTTTTAAAATACCACAGAAGTACTTATATCAAAAAATAAGTAATTTTTTTTTTTTAGTTGTGACGGATGAAACCAACATACCATTATTTATACTTCTAAATGCTTTCAAAGGAAGAGTCTTCCAAATAGCAAGTGTAATTGTGGTCTGGATGAGCAGGGAGAAGGCAGGAAAGAGGGCTGCCTGGATGAAAACTGGAAACACATTTTCACAATGCAGCACATCCTGGATAGTCTCACAGATCAACTTACTCATGAGCCTAATCAAAACTAAGCTTTGAACTCACAAACTAGTATTTGTTCACTAAAAGCAATTCAATATTTTTCTCAATATCATACCTGAGTGACATAAACAAATTGATTCTCAGTGGAGTAAGAGATTGGCTCTCGAGTTTTGTATTATAGTGTTAAGACAGAACAAGGCCCTGGGAATCTTGTCTTGCAAGGCTGGTAGTGCTGATAATGGTTGAGAAATGTTGCCCTTCCACACTGATCTCTACTTTTCTTTGTTCTTTTCCAATCTTCTTTAATGTACCCTCCTCCCCTTCTTTCCCTATCGTCCTGTCAAGTTTTCTATGTTCTCAATTTCAGTTTGGCAGCATGTTTGCGTCAGAGTGGTTGCAAATGATGGAGGACTCTGTGGAGCCCGTGGGACATCAGCCCGCTGGCCGGGTTCCCTAGAGCGCTGCTCCACTGTCGCCAGGTCTCAGGGCTGGTAAGTATGTGTACAGACACGCCTGCATGCGTAGCCGCGACTGAATCACGGGTTCGTCATGAGTTCTTTTGCATGATATCAGTAACCACCAAAATCTCACCGCAGTTTCCCCAAGGCTGAATTTATTCATTTCAAAAAACAGCATCGGGAATATTCTAAGACTTTTACTACACAGAGGAACTGGTGAGGCAGTAAAATCGTTTTATTTGAAATAACAATAAAAAGCCAAATTGGAGTGCAGCTAGAAGGGATTAGACCACCACAAAACTAGCCTTACTGGAATTGCTTCCAAGAATGTTAACAATCTATTGGGAGACAGTATGTTTTCTGGAACCAAAATTGAAGGTGGGTGGGGAGAAGAATAGGCAAGTAAAGGCAGCCATGAGGAAACTGAACTTTCATCACCTTGAGCACGGTATTTTTGAGTATTAACTATGCTTGGCATGCAAAAAGCAGTTAAAAGTCTAACAACCAAGCGTGAACTTCACGCACCTAAATCTCCTGTGATAGTTCTAGACAATACTTGGCAATCCGCTTTGTAAATGGGTTTTAAACAAGTACTCATAATGATGAAACAATATAGAGGAACAAATTGCGGTAAGAAAAGCATGCTGTTGATGTCAAAAGAAGCCAGCCCGTTACCGTAATTCCAGCAACACATTGACTGTGGTCCTGGCCACAGGCAAATTTCTGATACCTGCTTTTTAAATTATCACCCAGGGTGGCTTGGAGAAATGTGGTAACTTTGGGTATGTTAACACTTCCATAAATTAATTCAGTTAGAAGAAGATACACTTAGAAATGTAGAATATAAGCCTGATGTGTTGACATGTATTGAAAAGGAACAAAAAAGACAATAGTTATTTATTTTAATAGCAAGTTGTGATACCAAACAACATTCTTCCTTTTACCTCATTGTCTTCCATGGCCTAGGCCTTCCTTTATTTTTAGTTAATTCCTACATGGGTGCTTTTTAATTCAAAATAAATACTATATCATTCTGACAGGTTTGCTCAGAAAAACACTGTATGTTCTTTTTAAGATTGGAGACATAATTGACTCTTCTCATTATTTAAGTGGCATTTATTGAACACTTAATTTTCCTCAGCACTGTATTAGACAACTACTATGAACAATGGCAAATGATACACATTATGCTCTTGATAAATTAATACCATATTTGAAAGAGAAGATTATATGTGTATTGGAATAAAAATATCCACATAATTATTGTAAGTCGAGCGAATAGTATAGGTAGCAATGTTGGAGAAATTCAAATGGAGAGGACTGAGCAGACACCCCAGGCTGAGGATTTCTGTTGAGAGGTCAGATGGTGATGATACTCAGGAGAGATGAATTTCAGGCCAGACACGCCTGAGCTCAAAATCCAATTTTGCTCCTTACTTAACATCTATGTGTGTGTGTGTGTGTGTGTGTGTGTGTGCGTGTGTGTGTGTGTTTGTGTTTCATCTGTGAAACAAAAACAGTAACAATTCCTAACTTTGTAATTGCTGAAAGGACTAAGTGGATTAATGTTGAATGCTGACTCATAGTAAATATTTAAAAGATGTTTTAATAAAGGAATAGTAGAGGATAAGGTTTAAAAGGAAGTATGGGCGGGGCGTGGTGGCCCAAGCCAGCAATCTCAGCACTGTGGGAGGCCGAGGCAGGCAGATCACTTGAGGTCAGGAGTTTGAGACCAGCCTGGCCAACATGGTGAAACCCCATCTCTACTAAAAATGCAAAAAATTAGCCAGGCGTCGTGGCATGCCCTGTAGTCCCAGCTACTCAGGAGGCTGAGGCATGAGAATTACTTGAACCCAAGAGGCGGAGGTTGCAGTGAGCCGAGATAGCGCCACTGCACTCCAGCCTGGGAGACAGAGTGAGACTCCATCTCAAAAAAAAAAAAAAAAGAAAAAAGAAGTATGACATATTGCAGGTAATAAATATAGGACAAGGGACCCTCTGACTAATACAGTCAGTTATATACTGGGTAAACTGCAAGAAATGTCTCCCTATAATAAACTCAGGACTCCAAGAAGAAAGGAAAATATATAAAGGCAGAAAAGAAAATAATGAAGGAATAGAATGAGGAGGAGGAAGAGAAACAAGAGAAGAAACAGAAATAGAAAAATTAGAAGAAGAAGGAGATGTTTTCTAAAGAATAATTTTTAGAATGAAACAATATTTTGAATGGCACCGAGGCAAAAAATATCTAATAAGAATTTTAACTTTCAGTTACAAAATATTTATTAATCTATAATTGTGGCCTGAATACAATAATAACTCTATAATTATAATAGAATTAAGATAAACAAATAAGAATTAGTCACTACTACAAAAAGATGTACCTTAAGTAGAAAAATTGTCCCAGAAGGAATAAGAAAGATCTGAGATGCAAGAATAAATAAATTGTAAGCAGAGAAGCTTCTTAATACAGTGCGTAAGTAAATCCAAAGCAACTGTGTCTTCAAAATTAATACTATTACTGCTACTATTATTTATTATTATTGTCATTATTATTGTTAATTTGAGAGTTTTAGAAATGAGAGTTAAAACTTCTAGTGTCAGTACTAACATGTAACAAGCTTAGAAGTTACCACTCTTGTTCTTTCCACAAGAAAAATCAGAAGAAACTGAAAATGGTTGACTTTTCTTGAGCCCATCAGAGAACTGAGGTTGCAGGACAAACCAACATCCTAAAAACTAGAGAGGAGAATAGTCATAGCAGAGATCTGCTTACCTAGAGCAGAAGCTGCTGGAGTCTTAAGCTGCTAAGAACATTACATGGTAATTTTGGTGAATTGCTAGAAGCTGGCTGTGGACTAACCTTAGGGTATGAAATCACTAGGGCTGTAGTCTTCGTGGGTCTCCTACACTTTTCTCCAGATACCTCACCAGAATCTCAGAATAAAATTCCTAGAAAAATATTCTCTAGGCTGTGGCAACAAGAAAGGAAGAGTAATCATTGTGAAATTATGTCCAGAGCATTCTCCATAAAAGAGGTCGGTCTAAGGGAAAAGATTTGCCAGAGCTTTATCGTAGTTAAGGGAAGGTGTTTCTCCCATTCCGGCACCTCTAGATGTCCTTTCTCATCTAAGGGGAGAGAACATCTACATCACTGAAGAAATACCTGTGAAAGCCAAAGCCCATGACACAAATCCATAAAAATACTGAGATTTGATGATAGGATTATACAACACTCCCATTCACTGACCACCACACCAACCAGGCTCCAGTATAATAATAGTGGATTCCAGCTGGAAGAGCTGCAAGACACAAACTCTCTGCAAGGAGGAATACTTAGGGAAGATTAAAGTTCAAAAGAAAGACAAAACAAAGGCAACAGATGAATTTGAAGCCTCTGGCACTGACAGCTATAGTAAATATTAAATATACCCAAACTCTTAGCCCCATTAACAAAAACTCTCACACGAAAAGTCAGCAGTCCATATTACTCACACACATTCAGTTTTCAACAAAATCATGACGTGCCAAAAAAAGAAAGAAAAATCAGAGTTAGAGCAGATAAAACAAGCATCAAGACCATGCTAAGGTATGACATAGGTTTTAAAATTATCAGCAAATTTAAAATAACTAATTAATATGTTAAAGTCCCCAAAGAAAAAAAGTAGACAACATGCAAGAGCACATGGCTAATGTAAGCAGAAAGATAGAAACTGTAAGAAGAAATCAAAAAGACATAGAAATAAAAACAATATAATGGAAATGAAGAATGCCTCTGATGGGCTCATTAGGAGACTAGACATGACCAGGGAAGATCAGTGAGTTTGATGATACGTCAGTGGAAACATCCCAAACTGAAATGTAAAGAGGATTTTTTTTTCTGTTTTTTGTTATATTTGTATTTTTTAAATGGAATATCCTATTGCTGTGGATATATTTTTTTAAAGATACCCATGAGCTGGGCACGGTGGTCCCTGTCTACAGTCCCAGCTACTTGAGATGCTGAGGTGGGATGGTAAGATGCTAGTAGATTGAGGCCGCATTATTTATGATTGCACTCCAGCCTGGACAACATAGTGAGACCGCATCTTTAAAAAGTCTTTTAAATAAAATAAAATATAATATATAGAATGCATGTAATTGGAATATAAGAAAGAGAGAACGAAGCAGAAGTAATATTGTAATGAGATCCATAATCTGCTACATGAGATGTAGCAAATATAAATGCAAATATCCTCAATAAAAAAAAATTAGCAGATCAAATCCAACAAGGTATAAAAACAATTATGTGCCATAACCAAGTAAGAGTTATTCCAGGTATATAAGGGTGGTTTAACATTCAAAAATCAATGTAATTCATCACTTTGACAAGCCAAAGAAGAAAAATCATATGATCATATCAACTGGTGCAGGAAAAAGCATTTGACAAAATCCAACACCTATATATGATAAAACATTTCAGAAAACTGGGAGTAGAGGAGAAATTCCTCTGCTATAACTAACATCATACTAAGTAGTGGGAAATTGGACGTTGTCTGCCTAACATTGAAAACAAGACAGGGATATGCTATCTCACTACTCCTTAAAAAAAAAAAAAAAAAAAAAAAAAAAGGAGAAGGAGAGAGATGAGATCTCACTATATGACACGGGCAGCTCTTGAACTCCTGGCTGCAAGAAATCCATCTACCTCAGCCTCCTGTGTAGCTGGGACTACAGATACAAGCTACCTGGCTGTCTTACCACTCCTTTTAAACATTGTACTGAAAGTCCTGCCTAACACAATAAGACAATAAAAGGAAATACAATGTATACATATCGGAAAGGAAGAAACAAACCTGTCTTTTTTCACAAATAACATGATTGTTTATGTAGAAAGAATGTACAAAAAACTACTTGGAACTAGTTAACAAGTATAGTGAGGCCACAAGAAAAAAGGTTAATATACAAAAGTTATATTTGCTTTCCTATGCACTAGCAATGAACAAATGGAATTTAAAATTAGAAACATAATACCATTTACAATAGTGATCAAAAAATGAAATACTTTGTTACAAATCTAACAAGAAATGTACAAGACATATATGTGGAAATCTATAAAACTCGAATGAAAGAAATCAAAGATGTAAATAAATAGGGAGATAAACTCTATTCATGGTTGTATGTCAATATTGTTATGAGGTCAATTCTTCCCAACTTAATCTATAGATTCAATGAAATTTTCATTAAAATGTCCTCAAACTATTACATGGACATCTACAAATTGACTCTAAAGTTCATATGGAAGGTCAAAAGACCTAGAATAATCACAAGCACTGAAAAAGAACAAAATTGGAGGGCTCAAACTATCTGATTTCAAGATTTACTATAATAAAACTACAGGAATCGAGACAGCATGAAATTGGCGACAAAATAGACACATAGATCAATGGAACTGAAAGAGAGAGGCTAGAAATGCACCCACGCAGACATAGTTAACTGACCTCTGGCAAAGGAGGAAAGGCAACTTAGTAGAGAAAGGCTAGTCTTTTCCATAAATAATGATGAAAAAATTGGGAACCCGTATGCAAAAAAATGAAATAGACAAAGTCATTTCACATGTTACAAAAAATAACTCAACATAGATCATATACATAAATGTAAAATGCATCATTATAAAAATTCTGGAAGAAAACATCAGAGAAAATTTATGTGAACTTGGGTTTGATAATACATATTCTAATACCATTCTTCAGTACTAAAATCAGGGTTCCTGAAAAAAAAAAAAAAACTTTCATCAGTTGAACTTTATTAAAATTCAAAACTTGTGCTCTGCAAAAGAAACTATTAAGATAATCTAATGATAAGCTTCAGAGTGGAAAATAATCTCAAAACACATATCTAATAAAGGACTTGTATCCAAAATATTCAAAGAACTCCTAAAACTCGAAAATAAAAGAACAAATAGCCCAATTAGAAATTGGGCACAAGATCAATGTACCCTGTTCAAAATCAAAGGTTGTTGTCCACTGTATGTGACAATGTTTGGCAGCTGATGGTTATGTACTATAAGTACTTTTTTTTTAAGTCAAGCACATCCTCTTCTTTGCGACTGTGACTTACTCAGAAACTAGGAAAATTGTCTTGCAGAATATCCCTCATCTAGAATTGCTTACCCTCTTGAAATATTGTTAAGCTTATTGATCTGACATATTTTCTGTGAGATGTATCTCATATCTTATGGTTTGATAAATTCAAATTAAATATATTTGATGTGAATCTCATAAGTGATGGTGTGTGCTTTGTATAGCATTGAATCAGAAGACATACAATATCTGATTGACACACCATTAGTGATGGTAAGTGTTACCCCTAGATTAGCTTGTGGGAGGCTAATTCCTCTACTGCATCATTAAATATTTCCTCTTTTACCATGGTGGTGCTTTTAGGGCACTATACATATATCCAATTCCTTGTCAGCCGATTGATATTCCTTTCATGGATGAATAATTACATTTGGGTTTGCAAAATTAGGCTTTCTAACTCTATCAATTCTTCTACATTTATTAGCTAACATTCTGCTCTTAGAGCTTTGCTACGTCAATTAGGACTTTTTGAACTGCTTTTTCTTATGTTGTAAGTTAATGGAACTAATTCTGTTAATTATTTTAGATGCCAAGAATTATTAACAATTTCAAGACAGTGACAGTTGAGCTTTAAACAAAGTACAGGGCCCTTGAAAGTGCAGAGCCCTGTGCTGCTGTTTAGGGCACATGCCTGTGAAGTCAGTCCTGTCAGGGACATTGACATCTTTTTGTACTGATTTTTCCCTTTTTTGTTTATTATAACAGCAGTGTATTGAGTAGTCACAATGGCAAGCAAGTGCATTTTATATTTAAGTATAAAAAGAGCTCAAGCTGCATTTATTATTTCTCAATAAATGTTTGTCCAGGAGGCCTTGATTTTACTATGTGAGAGATTTCATTGTCCATTCATTTAAATCTTGTCAAATTGGCAATTTGTACTACATTGCAGGGACAGTATATAGTTTATCAGTCTCTAATTTTTTGTCTTCTGTTTCCAAGTGGTTTTAAAACATGCAATCATATGTTTCATCAAAATATAGCATAACCTCACCACATGGACTCAAAAACCACTGATTATTTTTAGAAGCACGCAAAAGAAAATGCCTATGGCACAAGCCCGTAAACTGAATTGTGCATATACCTAAGAATGGCATTTGGAAAACAAAACGCTGGGCTCCCTTATCATCCATATCTCATTAGTGCATAAGGAAGAAATCAATTCGTAATGTATACGCTCCTTTGAAGAATCGTAAGTGCCACGCACCTCAAAATCTAGGTAAACTATCAATACAAAAGGAAAATATCTATGTACCCTGTTCAAAATCAAAGGTTGTTGTCCACTCTGTGTGAGGCAATTGTAATGGAGAAAGCTATACAGAGAGGCTGGCTTGCATTTTTTCAGGAAAAAAATCTGAAAAAAAAAGAAAATCCGCTTAGGTCAACAGCTCAAGATAAGGCAATTTTACAGTGCCCTTCCTGCTGCTCTTCTTAAGAGTGATAACCACAGCAAGTTCATGGATAGATAATCTGTGAGGTCACACAGGGCCTCACACTTTAAAAAGACCCCATATTTTGTTCAATGCTCTGCTCTTGCGTCTTGAAATTTTTAATGATTTTTGAGCAAGAGGCTCTGCAAATTCAGTAGCAGTCCTGGTGACACCGTGTACATTTGTTTTATTAAAAACAGTTCAGGCAGGGTGCGGTGGCTCACACCTGTAATCCCAGCACTTTGGGAGGCCGAGGCGGGCGGATCACGAGGTCAGAAGATCGAGACCATCCTGGCTAACACGGTGAAACTCCGTACCTACTAAAAAAATACAAAAAATTAGCTGGGCATGGTGGTGGGCACCTGTAGTCCCAGCTACTCAGGAGGCTGAGGCAGGAGAATGGCATGAACCCGGGAGGCAGAGCTTGCAGTGAGCCGAGATCACGCCATTGCACTCCAGCCTGGGCGACAGGGCAAGGCTCCGTCTCAAAAAAAAAAAAAAACAACAACAACAAAAAAAAACAGTTCAGTATGGAAACATCAATCTAATGACGAACATAAGTAATTGGATATTAAATAGTAAAAAGCACAATAAAATCAAATACAGACATGTATTTTATTTATAAACCTTCATATAGTCTGGTTTTATCTCAGGTTTGCATAGAACACAACTTTCAACATTCTTTCTTTCTAAGATGTTGGTTTTCCGATAACGTATCTGCAGCACCAAAAGTGCTAAAGGATTATGCCAAAAGCCCCGTTGTCATCCTGAAACTGTATTTAATTGCTGCAGGGATTAAACAGGCTTTGACAACATTTTATTATGCCTGTAAGCATCACAGTGAGCACTCTGGTCCGTTTTCCATTCCCTTTTTATAGATAAAAACACACAAACAAAAAAAGATTTCACTTTGTATTTTTGTGAAAAAAATACATAACAGTAATTTATGGAAAGAGAGCAGTACCTAAACAATGGCATCACCAGTGACAAAATGAGGAGATTCACTATTACACACAGAGAAAGTGGAGTTAAGTAATACAGACATGAAAAAATTAATGGGAAAAAAGAAATCATGACAGAACCCAAGAAATACACCGAATTAGGATCATATGATGTGCAGTGAAGACTGGGAATCTCCACATTCCTTGACTCATTGTGAAGTTTAATTCAAGATCATGAGAGAAACAGAAATGTTTAGGACAATGCCAAGCACATAACTGCTTTTCAATATTTGGTGAGCATTTTCCCTCAAACCTCAATGCAGTCTCCTGGTAAATGAGGCTGGATGAGATGGACCTGCAAGAAACTTGAAGCAATAAAGGCAGTGTGCTATTTCTTTGGTCCTTTTCTTCTAGGCTGATATAGAATGTCAGCTATTTAAATGTGACTATTTCACTCCAAAAAAAAAAAAAAAAAAGGAGAAAGAGAGAAAACTAAGTCCAAGAAAAGACCAGGAAGACAAGTTCTGAAAGAAAGTTTTTCCTTAGGTCTGACTCAGCTTTTTCATCTTCTGAGCCAGCCTCTCATTTTTAGGCTGCCTAGAATAGGGCTCCTTAAAAGAAGCTCATACCCCACTACATGCATGGGAAACATGTAACTCAAAAGGTGCAATTAAGATTGCTGGCAATCTTTGATGTTCCTTAGCTTGCAGAAGCATCACCCTGATCTCTACCTTCATCTTCACATGGTGTTCTCCCTATATGCATGTCTGTGTCCAAATTTCTTCTTTTCATAAGGACACAAGTCATATAGGATTAGGGTCCACCCAGATGACCTCATTGTAAATTGACTACCTCAGTAAAGACTCTATCTATCGCCAAATAGGGTCACATCCCGGGCTACTAGGAATTAGGATGTTAGTGTACGAATTTGGATGAACACATCAATACATAATAAAGGTCAGTATAAAGCCTTTCTGATTTACATTAACAAGAATAAGTGTAGTAAACTGCCTTTGTAATGTGCTATAAGCAGAAAAACATTTATTAGTGGTTGCAGGTGTGTTTTTAGCAATAATATATGTTTGCAAAAGTGAGAGAACAGTAATATCACTTTTAGTTTACACTGGGCTAATAGAATGGTGTGATAAATAGATTAATAATATGTTGGGTGTAAGAAATGAATACAAATTAGTGAAAACACTGAAGACACCACATCTGTTTACACAGTACTCATCCCTGCATATTCTGAAAAGCCTGAGTTAATGCTTAATTCAGAAACTGATGAATCATGTGTTGTTCCTGAAATTAAGTGCAAGTTGCCGATTGAGTCTTCCTATGGTTCCTATGAAGATGGATGCAGCATCTACATATCTACATGAAGAAAGATGAGGAAGATATTTTTATTTCATGCCTTCTATGTCTCATGCTCAGTGATTTTAGACTGTATCGACCAAAATATGAGGCAATTGACCTTCTGTTACAGAAGTGCTACTCAATGATGATGCTAGAAAAAAAAATTCTCTCCTTACCCCAATTCTGTTTCCTAAATCCATGCAATGGAAGTGATGCAGTTTATCTTTTAAGGTACAGTCTCTTCACTCTGGTAGATGGAATGGGAAAGACAAAGCTACAGCTCTCAATGAGCTTATGCTCCAGTGAAGTAGACAAAGGAATCTTTATATGATTGTCCAGAATTATTACATTTCCTTCTTATTTTTGGTAATTTTCTATATTATGAGCCCCAGTCAGTTTCTAGAGATAAAACAAAAAGCTGATATACCCAACTTCCTCGTAGGTTGGTATAAGTGCATGGCCTTTGTGGTGTAAGTAGAAGTGCATGGTCTATTTTCCACCAATCATTTGGACCCAAGCAAAAGATCAGGCAAATACTTGGAGTGAATGAGTCACTCAGGCCAGGGGGCAGGGGCGGGCAGAGGCACATGGAATCCCAGGGTGGCAGGGGTGGAACTACAGGTTAGAGTGTCATATGAGTGAGTGATACTGTCAGTACCATCATTGTGAGAAGCCACATGGTGTGGCTGGGAATTGTTATTGGTTTAATAGCCTCAGGATCTATATCTTTCACCCTCCTGGGAATTTCAAAATGTGTCTATAATGTTGAACAATTCCCATGCCTTCTGATACCTGTCAGAGTGCAGTCTGTTATTTATGCCTGAGAACCTCTGAGAAATAAAGTAATCCATTGCAAAATGCCAAGTACTGTGAAAAAAGAAATAAGTTGGCAAGAGAAAGAAGTAGTCCACAATCTGTTTTGCTCACAACTCCTCCAAGGAATTTTATTGTTTTAAATTTTAGATTCAGGTGGTATACTTGCAAGTTTATGGAAAAGAGAAACCTGGATGCATATGTTGCATAATGCTGTGATTTGGACTTCTATTGAACCAGTCACCCAAATAGTGAACATAATACCCAATAAGTAGTTTTTCAGCCCGTTCCCCTTTCCCTCCTCCCCACTTTTGGAGTCTCCAGTGTCTATTGTTTCACTCTTTATGTTCATGTGTCCCCAATATTTGCTCCCACTTATAAGTGAGAGCATGCAGCATTTTATTTCCCATTTCTGCATTAATTCACTTACAATAATTATCTCCAGCTATAACCATGTTGCTGCAAATGACATGATTTTGTTCTTTTTTTATGGATCCATAGTATTCCATGCTGTTTATATACCAGATTTTCTTTATTCCATTCACTGTTGATAAACACGTAGGTTGAGTCCATGTCTTGGCTATTGTAAATAGTGCTGTGATAAATATATGAGTTCAGGTGTCTTTTTGATAGAATGATTTAATTTCTTTAAGGCATATACCCAAGAACTAGAACAAGACAAGGATGTCCATTCTCATTACCCCTATTCAATATAGTACTGGAAGTCCTGGCCACAGTAATTAGGCAAGAGAAAGAAATAAAATGTTATCTATATAGGAAAAGAGGAAGTCAAGTTATCTCTGTTCATTGATGATATGATTTATATCTAGAAAATCCTAAATATTACTCCAAAAGACTCCTAGACATAATAAATGACTTCAGTAAAGTTTCAGGACACAAAATCAGTGTAAAAAAATCAATAGCATTTCTATACATCAATAATATTTAAGGTGAGAACAGAATCAAGAATGTAATCCCATTTACAGTAGCCACGCACACAAAAAAATACCTAGGAATACATTTAACCAAGGAGGTGAAAATCTGTACAACGAAAACTATCAACTACTGTTGAAATAAATTATAGATGACATAAACAAATAGAAAAACATCCCATACTCCTGGATTGGAAGAATCAACATCATTAAAATATCCATACTGCTCAAAGCATTCTACAAAATCAATGCAATTTCTATCAAATTACCAATGTCATCTTTTCACAGAATTAGAAAAAAACTATTCTAAAATTCATATGGAACAACAACAGCTAAAAAGAGCCCAAATAGCCAAAGTAATCACAAGCAACATGAATAAAGCCAAAGGGTATCACATTGCCCAGCTTTACACTACAAGGCTACAGTAACCAAAACAACATGGGTTTGGTACAGAGACATATAGATGAATTGAACAGAATAGAAAACCCAGAAATAAATATGCACAGCTACAACCAAGTGATCTTCAACAAAGCTGACAAAAATAAACAATGAAGAAAAGACACCCTATTCAATAAACGGTTCTGGGAGAACTGGTTAACCACTTACAGAAGATTGAAACTGATCTTTAATAGATCACTTTTATTTTATTTTTTATTTTTTATTTTTTTTGAGATGGAGTTTCACTCTTGTGGCCCAGGCTGGAGTGCAATGGTGCGATCTCGGCTCACCGCAACCTCCGCCTCCCGGGTTCAAGCGATTCTCCTGCCTCAGCCTCCCGAGTAGCTGGGATCACAGGCATGTGCCACCACGCCAGGCTAATTTTGTATTTTTAGTAGAGACGGGGTTTCTCCATGTTGGTCAGGCTGGTCTCGAACTCTCGACCTCAGGTGATCCATCCGCCTCAGCCTTCCAAAATGCTGGGATTACAGGCGTGAGCCACCACACCCAGCTTAGATCATTTTTATACTTCTTGTAACGAAAGTGTTTATATGAATTAAATATTAATTTTTATTTCCTGTGACAACACAAAGTGTCTAAACATTTATTTGTATTGTCATAATTTTATATATTATTAGTATACAATTAATCAAAACAATATAAAATATGCATTTTTATAATGTTTGTTAAATACCAAATACATATAATGTGCCTCGAGTGAGATGAATAGGATTTCACTACTCTCCAGTAGTTTGCATGTCATGAATAAATAAAATATATTCTTAGAAACTCAGTAAATGATGTCTTTTTTTATTTTAATATCTATAAGCTTTGAGAAATCATGTTGACAAAAATAATTATATGGTAATTGAAAGAGTTGTATTATAGCAAATTCATTTATTTATTCGAATGTCTTTGAATTGCATGCCAAAAATGACACTGAAGGAAAACCTAATTGAATTCTCAGATGATATATTATTAAAAATATTTGTTGATGATGGATGACTATGGTATTCATGCTTTCAGTTTCTATAATGGACATTTTAAGAATTATCAAATGACTATTAATTCTATGGATTGCTTATTTCCATATTTAACCTAATAAGCTCAGAACACTTCTGAAAATCAAAATGTTTGCATGTATTACATATTTACCAGTGTAGTATTTCTCATAAAATAATATGTATGTAAAATATATTTTAATTAAAATCTTGGTGCTTCAGCGTTAGCATATTCTACTTACAAAAAATATTTTTCCTATTATTTAAATTGGTGTATCAAATCCTCATTGTGTTCCAAACATACAGATTAGTCTTACTGAATTTTAGATAATGAATTTATTTTTAATTTCTGATAAGTGTTACTAAGATGTCTATCTCAAGAAGTCCCATAAAAACACTAAGAAAGGAATTGTAGTATGTCATAAAAGATATATTACCAAAAAGCAGTCAAGATTAGAGATGTAGAAATAATTTAATAAATTTATCAAATTTTATAAATTATAAAAACAAGATATTATTCTGTTTTACATGCTCAATTTATAATGCAGTCTCAGTAAGTATAATTATTATTTATAATAGAGAATGATAAAAAATATGTTACATCTTTAATAAACATGAGTACAATATAAAATTTTAATGTTTGGTTTATGGGCATAAACAAGTAAAAATTTATATTTTTAGTGACAAAAATTTTTACTGATAAAAATCAGTAATAACTCCAATAATTGCATAAAACATCATGATAAAACTTTTCCTATGTACTAATATGTAATATTAGAAGTGTATGTTAGTATGTAATAATAGAACATAACAGAAAAATACATCGTCTCATGTAACTTCTTTTTTGTTAAATAGAAGGTAGACAATATTAAATATTTTATGACATAAGATGAACATTCATTATAATTAAAACAATACATCAAGATATGATTTGACTAGGTCAGCTTTATTTACCTTATTGGTTAATATGCACTAATGCTAAAAGAAATTACATGTAAGTTTTATCCTTGGATTTTATCCAATGTATATTGAAAATTTTGATAGTCTTCAAGAATATCTAGTGAGAGACTAACTATATGAATTAACATAATAACTAATGCTGCTTTAATACTCTAAAGATAATTTCTAAGATAAAATATTTTAAAGATGAATACAATATTAAGAATTTCTGAAGATAATTGCTTGACTTTAAATATGTTTTTTAAAATTTTGTGTGCATTCAATGTCTCTCTTTTATGCTATCTTACTTTTGCTCTTGGTATCCTCTTTTAAGAATGATGCACTCTTTGATTTTTTAAATGATTACTTATACCTGTCCACTCCACCATTTGATTAAATTCAAAACTTTTCCTAACAGAGCCAAAATGCCCTTCTGTCGATGCTATATTTCACCATTAAGAAAACTATTTATAAGAGAAGAGGCCTTCAAGATGCATGTGTCTTGTTTAAACATTACAAAAAGCTTTCTTTTGTTTTTTTTCTTGGCAACCAAGTGATTTTTCATATAACCTGGTATGGTGAAATATATGGAAGTTAATTGAATTGATAGATTTCCTTAAATCTATCATTGCTGGAATATCCCTGGGAATATCTTCTACAGTTTGAATATGATTGTGTTAGAGTAACTGGGTGAGGTAGTGAGCGATTTATCTACATAGAATAGTTGGAGAAAGGCTCACAGGCCAAGGCATGTGAAATGAAGCATGACATACGAAAGGGGAGCTGAGATGCCAAAAGCTGGGTTGAAGAACATTTTAAGCAGATGAAAAGTACATATGAAGGTCCTAAAGTATGAATGAACTTGGCTGGCTTAAAGATAAAAGACCAGTGTGGGTGGACAGAAGCAACTGAGAAAGAGAATTGAGGTTGAGAAGGAATACAAAAGTAGCTATGCAAAAAAAAAAAAAAAAAAAAAAAAGTTTGCATTTAGGTCAAAATAAAAGAATTCATAGAAAAGTTTAAAGCATAAGAATTTTAGAGTCTGAGTTACATTTTTAAAATGGATTAAAGACTTTAAGATATAACTCTGGCTCCAACATGAAGAATCCATTACAGGAGGCAATAGAGGAAGCATTGTGAAAGTGTTAAGTGAGAAATAATGATGTATTATTAGGCAAGGGAGATGGGCAGAGGCAGAATTGAAATTCACTTTTGAGATATAGTCAACATGATTTGCAGATGAACTGAATTTTCTTTTTTTTTCCTTTTTTTTCTTTTTTCTTTTTTTTGTTTTGTTTCGTTTTTTGAGACGGAGTTTCGCTCTTGTTGCCCAGGCTGGGGTGCAATGGCACGATCTCAGCTCACCGCAACCTCCGCCTCCCGGGTTCAAGCGATTCTCCTGCCTCAGCCTTCCGAGTAGCTGGGATTACAGGCATGTGCCACCATGCCCAGCTAATTTTGTATTTTTAGTAGAGATGGGGTTTTTCCATGTTGGTCAGGCTGGTCGTGAACTCCCGACCTCATGTGATCTGCCCACCTCGGCCTTTCAAAGTGGTGGCTGGGTGAGCCAACACGCCCAGCCAGAACTGAATTATCAAAGTATTAAAGGGAGAGAAATAGTGATGAGTACCCTGGAATTTGGATTAACGTCACTGTCATTTATTGAGATGAAAATTCCTGGAGAATGAAAATTCATAAGGAGGAATTTCATTTTGAGCATGCTAATTTGCTATGAAATTAATATAGATTAAATATCTTATTAAAAATAGATCTCGGGCCGGGCACAGTGGCTCACGCCTGTAATCCCAGCACTTTGGGCGGCTGAGGCGGGTGGATCACGAGGTCAGGAGATCGACACAAGCCTGGCTAACACAGTGAAACCCCGTCTCTACTAAAAATACAAAAAAATTCGCCAGGCATGGGGGCGGGCGCCTGTAGTCCCAGCTACTTGGGAGGCTGAGGCAGGAGAACGGCATGAGCCTTGGAGGCCGAGCTTGCGGTGGGCCAAGACCGCGCCACTGCACTCCAGCCTGGGCAAAAGTGCGAGATTCCGTCTCAAAAAAAAAACAAAAAAAAAACACCTCATATTGAATTAATAATAAAGCTCAAAAGTTTAAGAAATATACCTAAATCAAAATAGTAATAAAATGTTAAAGTAAATAGGTGGATTAAAATACATCTGAGAAACTCAAATAGGAACAGTGCAGTTCTACTAAACATTAACACAGAATCCAAGGTAAGAGTCATTAAATTAGTGGCTATATTGCATTGACATGTTCCACTATGAGCTTTTTTGCACCTATAATTATAACATACACCTCTTAAAAACTATTAATCAAGGACACAAAAAGTACATATAAAATAATTTGTAATACTATTAACTGTAAATTTAACTTTATTATCCACATTTTTAAGTATCCATTGGCATACGGAGAAAAATATACACACTGAATCACAAAGAATATCTCAAAAAATTGTAAAATGTCAAATTTACAATTATCTATTTTCCGACAAATACATACAAAATATATTTCAGTTAAAAATAAATAACAAAAGCACAACCACTAAGTCTCATTCACCACTATACATACATTACAATTTAGAAATTAAAAGTATTCCATAGTAAATTTTGGATTAAAAAGAGAATAACAAATCAAATTATAGACTATGATGGAATAATTAAGTATTGCATAGTAACAGAGGTGTTTCTATTAAAATCAATGGGGAATAAGGATTCTTGTAAATAGTATTAGTAATATAATTTTAGAAGTTCTAGCTGTAAGGCATGAAAAAAAGTCAACATAGCTAGTGTAAAGAATAAAATAATTTAGTGTGGAACAAATAAGTTCCTTTTAGACATTTTTGGAAAGGTTTTCTATTTTAAAAAATAAATAAATTTTAAATATATATATGTATGTCTACATGCACACACAATAAAATTAGATCTCCCTTTACAACTACATTGAAATAAACTATAAATGGATTAAATATTAAAATTTTAAGCCAAATTAAATCCCCCAATACTAAAAATTATACAAAAAGTTATACACTTGACTACATATAAAGTCAAAATTGTTTTAGTGTTAAAAATTAGAAGCTACTTTAAAAGACAAACTAGTAAAATATTCAAAACTCATATAATAATGTTTAGCATACTTATTCTTTGTTAAAAAATAATTATTTTAAATATCTATTAGCCAAAAGGACAGAACATGTGGATTCAGTTAAATAGATTACAGCAAAAAAACAGAAGAAATAAAACTGGTTGTTAAACAAGAAAACATATTTGATCTCACAAGTAATCAAATAAATTCATAATAAAATAATGACATACCAGATTTTGGCCTATCAAATTTTCAAAGAACAAAATGGTGAAGAAACTGTGAACCTGAATTCTGATGAAATGCTGCCAAGAGTGTAAATAGATAAATACTTTCAGGGAGGTAATTTTCTATTATGTATCAAGATTTTTAAGATAAGTAACGTGAATTTGATAAAGTATTTTTACTTCTAGTAATCCCTCATTAAGAAATTATTACTGATATGGACAATAGAAATCTATGCAATGATGTTCATATGGGGAAACGTGTGGTATAGGTGAAAACAAAGGATACTTACAGGAATATCTCACTTTATGGTACTTCACTTTATTGCACTTCATAGATACTGCATTTTTTGCAAACTGGTTTGTGGCAAGTCTGTGCTGAGCAATTTTATCAGTTTATCAGTGTCATTTCCCAATGCGACACAGAGACGGCATTTGTACACTCTGTATCTCTGTGTCACATTTTGGTAATTCTTGCAATGTTTCAAGCTTAATTATTATTGTTGTATTTCTTATAGCGATCTGTAACCAGTGATCTTAAAGTTACTATTGTAATTGTTTGAGGGCACTACAAACCACTCCCATATAAGAAAGCAAACTTAATTAATACATGTATGTGTTCTTACTGCTCCACAGACCAGTCATTCCCCTATCTCTATGCTTCTCTAAGATTCTCCCTATTCCCTGAGATACAACAGTATTGAAATTAGGCCAATTAATAATCCTACAATGGCCTCTAAGTGTTCGAGTGAAAGGAAGAGTCACGTATCTCTCACTTTAAGTAAAAAGCTATAAATGATTAAGCGTAGTGAGGAAGGCATGTCAAAAGCCAAGACAGGTTGTAAGCCAGGCCTCTTGCTCCAAACAGTTAGCCAAGCTGTGAATACAAATCAAAAGTTATTGGCAGAAATTTAAAGTGCTACTTGAATGAACACACAAATGATAAGAAAGTGAAACAGCCTTATTACTGACATGCAGAAAGTTTCAATGTTCTTGACAGAAGATCAAGCCAATTATATAACATTCTCTTGAAACAAAGCCTAACCCAGTTCAAACTCTCAATTCAATGAAAGCCCAGAGATGTGAGGAAGCTGTAGAAGAAAGTTGGAAGCTAGCAGAAGTTGGTTGATGAAATTTAAGGAAAGAAGCCATCTCCATAACATCAAAGCACAAGATAAAGCAGCAATGCTGATGGAGAAGCCGCAGCAACTTATTCAGATCTAGCTAAGATAAATGATGAAGATGAATGCACTAAACAGATTTTCAATGTAGATGAAATAGCTTCATATTGGAAGAAGATTTCATCTAGGTCTGTCGTAGGGAGGAGAAGTCAATGCCTGTCTTCAAAGCTTCTAAAAACAGTTTGACTCTTGTTAGGGGCTAATGCTCCTGATGAGTTTAAGTTGAAGCCAATGGTCATTTACCATTCAAAAAAATCCTAGGACCCTTAAGAATTATGCTAAATCTACTCTGCCTGTGCTCTATTAAGTGGATCAATAAAGCCTAAAAGATAGCACATCTATCCATAGCGCAGTTCACTGAATATTTTAAGCCCACTATTGAGACTTGCTGATAAGAAAGAAAGATGCCCCTCCCTCCCCTCCCCCAACGCGAGGGCGGGCGGGCGCTGCGAGGAGGGCTAGGCCTGGGCCGGGCTCCCGCCCCAGTGCTGTGCGTGGGGAGCGATCTGTGTGTGGGGGACCGCGTGGAGGGGTGGCCGCTGCGTGTGCGGTACTGTGGAGGCGGCGGGGCCGCTGGGCGCCCCTTTTCCGCCTGGTAACCTCGCCTCTGTGCTTCCCTCTCGCTCGCCCTGTTCCTCCTCTAGTCCCTCGGCTCCGTGCCCGGGACCCTGCCAGCAGAGGAGACAGGTATATGCTCGTCACTTTCGAAGAGCCGCCCTGTGCTATCAAGGCTGGATGGAAAGAAAACCATGCAACGTTTATGAATGAACTGAAAAACCTTCAGGCTGAAGGACTTAGGACTCTTGGCCAATCCCTAAGGACAGCTTTTGATTTATTAAATTTAAATAGATTAGCAACTGGCATAGACAACTATGGGCAGGGAAGAAACCCTTTTTTCTTGGAGCCAGCAATAATTATCACAATTACTGATGGGAGCAAGTTGACTACCACCAGTGGAGTCCAGGATGAGCTTCATTTACCTCTTAATTCTCCTTTGCCTGGAAGTGAATTGACCAAGGAACCTTTTCCTTGGGATCAGAGATTCTTTGCATTAGTGTTGCAGTTGCCTGGCACCATGTCAGTAGAATCAGAACAGTTGACAGGTGTGCCTTTAGATGACCCTGCAATCACACCAGACGGCTGGTCGTATTTTGTGTGTTCTCCAAGAATGCTTAATCAGTGTCTGGAGTCCTTGGTGCAGAAAGTACAAAGTTGGGTGGTAATAAACTTTCAAAAAGCAGGACCGGATCCTTCCCCTGTAGAAGATGGGCAGCCAGATATATCAAGGCCTTTTGGATCTCAGCCTTGGCATAACTGTCACAAACTCATATGTGTCAGACCAAATCCTAAAACTGGGGTTCCTATAGGTCATTGGCCTGTTCCAGAGTCTTTTTGGCCAGATCAAAATTCGCCAACACCACCACTTCGTACATCTCATCCTGTAGTGAAGTTTTCCTGTACAGACTGAACCAATGGTTATTGATAAACTTCCTTTTGACAAATACGAGTTGGAACCTTCATCACTGACTCAATTTATCCTGGAAAGGAAATCTCCTCAAACATGTTGGCAGGTGTACGTCAGCAATAGTGCAAAATACAGTGAACTTGGTCATCCTTTTGGTTACTTGAAAGCCAGTATGGCACTGAACTGTGTCAATGTATTTGTGATGCCTTACAATTACCCAGTCCTTCCCCTCTTAGATGACTTGCTTAAAGTGCATAAAGCAAAACCAACACTGAAGTGGAGACAGTCATTTGAAAGTTATTTGAAGACCGTGCCTCCCTACTATCTCGGGCCCTTCAAGAAAGCTGTTAGTATGATGGGAGCACCTAACCTAATAGCAGACAGTATGGAATATGGACTTAGTTACAGTGTCATTTCATACCTCAAAAAACTGAGTCAACAGGCCAAAATAGAATCTGATCGAGTCATTGGATCTGTAGGCAAAAAAGGAGTACAGGAAACTGAAATAAAAGTCTGGAGCCAATCACATGGTTTATCAAGGGCATATAGGAAAGATTTTCAACAGCTCCTCCAGGGAATTTCAGATGTCCCTCACAGACTGCTAGACCTTAATATGAAGGAATACGCTGGGTTCCACGTTGCTTTGCTGAATAAGGATTTGAAGCCACAGACATTTAGAAATGCTTATGACATTCCAAGACGAAATCTTTTGGATCACTTAACAAGAATGAGATCTAATCTTTTGAAGCACACTCGCAGATTTCTTAAAGGACAGGACGAAGATCAAGTGCAGTGTTCCTATAGCACAAATGGGGAACTACCAGGAATACCTCAAGCAAGTTACCTTCTCCACTAAGAGAACTTGATCCTGATCAGCCGCAAAGGTTACATACATTTGGCAATTCCTTTAAGCTGGATAAAAAGGGTATGATGACAGATGAAGCAGATGAATTTGTGGCTGGACCTCAAAATAAACATAAATGACCTGGAGAATCAAATATGCAAGGGATCCCTAAAAGACGTCAGTGTATGTCTCCACTACTAAGAGGCAGACAGCAGAATCCTGTTGTAAACAATCATATCGGGGGAAAAGGACCACCTGCACCTACAACTCAAGCACAGCCAGATCTTATTAAGCTTCTTCCTCTTCATAAAATTTCAGAAACCACTAATGATTCGATAATACATGATGTGGTTGAAAATCATGTTGCAGACCAACTTTCGTCAGACATTACACCAAATGCTATGGATACTGAATTTTCAACATCTTCTCCAGCCAGTTTACTGGAAGGGCCAACCAATCATATGGAGGCTCCTGGTCATGACAATTTAGGAACGAATGACCTCACTGTTGGTGGATTTTTAGAAAATCATGAGGAGCCAAGAGATAAAGAACAATGTGCTGAAGAGAACATACCAGCATCTTCACTCAACAAAGGAAAGAAATTGATCCATTGCAGAAGCCATGAAGAGGTCAATATCGAACTAAAACCACAAATAATGAAAGAGATCTGAAAGCCAGGGAGAAAATATGAAAGAATCTTCACTTTACTGAAGCATGTGCAAGGCAGTTTACAAACAAGACTAATATTTTTACAAAATGTTATTAAAGAAGCATCAAGGTTTTAAAAACGAATGCTAATAGAACAACTGGAGAACTTCTTGGATGAAATTCATCGAAGAGCCAATCAGATCAACCATATTAATAGCAATTAAAAGAAAATAGAATGTGGCCACTTCACTATCTTCTTCAAATACAAAGTAAATACAAGACTGTTGTGATCTTGCATTCATTTTCTGACATGCATTGTCGGCTATTTGAAATACTAAAAGCAAATCTACAGATCATTTTCCGTCATTTTACAGTGACCTTTTCTTCATTTTGGTTTATTTTTGTAATGTGAAAAGTATCACTCTAAAAAACATTTTTATTTAACAAACTGAAAATATTCCTCCAAAGAAAAAAGAAAGAAAAATTCTTTTTGAAATATTATTGCTCATTGACAATGCACCTATTCACCCAAGAGCTCTGATAGACATGTACAAGGAGATTAGTGTTGTTTTCATGTCTGCTAACACAACATCCATTCTTCAGCCCACAGATCAAGGAGTAATTTCATCTTTCAAATTTCATTATTTAAGAAATACATTTGTAAGGCTATAGCTTCCATATATAGTGATTCTTCTGATAGATCTGGGCAAAGTAAATTCAAAACCTCTGGAAAGGATTCACCAGTCTAGATGCCATTAACATTTGTGATTCATGTGAAGAGGTGAAAATATCACTAACAGGAGTTTGGAAGAAGTTGATTCCAACCCTCATGGGTGACTCCGAGGAATTCAAGACTTCAGAGGAAGAAGTAACTGCAGAGGTAGGAGAAACAGCAAGAGATCTAGAATTCTAAGTGAAGCCTGAAGATGTGACAATTGCTACAAGCTCATGATCAAATTTGGAAAGATGAGAAGCTTCTTTTTATGGATAAGCCAAGAAAATGGTTTCTTGAGATGGAATCTATACCTGGTGAAGACGAGTTGAACATTGTTAAAATTACAAGAAAGGATTTAGAATGTGACATAAATTTATGTGTATATATATGTATAAATACACACATATATATGTATAATATAAACTTAATTGATCAAGCAGCAACAGGGTTAGAGAGGATTGACTCTAATTTTGGAAGAAGTTCTACTCTTGGAAAAATGCTACCAAACAGCATCGCATGCTACAGAGAAATCTTTTGTGAAAGGAAGAGTCAATCACTGTGGCAAACTTTATTGTTCTCTTATTTTAAGAAATTGCCACAGCCACCCCACCCTTTAGCAACCATCACTCTGATCAGTCAGCATCCATGAACCTCAAGGCAAGAACCTTCACCAGCAAAAAAATTACAACTCTCTCAAGGCTCAGATGATCATTAGCATTTTTTAGCAATAAAGTATTTTTTAAGGTTTCCACATTTTTTTACACATAATGCTATTGCATACTTACTAGACTACAGGATAGTGTAAACATAACTTTTATATGTACTGTGAAACCAAAACATTTGTGTGACTCACTTTATTGCAATATTCACTTTATTGTAGTGGTCTGGAACTGAACCTGAAATAACTCCTAGGTATGTATACATAAAACATAATTCTTAAAAAAGTTGTGTTTGTAAATATGTTGGAAGAAAATAATATTAAATATATTAAAAATGTAATGTATTTTTGGTGGTTAGATTATGACAAGTATTTTTTTGCAGTGTATATTCCATCTGCTACCATGAACTACATGTCTTTCGTGCCAGGGGAAAAATCATGCACTTAACACAAAAACCTTCAATTGCAAAATGTAGTCATTATTTTAACATTCCCTCTGCAGATGTTTTCTTTAAGAAAATAAGATGAACAAATCATTGCCAGCTGTTCAAATGATAAATACTCCGATCAAATAAGTATTGCTCTATTAAATTAATTAATGGGACCATTAGTCAAATTAATTTAACTATTAACTATCATAGTGTTAGACTATGCTTGTCTCTCTTCCCTTGTAAGTTTTGATTATGCAAATTTTAATAAAATTCACTGTAAAAGTATTTTGCCTTTGAAACTTTTTTAAAAAGTTACTATTGTAGCATATGCAACTGCCTTTAGCTAATATCCTCTTCCCACCTCCAAAATTTAATCATACTGTACCTCGAGCAGGAAGCCCTGAAGTCTGTAAATAAGCTTAGCAAAGGCCTGACATGTAAGCATACAAATGTTAGTTGCTTGTCATTCTGAATCTTTTGTGCCATTTGATTTTCTTTACATATGCAGCAACTTTCCCACCAAAAAGTAAACAAACAGAAACAGCTAGGCAAAAATAAATAGCTAGCTAGGTTAGCTAGCTACATTGATAGAGAGAGAGCAAACAAATTATCTAATGATTGAACAGTCTTGCTGGCTCTTTGTTTACCCCTCCAGATCAGTCACCACATCCCTCCACTCAGTTCTGTGCTATGGGAGTCTGACCTTATAGATTGCATCAGCTGCACCCAGCGCCCTCTGGCTTCCAATTTAGTTTGTTTAATGGAAGGTACAGACTGGCTAGCAGAGGAAAGTTCCCTCCCTACTGGGCCTTAGGTGGCAGTTGCTGGGTTTCTCTTCCAATGGACTTCCAGGAGGTCTTGTCTTTCAGCTATCCTAGCCTAAGGGTAGTGCTGGCTCTTTGCTCCTACTATTTACACTTTCTTTGGCTGGTCCACATCCTTGTTGGCATTGACAGTCTCTAACTTCAGCTCTTGTGATAGACGTGTATCTGTATTTCACTGTACTTTAATTTGCAATTCTCTAATCAATTGTACCTAGCCATTTGCACATCCCTTTTGTTATCCTTATTGATCATTGGAATACACTCTCTTGTGAGGAGTCTTTGCCTGTTTTCTAAAAAAATCAATTGTCAGGTGAGGCGCGGTGGCTCACACCTGTAATCCCAGCACTTTGGGAGGCCAAGGTGGGTGGATAGCGAGGTGAAGAGATGGAGACCATCCTGGCCAACATGGTGAAACCCCGTCTCTACTAAAAATACAAAAATTAGCCGGGCGTGGTGGTGCGTGCCTGTAGTCCCAGCTACTCGGGAGGCTGAAGCAGGAGAATCGCTTGAACCCGGGAGGTGGAGGTGGCAGTGAGCCGAGAGCCTCAGGTTGGCGACAGAGTGAGACTCCATCTAAACCAAAAAAACAAAAAACAAAAAATCAATTGTCAGTCTTTTTATTATTATTGTTTTGTAGGAGCTCTTTATTCTGAATACAATTTATCAAATATGAGTCTATGCTTTGCTTTTTAACACTTAATGTTAAAATGTATTTGAATAAAAATAAATTCTTAATTTTAATGCAGTTCACTTATAATCTTTTTTGTATGGTGTGAGTTTTCACACTGTTCGAGAAATCTTTGTTTAAGAAGATCTTCATGAAACACCAACTATTTAAAGGTCTTAAAGATTTTCCCCTATTTTCTTCAGGAAGAATTATTGTTTTTCTTTTTATATTTAGGTATATGATATACCCCTAATTTTTGCCTATCCCATATATCGTAGGTCAAAGTACATATTTCCCATATAGATTTCCAGTTGACCTAGATCTTTCTAACTCGCAGAACTGCGACAATGCTTTTGTCACATATCATCTCATATATCATGTATGGAACTGTCTCTGGGCTCTATATTTTAGTTCATTGGTATGATTGTGCTTGTACTAATCTTACATTGTCTTAATTGCTGTGCTTTTGTAACAGGTCTTTACATCTGGTACTGTATAGCTTTCATTTGTTCTCTTTTGAGATTACCATAAGTATACTGGATCTGCATTATAGAAAGTGCACAAATTTTCAAAAAAAGATGGAATTTTGATTGAGATTGTATTCAAGCCATAGATCAATTTTGGAAAAATTGACATAAAAAAGATTGAGTTCCAAATTTTCCTTCCATCCTGTAGGTTGCCTTCCATCCTGTAGGTTGCCTTAAACACAGCCTTAGCTGCATTCCATATGTTTTAAAATATATGTGAATAACCTTTTCTTTATTGGAAACCCCTTTCAGTGGTTCAAATATCCTGCAAGTAGATATATAGTTAATAATTGCCTACTACGAGTGAAGCACAAGGTCCAAGATTGAATAATTTTAAATGATATTTTGGAAGAATATGGAGAGGAGATATTAGAGAGGAGTATAAAAGAGCTAACTTTTCATCTTATTTACTAGGAAGACAACAGATGACATTTAAGACAAAAAATAAGGAAATATTAGGATAAACATGATATTTTCAAATACATAGGTAAATACCAGAAAATAAGAAACTTTTAAAAAGCTAAAATTGACTAGCCCAGGTAAACAGAAATAGTGAGTACCAAAAAGTGAGTCAGAGGGCTTTTTTTCCTACTGCATAACTCTAATTTTTTAGTTCCATACATGTAGTTGTTTGACAATAAACATCATTTTTATTTAATTTATTAAAAAGACTTTTAAAGAAGATAGAATTTTGTGAAAGATTTGATATTTTCCTTGAAGAACACAATGTTTTAAGCCTAAAATATAGCTAAAATACATTTATGCCACAACATTTCCTTAAGGAAATTGTGTTTCTCAGAAAACACTGAAATGTCTAATTTCTTCTCACACCTGATTTGTTAACGACTAGTTGCAATATAACATTATACTCAAATTCTAAGTTGTCCAAACAAGCACAAGTCTGAAGTCTAAAATTAGCTACTATCTATTGGATTGTGGCCCAGGTAAATTCGTTTGTTCAGTGAAGCAAAAATACTATACATGTGGAATAGTTTAAATATTATTTTTTAAATGTATTATTATTCTTGTATGTATTTGGCTTATGTTTCAAAAGGAAATAAAGCATAGAAAAATGCACAGTTCACTACTGCCCTCTGCTGCATGGAAAGGTGAAGAGAAAAGTGCTAAGAGAAGACCTGCTACCTGGCCTGCAGTGATCTGATTTGGGAATTCAAGCCATGTCATGTCTTCTAGTAAAATGACTCCACCAGCCATTCTCTCTGTAAAATATGCTGACTGAGAGTCCTTGCAAAATGGACCTTGGATTAAACTGCTAGTATTTTTAGAACACCTTCAGATTTTGAGAGAAAAGAGAGTCATTTAAGAAAATAATTCATCAGACAAGATGTTCATGAAGCAGCTACTATTTCAGAGACAGCTCGGGAAGAAAAGTATCTTATTACTACTAGGTCAGTATGGCCAGTCAATGATAAAATCCTATTGTTATAAACTGACATAAGCCAATTTGATCCTTTAGAAGCTATGAAGTCTTTTTTCAGTATGTGTTAAAAGACTCCAGCTATGGGAAGGGAAGACTACATCCCTCTCATTAACAGGCAGCCTGCTGCAATAGGAGCAAATCTTTAACCGTTTTCTGCCAAACATAATGTTTATTGGCAAACAGGAAGAAGAAGTTATCCAACCTAGTCATGCAAGCTGGGAGGTTTCTCTGTCCTCAGGCACTCCCACAAGCAAATGTCAATGCCAATCTTTCAGCAGAATTGGCCAACTCTCTTGTGAGGCCACAAAATGACTCCTCTGTGAAATAAAGTAGGATAGTGGTGGGGGGAGTGGGAGGCAGAACCAAATATAGCATCTACTCTGAAAGACAAAAATATTTTCTTACATTGACAAAGTAATATTATCTTACATAATAAAACTAAAAATTATTTCTGAGTGTTATCTCACTCCTGATTCTTTTAAAATCCTTTGCAACATTTAAACTGTGTCCCTTAATGCCTTTCTGGTGATGACGTCACTTGCTGGATGGTCTTCTACCAGCAGGGATTTCCCACATTGGTTGGGAATATATTCTTGGGTCCTTTATTTTGAGGCTGATGAAATGATCTCATTTTTTTTGTCAGGTAAGGTGACAAATTTCTCTGTGATAGGAGTGGGGATACTGGACAAAACAGAGCTTTGGTTTTGAGCACTTTTTCAGATATCTGTTGGTCATTTGCATGTGACCTTTAAAAAAAGGTTTATTCAGGCCCTTCACCCACATTTTTATTTAGGTGCTTGTGTTTGTTCGCATGTTTTTCTATTGATTTTCGTGACTTCCTTACGTATTTCGGCTATTAGTCATGTATTGTATATATGGTTTGTAAATATTTTCTTCCATCCTGTAGGTTGCCTTTTCATTTTGTTGTTTGTTTCCTGTGCTGTGCAAACACTTTGTAGTTTGATGTAGACCCACTTGTTTATATTTGTTTTTCATTACCTATGCTTTGAGGGTCATATTCATAAAATCATTGTCAAGACTAATGTCATGAAGCTTTTCTTGTGTTTTCCTCTAGGATATTTACGACTTCAGATATTATGTATGTATAAGGCTATTTTGAGTTGAACTTTGTGTATTGTGTAAGATAAGAATCCAATTTTATTCTCTTGCATATGGTTATCTGGTTTTCCAAGCACCATTTACTGAAGAGACTATGCTTTCCCCTTGTGTATCCTTAGTACTTTTGTACCCATGCATGGCTTTATTTCTGAACTCTCCATTCTATTCTGTTGGTTTATGTGTTGGTTTTTGTGACAGTAACATACAGTTTTGATTACTGTAGCTTTATAATGTATGAAAAAGTGCTGTGCTCAACATCATTAATCATCAGGAAAATGCAAATCAAAACCACAATGAGGCATCACCTCACACTTCTTAGGATGGCTATTATCAAAAAGCCAAATGACAAGTGTTGGCAAGAATGTGGAGAAAAGAAACCCTTATACTGTTGATAGGATTCTAAATTGCTATAGCTATTATAAAAAAGAGTATACAGGTTCCTCAAAAAATTAAAAATAGAGCTACAATATGATCCAGCAATCCCACCTCACTGCTGAGTATGTATCCAAAGGAATTAAAAACAGTTCTTGAAAATATATCTTCACTTCTATTTTCACTGCAGTTTATTCACAATAGCCAAAAGGGAAACAACTTGTGTCCATTGATGAATGAATGGATAAAGAAAAAATGGTGTGTGTGTATTTATATTTATGTTTATATACAATGAAATATTATTCAACCTTAAAAGAGAAGGAAATCCTGCCATGGATGAACTTAGAGGACATTATCCTAAGTGAAATAAGCCAGACACTGCAAGACAAATACCACATGATCTCACTTACATGTGGAATCTGAAGAGAAACTCATAGAAACAGAGACTGGAGATGGTTGCCAAGGGCTGGGGGATTAGGGAAAGGGGGGATTGGTCAAAGAGTACAAGCTTTCAGTATAAGATGAATAAATTCTGGAGATCAAATGTACAGCATGGTAACTATAGTTAATAATAATAATAATAATAATAATAATAATAATATTAGTCTGGTGCAGAAGTAATTGCAGTTTGCCATTACTTTCAGTGGCAACATTAGATACTTGAAATTTGGTAAAAATAGATCTTAAAGGTTCTCAGCACTACAAACAAAAAAATATAACTCTGTGGAGTGATGAATATGTTAGCTTGATTGTGGTAATCACTTTACAGTGTGTATGTATATTAAAATATCACCTTGTACACTTTAAATTTATACAATTTTTATTTCTCAATTATATTTCAATAAAGCTGAGATAAAACCACAACAAAACAAACAGAGCTCTGGGAATTACAGATTCTACTATCCTGGATTCTTACATTTTATTCCTGCAATGTGATGGTCCAAAGTGGCTGAGGACAGAGATCAGTGACTTCCTTGAGTTTACAAAAAATAAGATGTATTATGGTTTTGTGTCTCCTTTCCAATAATTATTTGATATTTGACAGATACGGGTTTCGACTTGCTTTTACTACAGCGTCCCTCTGGTAAAGTGTCTATGAAGAAGCTTCTAAAAGCTGGAGGGATTGATACCTGTTCCCTCCAAAAGAAAAACCCTGATGACTTATAATGGTTGTCCTTGCTTAAAAGGACAAATGCATTATTATTATTAATAGATGATGTGAGTGATTTCAAAAGATATTGGAGCTATTGTGAACAATAACAGCAAACTTGGAATATTCTTGTAAGATAACCAGAAGGTAAAGTACAACTACAAAGCAATACATCAAAAACAATATATCTAACTATGCTAATATTAAAAGATGAGTCAAAATCAGAGAATAATGGAATTGATCAGAGAAAATTAGCTAGAGATGAGTGTTTGGTCAGATCTTAAAGGAAGGAAGAAATATGATTGACTCGACAGAATCAGATTGCAAGAACAATCTCTAATGTGTTAGAGAGATTGAAGAAATTCTTTAGGTAGGAATACTAGGATAATACAGATAAGCCATGAAGATGAAAACTACAGAGTACATAAAGAGAATCTAATGAAATGAGGATGTCTGGTACCTAAGCCCTTGAAAGATGATTTTGATGCTAGCAATACATGTAATCTCTGAAGTAACTCCACTATACAACTTTCCAGCAAAAGGTGACAAAATCCCCTTTCAAGTTGAAAAATTTTAGAATGTTTTAGTTATATAGAATAGAATGCATTAAAATTATATTTTGGCATATACTTGTATTTGTATTTTAAATGAAAATATAAAATCTTAAGTGCTGAAAAATCAATGTAGCATGTTAATACATGGAAGAAGAACAGACACAATTGTTAGAGGAAATACAAGGACTACTACAGTGATCAATAACATGAACAATGAATTGTATATTTCCTTCCAGGCAAAGAAACAAAACCAATGAAGCAATTTACTGAGGAATTACTCTAGTGGGAAAAGATCAAGGGGTTTTAATGTGCTTCAAAGGTGGGGTTCATTATGGTGCTGCTAATTCAGGATTGAAAACCATATCCTGGATAAGACTGAATGAGTTCCTAAGTCAGTATTTAATTGGTTTTTGAAAATTCCTATTGTTTTTTGTTCAGGAAAGAGCCTTCAGTTAGGTCTGCTGAGGTTCTAGTGTACTGATAACTCTCAAAGTTCTTTGTCATTTATCACCTTCAGCTGGAGGGGCTCTCAGCTCGTAGTCATTTTCCAGGTTCAGTGAGTTGTGATGAAATACAGAATTCAGTTTTGGTATCTTTTAGTCAAGTGCTGCTTTAAGTAGAAAGATCTTTTACATAATGTTAAATTATCTGAATTGGATTTCTGTGTGGTTAAATTTCTCTCTTATGTCTTCATCTTCCCCACCTCCTATACCGCATGGTGCAAAACAAATAAGGTTGGCAGAACACAGACCATATCAGGTATAATTTCTGGTAAAGGTACCATGAATAAAACGTCCAGCTATACAGCTACAAGGTTCAATGCTTCACATTTCTATACCTTAAATCTATTATAGGATGGTGTGGAATTATAATGCTTTCCATTTGCTGGAAATGCATGCATTTGCATGCATCTGGAATAATTTGTTCCATCTGTTCTCATACAATTTATTAGATTTATCGAAACCATGAAGTTAAATTTGGATTCCTGGAAAAGGAACTATTAGGAATTAACATGAATTTATAATAATGCTCAATTCTATACCTCTTTCCTTTGACCAGAATAAATTAGCTAGTTTCACATTGCCTAATGCTAACATTTAAAATGTCAGAAAGTATGTCCCTTCCTTATTCAGATTGATGTGGAAATGTAATCTGTAATCAAAAGCACGGTGATTCAACTTCTCCTTACTGGAGAGGCACCAACGATTGATGTCTTCCATAGGGGGTTACATTCCCTTATGATGCTTGCTAACTGGCATTTTGAAATGCCACGTTTCATATATATGCCCTATTTTAATTCAGAGACTAACAAAGTTAAAAAATGCAAGGAATTATATGTCAATAGTCAATACCAAATGCAAGATTTTCCCTTAAATGCCAGCCCATCCACTAATTTTCTACAAGAGACTTAATAAACAAAGTTAATCTGCCTGTGTTACCCACGGACTCTAGCTGTGTAGGCTCAGACAGGCTACTTGGCTTTTACGTGCCTTCGTTTCCTTGTTTGTGAAATAGAGATAATAATAGTATCTGCTCACAGAGTTTTTGTGAGGCATTTGTAATATAATACATACAAAGTTCTAATAATAGAGCCTGACACATACTAAGTACAAAATGTGTTAGCTACCAATATCATTGATATTTAATTTTGTACATTTCGGTGACATCCTACTGCTTATATTACTGCACCATATGACTGTGCAAACAACCCCTCCAGATCAAAAAATAGAAAGAATAATTCTCACAGGCATTGCCTTTTGAGAGATTATGAATAGTCAAGTTAATTTCTTTAACGAAGTATCTGACATAGGAATTTGGGGTATTAATTACTTCCTTAGATGGACCAAGAACAAAGGTAGAAGTAAAAGAATCCCCTTGTTTGACACATCCTGATCACTAGCTATGCATATTTTTGAAGGAATTAGTAGAATTAAGGATGACACTTCTTTTTTATGCGTTCCTTGACCTTTACATTTTTCAAAGCCAAGCAAGTATTACAGGTTGAGCATTCCTAATTTAAAAATCTGAAATCCAAAATGCCCCTAAATGTGAAACTTTGAGTGCTGGCATCATGCCCAAAGTAAATACTCACTGGAGATTTTCAGACTTCAGATTTTCAGATTAGGAATGCTCAATCAGTAATGAAAATATTCCAAAATCCCTCCAAAAAAGAAATGGCGAATACTTCTGATCCCAAGCATTTTGGATAAAGGATATTTAACTAGTACTTCCGTAGCAAAAAGAAAAGCAAGCAAACAAAAACCCTGACAATATTTTATAAATATTTTATAAAGGAAAAAGCTAAAGAACGCGTTATTTTGATAATAATCTCATTCAAATTTGAACTTCAAATTCTTTGAAAATAAAGTTTTATGACTTTAGAAAATAAGTTTTAGTTTTCTAAGTCATTTAAAAGCTGCAAATCATTATCTGATAATATACATAAACTAAGAGTAGCTACAATGACTTGAAAAATAAATTCATTTTCTCTGAAAAACTTGTTCAAGGCTGATCTTAGGTAATGTGAGAGACATTTGCTTCAGCAACACACTTACAATAAGGTGAATACAATGTATGAATATTAACATTAATATCTGTTAGTACTCAAATCTTGATGCTACCAATCCCTACTTGTCTATTGATTGAGAGCATCTCTTTAAATGCATGTATCTGAGGTTTCCCAAGGATGCGCATAAACCTTATCTGATCAGTTCTCTGGCCTTTTGCCCCTTTTGCTACTGATGATGTTCCCAGTCTCTTTTGACTTCTTTGCCACGGCACCAACTTGGACCTGAAATCTACTCCTGAACCATTACTAACATCACCACTCTTTCGAGATGATGCTCAATTTGGGGAAAGGCCCCACAGCAAAAGACATACGTACCTTAAAATCTCTTGGTAGTTAATGATAAGAGATTTTCCCATTTGCCACACAACTAGACATGACAGATTCTCATGGCCCCAGACACCCACTGAGAGAGGCAGCTTAAGTGAGTTGCCAGTTTCCTTGACCTTGAATTACCACCACAACTGTCACCTCTGCTTCTGTGGTGAAGTCCTCATTTACCCAGGCATCAGTATTACATGTGGTGAGATGAATATTTGCCGCATATCTATTGTGTTCATATATCTATTCTGCTCAGCCAGGGGATACCCCACAGCAAAGGTTGCATGAACCTGAAAATGTTGTAGCTTTTTCTATGCTCACATTCTTAGCCACTAAGTCCCAGGCCATGCAAACACCCCCACAGTACCCTACTGGGATAAGTTTCAAAATCAGTTATGTTCTCATACCAACAGGACCCATTGCAAATTGGGGACTCACAATTCTAGACTCTTCCTCCCATTTGGGGTCCTATTGTCCTTTTCTGTGCTCTGGGCACTGTTGGGGTCACTCAAGTTGATCAGACATGTTTTGTATACCATTTCTTAGTATGTTAATGTGAGTTGCGGTCTCTTTCCCCCACCCCAGGAAAGCAACTCCTCTGAAAATCCATAGATTAAAATAGATACGGCATGTATCCACTCTTACAGACATAAGAGTATGAGTTCCTGTCCAAATTTTGTAAAGAAAAATTTCTTATTTTTTCTTTATTTATTTCTTTGTTTTTGAGATGGAGTCTTGTTCTGTCACCAGGCTGGAGTGCAGTGACGATCTTGGTTCACTGCAACCTCCGACTCCCGGGTTCAAGCGATTCTCCTGCCTCAGCCTCCCAAATAGCTGCGATTACAGGTGCGTGCCACCTCACCCGGCTAATTTTTGTATTTTTAGTACAGACGGGGTTTCACCATGTTGGCCAGGATGGTCTCAATCTCCTGACCTCGTGATCCGCCCGCCTCGGCCTCCCAAAGTGCTGGAATTACAGGCGTGAGCCACCGCGCCCGGCCTTTGTAAAGAAAAATTTCAAAGAAAAATTTTATGAGTTTCAGTAATGTATTCCCTTCCCAAGAAATGAGGTTAAGGTACCTGCTTTTCAACCTCTTTCAATTTTTTATGTCCCAGGTAGAAAAAGGTGTTAAAATTCATGGACCTAAGGGTGGTCAGCTAGCTGTATAGGCATGGCCTTTTAAAGGTCTTACTTAAAGTTATTGATGTTTCTGACTTTTTGTTTGTAATACCATTATTTGCAGAGGTAATGAAAAAAGTCCATATATTTATATCTTTTTATTTAAAAAAATACCTAGTTATAACATTGAAACAGTATAGGACTATATAAGGTAAAAGTATGAGAAAGAGAGAGAGAGACAGTTAGAAAACGCACAGGAAAATCATGGAGCAAATATGCCAAAGTACTAGCAGTGGTTTCCTTGGAGATGTTGTTAAAAGGGACATTTGGGGAAATTTTCATCCTTCCTATAATTGTAAATTGGTGTGATTGAAGCTGAGCTTTACTCTTTTGGTAATTTAAGAAAAAAAAATGTAATTTAAAAAAACACTGACTTGTTTGCTCCTTTAGGATACACATTTTTACTTTTTGAATGGCACTCTGTACTGAATAACTTCTCTAAATTTTGAAGTGACAGAAATAACAGCAACAATTTTTTTTTGAGACAAAGCCTTGCTCTATCACCCAGCCTGGAGTGCAGTGACTTGACCACAGCTCACTGCAGCCTCGACCTCCCCATTTCAAGTGATCTTCTTCTGTCAGTCTCCCTGGTAGCTGGGACTGCAGGTATATGCCATCATGCCTGGCTAACAGTTTCGGTTTTATAGAGGTGGGATCTCACTGTGTTGCCTAGGCTGGAGCAACATCTTTTACCACAGATTATTTTCATTGTAAACATTTTGTTATTCACTAATGTGTTATTCCTATAGACTAGTTTTTCTGTTCTTGCATGTTTTCCTCAAACCAACTCTCCAGTGAAATCAAATTCAGTTGGCTTATCAGAAACTAAAGTTCTCTGTGTTCCAAATGAGAAAGGAGCCTCTTTCCTATAAATTCAAAACCCAGTTACATTATGTACAAAATGTAGTCAAATATGAAATAAAATGTTTTAGATACTCTGTTTGATTTTGTGGAAACAAGATACTTCACCGATTTCAAGATGACTATCTTGAAATAGATTTAATTTCAGATTTCATATGAAGCTCCACCATTCATTCCCTTTCCCCTTTCTCACTGACATATTTTCTGATGAAAAAGCACCTGGCATAAAGGTCAGGTTGTGAAAAATGATTCCATTTCTGTTGTAAACAGCAAGATGCAATTTCTCACTTCGTTTTTAGATAGCAAGAGCACCTCATGGAATTGAAAGCTACAACTGATAAAGTTTGTTGTGCAGCCCTGAGAGATTGCTATGATCTGTTTCTCTTTAACCTGTCCTTGATCTGATTTATGAGCCCTTTTTAGGAAAAACATTACTCCCCGAGGGAGATAAAAAAGTCTGTTCTCCCATTACCTACCCCAACTCACATTAAGATAGTCTAAGGAAAGAATAGTAAACATGGCCCCAGGAATGCAGACTTGAGGTTTGATGCCATCAAATAATCCTTGTGGCCAGTGCTTGTGTCTAGATATAAAAGAAGAAAAAAACCCTTTATTGCCATGTTTTGCTTCTTTATGCCTCGGGGGACTTTTCAGCCTTCAGCCACTGTGAGCTTTATGAAGAAATGCACCACAGATTTCTATTGGTTGGGCATGATGGCTCATGCCTGTAATCCCGACACTTTGGGAGGCCAAGGCAGATGGATCACCTGAAGTCAGGAAATTGAGACCAGCCTGGCCAACATGGTGAAACCCTGTCTCTACTAAAAATACAAAAATTAGCCGAGTGTGATGGCACGTGCCTGTAGTCCCAGCTACTCAGGAAGCTGAGGTATGAGAATCACTTGAACCTGGGAGGTAGAGGTTGCAGTGAGCCAAGATCTCACCACTGCACTCAAGCCTGGGCCACAGAGTGAGACCCTGTCTCAAAAAAAAAAAAAAAGAAGAAGAAGAAGAAGAAGAAGACTTTTCTTGAGCAAGGCCAACACCTATTGGCATATAGTATCATGCAATAGTAAACATTACAATTATGAGGCTAACTTATTAATGAACTTGGTGGTCTTGAAAATTCTAATTTGTCTTCAGAGCCAAGATGATGCTTAGTCTTTTTTCACTTGTTCTATTTGTCAGCAAGGAAGGACAAAATCTGAGGTAAATGAGTGTTTTGGGAAATTCTACCCCAAAGATTAAAAAAATCAAAATAGAAGTCCATGGGAGTTTCAGTTACCAATATAGATGGAAGTTAAAAACTACCATTGTAAGAAATTTGAAAGTTTTGTAATTTTATGTTTGTTATGCAGTTTATAAATGTGTGCAATTTTGTAATTGTTTTTCTGATTGTTTGGAATTATTAGAAACCTTCCTGATTATTCTTGTGGACCACAAATACTAAGGAAATTGGGGACACTGTATCTTATTTATTAGTTAAATTTTGGAGAGCTCAAGGGAACTTCAAATGTCTAGAAGAGAAGGTAATACAAAAGAATAAGAAAGCAGTTGAGTCCTTAGGACATATTGAAAGCAATATTGAAGAATATTCATAGCTAGTCTGATTTTGCTTAATTTTAGGAAAGATTTTAGCAATGAAAGGCATTAGTTGAAATTTTTAAACAGAATTATAATTTTATATAATTATAATTTTATTCACTGTTAATGAAAACTTTTTGATTTCTGTAATGTTAGGTTAAAAGTTTATACAAGTAGGAAGTGCCAGGTGCTGTTCAGTAAAATCTGTTTCATTAAATTTTCTTGAGAAAGAAAATATGAAGCTCAAACAAAATCAAAGGTGAGTATCCCCAACTTTCCCTTCCTCAAATTATCCTGGCAGAGACATACCAGAACTCAGGGTTACATTAGTTACATTAGTAAATGACAATCTGTTCCATTCACTTGGCATAATTCTAGGAACAGAAGCATATTTTAGTAGCAAGTTGTAAATTTCCTATCAAACGTGTTTCCTCTATATCCCTACACCAAATGGTGAGCAGGCTCTGGGAAAAGTAGAAAGAAAATCTTCTGAGAACTCTCTTCTTAAATCATTTGGCCGGGAGCGGTGGCTCACACCTGTAATCCCAGCACTTTGGGAGGCCGAGGTGGGTGGATCACCTGAGGTCAGGAGTTCGAGACCAGCCTGACCAACATGGTGAAACCCCAGCTCTACTAAAAATACCAAAAAATTATCCGGGCGTGGTGGCAGGCTCCTGTAATCCCAGCTACGCAGGGGACTGAGGCAGGAGAATTGCTTGAACCCGGGAGGCAGAGGTTGTAGTGAGCCGAGATAGTGCCATCGCACTGCAGCCTGGGGGACAAAAGCGAGACTTTGTCTCAAAAAAAAAAAAATTATTCTACTTCCTATGGTTCATCTACAAGGTTCTAAAAACTGTTCTAGAATATGAGCCAAAATGGCATATAGCATCATGCAATAATAAACATTACAATTATAAGGCTAAATATACATGAATTCAGAATGCTGATGACCACTCCCCAATACAAAAATACAGATAATTTGAGGCATTTGTACACGTCCTTCTGCAGCCTGGAATAGCTTAGCAGTGAGCGATGGTAGTCATTGCCTGCTTCCCATATCTCCCTCTAAGGGAATCTGTCCAACCACAGTCCTTGCTGCCTAAGTAGTCACATAATCTCATTCCTCTCATTTCCAATCTTGGTTAATTGAGAAGGTTGTTCCTGATTAGATATAGTCTATCCATGGGGCGCTTAATCACTTGGTCTATTATGCAAGTTAATCATATTCTATCTGTTGGCAACTGTAATGGGAGGTAAAGAATTCACAAAGGCAAGCTGGAGAAACAGGAACAAATCTCCTAGAGTACAGCAAAGTCATATTAACAAATGCAAAATCTTAGACTATAAAATCCATAAACTAAAAATTCTAAGCTTTTAATAGATCCTGAGAATTCAGCCACTCCCCATCATCAAACTTTAGGTTTCATGAGAACTTGGTGTGACTCCTCTCCAAATTTCCATGAGAATCCATCTATTTTTCCAAAGGCAGTCTTATAATAAATTAAGTGCTTCCCATTGCAACTATAAAAACCAGACCAAAATGCCCTATACCTTATTTCCCAGCAAAGTAAAAGGTCTCTTCCAGATACTATTTAAAATTTGCAATCTCTATGCTGCATTCTTTTTATCAGCCCTATCCTATGCATTCCCTCCTAACATAAATCTACAGTTTGTATATTATAAAGCAACCATATTTATTTTCCTAGTTGTTTTCCTTTTTTTTTTTTCTCTGAGTTTCACAAAAAGTAGGAGCAAGTTTTCCTTTCTGGTACTCCTAGAGAGCAACTAATACTGTATACTTCACAGGAGCTTTAAAAAACATGATATAGGAGTCCCAGGTTAACAACAAGGAAAATATTAGACTTGAATTAAGAAGATCAGTAGCCCAAAGCTTTTACCTTACATGATTCCAGTTGTCCTGCACTTCTAAGTATGGACCAATCAGCCATCAAAATTCTCCAATTGCCACACACTCTGAAGCAAACCCAACACTGCTCGTCATATTGCTCCGCTCAGTCACCATCATAAATCCAAGCTCCCTAGATCACCACATAGATGCCAGTCTTCTATTCTTTGGCAATGCCACTAATCTGACTTTATCACCCAACCTTCTCTCTCCTCTCAGATGCTCCCATTATGGCTTCTAGAAATCCTGGTCTGTCCTCAGCAATCTTACTTCCATCCTCAGCTTCTTTCCTGAAAATGTCCTACACCTTCTTGCTCTAAATAAAATCAGGCTCTTGCCTGAGAACATTTCTTCCTACTTCCCTCTCAAGTAAAGATATGTTACTCTCTATTCCCTATGATCCTTATAGTCTGGAAGTGGAGTGGATCGCCCCGTTGCTTCCCATTGTTATTTCCAAATTGTTTCATACCTTCTTTCAAAACCCCTGCTTTTTTGAAGCACATGCCATAGTTCTTGCCATTGTCCCTACACCGTGAAATGTCATCTACTAAGCCTATCTCATTAGTAGACTCTGCCACCCCATTCATCAATCATTGTGACTTTAAAATCAGCATATAGCCACCTGATACCCTGCCCTCCCAATTCTTGGAATGTAAAGGGCCAAAAATCTTGTCTTCTCCTTACCCCAGCCACCCTCATATGGCCATATGCCCGATCGCACTATCTGCAAAATCTCAATTTCAGTCATCCCATTTTTTGATGGTTAGTTAAAATTTTCTTTTATCCCACAGCTAATTTTAATCTATTTACTCTACTAGTTTTTTCATTATCCGTAACCTCCTCTCTATCTTAAAAAGCACATATTTCATCATCCAAAAATATAATGACTCCACTACAAAAATTATCCTTCTTTTATCATACTGGACTGGTAAAAACCCAAGCCTGGTTAAACTCAACTATGTACTTACTTGACACAGTTGTTCCTGAGCAGCTAAAAACATTAGTCCAATTCCACATACTTGCTGGCTGGATTCACTATAAATTAGGTTCGCTATTATAGCCATTTAACATTGCTCTAGTAAATTCACTTCCACCCTCTCTGAGACAACTAGTTAACACCTTGCTTTGTTTAAGTCTGTAAAGCTCAACTGCATCTCACATACAGTTGTCAACTTCAGATTCATACTTCACTGAAAAAAATAGATAAAATCATTTTTAAAAGCCAACTTCATCTTCCCACTACCAATTTCCTCCAGCTACCACCACATACAAACACACATGCACACATACTTTCTCTCTCTCTCTTCTCTCTCCTACTTTTCATTTTTTTCCAATGGAATTAGAGCTCCTTTTTCTGATTAATTCCACTCTCTCTCCTTGTACCCTAGATCCTCTTTCCTTGCCTTTATAATAAGCATGTTGCTTTTGAAATTATCTCCTTTTTCTTCTAGCTCATAAATCTCTCCCTCTATACTAAATCATTTCTCAACTTAGAAATATGTCTTAATGTCTTCATCATAAAAACAAACTAAATCCTTCTTTGATCCCACATGAGCTTCTAGCCACAACCATGTGATTTCGATCTCCTTCACACACACACACACACACACACACACACACAGACTGCCTCTCAAACCTAGACTATACTCATGGTTTTACTTCCCTATATCACATTCTCTTCTCAATCCACTCCAGTGGAGATTTAGTCCTCAGCATTTCATTAAATTGGCTTTGCTCAGTTTCAACAAGAATCTGAATCTTGTCAAAGCCAATGGGCACTTTTCTGTTCTCAACTGTGACTTTTCTCAGCATTTGACACTGTTGACTTCTCCCTCCTTTGTTCAACACAGGTAACACTGTGTGACCACAGACTTAATTTTCTTCATATTTTAATGAACACTTTCATTTTTCATTCTTTTTTTTTTTTTTTTTTTGAGATGGAGTCTCACTCTGTCGCCAGGCTGGAGTGAAGTGGCACGATCTCGGCTCACTGCAACCTCCGCCTCCCAGGTTCAAGTGATTCTCCTGCCTCAGTCTCCCAAGTAGCTGGGATTACAGGCACATGCTGCCATGCCCAGCTAATTTTTGTATTTTTAGTAGAGATGAGGTTTCACCATGTTGGCCAAGATGGTCTTCATCTCCCAACCTCATGATCCACCCACCTCGGCCTCCCAGAGTGCTGGGATTACAGGCATGAGCCACCGTGCCCAGCCTCTCTCTCTCTTTTCTCTCTTTCTTCACGCATTCTCTTCTCCCCATATGATCTCTAAATAGATGTGCCCCCGGACAAGATCAAGGTGTCTCTCTCAAGCCCTCTTCTATTTCCTATAAGTCTAGGGCATTAAATGCAGCTGTATACCAAAGGCTCCCAAATTTATATCTTGAACCCCAAGCTCTCCACTAAACTCCAGACTTGAATATCTACCTTTAAAATTTGTATGTTCCACAAATATCCAATAATCCAATCAGATTTGGGATGGCTCACTTCCTCACTGTCTTTAGGTCTTTCTGCATACATCACCCCACTGCAGAGGCCTCCCTAACAAACCTGTATAGAAGATCAACCCTATCTTAAGACTTCCTATTTGCCTTGTAATGTTAACGTTTTCTCCATAGCACTTATCATCACTCGATACGTATTATTTATTTATTGTCTGTCTCCCCCACCTGGAAAACGTGTCCATAAAGACAGGAACTAATCCCCACAGCTATTTTCCCAGTGTTAAGTATGGTCATAGGCTGGTAATACACACTCAATAAGCATTTGTTAAATTTATATCCCTAAATGTTCCTCACACTAAGCCTTTGCTAATTCAGAAAATTACTGTATACCCATTTACTCAGAACAAAAACACCCAAAATTATTCCTGATTCTACTCTTTCTCTCTTCCTCCCCATTCCTTTCTATCAGTCTAATAGTGACACACCCCACATTCCTCACTAGATTAATTGCCACCCACTTCAGTCCAAGACACGGTATTCTGTCTCATGGGTTTATCTCTGTAATCTCCTAGCTATTTTGTGTGTGTGTGTGTGCAATTCCAGTTTGGCCCCTCACAAGCAATCCTCCTATACACAATAGCTGAATGGATTTTCTAAATCATAAATCCAGTCACACCACATCTGTTCTCAAAATCCTCTAATGGCATATCACTGAAATTATACAACATTCTAAACTATTCAACACAATATGCAAGGTGCTACATAATCTCCCCTCTGCCTATAACAACATCGTTATCTCTTAACTCTATCCCTTATCATTTCTTTTGGAAACACCAAAATCTTTCCCACCTTAGATCCCTGTGTTTGGAACACTTCCCAGGGTTTTACCCAGCTGATTTCTTTCCGTAACTCAGGCATTAAATGACTCCTCGTCAGGCCTTCTGTGACCATCCTTTCTAAAGCATTTAGTTTGCCCCTGACTTCAAACACTGACACATTATCCTGGCTTTTCCATACATAAGGAGCAACTGAAATTTGTTTTATGTTTGTCTGTTTTCTGGCTTCTGGTTAATTATCATCTCCATTTAGGAGATTGTAAACCCCATGAAGGTAAAGACTGTCATATTTACTACTCTATCTCCAGTACCTAGGACAATGCCTGGCACACAGAGATACTCAATAAATATTTATTTTCTGACTAATTTGAAATTTGAAAACATGGACAAACCTCAAACTACACGATTAACTCATTTTGTGGCTGACTAAATTATTTAGTATCTTTAAATGTTACTTTTTACGATATAACAATAATAAACCAATAAATTCTAAGAACATTATAAGCCTCAACTCAGATCATGACATTGAAAGTTCTTTGCAAACCGTAAAGTACTATAATTATGCTTCAATCACCATCTATCTGGACTGCCTACATTATTAAAACCCTATGAAGACCAATTGGGGTTTACAAAGTACAGACCCGAAAGTAAGTTAAAATGACATTTTCCACTACAAAAATATATGCTTTTGTGTAACAATATTTAACACTTGAAATAGTGTGTCAATGTGTTACTCTTGATTTCAAGGATTAAAAACTGTCATTCAACTTTGTTTTTCATGCAATTTATTGTAACTTTATTTCATTAATCAGGAAATATCCATAGAGAATTTGGCCCAACATTCTTAATTAAATTTGAAATCTCAGACATGCTACTTGTGAAAAATCTACCAGTATTCCTTACCACCATGGCCCTTTCTAACTATGCCATTTTATCAGCTATTTGCACAAATGCCTAGAGTTCAGTCATGGGGAAACTCCTGAGTCAAAAAAGAAAATAAAGGCAACACTTCAGTGGGATAGTCAAACATAAATTGCAACTCCATCACACAACTAATTAAAGATACAATTGACTAACAATTAACCAATAAAAATGACAGGTATATAAATCTAAAAAAATAGATTAAATTTTAATCAAAGTGTTAGGAAGATCTACTGGAAAATTAACTGACCAGAATTGTTCTGTTGAATTGAAAAAAGCAGTGACCTGGAAACAAGAAATGCAGATTCTATTCCTGGATTTAGAACTTATTAACTCTAATGGACTCTTCTACCTCTCTGGGGATCAATTTCTTTTTCTATAAAAAATGAAAGATACATATCTATTTCTGTAACTGAAATTTCATAAACATCTTCACAGTGACAAGGTCCAGGATAAGAAAGGCTACAGACTAGAAAGGATAGTGTTAAGAAGCTGGAAGGAGCCATCAGGCCCAGACACACATATCATTTAGCCAGAAGGATATCTGGGCAGGCCCAGATTCAATTCCTAGCTTCACTGCAAACTCCATGAAAAACTGCTGGGAATATTTGCATTATTTTTGTCCCCAAACTCCAGACAGTTTTGAAAATTACATGAGATAAGGGTGGGAAAGCACCTTTCTCTCTTGGAAAATTCCAAAGGATAATTATAAATACTTTCTATAGCCCATAATTTCAGGGTTGCTTATGGGTATTTATTTAAATATTTGCCCAGACTTTTGCTATCATAGATGATATCATGGATGACAGATTGCTTCTCTATTTATCAGGCTCTAAAAGGAATGTACACACTTTGACATAGCATGTTGGGAAAACCAGAACTCCTTAACTGAAAAGAAAACAAATCTGAACTTTGTTATGTTAAAAAAAAAAAAGTGTAGCTCCAATACGGCATGGTTTCAAAGATATTTGACCTCAGCAGATGTAGATGTTGCTAGTTTAGGTGAATTAAAATTGCACTGGAAAATTTCCTTGGAAACTTTGTACTTTGTCATTTTCCTACAAATCCATTTGGGTAACTTTGAGTAATTATGGGTTTTTTACACTTTTCATTTCCCCTTCCAAATCTCCTCTCTCAAACAAACAGAAATTTCATTAATTACATTTTAGATTCATTGGTAAACACAGTCAATTCCAAGTAAGGGTAGCTGTCATGAGATAAATGTTTGGATTCCAGGTTTAGTCTAGTCTTGCCACATGGTATTTGCTAAAAAGCCTGTCTGTAAACTATGCCATTTAACCAAGGGGTTAGACTCTAAACTTGGAAGTTCAATGGTCAAAATGCTTTTACTTATGAAGAAAGATAGTATTTTATTTTCTAAGCATTAAAAATACTCCAAGACTTTTGATTTAATTATCCTTTCTTTTTTTTATCCTCATATATATGGATATACATGTATAAAATGCATTATTTTAAATATGAACATAAGATATTTAATTATCATGTCATTAATGACATAGAGTGCATGTATTTTTCACCAGGTTTTGATAATAATCAAGTTTATCATTCATTGCATACTGACATTTTAGTCAAGCTCGATCACATAGCTGAGATAACTGATCTAAGCGTGAAATAAAACAGACAAAAAGCAAGTATAAAGTGCAGCACAGTAGACTATCCAATAACCATAGGTTTGAATTCACTTAAAAATATAATTAATTAAAAACAATATTAAAAACAATAACTTAAAAATAGGCAGACATAGGCGTTACATACACATATAACCATTATACTACATAGCTCCTTTCACCTTCCCAGAAATTTAGGAAGGAGATGGAGGATATAGGCAAAAAGAGAAGATAGCGGAGGGAATGAAGGGGGTGGAAGGTGAGTAGGCAGCAGAGGCCAGGGGAGGAAAAAGGAGAAGGAACAAAGAAAGAGAAATACAGAAAATGGGGCGGAATAGCGAGGCAGCAGAATGAGAATAATTCAATGTCTTGCTGATTTTTCCTTCCATGCCTTTGTGCTTGATACTTTGTGTCTAATAAAAAAAAATGTTTGGTGTGTTGTAAATATTTTTTCTCAAGGGAGCAAAGTTTCTTCTTCCATTTAACTCTTGGTCAAGTAAGTGGTGGCGGGATGATTTTTCATACTGACGCCTTCTCCCAAAATGTAATAGATTTTTACAGAGAAGACAGCACATCAGCTTCCAGGATGTTACAATTACACACGGATGATCTTTTCTATGTGTTCTGTGTTTTTGGCATTAATCGGACCTCTAGCCCAATGGTGACATGAGCTTGATGATCTTCGTATTAGACAGATACCATGACATATGCACTCTTTTTATATTATTAATGAACATAGGCAAAGAAATGTGCAGCACAGGCCTAATAAGATAGAGAGAATTTCCATTTCTATTGTTATCTTTTACATTTATTTGGCTTGGCTTTTATTTTAAGGGATAGAATTGCTTTATAGGAAAAAAAAAAGCAGTAGGCAAACTATAAGGATCATTAAGTCTCAGGGTTAGCTCAACCCTTAACTAACTTAAAGAATTTGAGTATTCCTCAGTGAACAATTTGTTTTTAATATATAAAATCCTTATTTTTTCTGCTCAATAAACTATAAAACAACAACAGAAATGCTGTTCATTATTACTATTTTTGCATTAATGTTGCCAACGCTGTATCATAATTTATTACCATTTTTAAGTTTCACAGTACCAATTAATTCCCTTTCTTCTGTCCTCATATATCCCATTTAAGGGATTTTCTTTTTTGCAATGCATTTCTTCCCTGAGATCTCGTTCCAAGCCTGTAGCTGTGCTTGCGTGGGCAATGAGCTGAACTTCACATCTTGGTGAGCCAGTAGAGTTAAACTAACCTATTTACAATAACAACCATGTGTTGCTATGAGATGTGCCTTGAGAAGACTGAAAATCATTATCTTTGTCATGTGAGCAGAAGGTATAAATAAGGTGACCAGAAAGGTTTTATTTGTGTTAGCAACAGACGCAGAAGAGCAAAACAGCTATTCTAATAATATTGCCCATATGCTGGTGCAAACAAAAGAAAAATCTAGCAGTCCCAGGCTAAGTGAATTAGTGCTCCTCAGTGATGCCATTGCCCAAGGCAGGGTTTTGTTCTTCCTCTCTGATGTCTTTTCAGTGCCAAATGGCTTGTCAGTTCCCACTAATGAAGAGCCAGTCTGCCTAGACTCCGAGTTGGACAGTTATAGGGGATATCACATTATTCACAAGTTCTTAATGTGATATCCCCTACAACCCTGGATGCTCTGTTGGGTCCTAACAATGCCAATAGGAGGTTCTGTGTTGCTTTCCACTTTAGTTTTCAGAATCGCTGCTCTTGTCTGCTATCATTTCTAGCTAGAATTTTGTCATCCTCCTTTATCATTTGCTCCCTTGTCTCCAAATACAAAATGGAGAAGATTGACCACACATGAGATATACAAGTAGTTATACGTAGGTGACGACTGAGGGAAAAAGGTCTGCACTTTAATTTACAATCCCATGAGATATGTACATTTTTTCTAGTACAATTCATGGGTCTGGTGAACAAGTTTCTCTTTTCCTTACCTGGCCACCAACTTATTCACATAAACATTAAAAAGAGTCTTTAAAGAAAGTAGAAATTCTCTTCTGGGGAATGTGAAGGCATAAGGGGAGGAAATACTAATGCTTGCCTTGATATTAGTAATATAACATGGCTTGCTTGCCCATGTATCTAAACATCAGGATTTTTGAAAAAGCTTTTTTACTCTGACTTGTTTCTCCTTGGCTCCAGTAACCTCAGCAGATTTGTAGCACTGTGGATAAGATTCTGATAGTCCACATTTACCCACACATAAATCAAATACTTTTTTGAGACTCATTTTACATACAGTATGTTATAGTAAATCCTGTGAAGAGTACAAAGATGTGTTAGTGCATTTACCAGATAGATCAGAGTCTAAGAAAAGAGCTTAACACCTATAAGTAAACAACTTTTATACACGTTTTATTCTCTTTCATGGAGCGCAACATTAGAATCTATTGAAGTCAAGCTAGAAATCTCAGCATCATTCACAACTTTTCTCCCTTGTGCATCACACATTAGTTATAAGAGCTTGCATAGTTTATTTCTCAATTTTTCTTAATGTTTCCCTTCTTTTCACTGCCAATGCTCATAAATGTAATATTTATGTACCAATGTTCATAAACTTAAACTTTCTTGGTTGATCTAGTGCAACTAATTCTTTGTTTAATATTCTGAAAGTCTATGGAGCTATTGAAAGATTTAGAGCCAAGGGAATATGTATGACTGGTCTTAAAAAAAAAACAGTGTTATTAACTTAGGATCTGGATCATGAATGCACAGATTTGCTAGAAGGGTAAAGATAATTTTAATCGCATGGATAAAGAGAAAAAAGAGAGAAGAGGTTAAATCAGAAATTATTCACAAAGAGGAATCCTTAGAAACTTAGTTTATTACCTTTATTAGGGCCATAGGACATGTGCGTCAAAATATAAATCCTCTACAAATTAGCATAATATTCACTGAATTCAGATAATTTCACTAGGTGTTTGTGATGGACACAGAGGCGTGTCACCCAGATTCTCATTTGACACCTGAATGATAATTGACATAGACATACTACGGAGTTGAAAGAGCCCTTGTTTTGGAATCAGAACCTGTGGCATGAGAGATGTCACAGTGAGGAATGTCAAGTGGAAGCCTATAAAATTCTCCTTTCTACACCTGGTCAGGTACCAAACCAAAAACACCATATCCAAGGAGAGGACTCATGGGCAATAGCAGATGATTTAGCTAGCTGGTCAAGGGCTGGGAACAGAGAAAGATTGGGAAACCCAGGAAAAAATAACTGAAGTAGAAGTATATTGCTAGACCTACTGGAGGAGGGGCTAAAGATGAATATTTTTTGTGTCATATGCTAGCTCCTACAAGAGATTTACCATCACAATAAAGGCACTAAATCACAAGCACACAAAATGATTTGGCTAGTTGATGTCAGCCAGCATCTCTCATTGGCCACCCCAGTGCTGGCACGATAAGCACATCAAAAGATGGCCACAGTGGTAAAGATGAACCAAGGTTGATAGAGCTACTGCCACCACTGAACACCTAACCTACCAACAACAAACAGTGCTGAACCCTCAACAATATGCCACCATTCCTTGAGGAAACCAACTTGCATCATTATTCACTAGTGCACAGGCCGGCTATTTGTTTTGATAGAAATATTTTTGTTTGATAGAAATATTTGTTTGATAGAAATAGATAAATATTTGGGGTATGAGTTTTTCTTTCCTGCTAATAGGATCCAAACTACCACCACTACCCAAGGGCTTGTAACATGTTTGATCTACTAGTATGCCTTCCCACATAACATCACAAATCTAGAAGCCCACTTTATAGCAAAGACTATGTGGGTGGGGGTCCGTGGCCATGAGATTCATGGATCATATCACATATCAGACTATCCAGAACCTACTGGTCTCACCACATTCTGGAACAGCCTCCTGAAGGCATAGGTGAAACATCAGCTCAGATATAATTCTTTTTGGGGATGATGTCTACATACTCTAAGATGCAGTATACATTTGAGTCACAGAACTTTGCATGGTGCTTTGCATCCAGAATACAGGGGTCCAGTAACAGAGAGGTAGAAACAGGAGTGGTCACACTTATTCTCACTTACAATTACCCACTTGGGGAATTTGTGCTTCTCATCCCAAATATAGCCTCTCCAGAGTAAAGAGTTCATGGTCCTTACTAAGAGGGGACATTTCATCCAGAAGACACAGAAACAGCCCTATGCATCTGTAAGTTATGGCTGTTCTCCAGGTATTTTAGGCAGGTAGCAGCAGGTGAAAAGCGCTAGAATGTTGGACAGTAATTAAGATTGACCACTGGAGGGAGATAGGGATGCTATTACATGCTGGAGGCAAGGAGGACTATGTTTGGTCTCACACTGGGCATCTCTTGTTACTAACTTGCCCTTTTGTGATATTAAATGGACAAATGCAGCAATCACAGTCTGAGAAGCCATGGTGACCATGGGCTCAGACCCTCTTAAGGATATTGTGTAAAGACATGACAACGGGTAAGCCACTGAGACCAGCAACGGTGTTCCCTGAAATAAGGGAAATCTAGAATGGATGGTGAAGGAGGTAGCCTGTGACAACTGGTTGTGGCCCCAAAGTTAGCTCCAGTAGACCGGGCTGTAGCATCAGAAGCCTAGTGGAGTTCTCCCCATATATGTAACTAGATCCAAGCAGTGCACGTGTAGACTCTGATAAACATGAAGATGTACCACTTTGATCCCTTTTGAGAAAGGTCGTGCTGCCAGCTGCAGGGAATGTGGCCAGCAGACAGCCTGCCGCTGTCAGCCACTTCAAGGACTGCCTCATCTGAAGCATCAGCTTACCCAAGGACAGGTCTTTCCTAAGAAGGCCCACATTCAATGACTGATTGAGGTAGTTGTGATCCAATCTTTCCCAACACTCTAGGGGCCGCGCTAACTCCAGAGCTCCAGAGAGGAGGCTGGTATTAGGCCTGTGCTGCTACTTGACTTGTCTTCATGCCCCTGCATGCCATTTCAGGGTATGGCTCCAAGAAAACTCAAAACTTGAAAGTGGTGATAAACATTTTTTAAAAAATTCTTTCAAATGATTTGGTAACTATACTGAAAAAAGGTAAACAAGTTACAAATTCCTTCAGCGGTGAGAGCCTGTTCTATTCACCTCTAAATCTTCAGTGCCTGCTGTGGTAGCTGATAAATAGCATTAAATTGCAATGAACTGAATCATACTGAATTAGAATGCTGAAATGTTATAAAATATTTAATGTTTTACAAAAGTTACTTTTAAAAGTAGCTAATAAATAGCATTAAATTGCAATGAACTGAATCATACTGAATTAGAATGCTGAAGTGATATAAAATATGTAGTGTTTTACAAAGTTACTTTTATATTAGAAATCCTTGGCCAGGCACGGTGGCTCACGCCTGTAATCCCAGCACTTTGGGAGGCCGAGGCGGGAGGATCACGAAGTCAGGAGATCGAGACCATCCTGACTAACATGGTGAAACCCCGTCTTTACTATAAATACAAAAAATTAGCCGGGCATGGTGGTGGGCGCCTGTAGTCCCAGCTACTAGGGAGGCTGAGGCAGGAGAATGGCGTGAACCCAGGAGGCAGAGCTTGCAGTGAGCCAAGATTGCTCCACTGCACTCCAGCCTGAGTGACAGAGTGAGATTCCGTCTCAAAAAAAAAAAAAAAGAAATCCTTACCTGTTCCTGTTTACTTATTTGTTTATAGAGTGTAACATGTATGATAACTAACACTATCATCTCACTAAGTTTTTACACTCTTGCTGTTGAGGGAATCCTGGTCCCACTTCTCATCTGCCATGAGGGAATATTCATGAAAGTTAAATTTATGACCACCCTTTTTACCTTCTCACCCAACTTGGGAGGTTGGAAGAAGTAACTGCCTGTGAGTTTGGCACCTTCTTTATTTTGGAGCAAACTACCAACAGCAGGCACACATTTTTGCCTGTCTTATAACACATCTGTTTCTGTGGGCTGTTGAATTGAGGGCAACGTGGGCAATTATTCCAATCTGAGAAAAGATGAGAAAGTTTTAGGAAGTCAATTTTGCTTTTAACCCAAGCAAAAAAGAGCTCTATCAATGATTGTTGAAAACCAGCTCTGTCAATCACAAAATATTTTAATGCCTATCAAATGAAATTTTATGTACAAACATCTCAGGTAGGGAGAGGGGTATGATTCAGCTCCAAATTCTGTCTTACCCTCCAATGATTATTTCTTTCCCTATTTGTAAGAATCTGCTTCCCACTGGCACCCATCTCATCTCCCAACACTCTTTATCAACTCATCCTCATAATCCCTTGTGGCAGAATCTGTTGGAGTATTGACTCATGATCAGTGTGTAAAACTTTAGGGCTGGAGACTGTAAACAGAAGCAGGAAACATTATCCTCTCTTACCCCTTGTGATTGTTCTCACCTATAACCTTCAGGCTAGGCAACTACTGCTCTGTTAGGGTGAGGAAGGTCCCTGTGATGACAGTAAGTCCTCTCAAGTACTGATATTTCATTCTAAGACTTACACTGAAAAATGTTTATTTAGCATAAAGAAGATGATAAGCCACTTAAAATAATGAAGATTTTATTTTCTTATTATTTTACTTCACTTTTCTTGGGGAAGAGTAAAACTTCTGCCTCATAATTCTCTGTCTTGTCTAGCAAAATTAGTATCTTTAAAAAAATATTTCACTAGCATATTAAATTAATTTCCCATAGACCAAGTTTCTTTGCAGCTCCCCCAGATTGCAAGTATCATGTAGAAAAAATAAGTGATTTGCATAAATTACTGATTAAATCCAAGCTCTGTGGATAACTCTGTGGTAACTTCAAGTTTTAAAATATATTTTTGAGTCTGTAGTGATATGGTCCTGAAATGCAGTCTTCATAAGTTCTTTTTAAACATAAATGATTTTTTCCTATATCACTGAAGCTTTCCTTCACATTTGTTTTTTTTTTAAGGACAAATCTAAAATGTCTGAGCTTAGAAAAAATCTTTTAAAAGTCTGAGCTTAGAGGTTTACCATAATTAGAGAGAATGGTGCGATTCAATTTTATATTTGTTGTATTTATTATCATTTGTTTTAATGATAAAATAGAAATATGTATGTATATTTCACTGCTGTTTAGCATAACAGAACATGTATTTTTCCATTTTTAAAAGGCCATTTTTTCTTCTCTCTCTCCCGAACATTCATCTGTATCCAAATAAACAGGCCAATCGCCTGGTGTGTATTTTTTCATTTTCATATAATCACAATAAAAAATACAGAGTGCTTTCGTATTGTTTTTACAAGTCAACTTATATATGTTGATCTTTGACCAGCTTTCTCACTTAACAACGCATTAAAAATCTTCAAGTCAGAACATAGGCATCAACCATCCTTATATTATTGCTTTGTGATTTTTAAATGAATATAGTTTATTTCTGAGAGCAATTTCAGAATTACAGAAAAATTGAGCTGAAACTACAGGAACTTCCTACAAATCTCCTGACAAACACAGCCATACAACCCTATTATTTACATATTGCATTAGTTTAGTGGTACTAAACTAAACTATAGACTTCAGCTAATAATAATATACCAACATTGGCTCATTAATTATAAAAAATGTGCCATACAAATGCATCAAAACAACCACATGAGATTATATTATATGGACATATTTCTGCATTTCTTAACTTATGAGGATGCTAGTTGATGATAACTTTTTACCACTATAAATAGTGCTGCAATAAATGTCCTTGAACATTAACTCTTATGTACTAGAATTTTATTTCTATGAGATAAATTTACACCTCCCTTCTCAGTTCATTTAATTGGAAAAATAAGCAAGATATCTGTCTCTCTTCAACTTAGCAGAATTATTAAAAGTATGGTACATCTAGGAGGCGGTTCCAAGATGGCCAAATAGGAACAGCTCCAGTCTACAGCTCCCAGTGTGAGTGATGCAGAAGATGGATGATTTCTGCATTTCCAACTGAGGTACTGGGTTCATCTCACTGGGGTTTGTCAGACAGTGGGTGCAGGAGAGTGGGTGCAGCGCACCCGGGAAGTGCAAGAGGTCAGGGAATTCCCTTTCCTAGCCAAGGAAAGGGGTGACAGACGGCACCTGGAAAATTGGGTCACTCCCACCCTAATACTGTGCTTTTCCGATGGTCTTAGCAAATGGCACACCAGGAGATTATATCCCGTGCCTGACTCAGAAGGTCCTACACCCACGGAGCCTCGCTCATTGCTAGCACAGCAGTCTGAGATCAAACTGAAAGGCAGCAGTGAGGCTGGGGGAGGGGCACCCGCCATTGCTGAGACTTGAGTAGGTAAACAAAGTGGCCAGGAAGCTCGAACTGGGTGGAGCTGACCGCAGCTCAAGGAGGCCTGCCTGCCTCTGTAGACTACACCTCTGCGGGCAGGGCATTGCCAAACAAAAGGCAGCAGAAACCTCTGACACCTTGGAAGACAGTAGTGGTTCTCCCAGCACAGAGCTTGAGATCTGAGTACGGACAGACTGCCTCCTCAAGTGGGTCCCTGACCCCTGAGTAGCCTACCTGGGAGGCACCCCCCAGTAGGGACAGACTGACACCTCACACAGCCAGGTACCCCTCTGAGACAAAATTCCAGAGGAACAGTTGGGCATCAACATTTGCTGTTCACCAATATTCGCTGTTCTGCAGCCTCTGCTGCTGATACCCAGGCAAACAGGGTCTGGAGTGGACCTTCATCAAATTCCAACAGACCTGCAGCTGAGGGTCCTGACTGTTAGAAGGAAAACTAACAAACAGAAAGGACATCCACAACAAAACCCCATCTGTACGTCACCATCATCAAAGACCAAAGGTAGATAAAACCACAAAGATGGGGAAAAAACAGAGCAGAAAAACTGAAAATTCTAAAAATCAGAGCCCCTCTCCTCCTCCAAAGGAAAGCAGCTCCTCACCAACAACGGAACAAAGCTAGATGGAGAATGACTTTGACGAGTTGAGAGAAGAAGGCTTCAGATGATCAAACTACTCTGAGCTAAAGGAGGAAGTTCGAACCCACGGCAAAGAAGTTAAAAACCTTGAAAAAAGGTTAGACGAATGGCTAACTAGAATAACCAATGCAGAGAAGTCCTTAAAGGACCTGATGGAGCTGAAAACCATGGCACAAGAACTATGTAACGAATGCATAATCTTCAGTAGCTGATTCGATCAACTGGAAGAAAGGGTATCAGTGATGGAAGACCAAATGAATGAAATGACAAGAGAAGAGAAGTTTAGAGAAAAAAGAATAAAAAGAAATGAATAAAGCCTCCAAGAAATATGGGACTATGTGGAAAGACCAAATCTACGTCTGATTGGTGTACCTGAAAGTGACAGGGAGAATGGAACCAAGTTGGAAAACACTCTGCAGGGTATTATCCAGGAGAAATTCCCCAACCTAGCAAGGCAGGCCAACATTCAACTTCAGGAAATACAAAGAATGCCACAAAGATACTCCTCGAGAAGAGCAACTCCAAGACACATAATTGTCAGATTCACCAAAGTTGAAATGAAGGAAAAAATGTTAAGGGCAGCCACAGAGAAAGCTCGGGTTATCCAGAAAGGGAAGCTCATCAGACTAACAGCTGATCTCTCGGCAGAAACTCTACAAGCCAGAAGGCGGGGAGGCGGGGGCAATATTCAACGTTCTTAAATAAAAGAATTTTCACCCCAGAATTTCATATCCAGCCAAACTAAGCTTCATAAGTGAAGGAGAAATAAAATACTTTACCTAAAAGCAAATGCAGAGAGATTTTGACACCACCAGGCCTCCCCTACAAGAGCTCCTGAAGGAAGCACTAAACATGGAAAGGAAGGAACAACCAGTACCAGCCACTGGAAAAACATGCCAAATTATAAAGACCGTCGAGGCTAGGAAGAAACTGCATCAACTAATGAGCAAAATAACCAGCTAACATCATAATGACAAGATCAAATTCACACATAACAATATTAACCTTAAATGTAAATGGGGTAAATGCTCCAATTAAAAGACACAGACTGGAAAATTGGATAAAGAGTCAAGATCCATCAGTGTGCTGTATTCAGGAAACCCATCTCATGTGCAGAGACACATATAGACTCAAAATAAAGAATGGAGGAAGATCTACCAAGCAAATGGAAAACAAAAAAAGGCAGGGGTTGCAATCCTAGTCTCTGATAAAACAGACTTTAAACCAACAAAGACCAAAAGAGACAAAGAAGGCCATTACATAATGGTAAAGGCAGCAATTCAACAAGAAGAGCTAACTATCCTAAATATATATGCACCCAATACAGGAGCACCCAGATTCATAAAGCAAGTCCTTAGAGACCTGCAAAAAGACATAGACTCCCACACATTAATAATGGGAGACTTTAACACCTCACTGTCAACATTAGACAGATCAACAAAACAGAAAGTTAACAAGGATATCCAGGATTTGAACTCAGCTCTGCACCAAGCAGACCTAATAGACATCTACAGAACTCTCCACCCCAAATCAACAGAATATACATTCTTCTCAGCACCACACCACACTTATTTCAAAATTGATCACATACTTGGAAGTAAAGTACTCCACAGCAAATGTAAAAGAAAAGAAATTATAACAAATTGTCTCTCAGACCGCAGTGCAATCAAACTAGAACTCACGATTAAGAAACTCACTCAAAACCGCTCAATTACATGGAAACAGAACCACCTGCTCCTGAATGACTACTGGGTACATAACGAAATGAAGGCAGAAATGAAGATGTTCTTTGAAACCAATGAGAACAAAGACACAACATACCAGAATCTCTGGGACACATTAAAAGCAGTGTGCAGAGGGAAATTTATAGCACTAAATGCCCACAAGAGAAAGCAGGAAAGATCTAAAACTGACACCCTAACATCACAATTAAAAGAACTAGAGAAGCAAGAGCAAACACATTCAAAAGCTAGCAGAAGGCAAGAAATAACTAAGATCAGAGCAGAACTGAAGGACATAGAGACAAAAAACCCTTCAAAAAATTAATGAATCCAGGAGCTGGTTTTTTGAAAAGATCAACAAAATTGATAGACAGTTAGCAAGACTAATAAAGAAGAAAAGAGAGAAGAATCAAATAGACGCAATAAAAAATGATAAAGGAGATATCACCACCGATCCCACAGAAATACACACTACCATCAGAGAATACTATAAACACCTCTACGCAAATAAACTAGAAAATCTAGAAGAAATGGATAAATTCCTCGACACATACACTCTGCCAAGACTAAACCAGGAAGAAGTTGAATCTCTAAATAGACCAATAACAGGCTCTGAAATTGAGGCAATAATTAATAGCTTACCAACCAAAAAAAGTCCAGGACCAGATGGATTCACAGCTGAATTCTACCAGAGGTACAAGGAGGAGCTGGTATCATTCCTTCTGAAACTATTCCAATCAATAGAGAAAGAAGGAATCCTCCCTAACTCATTTTATGAGACCAGCATCATCCTGATACCAAAGCCTGGCAGAGACACAACCAAAAAAGAGAATTTTAGACCAATATCCTTGATGAACATCGATGCAAAAATCCTCAATAAAATACTAGCAAACCGAATCCAGCAACACATCCAAAAGCTTATCCACCACAATCAAGTGGGCTGCATCCCTGGGATGCAAGGCTGGTTCAACACATGCAAATCAATAAATGTAATCCAGCATATGAACAGAATCAAAGACAAAAACCACATGTTTATCTCAATAGATGCAGAAAAGGCCTTTGACAAAATTCAACAACGCTTCATGCTAAAAACTCTCAATAAATTAGGTATTGATGGGATGTATCTCAAAATAATAAGAGCTACTTATGACAAACCCACAGCCAGTATCATACTGAATGGGCAAAAACTGGAAGCATTCTCTTTGAAAACTGGCACAAGACAGGGATGCCCTCTCTCACCACTCCTATTCAACATAGCGTTGGAAGTTCTGGCCAGGGCAATCAGGCAGGAGAAAGAAATAAAGGGTGTTCAATTAGGAAAAGAGGAAGTGAAATTGTCCCTGTTTTCAGATGACATGATTGTATATCTAGAAAACCCCATCATCTCAGCCCCAAATCTCCTTAAGCTGATAAGCAACTTCAGCAAAGTCTCAAGATACAAAATCAATGTGCAAAAATCACAAGCATTCTTATACACCAATAACAGACAAACACAGAGCCAAATCATGAGTGAACTCCCATTCACAATTGCTTCAAAGAGAATAAAATACCTGGGAATCCAACTTACAAGGGATGTGAAGGACCTCTTCAAGTAGAACTACAAATCACTGCTCAACGAAATAAAAGAGGACACAAACAAATGGAAGAACATTCCATGCTCATGGGTACGAAGAATCAATATCATGAAAATGGCCATACTACCCAAAGTAATTTATAGATTCAATGCCATCCCCATCAAGCTACCAATGACTTTCTTCACAGAATTGGAAAAAACTACTTTAAAGTTCATATGGAACCAAAAAAGAGCCCACATTGCCAAGTCAATCCTAAGCCAAAAGAACAAAGCTGGAGGCATCACGCTACCTGACTTCAAACTATACTACAAGGCTACAGTAATGAAAACAGCATGGTACTGGTACCAAAACACAGATATAGACCAATGGAACAGAACAGAGCCCTCAGAAATAATACCACACATTGACAACCATCTGATCTTTGTCAAATCTGACAAAAACAAGAAATGGGGAAAGGATTCCCTATTTAGCAACTAGTGCTGGGAAAACTGGCTAGCCATATGTAGAAAGCTGAAACTGGATCCCTTCCTTACACCTCATACAAAAATTAATTCAAGATGTATTAAAGACTTTAATGGTAGACCTAAAACCATAAAAACACTGAAGAAAACCTAGGCAATACCATTCAGGACATAGGCATGGGCAAGGACTTCATGTCTAAAACACCAAAAGCAATGGCAACAAAAGCCAAAATTGACAAATGGGATCTAATTAAACTAAAGAGCTTCTGCACAGCAAAAGAAACTACCATCAGAGTGAACTGGCAACCTACAGAATGGGAGAACATTTTTGCAATCTACTCACCTGACAAAGGGCTAATATCCAGAATCTACAAAGAACTCAAACAAATGTACAAGAAAAAAACAAACAACCCCATTAACAAGTGGGCAAAGGATATGAATAGACACTTCTCAAAAAAAGACATTTATGCAGCCAAAAGACACATGAAAAAATGCTCATCATCACTGGCCATCAGACAAATGCAAATCAAAACCACAGTGAGATACCATATCATACCAGTTAGAATGGAAATCATTAAAAAGTCAGGAAACAACAGGTGCTGGAGAGGATGTGGAGAAATAGGAACACTTTTACACTGTTGGTGGGACTGTGAACTAGTTCAACCATTGTGGAAGTCAGTGTGGCGATTCCTCAGGGATCTAGAACTGGAAATACCATTTGACCCAGCCATCCCATTACTGAGTATATACCCAAAGGATTATAAATCGTGCTGCTATAAAGACACATGCACACGTATGTTTATTGCAGCACTATTCACAACAGCAAAGACTTGGAACCAACACAAATGTCCAACAATGATAGACTGGATTAAGAAAATGTAGCACATATACACCATGGAATACTAAGCAGCCATAAAAAATGACGAGTTCATGTCCTTTGTAGGGACATGGATGAAGCTGGATACCATCATTCTCAGCAAACTATCACAAGGCCAAAAAACCAAACACCACATTTTCTCACTCATAGGTGGGAATTGAACAATGAGAACACTTGGACACAGGAGGGGGAACATCACACACCGGGGCCTGTTGTGGGGTGAGGGGAGGGAGGAGGGATAGCATTAGGAGATATACCTAATGTAAAGGACGAGTTAATGGGTGCAGCACACCAGCATGGCACATGTATACAAATGTAACAAACCTGCACGTTGTGCACATGTACCCTAGAACTTAAAGTATAATAAAAAAAATGCTAACTAACAACATAAAGGCAGGCCACACACAAAACACTGATAAGAGTATGCCTTGAGCCAAGGGTATTCATTATCATGAATAATCCAATTCTGCGCACCTGATGTCCAAATAAAAAAAGAAATATAAAGGAAAAAAAGTATAGTACATCTAAATTATAACAGCTATTTTTTTTTTTTTTTTTGAGATGGAGTGTCACTCTGTTGTCCAGGCTGGAGAGCAGTGGCGTGCTCTGGGCTCACTGCAAGCTCCACCTCCCTGGTTCACGCCATTCTGCTGCCTCAGGCTATCGAGTAGCTGAGACTACACAAGCCCACCACCACGCCGGCTAATTTCTTTGTATTTTTTTAGTAGAGACGGGGTTTCACCGTGTTAGCCAGGATGGTCTTGATCTTCTGACCTCGTGATCCGCCTGCCTCGGCCTCCCAAAGTGCTGAGATTACAGGCATGAGCCACCACGCCTGGCATAACAGCTATTTTTTATTGCATACCATGAGCATCACACCATGCTTTATTTATTATTAATAATGCTTTTGAATTGTTAAAATATACATAACATGAAATTTACCATATTAATTCTTTTTAAGTATATAGTTCAGTAATGTTAATGCATTAACATTGTTGTGCAACCGATCTCCATAACTTGTTTCATTTTACAAATCTAAAACTCCATACCAATTAAACAGTAACTTTCCATCCCCTGTTTGCCCCATCCCTTGGCAACCACCAGTCTACATTCTGTCTCTATAAATTTGTTTGAAATACTTCACATACTATGAGTTGTACAGCATTTCTATGTATGTGACTGGCTTATTTCATTTCTCATAATGTCCTCAAGGTCCAGCCATGTTGTAGCATGTATCAGAATTTTCTTTTTGAGGATAAGTAACTCCAAGGAAACATGTATTAGACTTTATCAATTCATTCACCAATGGACATGCAAGCTGCTGTTTCTACCTCTTAACTATTGTAAATAATGCCTCTATGAATATGGGTATGTAAATATCTCTTCTAGAAACCTATTTTCAATTATTTCAGGTATATATGCCCAGAAGTGAAATTGCTAGAGCATATGGTAATTCTATTTTAATTTTTTGCAGAAATTGCCATACTGTTGTCCATTTCAGCTATACCATTTTAGATTCCCACCAACAGGGCACAAAGGTCACAATTTTTTAACATCCTTGCCAACACCTCTTATTTGTGTTTTATTAATAATGGCCATCCAAATAAGTGTGAAGTTAATTCCTTTTTCCAGTTGTTAGTGTGTAAAACTGCAACTGATGTTTCAGTATTGATTTTGTATCTTGCAACTTTGCTGAATTCATTAATTACTTCCAACTGTGTGTGTGTGTTTGGGTGCACCACTCAGAATCTTTAAGATTTTCTAGGTATGCGATCATATCCTTTATGAACAAAGATAAATCTATTTCTTCCTTTCCAATTTGGATGCCTTTTGATTTCTTTTTCTTGTGTAATTGCTCTGGCTAAGACTTCTAGCACTACGTTGAATTAAAATGGTGAAAATGGGCATCTTTGTCTTGTTCCTGATCAGTGGGGCAATTCTTCTGGATGAGTAAAGTGATTTATGTACTATGTTCTGCAGAACCCCAGGGTTCTTGGAATTTTCATTAGACTATAATCTCCAGGGTTGAGTGAGAAGTGTGTGAGTGTGCCTTCTAACACCACATCACACAGAATAGCTGTGTTTTTATCTTTTGCATATTGGGTTTATTTATAAAATTTAATAGAGTCAAAGAAGTTCACAACTCAAGAAACTAGGAAAGCCATTTGATTAAAACTGTCATCTGAGACAGGTGTGATGATATATGCCTGCAGTTCCAGCTATTTGAGAGTCTGAGGCAGGAAAATCTCTTGAGTCCAGGAGTTTGAGTCCAGCCGGGGCAACATAATGAGACTCTATATCTATTTAAAAACAAAAACCAAAAACAAACGAACATTAAGAACATTGTTAACTAAAAGTCTCTAAAAACTAAAGTCTTTTACCCATGAAAGAAAAGGTATGAAAACATTGTCTTTCATTATTAGAGTAAAACATTCATGATCAGATACCTAAGTTCACTCTTGCATAATAGAGAACAGAGTCCTGAGGGATTTGGACATAGACAGAAGATCTGGAGACACATTTCTTTGCTGAATAGCATGTGTCACTGTAATAGGGCAAGATATAAACACACTTGACTTAGAGAGACCACAAAAAAGTATTAGGAAGAGCAGCAAATTAAAAGTGTGCCAGATTTGCCTTACATATATCTTCCCTTTGAAATATTCTTTGCAGAAATAATTATAGCCTTGTTCAAGTAGGTTATGGTCTTTAAAAGGATGATGAGAAAAAAACACAAGTAAAAATTCCAGTAGGAAATATAGTTATCATTCAGTATTCATGGGGGATTGGTGTCAGAAACCCTATAAATACCAAAATCTGCAGAAGCCGAAGTAAGTTCCTGGTATAAAATAATGGAGTGTTTGCATGTAACCTACACACATCCTCCTGTATACTTTAAATAAACTCTAGATTAGTTATAATATCTAACACAATGTAAATGCTATGTAAATAGTTGTTATACTGTATTGTTTAGGAAATAATGACAAGAAAAAAATGTCTGTACATAGTACAGAGGCAATGATCCATTGTTTAAAATATTTTTGATCCACAGTTGGTTAAATCTATGGATGCAAAACCCATGAATACAACGGACCAGCTGTATTTGGAAAAATCAAAATAGGATAATCAGAGGAGGGTTAATTTTCAGAGTGGTTGTTAACACAGGGGAGCCACAAAGGATACTAATCTGGGGCTTATGATAAGTGAGTTGTTACTATTCCTAGTCAGGGAGAGATGAGTGGAGGGAGGGGGCAACTAACAGTTAGAGAGAAGAGAGTAGCAGAAATTCCTCTGTGTTGCAAAGATCAGTGACCATTGGTAAAGGGTTACCCCAAGGCACCTGGCAGGGAGGAAGCTCAGGAAATAAATACTCTCACCTGACTCTCTTTCCAATCTCCTACCCAGTGGGCTCCTAGCTAATGGAAGCCAGCAGTAAATCAGAGGACCCAGCAAGCCTGTCATATGCTGGTGGCTTCCTGGGGGCACTGAGGGGGTTCGAGCAGGGTGAATAATGGAGGTGGAGGCACAAACAGCGGGATCCTATGCAGAAAATAACTGGCATGATTTCAAAGGGCTGAAATGTGAGTATTCTCTCTGTCTCTCAATCTCTCTCTCTCTCTCTCTCTTTCTCTATCTCTTTCTCCTCCCCCATCATGGATGTGAATAATAATAACAAATCTTTGGAAAAAATCACAACAAAATATTTACACAAGCAGTGAGTTTATAAATAGAAAATTGATAGCAACAAAAATTTTAAGAGACTATATATCAGATATGTTGTTTGTCCCTTGAAGGCTTTGTTGGCTATAAAACATGGACTGAGTCTGTGAGTGTGAGCCAGTGTGACAAATCCTCTCTTCTTAGGGACTAAACAGTGGGTTGACAACTCCATAACATACAGACAGCAATGTTGGTCAGTTTAGTGAAAAATCTGGTCTTCCTGTTAACTCAGGGAAACAAGCATTGTATATTTTTTTTCCTTTGAACAGCTATCCTATGAAAACCTGAAAAACAATAATAAAATATTAGATGTTCTAATGAGATTTTTAAAAATTATGATTGAAAACATTCCTGGGAGACAAGTCCTACCAGTTTTTAAGAAGTAAGTTTGCAGCCAGGAGCACAGGAAGGGAGTGGCAATCTTGACTAAGAATGAGGCTAAAATACAAATCCTTTTATCTCTTTAGTCCCCATAGCCTTAAGCTGAGCCCCATCTCAGGCTGTAGTGACCGCTATGGGACATGGGGAAATCTGAGTCTAGCTGGAACACCTTAGCCCCATTTTTTTGTTTCCTACAAACCTATATTTAGTAATCTGGAGCCTTTGTGTCTGGATTGAATTTCCTAAGTGGTTCTGAAATTCACTGTCTGCATAACTGAGAAAAATAATTAACTTTATTTTGCCTTGGTTTCCTTACAATAAAATGGAGCTATTAAAACTATGAACTTGGCCAGGCGTGGCACCTCACATGCCTGTAATCCCAGTAATTTGGGAGGCTGAGGCAGCCAGATCGCTTAAGCAAAGAATTCGCGACCAGCCTGGGTATCATGGCAAAACCCCGTCACTACAAAAAAATACAAAAATTAGCTGGGCACGGTAGCACAGGCCTGTAGTCACAGCTACTTGGGAGGCTAAGGCTGGAAGATCACCTAAGCCTGGGAGGTCAAGGCTGCAGTAAGCTGGGATTGCTCCACTTCACTCCAGCCTGGGCAATAGAGTGAGACCCTGTCTCAAAAAAAAAAAAAAAAAAAAAAAAAAAAAAAACAGAAACAGCTGGGTGCAGTAGCTCACGCCTGTAATCCCAGCACTTCAGGAGGCCGAGGTGGGCAAATCACCTGAGGTCAGGAGTTTGAGACCAGTCTGGCCAACATGGTGAAACCCCGTCTCTACCAAAAATACAAAAATTAGCTGGGCATAGTGGCAGGCTCCTGTAATACCAGCTACTTCGGAGGCTGAGGCAAGAGAATCACTTGAACCCGGTAGGTGGAGGTTGCAGTGAGCCGAGGTAACATGAGCGAGACTCTGTCTCAAGAAAAAGAAAGAAAAAAGAAAGAAAAAGAAAAGAAAACAGAAACAAACAAAAAACCTACAAACTTGATAGGCATTTGAAACAATTTAAAAAGGTAATCTATGTAAAGGCACATACATAGGGTTTAGTAGATATTTTGTCCATCATAAAAAAATAATAGTATTGCTTGACCAGGTTACTCCTCTGGTAAAAACAGAATCTGGATTTTCAACATATTTACGGACAACCACTGTTAATGACATGACTTCATTATATCTACTCTCAACTCTCCAAAGGCCACTGAAACAAACTATTCATAAATCAGCTAAGTTCATCAGACTCAACTACAGATGGGAAGAGTCACAACAAGATAGAGTCTTAAGAGTGTTTTAGAATGAAAGTCTAAGACAGACTATTTATAAGGTTGAGAGATTTGGTCTCAAGTGATCTAAGACAAATCTCTCAAGGCAACGAATGAATTGGGAATGAGTAAAATTTGTCACTAAAGATCTCTTGCTAAAAATACAAACTAAATAAATGTACATTATGCCAGTTCTTTTTTTCTGAACAGATTGCATAATCAGCATGATATTCCAAGGTAATTAGCACATATTGATTCCTTAGCGTTTATTCCAATACAGTGCATGCTCACATTTTAAATGTTTTCTATTTTGAATTAATAGAAGGTACTAAAAGTATAAGTAGTGGGACCAAATGAGGATGGAGCTTCCTAAGTAAAGTTGATACTACTACAACATGCAGTGTGAACGGGTTTTTCAGCCATAGATCAGATGACTGATTGTGAGATGAAGAAATGAGAATTAAATGTGAATTTAATGAGAGCATTTGGCTTTATTATGAGGAAAAAGAGAATAAATTGTTATAATCTTCCACTGAAATGCACTGCTTCTTATATTTTCTTGTACAATATAAAAACTCTGAAACAACATTGAATAATTTGAAAAAGTCCCTAATCTTCTAATAATTTTCAATACAAAAAAAAAAAAACAAAGACAGAAATTTAAACTTTCAGTTATTAGAATCTAGAAATGTGAATGATTGCATACCTCTTATTACTGCCAAATTATTTTATCTGGCTTTGTTTCATTATATAATATTATATAAAACAAATTTCTCACTTAATTTTTTAATAGTTAAGGTCTTCTTGAAATATGTTGTAATCTTACTTAGATTGCCCTGTATGCATGCCATTCCACAAAAATGAACGTTAATCCCTGCTAAGAATATATTTGTTTCTCTGATACCTAGATTGTCTTCTCAGAACTGAATATAAATCAAATATCATAGGAATTAATTTCTACAACCCCGATTGTCTTCTCAGAACTGAATATAAATCATATATCATAGGAATTAATTTCTACAACCAATTCTGTCACTTTCATTCAAGCAGTGTGTCATTACCCAATATTTTAATTTTTGTTATTAAAGTTTGAGATAACTATTAAGGGAAAACAATTTTTTTATTCCTTCCAAAATAGTTAATTTCACTAAAAAGTCTGTAACCAAAAGAACGTGTAAATAGAAGAACACACACACTGAACACCTAACTAAATCACCTAACAGGCATGGTGGTTTTTGCTTACAATTAGGGAAATTCTCAGAAAGGAAGGAAAAAAGCCTTTAAATTGAGACTGCTATAAGCAAATCAAGGTCCATATAAATGTAATAATAAAAGCAACTATTGTGTTCATGGCAATTATGAGCCTGATATGTGCTAGACACTTTCATGCTGTCTATGATTTTATTATTTTAAAAAGAGAGGAAACTTAGCCTCATAAAGGTGAATAACTTGCCCAGCAGTATATATCCATGGTGTGATAGACAGAGCTTCAATTATATTCTGACCCTCAAAGCCATTTCCTATTGTGTCGTACTACATTGTCTCAAAACCCTATTATGTGAATTCCGAAGTTTATACTTGGAGAGCAAAGAATGTTTCCCATGGACCAGATATAAACCATTTGGGTAAAAAGTCAGCCTACAGTTGCCTCACAGCCTGCCTGCCCAAGAGGGCCTCCTGGAGGAATGTGAAGATCTCAGTGGGAAAATAAAGAAAAAACAAAACAAAACAAAAAAACTAGGGACCATACTAGATGTCTATGAATTAAAATCAGAAGCAGATAACTAGAGGAGCCAATTTGCTCCTGATAGGAACCTATGAGTAACAGATGGCCAGTAATGGTGCTAGGGTTTGGTGGCCTTCAGAGATTTCATGAAAACTTCTCTCAAAAGAGAAAGAATCAGCTTTAAACAACTATCAGACCCAGAGGATGCCAATCCTAGATAATTACAAAGTACAAGTTAAGTAACGTTTTTCCTTCTGTGATAGACTGAATAATGTCTTCCTGTCCAAAGATGTACACACCCTAATCTGCAAAAACGCACATGGATTTTGTGGATGTGATTAAGTTACAGATGTTGAGATAAAAAGATTGTCCTGACTTATCCATGTGGGCCTAATGTCATTACTTGGGTCCTTATGCAAGGGAGGCAAGAGGTCAAAGGCAGAAGGAGATGCAACGTCAGAAGTAGAGGTTGGATCTGGTGGAGAAACCTAGTGAGGGGAGGAAGAGGAGTTGAATTTTAGGTAGGGAATTAGGCGGGACAATAAAAATAAAGTAGTTCATGGCTTCTTCCAACCGTAGGTGTCTAGCCCAAAGAAGTTCCAGGGTGGCCTGGGTATATTAATTACCGAACTAATTAAGAAGTGACCAAAGGATATTTTGTCACCTAGGGGTTTGGGGTCTTGCACTGGACTTTACCCAGTGGTCCAAGATTGTCAAGATTGTACAAGAAATGGAGAAATGGAGAAAATAAATAAAGTTATTGTCTGATTATATCGTATGAATCCTAATTTTCCAAAATTATAGTACCACATGTGAACAAGGCCCCCTTTGAATTAGGTGACTGAATTAGGTTGTCTCTTCATTCTCCAGGGCTTAGACTTCCTCCTACACTCCTATTTTCCTAACTCCTGCCAAGTCTTTGCAATTGCCTCCTTTCTCCAGTATCTGCTCCAGTGAGGTTCTCAGTGTCCAGGTTCCCCATATTTTGCCCTGACTACACTAGGTGTTACCAGCCTTTCATAATCCCTTTTGTTTATAAAAATAATAAGTTTGTAATAATTGTCAAAGCATATTTTTTAAAACATTAAAAACAAAATTGTCATATACATAGTGAGCACATATCAAAGTTTTACTTAACTCAGTAAGGAGGAAGCTAGTAGAATGAAAAATGAAAACCAGAGATTTAATATGGTCAATAAAAAATGGTGCTGACATAGGATTGCTAAATTAGAGCAAAATGGGTTATACTTTACAGGGCAGTATAGCTATAACTTTGGGAGTCATCAACCATAATAAAAATAAAACAATTCATGTACCTAATAAATTCTCTACAACTCACATTCTTGAAAGCAGAATTGTAAAATGCCCATGTACTAGTCAGTCGTGATTACTAAAGTCAAACAAAGTTACATTTTCTAAGAGTCATATGACTCTGAGGTAGGTATGTTAGAGAATGCTCTGGCATAATTTTAAAAGGTTGCATAATCATCTTTCTGCTTCATCTCCAAGATGAGAATAATTCTTTCTAACATCATAAGCAAATCAGTAAAGAATTTAAAATTTACTAAATAAAAATTACAAAATAAATACTGATTTCAAGGAGAGCAAAACTTACTAAATAATGATAAACTTTTGATTAAAACGAAATTTATGTTTACTTAATACTTATGCTAGATTGTGCCACATCAACTTCATTAAACTGGGATTTATATTTTCCTGAATCTTCTTCTCTGAGTGGTGGCAGATGTGATTTGGAAGGCAGAGGTTTAATAGTAGCCACGATGCTCAGAAGGACATTGGGGTCAGTTATGGTGATGCTCATTTGCAGAGGTGCCTAAAAGATCCCAACTCATCTTTATTGTCCTCTGTTGCCTGAGCAACTTGCCATCCCCACTGAGAGCCATGCTGAACAACAGCTTCTCCAGGCCCACAAACAAATGTTTGGCTACAATCTCATAGAAGTAATGCCTACACAGAGGTAACAGCTTATTGTAGGCATCTCCATGGCATCCCCCTCTGCACAAACTTCATTGTCTGGGCAAAACGAGTATTTACCTTCAAGCTCTGACGTATCCACACAGTACTTATCAGTGTTTTTGGCAGACAACTGATTAGTGACTCTGTCTGATCCCCTTCTCTCTGGTCCAGCCTTCACTTCACTAGCTCCTCCGACATCCTTGTAAGGTCTAATCACTATAGTAAATCTCTTGTTCCCCAAATACTCAGACTGGCCCTGCTTTTCTGACTAAACACAGACTGATGCATTCCTATTATTTTACAACTATGATGTCTCATTTCAACCCACTCAGATGAGATATTTCCAACCGTATTCTGACACAAGTCTATTCACTAAAATGATGATATGGTGATGATGATGATAACTAGCACTTGCTAGAAGCCTGGCATTATTGTAAATGTTTTGCTGCCAAATGTTCAAATGTTTTTCAACTCTCAGAGACTTTGTCCATTATCTCTCAAAAGAATACCATGTTTTAGAATGTTAAAAATATTATTCTCAATCCTGGGTCATATTGGCGTGAAAGGATCAGAGGAAAATCTAGTCAGAGGGATGATGTGGGTAGCTAAGTGAATTTGGAGCCTGTTTTATTCGAGTAGTAGGGCAGTCCCTAGGTAACTATCATTACTGGTTTTCTCAAATATTAAGAACCAGTGTTAAAAAAGGATCATGCACACATTTTTGGCTCCAAAGTTGGAATAACAATACTTACTGGGAATTTGTCACATGTCAGGTACTTTGCAAAACTGTTTACATATATTACCTCATAAAACTTCCACAAAAAGTCCAATAAATAGGAATTGTCAAATTCTTTATTTGGGTGAAAAAAATGAGATTGATACAGACAACTTGCCCAAAGCCACACATTAAAATATATATAAAATTGTAATGGAAACTGCTAATTGTCTTCCTATATTTATTCTGTGAGTTTTAGCCAGACAGATATTTACAGTAATAATGACTTTATTCCCATCCTCTGTTGCAACTAGGTACTGCCATTTGGCTATATTCTGGCCAATGGAGTCAAAGTCAAAGTGGAAGAAAATGGCCCTGCTTTTCTGATTGCTATAAGACAGATGTCACGGCTAGATCTCCAGCAGCTATCTTGAGTCATGAGGTAACCTTGGGAATGACAGTTGAACACAATGGAGCAATATGCCATAAGAACCCCGAGTCCCTGGTCCCTGTGCGGAACCTTGCGCCAGTTTACTCACCCCATTTCCTACATAGAAATTTCCTGTTTTGGAAGCCCAGGTTCTTGTCTAGAGGAAACCAAAGTTTCCAAAAGCTGGGAATCCATTTCCACTTCATTAGGGACAAATTTAAAAACACTTTTCTACTTTGACCCTGCAGGCTTGTTTTCAATTTAAGTCTGCAATAGGGGGGAAAAAAAACGTAATCCAATGAACATTGTCTCATTTCTTATTTAAAATACCAAGATCTATTCAGAACGGAATAATATAGAGAAAACAGCAAAATAATCTTATTAGAACTTGGTCAGACCTTGACCCCAGTGGGAGTTCTCCATACCAATCTCAAATCCAATCCTTGGCAACAGGTCCGGAAAGGCCCAATGGAGCCAGAAATCAATGTCTATAAAGATTCAGGTTGTTAATGGGATATAGATTCAGTTGCCTATATCTGTTTTCACTATTTTTTCTATCATTCTTAGATAAAATAAGGCTCAAATGATTTGTTTTTTAAGGTAGAGGCCCTTTTTCTACTGCCTCTTCTATGTGAAAGCAGATAGCTCTGTTGTTGCATATTTGACTTAATAGAGCTACTGCTTTTAATGTATTAATCCTTGCAAATAAAAATTGAGTTTAAAAGTCAGCCTGTCTGAAATGGAGCCTCCAAAACAATGAATAACAAATGTGCAGTAGATGTCATAATCCAACAGTCTGGCAGTGTGCACTTGTCTTCATTTGTAAAGTCTCTTTATGTTCACATATGTCTGAGGCACCCAACCAGGGTTACAGCAAAAATTAACCTGTCAAGAATTGCTCTCGTTCTCAGGAGCTTAAGATTACAGCCTGGTTTCTAGTTTTTTTAATTTTTAGAGCACCAGATGGCCTATTTCTACAGTAAAAACATCTTTAAGACCATTAGAAAAGTTGCCCATATTGGTATGGATTTAAGCCAAATTAAACTGAAAGACATAATACAAGAATTTCTGGGAGATGGTTTTATTTATTTACTTGCATGTAATCACCCTCTCATTGTATTGAAATTACTGCTACTATGGTAACTGACAATGTGCTGAATTCAGCTCTGATTTTAAGAAAAAAAAAATTTTCTTTTCAACTAATATGAATACTTACATGCTTCACAAAGACCTTTCAGATTATTGTGTAGGCTCAGTCCTCTCTTCACATGCATTTGAGAAAACATATATTCCTGGTCAGATGGGAGGAGAAAAATATGTTTATTTTCCTGAATATATGCCTGAATATATGCCTTCTCAATTTAAATTTGTGGAAAGCTTTTTTTTTTTTTCTTAATACTTGGATTTGAAGCATTTGGGGGAAAAAAAGTTATCTACTTGCAAAGAAGGATTGCAAGGGATCTAGACTTTAGCAGACTGGCTCACCAAATAAATATAAAACAGGTGCTTTATGATAAAATTGTAAAATATTAACCAGATTACTGAGTTTAGATGTAGTCTACCCATAGTGGAAAACAATTTTCTCTCATAAATATCATACCCACAAATGTCATCATCAGATATCTGCATTGCAAAATTCAGGCAAAAAGCTGTTGTGTTAGGAAGTCAGAAGGTTAAGGAAAATGCCAGAAATTTTATTTATTTGGAAGATTAGAATTAGATAGGAAATATGCTTTACTGCTACTGCTGTTGCTGTTTGCTTTTTCTCTTTTTTTTTAATTTTTGGATTTATTTTCACATTCACAGTGATCATTTTCTCTGTTACTCAGAAGTGAAGTTCTCACTTATCCACAATGGCAGCAAAGAAGAGAAAAAGAAGAATGACATTCAGAGTAGTTTGAAGAAAAGAAGACAACCAAGGAAATGACGCGACAATTGGCATATAAAAAATTCAGCATTATCAGAAATACGGAGTAAGAAATAAATGCAAGAATATAATCCTCTGTGAAATTCCAGAAATGTGGGACAGGATTGAGACTGGCCACAAAAGGTAGACTGGAGACTTAAGCTATTTATTTGCATATGAATAAAGGGAAATTCCCCTGGACCACTTAGGGATTAGACCATTATCCTAAGTGAAGTAACTCAGGAATGGAAAACCAAGCATCCTACGTTCCCACTTATAAATGGGAGCCAAGCTATGAGGATGCAAAGGCGTAAGAATGATACAATGGAATTTGGGGATTCTGGGGAAAGCGTGGGAGGGGAGTGAGGGGTAAAAGACTACACACTGGGTTCAGGGTACACTGCTGGGGTGATGGGTGCACCAAAATATTAGAAATCACTACTAAAGACCTTACTCAGGTAACCAAACACCACCTATTCCCCAACAACCTATTGAAATTTTAAAAAAGGAATATTAGGGAGCTATAAAAAATATGCTTTCAAAGAGCATTTAATGAGATGGAAAAAGTATTATAAAATCAGATACAAAAATTGCATATACAGAATAATCTCAATTACATATAAAAATATACTCATAGGAAAATAGAAATGTGTCTAAATATCAATAGTATAGTATTCTTGGGCAGCAGAATCAAAGGTGACTGTTTTCTCCCTTATATATTTCCATGTTTTTCAAATTAAAATATACAGTCATTGATTAAAAAAATACTGAATCAGACAAATCAAAATCAAGGACTGGGCTATAAAACAAGTGGCACACACTCCTCAAAAATATCAATGTCATGAAAGAAAAGGGAGCTAGGATATTATTCCATAGTAAAGATTCAAAAGACATGACAACTAAAAAAACAAAAAATACATGTTTTAGTTCCAGACTTCTGAAGATAATCTCTAAAGCCAAAGGAGCCTTGTACACAAATCATCAGAGAAGATTACTTTCCTGGAAAGGGGAAAGAAGGATGTTTATTGCCCTTTATCTTATTGCATAAAAAAATCTATCTTGTAAATTCAAATATGTCTTATAATAATAAAAAAGCCAAATCTCTCCTTAGAAGAATTGTCCTAATGTGCACCCTGAGCTGGTCTTCACTTACTGATTTTTTCATCACCACTCCAAGTGGTAACATCAAGGATGGTGTTTTCTATCTCCACAAGTGAAATTAAGCATTTCTTCCTTTGTACATGATATTTGTGTGGTAGGAGTTCATATAAGAGAAGGAAATGGGACAAGGTATATTAGTTAACACGATGTCTTGCTGCTTAACCAGACATTTCTCAGTAGCTTAGCATGATTTACTGGAAATCTATATGGGGGTCCATCCTAGTTTAATGGAGTGTTTATAGTGGAAACTTCCACTCTGGGACTCAGGGGCCTAGGTTGTTTCCATTTTATGAGTATGTCATCCCTAAGGCCTTCAGAATTCTTTGCCATGTTCTCAGAAGCTGGCCAGGAGATGGGGGAAGAAAAGATCATGCGCAGAGAGACTTCATGGCGCCAGCCTTGGAGTGGCAGATCCTTCCATTTGATATTTCATTGGCTATAACTCAGTCACATGACCCAACCTAAGTGGCCACAAGGAAGGATGGGATATGTAGTCTAGCTGTTCATCCAGAAAGAAAAATAAATGGCTTTTGTAAACATCTGGCTAGTCTCTGCCAAAATGTGCACGCCATTAGCTGCAACACAGCTTCTTTCTTCTTAGACATATATATTTAATAACTTTTTACAAAATGCCTTCAATTTCTGGAATAAAAGACATGTTTGTAGTCAAATCCAATAACTAAAAATGTTCCACCAGCAGCCATACTGTGTAATCATAGCTGTTTTGAATACTTCCTGCCTCCGCTCACCTCTTTTAATACTGACTGCACTCAGATTTTGAAAGATGTATTTAATAAAAGGACATCTGGCTCTTTCTAATAACTAAATTATCAAAATTTTATGCATGTATGTCATACCCTTGTGTGTTTACTTTGAAATAGGTTCAAGTGAAGTTCATTTGGACAGAAAATGGACAGAAAAGCCATAATGACTTTATGCATTAATTAGCCTGGTCTAATGGTGATAGCATTGAATGAATCAGCAGTCCTGCTTATAATCCCTTTATGGCCCAGCTTGGCCACCGGCTGTAGTTTTGAAAACTCAGGGCTCATTTTCTCTAGCTATCATACAGAAATGATCCCAGGTTATTACAATTCTCTAAGCTCTAAAATGTGACAAACTCCAATGCTGCTGAAGATCTGCAGTGACTCAAGAGTGGAGGAGTGGAAGCATAAAATGTTACCCCAGGAGCTGGTGTTTCAAAAGGCTAGACTCATACCTACAACTAAAATGGTGTTTCAACCCTTGAATTGTCTGGTTAAAAAGGCTTGATGTCAGTGCTCAGGAATCTGCATTTTTAAATGCTTTGAAGTCAGTTCTACCTGTCCCACAGGAGAATGATGAATCTATGTTTGCTCCAAAATGGAGTATGTGCATGCACTTATGCATAAGATCATTCACTGGACTAGAATAAGAGAAGAAAAAATGGAAACCACTATGTATTTTCAATTTTTATGTAAAAATCAGAATGAAATTAAACTCAGCTAATATTTAATATAATGCTTGATGCTGTCATGTCTACTCAGTTCCCTCTAACATAATGGAGAGAATTATCCTGAGGGAAAAGTGGGAGTCCCACAGCTGAGAAGGGACCCAGTTAAGTGGATTAATGGATTATACTATGTGCTTCTTATTAAGGCAATTCTTACAAAAATGGGAAGAAGTCTTTAAAAGATTCTTCCAAGAAACTGGGGGTTGAACATAAACTCATATATATATATATATATGATGTGTGTATATATATATGATGTGTATATATATATATATGATGTGTGTGTATATATATATATACACACACACACAAGTGATCAATCATAAAATGACAGATTTGACTTCTGTTTTTGATAGCCACAATGGAGGAAGGAGAGAGGAGAGTAGTGATCTAATCAGCAGACTGTAGTATGTTACCTAGCAAGTATTTGGGGAAAAAAATAAAGGTTCTTTTTTCACTTCTTTAATGTAGGAAGACTTTTTTTAATGAGTGAAGAAGTAATTGCATTTCTAAATAAATCTGGGCTATGGGAAGATCATTCTGAAAATAGACGTTTGGAGAAGTTTCCATTACTACATGATTCTCATGCAGAAAGCAAGTCATGTGTGCAATGTATAAAATCTCTAAAAAAAATTACTCTGTGTAAAGGTTAATTTTACATGCCAAATTGCCTGAGTTAAAGAGATGCCTAGATAACTAGAAAGCATTATTTCTGGGTGTGTACGTGAGGGTGTTTCTGGAAGAAATTAGTATTGTCTTTTTTTTTTTTTTTTTTTTTTTTTTTGAGACGGAGTCTCGCTCTGTCGCCCAGGCAGGACTGCGGACTGCAGTGGCGCAATCTCGGCTCACTGCAAGCTCCGCCTCCCGGGTTCACGCCATTCTCCTGCCTCAGCCTCCCGAGTAGCTGGGACTACAGGCGCGCCCGCCACCGCGCCCGGCTAATTTTTTGTATTTTTAGTAGAGACGGGGTTTCACCTTGTTAGCCAGGATGGTCTCGATCTACTGACCTCATGATCCACCCGCCTCGGCCTCCCAAAGTGCTGGGATTACAGGCGTGAGCCACCGCGCCCGGCCTAGTATTATCTTTCCTCACTGATATGGGCAGGTATTTTACCATCCATTGAGGGGCCAGATACAAGAAAAAGGTGGAAGAAGGACATCCATTTTTTCTGCATTTGGACTGGTTCTCAGGCCTTCAGACTCTGGCTGAATTTCCACTGACTTTCCAGGTTCTCTAGCTTGAAGATGGTATATAGTAGGACACTTGGCATTTATAATCTTGTGATCCAATGTCCATAATGACTCTCCTCTTATATATGCAGTCGACCCTCCCTATCCATGGGTTCTACATTCATAGATTCAACCAATCACAGATAAAAAATATTCAGGATAAAAAATGATGGTTGCATCTGTACTGAACATGTACAGACATTTTTCTTGTCATTATTCCTAAACAATACTGTATAACAACCATTTACGTAGCATCTACATTTTATTAGGTATTATAAATAATCAAGAGATGATTAAAGGTATACAAGAGGATGTGTGTAGTTACATGAAAATACTACATCATTATATATCAGGGACTTGAGCATCTTTGGGTTTTGGCATCCATGTGGTTCTGGGTGGAACCAATTCTCTGCAGATATTGAGGAATGACTGTATGAATATCCTATTCATTCTGTTTCTCTAGGAAAATCTGACTAATAAATTTGGATATAAAATTTTCTAACTCATTAAAAAATTTTCCAAGTGAGTTTCAGTGGATTTCGAACTCATTAATAAAATTGTACACATCTAATTATTTTGTATTAATAACTAATTGACCTTGAGGGCTACATAGACATACTAATAAAATCACCAAGCAGACAAACCCCTGAATTTGTGCCTGATTTTTTTTTTAAAAAGTATTCTGAATTAGTAAGTAAGGATAATCAACGATACATTTCTTTTACTTGGGTTTGCATACATTTGTGGGAATCTTCATCAGCTTATGATAGCCCATAGAAATAATTGTCACAGAAAAGTTACATAGGAATTAGGGGAAAAATCCTGATTTACATTTATGCACATTCCATCCCCCCAAAAAGTAAGTTTCTCCAGATTCATGTTTATTTTTGGTGACTGCAAATAACTAAAATTTAAAATTGCTTCTTATATTGTTTTCTCTTTATACTTATTTTAGTTTCTGTTTTCATTTTTGTTTAAAATTTCCATAATAATTGGAACAGAAATACCTAGAAATTACTGGAAATTTCACAGGATTTTTCGAGTGTCGCTTCAACTTCTGGAAACTTCTGTGGCCACCAGTGCCTCTGCTTGAGTTTCACTCGCGCCCACTCGGGGTCCAGCGGGCTGCGCTCGGTTTGCACTACCAGCCCAGATCCCATGCCCACCGAGGGTGGGCTAGGCGTGGAGTGGCGAAGGGTGTGTGAGCAAACAAGCGCAGAATCCGGCCACGGCACACAGCCAGGCGCACCAGCTGCTGAAGTGAGGCAGGCAGCTCCAGACACCGACCGGCACAAGCACTGGCTCCATGCAAGGCTGTGACTGGACCAGGTATACTGCTAGCGGCTTCTGCTGTGGGCGCCGGTGTCTGGACAAGGGGAGCGCTGTGGTGCCTGGAAACCAGGAGACACCAGCAACCACGGAGCCCCAAGGGGTTGCGGGGAACGCGGGGGGACTGGGGTGAGAGTGGGAGCGGGGGCGGGGCCTCTCTCCTTCCTGCCGCCCGCAGCTTGGCGAATGGAGTAGGGGTAGGGGGTATGTTTTCAGCCCGTTTGTGTTATAGCGCATTCAGTCTGTCTTGCTCCAGCCCATGGCTCCTGGACTGGCCTGGCCCTGCCACCACTTCCCCTCACGTGGGGCGGCTGCCCTATGCCGGCAGAGGGCAACAGGACTATAGTGTTACAGCCCTAGCTCAGGGATTCCCAAGGTCTGGGGTCCCAGAAAGGTCCCTGCTCTTCACTCCTGCAGCCCCACAAACAGGAGCATGTCACCGCCCGCAGCTTGGTGAGCCAGCCAGGAACGTGTTACAGCCCCTTTTGCTGTGACCCACAGCTCAGGGAGCCAGCCAGGAGTATGTTACACTCCCTTTTGCTACAGCCCGCACCACGGCAGGCGCTGGTCAGGAAATTGTTGCAACCCTTTTAGCGCCCACCGTTTGGCGAGTCCCAAGTTCTTGTTCCATATCCAGGAAGAATGAGGTTACTTGGACAACTGGAGGGTGCCCAAGGTGGAGAAGAGTTTAATTTAGTGACAGAACAGCTCTCAGTGGAGAGGAGACCCAAAGTGGGTAGCTCCTACCTGCTGGCAGGTAGTCCCAGTGTGTGTTTGAGTACAGCTGAATCTTGTTGTTTGTTTGTCTTTTTAATTTTTTTGAGACAGCGTTTCACTCTTGTTGCCCAGGTTGGAGTGCAATGGCAGTGGCTCACTGCAACCTCCACCTCCCAGGTTCAAGTGATTCTCCTGCCTCAGCCTCTCAAGTAGCTGGGATTACAAGTGCCCACAGCCATGCCTGGCTAATTTTTGGGTTTTTAGTAGAGACGGGGTTTCACCATGTTGGCCAGGCTGGTCCCCAACTCCTGACCTCTGGTGATCCACCTACCTCGGCGTCAAATCTGGGGTTTTTATGGGCTCAGAATGGAGGAAGTGTGTGCTGATTGGTCCATGGGCGGACCTGGAAAAAGCATCATCTGATTGGCTGAAAGGCATCAAGGAAGTTCTTACTATAGGTTGTGGACTACACCCTGAACTGGCACCCCACTTTTCAGGTGTAGGTTGTCTCTATCCTGAAGGTCAGGCTTCACCAGGGACCCACCCTTGTCTGCCTAGGAATTTATCTGCTTCCGACCACTATCAAAAATAGATATATTTACTGTAAGAACATGCTAAATGGCCACATGCTCAAATATTTTTACTGGTATATGAGAGTAATCAAAATCCTGGAGATACAACATTGAGACTACAAAGAAGCATGTTCCAGCTTACACAGTAAAAGAGTTTGTATAATACATTAAATATCATTGGCCTCTGTATCTAACCCTTACTCCCTAAATATCTTACTTCAACTGCTTTCATCTTGCAAACTTACCCAATTTCCTTTATGGAGATAGTAAAATAATATACAAATGAATTCGTATAATAATCTTATCCAACTCACTGGTCCTTTCAAAGAAACCCAAAGCAAGTTCCTTGAAAATCAAGTATGGTACCTGATTAAATCATAGTTATATGCTACACAGACATTTTTAACGTAATTATGAATTATGATTCTTTCAGCATCTAAATTTTAGCCTGCATTTACAATGTGAAAACCAAACTGCTGCATTATGAAGAACAATAATAGTAATAAGCATAATGATTATATATCATGACATTTCACACATTTAAAATAACCTAATTCTCTGTCTAGGAAAACTGCAGCTTCAAAGACTCGAGCCCTGCATTTAGAATCAAAAGACCTACTTTTGTTATGATTTTATTGTCTAACTGGAGACAAACCATTCCCCACCTCTGCTGTAATTTCTTCATAGGGAAATTGAGGATATCCACTCTGCCCATTGCAAGAAATTGTTGAAAGGATCAAATACTATTCACATGCTTCATATAAGCTATAGTAATTTATTCATATAACATAGTATTGTTATTTGATCACATGGCCCATGTACAGAGTTTAGACATGAGGTTGTAGAAATATAAAGAACAGAAAGATATATAAAGAATGGGAATATAAAACTTATAATGCTCAGTCAAAAAAGGCATAGTTTAGATGGTCAAATGTTATGATGGGTTAAGTCCCAGTCATGTTCAAGCCTATGAAGTATATACACTGCATTAGTGGCTCAACTAATATTTTGTATTTGAATACTAAATGAAGCCGACATTGGCAAGTAATCAGGGCATTTATTACATAATCACTTACCTAGAAAATCAATAAGAATTCAAAACGGACTCATTGGCTGTTATTTTTGAAAGTTTGCTGTCCTAGGTTGCAATCATTATGTTTAACAGTGATTATGAAACAAGTCACACAGGTAATTTCTCTAAATTATTTAGCTTCACAAAGATAGATCATAATTTGTCTGTATTTTGCATTTTTACAGACATTTGCCGCCTTAAATCCCAGGAAGTTTTGTAGAGTTCATTTGAGCCTGTATATCACATTACTCAGTACCTGTAGTAAACAGCAATATAATTCACTATCAGTTCATAAATATTATTTTGCCTAATTTTATATAACATTAAGGGCTTCTGTTGGGCAACTGTTTTGGAATAATAAGAGTTGAGCTAATACTGATCATAAAAGAAGAAAAAGCATAAATATTTGAAACAGACCTTTTTCTGTAAGTATCAGATAGTAAGTATTTTCAGCATATTATACAGTCTTCGCTGCAACCACTCAACTCTGGCATTGCTGTATTAAAGCAGCTACAGACAATACATAAACAAACGGGCATGGCTGTGTTCCGATAAAACTTTATTTACAAAAAGAAACAATAGACCAGATTTGGACTGCAGAACATATTTTGCTAACCCTGATCTAAAGATTATTTGATCAAGTGCAGTGGCTTACACCTATAGTCCCAGCACTTTGGGAGTCCAAGTCCAGAGGATTGCTTGAAGCCAAGAGTTTGAAATGAGTTTGGGCAACGTAGCAGACCTCATCTCTACAAAATTTTTTTTAAAGCCAGATGTGATGGTGCATGCCTGTAGTCCTAGCTACTTGGGAGATGGAGGTGGGAGGATCTCCTGAGCCCAGGAGTTCAAGGCTGCAATGGGCTCTGATTGCATACCTGCATTCCAGCTTGGGTGACAGAGCAAGACTCTGTCTTTAAAAAATAAAAATAAATAAATAACATTTTTTAAAAATTATTTGAGAGCACTACCAGGCATTGAGTTAATGAGTTTTGTAGATTACTTTATCCCTTTGTTAAAATTAGTCCTTGTCTATTCTAAAATTAACTGCTTTATATTTTAACTATTGACACCCATTTCTACTTTTCTTGTATTTATTAGATATTTTTAAAAGATACTTATCTTCTTTATAATACTTAATCTCACTTGTATTAGCTTTCTGCCCAGAGTATGTTGTATTTAGCTATAAAACATAACATATAAACCAAGAGCTTCAGCAAGGCATTATGCTGAAAGGAGTAAGAAGTAAAGATGCTTTTCTTCTTAGAATTCAAATTCAGGAAATAAAATGGTACAGACAGAAAAGATACGAGGGACACTCAACAAGAATTAATAATTTTTATAAAGGTGAAACCGGCCCAGTTGTCCCATAGACAGTTTTGTTGTTGTTGTTGTTGCTGTTGTTTGAAGAAACAGAGAAAGTAACCCTTCTGGTCTTAAAGCTTGAAACTTACATTTGTTTCATGAGTTCCTTCCTCAGGAAATTACCCTCAGGCCTCTCAAAAATGATCAAAGAACTGAAACTCACCAGATCACTGCATCCAGACAATGAGATGCCAGAACCCTCATTCATCATGATTGCTTCCTTACCATGCCCCAGTTTTGGTTTTCCCACACATAGTTACATTTCTTCCCTGTTACACAAACCCTAATTTTAGCAGGTCAGGGAGATAGATTTGCCACTGATCTCCCATCTCCTTGGCTGCAGCACTGATTAAACCCTTCTTCCCTAGCAATGCTCATTGTCTCAGTGGTTGGCTTTCTGTGGGGCCAGCAGCAGGACCACCAAACCCCTGGTGTTAAGGTAACAAAGGTAGTAGAAACATTTATTCTAACACTTTTAAAAGACTAAGGAAGAATTTATTCAAGACTATTGCATGGGGCTATTGCAATAGATGAGAGAGATTGGGATTACCAAATACAACAAGAACAAGTGGAGTCACTGGAATACAGCCAATGACTAATGTGAGGGGGTCAGTGGAGAGAAATTTCCTGAGGGTAAATAACTAAGACATCAGGAGTAGAGGTATTCTTGCTAAACACACCAAATAAGATTATTGCTAAAGACAGGCCAAGGACTTAGACATCAAGAGTAGGGGATGAAAAAGGGTGATTAGATATCAAGGGTAGGGAGACTTAATAAACAAACTTAGCAGGATTCTTCCTAAAACTTACTAGGTAAACCAAAGACAGGACAAGGGTCAAGGTCAAGGCCAAGTTGAAAAGCTCAGAGCTTTTAGACCTACCTAAAGTCTGACTAAGAAGAGAGTCTTTGTCAGAACTAATAGGCCAAAAGAGAAGATAAACTGAAAATCCAATGATGATACAGTCATATAAAAAATAATCTAGCAGACAGTCTCTCAGGCTTCCAATGCGAATATTTTTTAACACAACGTTTTCCACAGATTTTTAAATAATTGCTGCAGAAGAGATTCTTTTTAATATTATGGAAATGGAAGATAACATACCTAATTTCAGATACATGTAATCTGTGCATTTTAGCCTTTTTAATTTTACCTCTGTTTTATTTTTGTTACTTCCTTTCATTTTTATCACACTCAAAATATTTCATTTTTACCAAAGGTGATATCTGAATTGACTGTCACTACGTATTTTTCTAAACACATTTTCTTACAACTATTTAGATAAATCAGACATTGAGCCATATTTTCCATATTTTATATTTTACACTACCATATTTTCACATTATATTCAATATAAATGTACAAAATTTTCATGTAAAAATTAATTTTAAAAATTTACATTACTCGTTTTCAATTTTGATAACACTTTCTAGGATGTAGACATCCTACTACACCAAGACGATTCAGCAACTTTAAAATAAACCCACTAAGAATCTTTAATGTTGTCAAAATAATGTCTTCTTATGGGAAGAAGCTGTCAGTGGCATCTCACACTTAATCTCTTTGGCACCTCTCTTTGGATATTGAGAAAAGCTTTCCTAATTGGCTGTGTGGGAGCTTGGACTTGGTATTTAGATCAGAACCTGCCAGGACTGAGCAGGATTATAATGAGTATTATAATCCTGACTCTTATTAAATGCTTTTTTTTCCAGAAGAGTTCCTTTAACAACTCAAATAACTATGATGGGCAGACTTTGAACTTAAAGAAAAGAACACTTAAATGCACTTCCCCAGCAAAGAAACATTTAATTTTTCTTACACGAAGGCTTGAATTACCCATTTTGCTTCCATTATAAGCATCATAGTCATAGTAACTGAGTTTTAAAGGCTTAGATTGTGTAACTTCATTTTGTTTTGTGTTTCTCTCGGTTGCTAGATCTCCACATGAGCACGTACTTCATAGAGAAACTAATTTTTCCGGTGCCATACACGCTGTCTTGGCTTATCCTAATAGCTTTTATTAGGTGGTATGGTATTTTTATTGTGATAAAAAACACATAACAAAATGTATCCTCTTAACAGTTTTTAAGTGTACAGTGCAGTATGATTAACTATAAATACATTGCTGTACAACTGATCTCTAAAACGTTTTTCCTCTTTCATGACTGAAACTCTACATCCATTGAACAACTCTCTGTTTTCTCCTCCCCCGCCAGCCCCATTGTACTTTCTGTTTCTATCAGTAAGATTACTTTAGATACCTCGTCTTTGTGGAATCATACAATATTTGTCATTTTGTGACTGGCTTATTTCACTTAGCATAATGTCCTCAAGGTTCATCCATATTGTTGCATATAACAGGATTTCCTTTCATTTTATTTCATTCTATTTTATCTTATTTTTGAGATGGAGTTTCACTTTTGTCGCCCAGGCTGGAGTGCAGTGGCATGATCTTGGCCCACTGCAACCTCCACCTCCCAAGTTCAAGTGATTCTCCTTCCTCAGCCTCCTGAGTAGCTGGGATTAAAGGTGCCCGCCACCACACCTGGCTAATTTTTGTATTTTTAGTAGAGACGGGGTTTCACCATGTTGGCCAAGCTGGTCTGGAACTGTTGACCTCAGGTAATCCACCCACCTCAGCCTCCCAAAGCGCTGGGATTACAGGCATGAGCCACCACACCCTGCTGTTCCTCTTCTTTTAAAACTAAACATTACACTGTATGTATATAGCACATTTTTTCATTCATCTGTCAAGGAACATTTGGGCTGTTTCCACATCTTGGCTATTGTGAATAATGCGATAAATATGGCTATGCAAGTATCTCTTCAAGATCCTGTTTTCAATTCTTTTAGATATATACCCAGAAGTGAGATTTCTGGATCATATGGTAGTTTGATTTTGAATGTTTTGAGGAATAACTTTACTGTTTTCTACAGCAGGCATACGATTTTACAATGCCAACAAGAGTGTACACGTGTTCTAATTTCTCCACATCATCACCAACACTTGTTATTTTCTGTGGTTTGGGATTTTGTTGTTGTTTTGTTTTCTTTTGTTTTTGCTTTTAGTGGCCACCCTAAAATGGTGTGAGGTTATGTGAGGTGATATCTAATTGTGGTTTTGATTAGCATTTCCTTCATGAGCAGTGACATCGAACATTTTTTCACATGCTTGTTACCCATTTGTGTGTATTCTTAAGAAAACTATTTGAGCCCTTTGCTTTTTTAAAAATTGGGTTATTTTGGTTCTTTTTCATGAATTGTAGGACTTCCTTATGTACACTGGATGTTCACCCCTTACCTGATACAAAGCCTGGACATATTTTTTCCCATTCTGCAGGTTGCATTTCACTCATCAGTTGTTCCCTTTGCTATGCAGACATTTTAAAATTTGATGTAGTATCATTTGCTTTTGCTTCTTGTGTTTTTGGTGCCACATCTAAGAAATCAACTGCCCATTCCAATTTCATTAATATTTTCCCCTGTGTTTTCTTTTAGGACTTTTATAGTTTCAAGTTTTACATTTAGTTCTTGATCCATTTTGAGTTTATTTTAGTAACATTAATCATAAAGCATTTTATTCTTCTCACTTTCAATCATTTTTTCTCTTTTAAGTTTTCTGTTCATTTTACTATAATAGTTTTTTTTTCATTTCCTGGTTTATTTGGTTTTTGATGTTTCAGGTGCTCTTCTCTGGTTTCCCAGTGGTTTTGTGGTTGAGTCATCCGTATGCTTCTTACATTTCTAACATTTTTACTAAGTACATTAATGTTTGCCTAATTTTAACTTTAAAAAATATTAATGAAATAAATTCTGAGAATATATAAAAGTCTTATCAATAGTACCTACTTTCACTTCTCAATATAAATATTTTTTAAATGATGTATGTTTTCTATGCGACTATGAAATAATGAGTGTTGGCTGGAGTGGCCAAATGAAAACCATGCTTAACTGATTTAGGGAATCTTATGACATATTTAAGATTAAATAGGTCATAAAGTTGTGTGTGCTATTATTTTCAAATAATATTTTGAAGCAGGCTTGTAACAAAAATAGCCTATATGGAGGATTTTAGAGCAGTGAAAACACTTGGAGAGTGAATAAAGCAATAAAAATGAGCACAAGCAGCACAGAGGCACAGCTCCTTCTGTCATGTATATTTTGTTTTTCCTAAAGAGCAGCAGAGTACCTAGCTCATGGCTATCCAGAAAGTATCATTTAAGGAATATTGCTTTTGTTTTGAAACAAAAATTTCTAACAGCACAAAGTTTAAAATATTCCTGTTTTTAAAGCACTCTTCTAACCTTGAGAAATACACAAAGCCATTGAGATAGTTGCAGGGGGCAGGTGCGTGTGTTTTAAAGTGGAGTGTCCAACATAAAGTGAATTATAATTCTTACCAGGTCATTTAAAGTCCTTTTTCTTCTGAATTTCGGTTGCTGAATATTTAGTTATGTTTTGAGTAAATATTCTAATTCCTCTTTTTCTTTGAAGCATTCTTTCTGTCTCAGTCACTGCATATTAATCTTTAATAATTTTAAGTACTCATTTATTTCCCAAACCTTCAGCTTCATGTCAATCAAACTAATGAAAATTGTGATCGGAAGAAGGCTACACTTAAAAATAATGCCATAAGTCTCTATTCTTAATAAAGCACAAGCCAAAGCAGCCAGATAAGTAATTAAAAATGAAAACTAAATGTTAGTCTTTAGCAAAAGATAATGGCTTCTCTAGTTTTTGTGCCAACCATCATTTAGGCTGGGATGACAGAAGAGCCAGGCAGAAAGCCGGGGGAATACCTTTGGCCAGTTAGATGGCAGTCATTTGGGACACAGTTGGGTGGCTAAGTTACCTAGTCAGTCCTTGTTTTGGGCTCTTACTTTATCCCAGCAACATTCTTTGCCTGTCCAGATAGGTTAACACTCCATGTCATATGTTCCCATAGAAACCTGTACTTCATATTTCAATGCATGCATCACATGTATCTTACTTGTTTAATATCTACCTTGTCAGACTATAAATTCCACAAAGGCAAGAATCACACCTATCTTATTCACTGTTGTTTTGCCAACATCTAGGACAGTGCCTGGCACTTACCATTCAGCAAATATTTGCTGAATGAATTAATAAAATGCAAACTGCCTGGGAGATTCATATCATTGGAATTGATCAGCTTGATATGATAGTTACCTATATCATTTGAGCAGAGAAATCAGGAAACCCTGTGTTTTAAAAGTCATCTCTCTTACTTCCTCCTGATGAAGCTTAACATTCCAACATTAAAGCATTGCCTCTCCAAGGCACTCAATCAAGTGATATTTATAAAAGGCCTTTCTCGTCAGTCTCAAATGGTTTCTTATGAAAAAGTCTGTCCCAGTGTAATTTATTCTGGAAGTTAGCTGAGAGAAGAGCCATAAAGAAGACCTGAGTATAGCGGATGGGTGAAGGAGGGAAGGAGTGAGCAAATGGCAGGCTTACTAGGAGAAGGAGGCACTGCCTGTGATAATTGTCTTGGTCAGGATGCTCCAAGGAAAAGTCTGTGATGACTGGAGCTTCAACTGACCTAGACAAGAAGCTTACAAAGCAGGAAGCAGTGGGTACTCAGGACAAAATGTGCCCCTTCCCTCATTTTCCTTTGTCTGATTCTATTTATGTGCATCCTACCATGTGGGGATCTACTGTTTTTCATGCATGTGTCTCATGTTTTCCTGATGCTACACAGAAAAGTTGCTTTGTATACTAAAAAGTGTGAGAGAAACAGCTTAGAAGATAATTACCTTTTACAAATTGGTGGGTAGTGCATTTACCTGGAAAGTACTCTTATAAACAAAGCCCAGTTATCTCTTTTGTCTGTTTTTCTAAAACAGTAAGAGTTCAAAGTAAATGTAGTATTTTTAGACTGAGAAAAACAAACCGTTCTTTTTAAAATAATCAAGAACATAATAGAATATGGGAAATGGACAGCCGTGAAATTGAAGTCCTTCATTTTTGATTTGGTACTGAGTACATATTGAATGGCATTTTAAAATGGGCTGTCTTTGTCATATACCACTAAAAAGTGCGTTTCTTCATTGGAAAGTTATTAGTTGTTAATGGGTATGACATCAAACAGAGAAGTGTATGTTAGTAGATTTGTTTTGTATTTTATTATTTACTCATGCAATATATTTTTAGTTTTAAGAGTCTCTTAAGTCCAAAATGCATTATATAGAGCTTTCAAGTGTGAAACAGTGTTAGAGTGTTATTATTAAATATAATGAAGTTATCACAGGAAAACACTGTTTTTTGGTGGTTTTTTGTTTGTTTTGTTTTCTTTCGTTTTTGTTTTTTTTTTTTATTTTTTTTTGGTTTTTAGGACAGGAGAGTTTAATATTCTAGAAGGGGCAAGAAGAAAAGGAGAAGGAAGAAGCTCCCCTGTACAGAGACAAAGGGAGGGGGTTCTCCAAAGTGGAGAGAGGGAACCCCACCTGCCATGGATACCAGCCAGGTATATATACAAAGGCTGGAGGAGGCAGTGTCTGATTTACACAGGGCTTAGGGGATTGGTTTTACTAGGCATGTCATTCACATAGCAGGAAAAGCTGGCCCTCTCACCTTAGCATTTTAATATGCAAATGCAGGGCGCCATGATGTTCCACACACAAGGGGCTATGTGGGGGCAACCATGTTGCCAGGAACATGTGGGGCAAGGGCAAGAAGACAACGGGAATCACTATGTGGATCCAGTTTCTAATGCCCTGCATTTGCATGCCAGGGCTTTATAAGAAAGTCTTCTGCAGCAGCTCTAAAAATGAAAACTTCCCAACGGCCCCTTTTCCTCTCTGTCTGCCTAAAATAATTTCTTAATAACTCCTTCAACATTCTCCACTGTGGAGATGTCACACTAACTGCTGTTAGGGGGTATTGGGCAATGACTCTTTCTGACTACTTCCTGCTGAAAAGGGGCATTGAATGAGGAACAGCAGCTAGGGATCCTCCTAGGGTCAACTTAAGGGTCCTTGGAAGAATGGCATGTGCATGTGTGGTTCAGTCTGCAGCGCCATTTGGAGTTTGATTGCTTCTGTGAGTTGGGTGATCCTCTCCTCTCGAGGTCCCAAGATAAACTCGGAACTTCCAGACCTGTTAGAAAGTGACATTCTTTACTGGTTACAGGTTAGGAACCCTGTGCAGGGACTGTGTGGACAATGTATGAGGCCAGTTCTCCCAATAAAGGGGCTTTATTGGCTCTGCATGTCAAGCTTGACTCAGATACTCTCCAAATTCTAGAGGAGCCAGGTGGAGAAAAATGAACATGCTCCAAATTTTGTTCACAGTAGTATACCTTACTTAATTATTAAAGGCCATAAATAGCTTAAAATAAGTTTCCTTCACTCTGAAAAACAAAAGAAGGATTAGCAATATTCCAAGCAAAAGTTAAAAAGGTTGCTTAAACTTTCTGAGTGCAGTCCACTTAGTTCACTTTTGTTTTGCTTGGTATTTGTGAACATGTCAGTTTTTTAGGAGTCCCCTACGTTCTTTTTCTATTCCAATGTTACAATCTTCAAAGCTATTAAAAACCTGCATTTGAAAACACCTGTTAAAGTCCTTAATATAGCTTGATGATAAACCATCCTTTGAGAAGTAACATAGCAAGACAATAATTGTCTGCAAATGGCAACATTTCCAGGATAGTTACAGTTAAAAACATGACTGACAAAGAAGTTTATCTCTGTGGCTTACAATAACTTTACCCTTAATTATGATTGATAGCATATACTTAGACATTAGAATTTTAGAAATCCCATTCAATTTTTGAACATATATTAGTATTATTCACCAAAATATAACTTAGACATCATTTTGGCAATCTTATGTGACTAAACATGTCAAATAATCATGTTTACCTCTTTTCTGAATGTTTCAGGGGCCCTCTGAACCATCCAAAAAGCCAAGCATCAGGAAAGACAATTTCCAGATTGCCATAAATTACTTTGCCAAAATGATGACTCAAAAGGCAAAAACCTTTCATTAGCCTATACTATGACATGAAAATCCTGCTCAAAGGCAGGGATGAGCTGATTACAAAATAAGCCAATTGGCTTTGGATTGTCTTGCAATGAAGCGCATGGTAGAAGCACTACACCATCTTCTCCCATAGTATCTATATGGTCTTTTCATAAATTGAGAATTGAAATAAAAGCATAGCAAGGAGATCTTAAGACACTAATCTGCCCTTTAATAAAAGGGTTATAAAAGGTTTGTAAAGATTTCACTTCATGGTCAAATTGGTTAAGATAAAACGGTATGATCTATAATGTTTCATTTAAACAAATTGGGGTTAATATTAACAAACTAACACAAGGGTAAAATTTGGCTTTGAACAGGATTTTCATGTCATAGGAAAACACTGTTAAATTTTAAATTTTAAATGTCTAAGATGAGCAGACATAAAATAGAAAAAGTCCGTCTAACCCAGTGGAGTGGTATTTGAGGCTACCTAAAATTTTTTTCTTTTTCTAAAACGTGTTACTGAGAGGTGAAGCCAGCTGGACTTCCTGGGTCGAGTGGGGTCTTGGAGAACTTTTCTGTCTAGCTAGAGGATTGTAAACACACCAATCAGTGCTCTGTGTCTAGCTAAAGGATTGTAAATGCACCAATCAGCACTCTGTGAAAACATACCAATCAGCACTCTGTGTCTAGCTAAATGATTATAAATGCACCAATCAGCACTCTGTAAAAATGCACCAATCAGCATTCTGTGTCTAGCTAAAGGATTGTAAGTGCACCAGTCAGCACTCTGTAAAAACACACCAATCAGTGCTCTGGGTCCAGCTAAAGGATTGTAAATGCACCAAACAGCACTCTGTAAAATGGACCAATCAGCACTCTGCAAAATGGACCAATCAGCGTTCTGTAAAATGGACCAGTCAGCACTCTGCAAAATAGACCAATCAGTGCTCTGTAAAATGGACTAATTAGCAGGAGGTAGGCAGGGACAAATAAGGGAATAAAAGCTGGCCACCCCAGCCAGCAGTGTCAACCCACTCGGGTCCCCTTCCAGGCTGTGGAAGCTTTGTTCTTTCACTCTTCACAATAAATCTTGCTGCTGCTCACCCTTTGGGGCCGCATTACCTTTATGAGCTGTAACACTCACCACAAGGATCTGCAGCTTCATTCCTGAAGTTAGCGAGACCACGAACCCACTGGGAGGAACAAACAACTTTGGGTGCACCACTTTTAAGAGCTGTAACACTCACTGAGAAGGTCTGCAGCTTCACTCCTGAAGTCAGCGAGACCACAAACGCACCAGAGGGAAGAAACTCTGGACACATCTGAACACCTGAAGGAATAAACTCTGGACACACCATCTTTAAGAGCTGTGACACTGACCTCGAGGTTCCGAAGCTTCATTCTTGAAGTTAGCAAGACGAAGAACCCACCGGAAGGAATAAATTCTAGACACATTACTATTATACATAACAAATATGTAATTCTAGCACTCATAGCTTTTGAGTAAGCAGTTTGTTTATTTTAGAGAGTTTTGTCGTCAGTAGTTAGACACAAGCAGGAGAGCTGTGCAACTCTTCCATATCTGTGCAACTCTTTCACATGGCCATCACAATCATCTTGGTTGGGCAAGACATAGGCAGTTACTGACTTACAACATCAAATAAACAGTTAACCTAGAGTATGTTGAAGTTGCTAAGCAGAGGGAGGGTAGAATAAAAGAACATGCTAGTGAGAATCAGAAGACTGACAGATTACAGTTTTTCTCATCTGTGAAACCAAAGGATTCCGTAAAAGGATCAGTAGCTTTTTATCCAAGCCTATTGATCTTGTATTAAAAGTCAATATTAACACATTATTGGCTGAGTACAATGGATTACATTCCTTTAATCCCAGCACTTTGGCAGGAAAGGAGGATAGCTTGAGGCCAGGAGTTTGAGACCAGCCTGGGCAACATAGCAAGACATCTCTACTAAAAATAAAAATAAAAATTAGCCAGGCATGCTGTTGTGCACCTGTAATACCAGTTCAGGAGGATTGCCTGAGCCCACGAGTTCAAGGCTGCAGTAAGCCATGATTACACCACTGCATTCCAGTCTTGTAGGAATCCCATTTGATTCTTATGCATTTATACTTTGATAATATACAGCACTAATTATGGTAATCTTCATCTTCCTGGTACTATCATGTACCATTAGTTTCACATTAGAATAGTTGCCCAAAAGACTGATGCAGGTATAACTGAACATTCATGATATATATCTAAGTTCATCCCTTGAGGAATTAGAGTTCAAAATAAGGAAATAATACAAAACAGAAAGGAAAGTTAAGAACAATTAATAACTGGTAATTTGGGCCAAAACCATAGTAAAGAAGTTATCTTGAAACTATATTTAGATATTTCTCAAAAAAAGAAAAAAAAGTCTTCTAGGGCATTATTTTGTTGCTGTCTTTGCCCCCATTAATTTGAGTTTTTACTACTTGAAATACATAAAGCATATATGTTTTTATTCATAGATAAATCATTATTAAAGGTAAAAGCAATAAAGGTATAAAAAATGGTTATGTTCAATTCTCTTAGCATGCCATTTGGCTTTAGAATTTTTTATGATTATGATGAATTCACCCTGCTACTGATATTAGTGAGACATGAAAAGTGATTCATTTACATAATCATAACACTAAATTCAATGAAATGCTTCAGGAAGTAGTTTCATCAACTATGTAGGGAAACCAAGTTAGGATATTAGTCAAATAAATAATGCAAACAATTTTCTTCTGATAATTCAACAGTAAAAATAAGTTGTCTTTCTAAAATCTTTTGTTTTGATTGGGGAGCATGAGGGTTCATTGGAGGCTTAGATGTGTTCTATTTCTGATCACTAATCTAAGACATGTATAGGGAATTTGATAACAAACTTCAAGAAGCAGAGGGTGTGGTATGCACCCACTTGGCCATAATTCTGGTTTAGCTATTCACTTACAGTGCAACCATGGCCAACTTATTTAACTCATTGAGCCTCGGTTTTCTCACTTATAAAATAAATATCTTAATAATCTTTCTCACATTGTTATTGCAAAAAAGGAAGCAATTAATGTTAAACATAAGCCATAAATTATCTTGCTTATTTTGAGTCTTACAGACATATATTTTCCATTATGACCACCATGAGTCATACTGGCTGCAAAATCTAAAACAAAAACACATCTTTTGTTTAAATGGAAGCATTCCACATCTCCTTCAGCCCTCAATCAGGGCAGAGGAATCACATGGAATGAGAATAAAGAATAAAGCCAACTGACTACAGTTTATGTTCAGTCATCTTGCTTCAAGCAAGTTGAGTGAACAAGGACTCACATTTGCAATATTCTAAGGAGGTGTAAAGGGGAGTTAGAAAGGAGTGAAGTGAGTGAAAACAGAAACAGAAAAGGACAGGGATGAGGCATATTCAGAGAGCCTAGGGAACCCAGTTGAACAAAAGATATTTGTGAATGTGCATTTGATTCACGTATACAGCAACTTATTTAGGGAGGACTTTTGTAGTATAAACCCTCAAAGCAGAAAGTCTGTCTTCATGTGAGATTCAGTCATACATCTTATGGGTGTTCAGTATTCACCCAAATCATATTGTTGAATATGACACATACATATTCAACAATATGTATACATATGAATATGTATGTACCATATTCAACAATATGCAAAGTGAAAATAGTTTTATATAAAATCAGCCCATAATTCAATATTCTAAAGTAGTTTAAGAATCTCTCTCTCTCTCTCTCCTCTGTGAAAAAAAGAAGCTAAGCTATCATCTGCTCAAACTTCTTGATTTTAAAGATAAGGAAAACCTAAACTCAGATTGTTTATCATTTTCTAACTCACAGAGTTAGTTCAAAGAAAGGTGAAAACAAAAGTTCAGGTTTGCTGACTGCCGGTTAGGAGGAAGGGCCACATGCCAGCAACCATACCCTACATTTAGTCAATTAGTATAGGAGCTTTCGTCCTACTTCCGCCAAGAGGGTTGATCCATGGCCATTGTGTCTCCCCTTTACTTAGTTTTCTCTCTATGTTTAAAACCTGATCATTCAGGCCGGGCGCAGTGGCTCACGCCTATAATCCCAGCACTTTGGGAAGCCGAAGCGAGTAGATTGCCTGAGCTCAGTAGTTCAAGACCAGCCTGGGCAACATGGCGAAATGCTGTCTCTACTAAAAATTCAAAAAATTAGCCGGGCATGGTGGCGCATACCTGTAATCCCAGCTACTCAGGAGGCTGAGGCAGGAGAATCACTTGAACCCAGGAGGCAGAGGTTGCAGTGAGCCAAGATCGTGCCACTGTATGCCAGCCTGGGTGACACACAGCGAGACTCTGTCTCAAAAAAAAAAAAAAAAAAAAAAAAACTTGATCATTCAAAACTTCCTCACAAATCCAGTTACCTAAATTCTCTTCAAAGTTTTTTAATAAAATAATGTGCTAGACATTTTCTATTTTAGAAAGAAACTTCACCACTGACCTCTCACAAAAAGACTAGGCCGGGCGTGGTGGCTCACACCTGTAATCCCAGCACTTTGGGAGACTGAGGTGGGCGGATCATGAGGTCAGGAGTTCAAGACCAGCCTAGCCAACGTGGTTAAACCCTATCTCTACTAAAGTTACAAAAAATTAGCCAGGAGTGGTGGCGGCACCTATAATCCCAGCTACTCAGGAGGCTGAGGCAAGAGAATCGATTGAACCCGGGAGGCTGAGGTTGCAATGAGCCAAGATCGTGCCATTGTGCTCCAGCTTGGGTGACGGGGCAAGGTTCCATTTAAAAAAAAAAAAAGACTCCGGTCAAGATGAGTCATCAGGTGAGACTGAGAAGTAACACAGGAACTTGGAGAAGGGCAGTGGGTCAGGTGGCTTAACTGGAAGAAGAGTGCCACACACTGGGGAAAAAGAATGTCATCTCCTCAGATGCTTCTAGAAGGGTGTTTTTAAAAGTTCTTGAACTGGGAACTCTCAGATTTAATTTTCTCTTTTATTTTCTTTATTTTGCTGGCATTAAGTACAAAGAATTGGATTTTAGATTAGTCATAATCAGTGGTTCGTGACATAGTCATTGCTGCTGCATTTAAGGCAAGGCTTGCTTTTAGTCAGTTATTGAATGAATTATTTGTAATAATATAACAAGCCTGAGAACCAACAACTTCCAACCAAAGCAAGGCCCTTGACAAAAATCTACATGTAGCCATGAGGCTCAATCTATGTCCTTGCCTCCCCTACACCCAGAAAGAATGTGCTTATACATATCTGAGTCAGATTTGAGGCACTGTTGTGATAGGCAATAACATTTCTTAATTTTTTGTTATATGGAGCTAACAATTCTTTTTCAAAGCGACACCAATGGCCAGTTCCATGATTTTTATACAATTAGTTTAATCAAATTTCAGATTTGAAATTGGAGAAGTAGTAGGACAGTATAGTAGAAGGGCTCAAGTTCTGGAGTCAAACTAACCTTGGCTTAAATTCAAGAGCCACCATGTATTACCAACACTTACTTTTACCCTAGGCAAGTTGCATAACTTCTCTAAGCTGCAATTTCCTCCTAATGAAGAACAATAATAGCCCATATTGTGAGGACGTGATTATATAATCATGAAAACTATTTAACCTAGTGCCTGGCATAAAGAAAATGCTTGATTTATATAAGCTGTTATCATTTTTATCTCCTATTCTCCAGGCAGTACTTTTTTAATGCTATATTTTAAAATGTTTTGACATGTCATAAAACAAATTTCATGTCGTTGTGGATCTTTCCTTCCAAGAAGATAATCAACTGTGTAATAGTAATGATATACTACATTTTCTAAAGCTACGTGAATTTTAGAACACCATTACCTCATCTGGTACACAGAAGAGTTCTATAATTATGTTCAGGAAGGCAGTATTATTTCCAATTTATACAATTGAAGTTCAGTGTGATTAAGCTGGCAAAAATTTTTCAGGCATGACATGTAGCCTGAAAAAACCTGAAATTCAGTAAGTTTTACGTTTTCCCTTCAGTCTCTCCTATTCTACCTTGTGAATGTGGACAGTGTTTTAGGGAGTCTCTCTCCTTTATACCACCTGGTCATTTGTCAAATGGGGCAAGGTAGACACCTCTTTCTTAAACAGGGAAATTTATCATTTGCTTAGTTTTCTATCATAAATCTCTTCTTTTGAAAAGGAAACATACATCAAAACCATTTCTCTTATTTTTATTACTATTATATTTAATTGTACCTTATTTATTACAGAAAATATCTTCATTTTCTTGGAACACTGATACATGTCCTTTGCCTTTTTTATTGTGTTAATCAAGTTTGCCAAAGCATTTTGAGCCATCTTTGATTTTGAATACAATCTTGTTGTAGGCCCTCCTGAGCCAGAAATAATGAGTCTAAAGTGGCCTGAACTTTCTAACACGTTTTAATTTTTAGGTTAATAAATATTAACCTAAAATTACTTTACTTATTCATTACTTTATTTATTTTGTATTTACAGTAAATTAACTTTCATTACTTCATTACTTTATTTCATTTTATTTCATTAGTTTATTTGTTTTTAAAGTAAATTAACATGAGAAATTGCTGCTTTGTTAATAAGTCAGTCTTCCTTTAGGTTGTCTAATATGAACAAAAATTTACTCTAATAAAGTACTTCCAAAATGTCCAATTTTACATTTAAGCATTCTCATCATTTATATTCCATTTTTCACATGACCACCAGAATGATCTGTTATAATGTCAAGTATTAGTTATCTACTAAAAGTGCTCTAAAAGCTATCATTGTTCTTAAAATAAAGTTCAGATTTCTTTCCATGGGCTTCAAGTTTCTATATATTCTGTCTCTCCTCTACATTTCTGACTTCCTGCCTACCACTCTCCTCTCCCTCACTGCTCCACAGCCACCCTGATTCATTTTTCAGTCCTCCAACCCACTTTTCTCAGAGTCTATGCACTAACAGTTCTAGGTGGGGTATTTCTTGCCATTCAATTCTCCCCTCAAACATCATCTACTCGTGATTTTCACACTGCTATAAAGAACTACCTGATACTTGATAATTTATAAAGAAAAGAGGTTTAATTTACTCACAGTTCCACAAAGCGGGGAAGGCCTCAGGAAATTTATAATCATGGCGGAAGGCGAAGGGGAAGCAAGGCATGTCTTACATGGCAGCAGGAGAGAGAGTGAGGGGAGAAGTGCCACACTTTTAAACCACCAGATGTGGTGAAAACTCACTCACTATCACAAGAACAGGATGGGGGAAATCAGCCCCCATGATCCAATTGCCTCCTACCAGATATCTCCGTTGACATGTGGGGATTACAATTCAAGATGAGATTTAGGTGGGGACACAGAGCCAAATCATATCAAATGCACAATCATTACTTGTTGAAAGAATTTTAGGATGAATTGATAAAATATAAGAATAATAGATTTAAATTCATTTCTATCTGACTCTAAACCCACACTCTTTCCACTTGATCTTACATTGTCTTTATGTTTTGGAAACTGTACAATAACTTTAGGTTTGTTCTGAGATCCATCTTCTCTGTTGTAAATTATATAGTCACATCTCTCAAGCTTAACTGGCTTTCCCTATAAGGATAAAGAATTGTGTGCTCCTTTTGTCCCATTAAGACAGAAGTTAAAACAAGAACTGAAATGTGTAGTGCCTAATCTATATAGTACCTAATACAACTTCCGGTATCTGTTCTTTGGCTCCGTGTAGGTTGGGACACCTCAAGCCCTGTGAGACCCATGTTTCTTTTATTTTTCTTGCCATAGGAGGGCATCTGAAGTATAGAGTGCAGATAAGTCACAAATAATTTTTTTAATCAATAGAAGACTCTTTTTAAAAAGGCTTATCACAAGAAAGAGGGACAAAACACTCAAATTTGGTTAAAGAACACAAGGGCCTAAGTTAAGAGGGAAAAGTTAGTCTCATTATAGTTCAACATTTGTTCTTGAGATTTTGCTTTCTTCCAGACCCAAGACAAGGTGACTGCCATAAAGGAGAAAACACCAAAAGAGTTCAGCACTCAAAATCAGCAAATAATAAACAAGTTTGGTCAAATATATTGAATAAAGAGGAAAGCAGTATTTTGCTCATAGAAAGCTTACATTTCAAAGGAAAAGAAAGACACATAAGTAGGTAACTTATTATAAATGCAGATATGGAAACATGCTCAAGATTCTGGGCCCCATACAGGAAGAATATGTTAGGGATGTCATCATAAAAGAGATAGTATCTGAGCTGCCTTGTAAAATATCCAGGTACTTCCTATGCAGGGGTGAAGTAAGGAGGGGATCCCAGGAAAAATAATAGCATGGTCAAAATATAGACTTGAAAAACATTATTAGATGTATGTAGCATTTAAAACAGTGTAGAACTTCAGGATTATAAAGGACAGGCAAGGAAGTGGTGGACGATAACGTTGGAGAGGTAAATAGGTTCAATTCATGAAGGATGAGATATTCACAGGTAAAGAGTTTGAACTTCATCTTGTAGGTGATGAAGAACCATGGAAAAGATTTTCATAGTAGAATACTATTGAAAAAAATCTTTAGGCAAAATAAATTTAATAAAGTTTATTTGAGCAAAGAACAATTCATAAATTGGATAGTACTTTGAATCAAAAAAAGATTCAGAGTGCTGTGATGCAGCATTGTCATATTGGGGTGGAGAGGGGGTGATTCCTTTCCTCCCCATCTTAAGGGTCTTGGCCAACACCCCTATAACAAAAGGCAGATTAACAAGAGAAAAGCATAACAAATTTAATTCATCAGTTTTTCATGACATGGGAGCCTTCAGAATGAAGACTCAAAGATACAGGGGAAACTATCTGATTTTATGCTTCCATTCACTGAAGTAGGGACAGTCATGTAGAAATATGGTTAAACAAACAAACAAAAAAAATGTACGAGCTAACAGTAATAGACTGAGTGAAAAAATCTATCAAGGCCTGCCCAGATTCTTCTTGACCTCTCTATACATCTGCTGGTATGTTTTTGCTTAATCTATAATATATTTAGAGGGGTAGACCAATGTTTAGCTTCTGATTGGATAGGGAGAAACAATGCACTATTAAAATTTCTAATGATTAGTGATGTTGAGCATTTTTTAATGTATCTGTTGACCACATGGATGTCTTCTTTTGAGAAGTGTCTGTTCACGTCCTTTGCCCATTTTTTAATGGGGTTGTTTGATTTTTGCTTGTTGAATTGTTTGTTTCTTATAGATTCTGGAAATTAGACCTTTGTCAGATGCATAGTTTGTGAATATTTTCTCCCATTCTGTAGGTTGTCTGTTTACTCTGCTGATAGTTTCTTCAATATCACTACTGGATATATACTTAATGGAAAATAATTATTCTACAGACAAGACACATGCACTTATATGTTCATTGCAGCACTATTCACAATAGCAAACACATGGAATGAACCTAGGTGCCCATCAACAGTGTACCAGATAAAGAAAATATGGTACATATACACCATGGAATACTATACAGATATAAAAAAGAGCAAGACCATGTCCTTTGCAACAACATGGATGCAGCTGCAGGCCATTATCCTAAGCAAATTAATGCAGGAACAAAACACCAAATGTCACATGTTCTCACTTATAAGGAGGAGCTGAATATTGGGTAAACATGGACATAAAAATGACAACGGTAGATATTAGGGACTAATATGGGATGTTGGAGGGAGGAATGGGTTGAAAAACTACTAGGTATTGTGCTCATTACCTGGGTGATGGAATCATTTGTGCACCAAACCTCAATGACATGCTATTTACCCATGTAACAAACCTGCACATATACCCACTGAACCTAAAATAAAAGCTGAAAAAAAATAAAATTATTTACTCAGCAAGAACAAATAGATGAATGAATAAAATGTCTAGGTTTCATTGGCCTTTAATTCTCCATCTGTAAAGACATAGGGTGGTCCAAATATATGGCTGAGAGGTAAATTCTCAAGAGATAAAGATATACCCAGGGGGTGGGCATAAGCCTCTACCTTGGGTGATTTCTTTTATACAACCATTAGTTGGAATAGAGGCATTGGCAGTTTCTAGTTTAACCAAGAGACTGATGTTAAGTTATTATATACTGAAAGCCTGTCAAAAGACATAGGTACATAGGCATTCTTGCAGATATATCTATTTATGTTCATATGTATATATCATAACATTCTTCCAATATGAGCAGACCTGGTCAGCCCAATCCATTATTGGGGTTATATTAAAACAAGGGTTAAAAATAAATGGGTCCAGAAGCTTAACTAAAGAAGAAACCAGCTGTGCAATCTAAACAGATGGTTGCATTTGGGATTCTAGTTATTTCAGTTACAATGTGGAGGAAAGGATCTCTAAAGTCATGCAAAGATTTTGGCTTAGTGTGTAAATCCAGCATTCAGTTAAATTTTCTGTGAAAGCTATTATTGACTGTTAGATTATTTATTTATTTATTTATTTATTTATTTATTTGAGACGGAGTTTTGCTCTTATCGCCCAGGCTGGAGTGCAATGGTACAATCTTAGCTCACTGCAACCTCTGCCTCCGTGGTTGAAGCGATTGTCCTGCCTCAGCCTCCTGAGTAGCTGGGATTATGGGCACCTGCCACCACACCCAGCTAATTTTTGAATATTTTTAATTTTGAATTTTTTTAAAATACAGCCTGTGTTTCGCCATGTTGGCCAGGCTAGTCTCGCACTCCTGACCTCAGGTGATCCACCCTCCTCGGCCTCCCAAAATGCTGGGATTATAGGCATGAGCTACCATGCCCAACCCGTTAGATTCCATGCAAAGATAAAAAGGAGGAGCAAGAAATAGGAGAGGAAAAGAAATAGGGGGTTCATGATGGAGAGAGGAGGTTCTTGGGAAAGCTGTTTACATTTAAGATGTCATCTGCTTCTGGAGAAAGATCTTTCTGGTCAGCTTTATCTTTAGATTACCAACTGGCATGTAGTTCCATAAATTGAGGGGGCCCCCCTCCAGTTGAGAGACATAGATCTAAGATTCAAGGCCTTGAAGTTTTGCTGGAGTGTGAATTATGAGAAAAACTTAGTATGTTCCCTTTCAACAAGGTTCAAGGGTAGTCTTTCTTTGATATCGTTTCCAAAAGACCCAGTCTCCAGGTTCTAGATGGTGGAAAATCTGATCATGAATCAGTGAGTCACAGAAGCTTATTTAACCTAATGAAAATATGCATTGGCATAATGTATCAAAGCCTCACAATATTGAGTCATGTCAGCGATTACAAATATAAGAAATACATGAGGTTTTATCATGAAGGGCACAGGTATTCCAGTTACTATTTTATAAAGGTGTCAGCTTGCGCATTGCAGTAGGGGTAGATTTAATTATCATTAAAGTCAGTGGTAAAACTTTTGGTGACGGCAATCCAATGAATTCCGTTAATATAGCCAAATTTAGTTTTAGGATACCATTTGTCCATTCAACCTTTACAGAAGACTAGGATGGTAAAGACAATGAGAATGTCATCTTGTTTGTAAAACTTTATTTAATTGTTTAATAATTTGTCCAGTAAAATGAGTTCTCCTATCATTGGAAATCTCTCCAAGGACACTTCATGAAGGAAATACATTTTCTAGTATATACAGATGGATAGATAGATATAGATAGATAGATAGATAGATAGATAGATAGATAGACAGATAATTTGCCACTGTTGTGGCATCAACCTTCCTGCATGGAAAGGCTCCAATCTATCCTGAGAACAGGCATACAGTTACATAACATACTGATAAGCCATGGAGGATAGCAGATAAATGAAGTTTATTTGTAGGGGTGAAAATGATCTTGCAGATACTAAACATGTACCACCTGGAACCTTAATGGCTTTTCTCAAATTAGGAATATGACAAATCAGACACTAGTTATAAACCTTTTTTGCAACTTTAGAACAATAACCCCCATACTTTTTCATAATCTGGACCGTTTTGACTATATTATGGTGAGTTATGTAGTGTAGATCTTTTAATAGTGGCTATTTTGAAGACTCAGTGATGACAAGGTGTCCATCTGGGCTCTCAGTGAGTTCACATTTAGTGTTAAATTTGAATCTTTTAAGTGTCAATTTTCTTTTCTTTTCTAATTCAGGTGCACAGCATCAATTATTGAATAAATTATCATAGGTGGTTATTTGATTGGAATCAATCTTATGGAATTCTTTAGATTGCATACCGTATTACTTATTAATTGAAAATGGAAGTCGGGTAGAGCATTTTCTTGATATTCAGTTTCAGTTTTATAAAAAGCTTCAATTTTACTAATAGCAACTTGTGAGGGCAACAAAGTAACAGAAAGAAGCCCGTACACTTGGGGTATATTTTTAATGGGGATCCCATTAGAAGTGAAAAATCCTCTTTGTTTGCATAGCACACCAAAACCATGGACTATAGAAAAACAAGAAAGATAGAAAACATCATGAGTCAAGAGTTCAAATTAAAAAATGAGGAAAAAAAGCATTTTTCTCACAAAAAAAGTATAAAAGGCATGAATCAATGAAATTTATTTTGTGTTGTCTACCATTTTATTGCTACAACATCAGGCACTAACATGTAGTACTCAATAAATATTTGTTGAATTAATAAAGAAGAGCAGTCCATTTGTGATACCAACAGAAATAGACAGCAGGATGTTGACCCATATGTTTTTAATGGCCTGCCCACTATGTGTAATTATTGGACTAAAGCATCAGGAAATTGAGAGCTTCTTCAGGGAAAAAATACCAACATTTGCATACCGAAGAAGATATTTATTAAAACTGGGAAAAACTAAGATATCAAGCAAACTGAGGAAGAAATCTCACAGAATCCATAGAAGGGATGGCTTGACCTTCTTTTAAAACCCTGTGGCTGGATAAATGTCTGCACAAGGAGAATGCAAAGGCCTTACTTCACATATTTTATCCCAATCCAGCCTAACCCTCTAGATGTCATGAAATAAGTTAATGCCACTGAGACACATGCTGAAGTAGACCAGTCTCTTCTTCGTCCTGCCTCTATCCCCAGTCACAAGGCTGACTGCTGAAAAGTCCCTGACCTATTCTAATGACTTAGAACTGAACCAAAACTTCTAGTGCTATGCAAATCAGAACAGATGTAGGGGCTTCTCCAGGTCCAGATGAATGTTAATTTCTAAAGTGAAGCCTCAACTGACTTTTTTTTTTTTTTTGAGGGAAAGTGGATGTTTCTGTTAGAATTCTGTTCTAAAGCAAGAAAATCTAAAATAATGATTTTTTAAAACTAGACACTGTTTTTTCTTTCACTTAAAAGAAGGCTTGAGCTTCACTAATCACCAGGGATGCTGGCTCCTGTCACCTTGCAACTCTGTCATCCTCAACATGTGGCTTTCTCCTCGTGGTCCAGTGTAGCTGCTGGAACTCCAGCCATCATGTCACATTTCAACCAATAGGAAGAAGGAGAAAAGAAAAGCACCCCACCCCCCTTCCAGAACACTTCTCTAAACTTATACATAACACTTCTCTTCAAATCCCACTGGCCAAAGTTTAGACACAGAACCATAACTAGCTGCAAAAGACCAGAAAATAAATATGTAATCCAGGTGGCCGGGATTGCAGTGGCAAATGAGAAGTTCGGATAAACATGAAGAAAGAGAACCTACATATTTAGTCACAACTAGGAGCTTCTGCCATAGAAAGCAAAAACAGTCTTCTGGGACATTCTCTCCATAGTACTGAGTCTTCTACTTGCCTCAGTTAGGAATCTCAAAAGGACAGCTGAGCTTGGAGCCCTGCAACATGCTCTTTGGAATAAAGCTGCCATGACTCATTCTGTACCCAACCGGTATCCTCAACAACGGCCAGTATGAATCTAGGCTTGACTTTATGACAAATAGAATAACATGAGAACCTCAATTATTTAAAATATTTTATAAAAACCTTAAAATATGATTGATAGTGAGTCATTTTATTATCTCTGTACCTGGAATAGGAAGTGGACACATAAGCTTTTAACAGACACAAAACGGACTTCTTCCTGTTTATCTTTCCTTCTGTCTCTACATTCCTTTGCTTGATGAGTAAACAATCCCAGAATTTCAGGGATCACCAAAAACAGGGGTCAATAAACTGTAATCTGCTGTCCAATTTTGGCCTACTACTTGTTCTTGTAAATAAAGTTTTATTAGAACACAAACAAACCCATGCATGTACATATTCTCTGTGGCTGCCTTCACACTACAACAGCAAAACTGAACAGTTGTGACAGAGCCAATTTGACCCACAGAATCTAAAATGCTTACTATCTGACCCTTACAGAAAAAGTTCGCCAATCCCTAGCTTAGAATCCTAGAGCTGGAAACACTCTAGAAATGATCTAGTGCAAGGGTTCTCATCTTTTATCCCACCAGAAATATAGTACTTCCTTTTTTCTCCTAAAGCCTTTCACTTTAAAAGATTGTTTTGTAATTATTAACAAACTATATTTATTAACTAAATAATTTAATGCATATAATGACTTTCAATCAGAATAGTTCCTCAGCATGAGACAACTTGTGGGCCTACATTAAGCTGCTATTATTGTCATAAAAAGTAAAGAACATTTTATTTCAGACCATGTGTCCTAATAGAGGGAGGCATAACTGACCTCAATTAAGCTTTATTTAAAATGTAATAAAGTGTTCAGATTCTCCTTATGTCCTAAAGAAGTCAAAGAGGCTTGGGGACCCCAAATTGAGGTTCAGAATAGGTAATAAAACCAGCCTAGAGAGCTTCTTGCTTAATGTCACCAAGTAAGATTTAACAGTGATTAAGGCCCTGTCATTCTGACTCACCTTTCCATTTATTGCCTTCCCAGCTGCACAAATAAATGAGAAAACAGAAAATAATAAGTAAGCCTCCTACCACCTCACTAAAATATACATCAGTACACAACATGTATTTCTCAGAAAACCAAGGCCCTTGTGAAAAGATCAGGGTGGGTCCAAACCTGAGAAACTAACAAATCTGTTGGAAAGTCATTTAATCAGAATCAAATGTTCTATTTCTTACTTTAAATGTATCATGGAGTTGTTTTGTTGTTCATTTGTTTATGGAGAAATAGTGTACTAGCAAGATGAAAACAAGCATCCATCCATCCATGTATTGAGTTAAATCTTGGTTTAATTTACTAGAGATATGAATAAGTAAAAACCAACAAAGAAAGAGATTTTTTTCTCTTTAAATTTTCTGTTAACCATAATACTAAGAAATTCTAGTGAGCACCTAACTCAAGCTCCAAAAGAAGAAGACATCCAGTTATTCTCATTAGGGTCTTGGCCAAGTAAGGGAAGGGAGAGCTTGGAGAAGGAAGCAGGAGACATGGGTATTAGGAGCTCCAGAATTATGGAAAAATCATTTACTCTCCCATAAAATGACAAAGATAAATTATAATGCATTGTAGAATATGTTCATCCAGGAAACTCAGCTTCAACCAACAGCTGATTGAAAATATTTGAAAAAAAGTTTTAAAAACCACAACAATAAAAAATACAAATTTAAAAACAATACAGCATATCAAACATTTACATAGCGTTTATACTAGGTATTATAAGTGATTTAGAGATGATTTAAAGTATACAGGAGGATGTGCACAGGTTATATGCAAATACTACACCATTTTATATAAGGGATTTGAGCATCCTTGGATTTTGGTACCCATGGGGTTCTGGAACCAATCTCCCATGGATACTGAGGTATGACTGTACAGTGATATTTCTGCTAAATCATACTGCTAACTTCTCAAATTTCATCCAAGGAATCAAACTTATTTGATAACTATCTCTGTAATATATATACATGACTTTTGATAATATTATCATTATTTAATACTTATATTTTAAAGTAATTTATATACCTAGTACCTCAGTTTTATTTATGTATTAAATGCTTAACCAATTGTTTTCATACTTACCAGTGCTCAGCACTGTAAAAGGTGCTAAGGAAAAATTCTTCAAGATAAAATCGTCTCTGCCCTCAAGCAATTTGTAATCTATGAGTGGGTAGGTAATATTATTTCCCTCTGATAGATGAAGTAACAGAAACATGTGAGGGTACATGATTTCCATAGCCACACAAGTAGAATGAGGCAGACTTTAAGCTAGAAGTCCAAGCTTCTGGCTGCAGTTCACATCTTCTTATCACAAACTGAAATTGGGTTTGCTTAATATATTATTTCATAGCTTCCCTCCACCCACTATCATATGCAATGCAAAATAAAGATTATATTTAAGTCTAAAACAAAACTTTTACATACACTTGTTGAAATTAAAATTGCTTCAACACAGTACAATAATTGTGTAACTCAGACTAGAATAGGACTGGAACAAAAAATAGCAATTCCCTGAAGCTAATGATGTAATGGTCATAACTAAATTATTTAACTGATATATGTGTTTTTAGGATTAAAAGAGAACATTTTTCAGTCTAATCCCACCATTTCATATCTGTTTGGCCTAAACATATCCAGGAAAAATGACAGGCTGATTGATCCTAGTGATGAATTTGGAAATTCGGTTTATTTATAACTCTTCTTTTGCCTCTTCTATTTTTATAGTTTTACAAATCATTTTGTGAGCCCAGTGCATAGTTCAGGTGCCTTTAATTGTCTGAACCTTAATATCTTATGCAAATATATCATGTTTATGAGGTATCATTATCTAAAGCAAACCCATCAACTAAAAGGGCATTTACTTTTTGGGGAGAGGAAATATAACTTTATACCTAATTGTTATCTCAACATTTAAAAAATCCATAAGAACATAAAAAAATAATTATCTGAGCATCCTATCCATATGCTGTCAAATTTCTAGATATTGAAAACTTCCACAGTTGTCTGAATTATCCTGTTCATTTTTAATGTATCATTTGCATTAAATTATAAGACTGCCTACTGTCAAAATATTCAAAGTTTTGATTAGGGAATAGTTGCTATCACAATAAATTGTGCCTTAGCAACAATGTGAGATCTTTATGGACTAAACACAAATAATTCAAAACTGAAACATGTAAAATATGTTCATCACCATCATTAAATGGCATCAGACAGGATTTTCCAATTTGTGATGATTGTTCATAAAATTTAAACAAAAGCAAAATAATAGCATTGAACAATTTTCTGTGAGGTATGTTCTATAATACCTTTACCTGAATTTAAATAAACACAGTAATAATTAGTTGAAAAAAATCAATAACATTGATTTATTTCCCTGCTCCTAGCTTGTTTCACATACTCTTAAGAGCAGTAATGTGTCTTATTGCTTTTTTTATGACAATTTGTTTTAAGATTCTATTCAACATTCAAATATTCTTGGCATTAGAGAATTGAGAAAATATTAATTCAAAGATAAAAGTTTTCCTTTTATTTCAAAGTAGTTCATTATTTATTATCCTACAATCATTTTATGTGTGATTATTTTAATGCAAGAAAAGAAAGATCTAAAGAAATCAATGTGCCTGTGAGGCACTGCTGCCTTTAATTTGTCAATGTCCAAATTAAAACATTAATTTCTGTAGATTTTATTTCAATGAAAGTCACCTTTTTTGGATGTTTTTAGAGTTTTTGTGCTTTGTAGTTTGCACAAAGACATAGTTTCATTTATTTCTATAGCCCTGATGAAATAAAAAATAAAAATATTCTTCTTAGCTATCCCTACAACTTTGAAGAGCTATTTATATCAAAATTTAATTCAGTAACTCCTACGTGATAGTAAAATCCACATCTTTCCTGTTTTCCTCCCTTTCCTAACTTTTGGCCTCTCTCGAAGGAGGTCCACATTAACTTTAGTTCAACTACTCCAGAATACTGCATTATCAAAACTCTCCATCAATAATAAACATTCCGTAGGCCTATGTATTCCCAAGAGCTTTGAGCCTTCAAGTTGATCACTGTGACGTGTACTCAAGTAAAAAATAAAAATAAAAAAAATAAAAAAAGACAAGTATCTATTAAAAAAAACTATCTTTTCAAACCATTCAATAGCATTAAACTTGATTCTCAGAAACTACCTAGGGATAGTTGGCTGTGTTAGTCAGGATTCTCCAGATAAGCAGAGCAAATAGGACATATAGAAATATATAAATAAAGAGATATATAATTATAGGAATTGGCTCATGTGATTAGAAAGGCCAAGAAGTCCCACTATTTGCTGTCTGCAAGCTGGAGAATCAGGAAAGCCAGTGGTATAATTCAGTGTCCTATGGCCTGAGAATCAAGAGCTCCAATGTCTGTGGACAGAAGATGGATGTCCCAGCTCAAGGAGAGATAAAGAATTTACCTTTCCTCTGCCTTTTTGTTCTACTCTGCTTCTCAGTGGATTGGAGGATGCCTGCCCGCATTTGCGAGGACAGATCTTTCTCACAGAAGCATGCAGAAGTAATGTTTTACCAGATATGTGGGCATGCCTCAGCCCAATCTAGTTGACACATAAAATTAACCATCACAGTGATATGCATGAAAATAGATTTGACAAATCAAAAGATTCTAGAACAAATTACACACTTTCCCCCAGGTTTAAGATAAACTTGCATTCTCTTCAAAATAAAAGAGATGTGATTATTTATCAAAGTGTTGTAGTATGAATTCTGCACCGGTTACTTTGGTGGGTTCTGTGGCATCCTTAAGTGCTCAACATTTCTTGCAAAATTATTTCATGGAAGCATCTGTTGGTGGAAGATACGAGTTCCTTTTGAAACCAGAAATATGGTCCTTACAATAGGAGCTGATTAAGTAAAGTATGCACAAGCATGCAAAGAAATACAGCATGACAATTAAAATTATGATATTTTATGATATGATAAAAACACCATTCACATAAAAACATTATTATCATTTTGGTGTCATATTCTTTAATCTGTGTCTCTGTGTTTCAGTTAATATTATTTTATGCATATTAACAAATATGGAACTATATCATAATTTTCAGCTTTAAAATTAATATAGTAATCCTTGCCTTATCCACAGTTTCACTTTCAGTGATTTCAGTTGAGGCCCATGGTGATCCAAAAATATTAAATAAAAAATTCCAGAAATAACCATTTCTGAGCTTTAATTTGCACACTGTTCTAAGTAGCGTTATGAAATCTCATGCTGTGTCACTCTGTTCCTCCCAGGACAAGAATGATTTCCTTTGTTCAGCTTATCCACAGTATAGATGCTGTCCACCCATGAAGCACTTAGTAGCCATCTCAGTTATCAGATTGACTGTCCTGGTATTGGTGTCACAGTGGCCTCAAAGCCCAGGAGTAGTGATGCTGGCAATTCAGATATGCCAAAGAGAAGCCAAAAAGTGCTTCCCTATAAGTGAAAAGTGAATGTTTCAACTTAATAAGAAAATTAAAAATAATATGCTAAGGTTGCTAAGATCTATGGTAAGAACGAATCTTCTATCCATGAAATTGTGAAGAAGGAGAAAGACGTACGAGAGTTTTGCTGTCCACATTATGGTCACACTGTGTGATAGCGTGCTTAGTTAAGATGGAAAAGGTATTAAATTTGTGGATAGAAGACAGTAACAAAAAACATGTTTGGACTGACAGCAGTGAGGCTCAGTACTATCCACAGATTCAGACATCCACTGGGGTCTTGCAACATATCCCCCCACTGGATAAAGGAGGACAGCTGTACATATTTTTAAAAAGCAACAAACAAAAAAAACTCAAAATTTGAAAGAAAAGAAAAAGGAACAAGAACAAGATAAAAAACAAAAAGAGAAAGTGGGTAAAAATTACTTGAATTACTTTGGAGAATCAAAATTATAGTAGCTCTTGGAAAATGAGTTTGCAAAGGCCTTGAGGTAAAATCAATTCTAATTTCCTAAGTGTGTTTGTAACAAGCTATACAATTTCCTTGTCAGCATAATACTGATAAAGCCTTGTGAGAGCACTGGAGAGAACTCTTAAATTAAATACGTATTACATTAAGATAGATACAGTTTTATAGTTTCATTATTTACAGTGGGAGGTTCATAAGTGATGAATTATTTTACACAGTGTAGTCTTCCAAATGAAAAGCAATTCAAACATGTTTCTTGTTCAAGGATATGAGAATTTAGCACACTTGGAAAAATACATAGACCATTCTGCCTATGACTACTATGGCATTCTTTCACTCCTATTATAAGTATTTACTGAGTGTCAGTAACAATGTAGAAGTAACTTATAATACAGGATTATATCTGTTACCCCATTTGATCCTGAAGAAGTGAATAAATGCAACTTTACAAGTATAGTGAAATCATTTTTCTTCCAAACCTATAACATATGATTCTTAAATCACCTTTAAATCATATTTTAATTTCTGCAAGGCTCTATTCCAGCTACAAAGGCAATACAAAGGTGCAATGTGCGATGAGCCTCTACGAGATTGGAATGTACCAGAACAAAGACAAACACACATGCATGCACACAAAGTCTCCAATAAAGAAGATGTAACATTATACATGGCACAGACAAGGGGACTTTCTGCTTTAGGTGATGCGGATTCTTGGAAGAAACCTGAACTAGACCTTAAAGGATAAATACACTTTGAATAGGAGATATAGTAGGATGATCTCACTGTGACTGACTCAAAATTAACTGATTCAAATCACTTGAGACATACTCAAGGGACTTGAATCACACCTGGAAAATCTGTTCATCTGTGCCACATTCTACTGGCTGGAAGCAAGTGGCAGGTCTCCCCCACACTCAAGTGAAGGAGATTATTCAGCACATGAACGTCAGTGGGCAGATAGTGGGGGCCTTCGCAGCATTCTGCCTACCACAAGCCTTTAATAAAAAACACCTTTCTTACTTTTGTCCACCTTGTTGTCTCTGTTAGATTCTTCTCACTTTTCACCTGGCTAATTCCTAAACATCCTTAGGAACTCACTTTACATATTACTTCTTCATATTCTCCTTTGCTGACTATTCTATTGAAAGGACATGTCCATCTGGTACTTTCTCCTATACCATATTTTAACAGCTTCACTGAGATATAATTCATATACCATACAGTTCACCCATGTAAAGTGTAAAATTAAGTGGATTTTAGGATATTCACAGAGTTGTGCAACCAACATCATGATCTAATTTTAGAACATTTCCATTTGCCCAAAAAGAAGGTCCATACCCATTAGCAGTCATTGTCCTTGCCTCTCTCCCACCAGCCCTAGGTAACTACTAATCTACTTTCTGCCCCTATAGATTTACCTGCCCTGGACCTTTCACACAAGCAGAAGCATACAATTTATGGTTTTATGTGACTGGCTTATTTAATTTCGCATCATGTTTTCAAGCTTCATCCCGGTTGTAACCTGTGTCAATACAGTTACCCATTCCTATGCACAGGGATTGGTTTCAGGAGCTCCTTGCAACAGACAGTCAGCTCTGCAGAACCTGAATATATGAAAAGTCAGCCCTCCATATATGCAAGTTCCACATCCCAAAAATACTGTATTTTTCAATGTGCATTTAATTGAAAAAAATCCTTTTATAAGTGGACCCATGCAGTTCAAACCTGTGTTGTTCAAACGTCAGCTTCACTTCATTCCTATTTATTGCCAATAAGAATTCCATTATATAGATATACCACACTTGACTTATTCATTCATCATTTAATAGACCTTTTGGGTTATTTCCAGTTTGAGGTTTTTGCTGTGAACATTCATGCATAGTTTTTGTGTGGACATATGTTTTCAATTCACTTGGGTATATTTAGAAGAGTATAATTATTAACTCAAATAGTAATTCTATGTTTAACATCATGAAAAACTGTCAAATCATTTTCCAAAGCACCTGTACTTTTTTTTTTTTTTTTTTCTGAGACAGAGTCTCACTCTGTCACCAGGCTGGAGTGCAGTGGTGCGATCTCGGCTCACTACAACCTCCACCTCCCGGGTTGAAGCGATTCTCCTACCTCAGCCTCCTGAGTAGTGGGGATTACAGGCATGCACCACCATGCCCAGCGAATTTTTTGTATTTTTAGTAGAGGCAGGGTTTTACCATGTTGGCCAGGATGGTCTCGATCTCTTGACCTCATGATTCGCCTGCCTCGGCCTCCCAAAGTGCTGGGATTACAGGCGTGAGCCACTGTGCCCGGCCATGCCTGTACCATTTTACAGTCCCACCAGCCATGTATATAAGGGTTTCAATTTCTCCACAAACTTGTCAACACTTGCTGCTGTCACCCTTTTTATTATAGCCATTTTAGTGAGTATAAAGTGGAACTTCATTGTAATTTTGATTTACATTCCCCTAATGACTAATGAAGTTAAGCAGTTTTTCATGTGCTTATTTGCCATTTTTATATCGACTTAGGATAAAGGTCTATTGGAAATTTTTCCTTTTAAAATAGGGCTATTTGTCTTACATTATTAAATTGTCAGAGTTCTTTATGTATTCTGGATACAAGTCTCTTATCAGATACATGATTTGCAAATATTGTCTTCCATTCTGAAGCTTGCCCTTTCATTTTCTTAATGGTATAATTTGCAGCACAAAACATTTTAAAGCCCAGTTTATCTACTTTTCTCTTTTGTCACTTGTTCTTCTGGTATATTATCAAAGAAACCATTTCCTTATATATATAAATGGAATATTATTTAGCCTTAAAAAGGAGGTGGGGAACCTGTCATTCGTGACAATATGGATGAATCTGAAGGACATTATGCTAAGGGAAATAAGTTAGGCACAGAAAGACAAATATCACATGACTCATTTATATGTGGAATCTAATAAAGCTGAATTTATAGAAGTAGAGAGTAGAACAATGATTACCAGAGGCTTGGGGATGGGCTGGTGGAGAGAGAGGGAATGGGGAGTTCTTGATCAAAGGGTACAAGGTTTTGGATAGACAAGTGCAATAGATTTTAATGTCTAGTGCACATCAGTGTGGCTATTATCAATAATAATGTGTTATATATTTCAAAATAATTGAGAAACTAAATTTCAAATGTTTGACCATAAAAAATGACAGGTAGTTGAGGTGATAGATAGGATTTAATCATGCCACATTGGGTACCTATATCAAAACATCACATTCTACCCTGTAAATGTATAAATTATGATTTGTCACTTAAAAATATTAATAATTATTATAAATGAATAAATAAATAAATAAATAAAACCATTTCCTAACCCAAAGTCACAGAGGTTTCATCCCATGCTTTCTTCTAACAGTTTTATAGAGTTAGCTTTTTAACATTTAGGTCTGTGATCCATTTTTACTTAATTTTTGTATATGACATGAACCAGATGTCCAATTTCACTCTTTTGCATGTGACTATTCCACTGTCCCAGCACCATTTGTTAAAAAGACCATTATTTCTCTCTTCATATTATCTTAGCAGCTTTGTTGGAAATCAATTGGCTATTAATGTAAGAGTCTATTTCTGGCCTCTCAATTCAATTTCATTGATCTCTATGTCTGTCTTTATGCCAGTTCCACACTGTCTTGATTGCTTTAGCTTTGAAATACACTTCAAAATCAGAAAATATGAGTTCTTCTTTGTTCATTTTCAAGATTTCTGTTGCCACTCTTGATTCGTATCCATTACTTTAAGCCTTTGAGAATACATTATCCCAGTTTGCATCGTTTCAGACCTATTTTTTTTTTAGTCTTTCTCAAATGCCGAGCCATTCATCCCCTTTGTTTGGAAACATGTTGCTTGTCACCCCAAATTATCACTGATGGTAATCAACAGTGAACGTAAAGAGTAGCTGGAGCCCAAAGACAAGATAGAAAACAGGTACTCTTAGGAGAAAATGACAGATTTAGGTCACCAGAAAGTCTTTGAATAAGATATTGTGGGAACAAAGTGACTGCACAGCGACAAATTGATCAGAAATTTTAGAGTAAATTGTAATTTTGTGTGTGTGTTTGTGTGTGTGTGTGTTTTCTTTTCCTCATATGGACTGAGTAGATCATGTTGACTAAGTTAGTTCATTTTCCCAGACTCCTCCAAAATGAAATACATCTGTGTTGTTTTTCATGTTCTTACTGTCAATCCCGCCTTTTGGCCTGTGGTGACCGAGACTTTCCTATGTGTTAGAAATAAAGCACTTCTTGCTTTAATTTGCTCAAAAGAAAAAAGAGTTATAATTTGGAGATGTACATATACAGAGTGAACTGCATTGAAGGCATCCACATATGAGAGTTTTTCAGAGTTCATGTCCATTTGTTAATGCTTTGTATGTTCACATAGATCCAAAGCCAAAGAAAGGCATTGCTCTCATCTTACAGAAACAGCAACTGAAGTTCCAAGAGGTGAGTTGTCTTCCTTAGATAATTAAGTATGGCAGAGACAGAGCCAGGTGGAGAATCAAAGTGCAGAATTGTCACTCTCCTTGGAACACTTATAGGTTGAATTGTGTCCTCCAAAAAGATATGTTGAAGTCTTAACACTGGTACCTGTGAAGGTGATCTTATTTGGACATAGGGTCTTTGTAGATGTAGTCAAGATGAAATCATTAGGGGAGACCCTAATCAAACATGACTAGTGTCCTTATGACAAGAGGAAAGGCATGTAACAACAGAGGTAGAGATTGGAGTGATACAGTTGAAAGCCAAGGAATGACAAAGGTTGATGGCAATTTTCAGAAGCTAGGAACAGGCAAGGAAGAATTCTTCTGTACAGGTTTCGGGAGCATGGCCCCACCAACAACTTGACTTTGGACATCCAACCTCTAGAACTGTGAAACAATAAGTTTCTGTCATTTGAAGCCACCCTGTTTGTGATACTTTGTTACAGCAGCCCTTAAAAATTAATATAGGCACTGTGTGCTCCTTAACACAACAGTTTATAACAAGAAATAATACTTCTCAGAGCAGCAAATGGTCCTTCACGCTCTAGGAACCATTCCCTGTTATTCATTCTCAATTCCACTACAGTAGGACAAATTCAATCTGGGGCAGTGGCCTTGGTACAGAGTATTCTCCAGCCTGAATACCTCCAATGAGGAAAAGTGTCCTAAGTTATGAATCACTTTTGCACAAGTGTGGCTGTCCACAATTTCTTTCTGTTAAACTAATTTGCCTTCACCTCACATCTATCCATTAATACTAGTTCTGTCTTTGAGGACACTCAAGATTAATCACATTCCTCTTCCATATGACAGGTCTTTAAATATTTCAAATCAGCTAGATGGCTCCCACAACTCCTTTTCTTCTAAGAATTTAAATTGTTCCTCACAGATTTCGCTTTCAAAATCATCTACCATTCCTATTAGACAGATGTCAGTGAATTTGTGTCCTTCTAAGTACAGCATTGAGAATTGAATGCCAAACTCATGGCATCAACTCCTTAGAGCAAATGAGAGCTGGAGCCAGCTCCTTGGTTGTCATGGATACCTCTTCTAAAACAGAAAAAAAATTACTATTATAGCCCAAACTGCCTGTCAACTAGGGTAGACCTTTACAATTGGAAGAACCATTTATTGTAATTTTCACTGTGATAGATTTGCGATAAGAGCAAATTTTGGAGCCCATCAATTTTTCCATATAAAACAGGAAGATAGCTAGTTCCTAAAAAGTGTAGAGAGGTCCGTGAGAAAACAACTGAATAAATACCTACCCCATACAATAAGGATCCAAAGTATCACAGCAAGTTAGAAAGATGGATCAAATCAAACAATAGCCAACCCAGCCTTCAGGACTTTAAAATATTAATTTTAATGGCAAAAATCGCACTTACTTTTGCACCAACCTAATATAAACTAATAATATAGGACACCTGATTCAGATACTGAGTGCATCCTGGTGGAGAAGTCTGAAGATCCCTGGGGGTCACCTGTCTGCCATAGGTTGGGTCAGTGGGCTATGAAAAGGGTAGAAGCCTCACCCCCTAAACCCAGACCCCTCCTCTAGCTGAAGTCAAGTGAATCAATCCAGCGGCTGGTCCACTGGGTAGGACTCCAGGTCCCCGTGAAGGTCTGCACTTACCCAGTGAGATTCCCCATGCTCAAGGTGCCTTCTTCCAATCTTCCCAGATTCAGCTCATATTTGTTTCTGTAGCCAGCTTGACACACCCTCCAGGGACAAGCCATGAAATAGAAATTGTCCTGGTCGTGATATCACATGAATTAAACATGCTATTTGCCTTTAGAATTGGCGTTGTACAACACAAGGACAAAAGGTAAAATTTAAGCTAATGATTGACATTTTAATTTTTTCTTCTTTAGAGTAATATTAAAACAAATTTAAAAAATCAATTTGAGAGCAGGACTGCGGGAACAAATCAAAAGTTTTGTGTACTATAACCACAAATTTTTCCTGCTTTAAAAAAAAATAGGCCATGTATTTTCACTTGACACCGGCGTCTGCAACTTATGCAGCCATCCTTGATTACAAGTAACAGTTTCTCAGTTTTTCCTAGTAATCCTCATAGCGGCTGGATACAATTCTGCTTGACACTGGGTCTTCTCACCTGTCTAATGACTCATATACTTCAGTATTCTCATCAATCTTTACTCACCCACCCAAACTCACTCTCTCTCTCTTTCTCCTTCTCATGCACACAATAATACATATAAACATTTGTAAATATTTTACTCTAGCTTCAGTTACCAGTAAAGTGAGCATTTGCTTACATTTTTTTTCTTTTGAGACAGAGTCTCGCTCTGTCGCCCAGGCTGGAGTGCAGTGGCGCAATCTCGGCTCACTGCAAGCTCCACCTCCTGGGTTCACGCCATTCTCCTGCCTCAGCCTCCCGAGTAGCTGGGACTACAGGCAACCGCCACCATGCCCGGCTAATTTTTTGTATTTTTAGTAGAGACGGGGTTTCACCGTGTTAGCCAGGATGGTCTCGATCTCCTGACCTTGTGATTTGGGAGGCCCACCTTGGCCTCCCAAAGTGCTGGGATTACAGGCGTGAGCCACTGCACCCAGACTACATTTTTTAAATATTCCAGGTATAATGAAAAAATCCTTTAAGAGCCCTTTGTTTTCATATGGTTTCCTTATATATATATATAATTTTAAAATTCTCAAATAACTTTGATATTTAATATGCCAAATCCTACTCTTACAAGATTCTGACTTATTACTAATAGGATTTAGTACTTCTATTCTTTGTACACTGGACATTAAAAGTCGCTTTGAAAGGGACCTTTAACATGTCAACAAATTTTCTCCTCTCTTTATTTTTCTTTTTGTCATGAGAATTATATTGAATGTCTTTGGTATTTTGCTGTATATCTTCTCAGGCTACCTTAGATCCTGGCTACCATAATAAAAGCTGCCTTTGCATAGGCATTACTAGAAAATAATTATCTCGACTGCACACATAACATACTCCTCTCCCTTTTCTAGTACTCCTCTGATGCAGCAACAAAGGAGGCTTACAAAGACCACTTCGTGCTTAGACACAAGAGACATAGAAGCCCCAAGGAGTTAATAAACCACAGGCTACCCTTGGCCAATGGAGGAGGGGTCAAGAGATAAGTGCCCTGTCTTCTCATCCTTGAGACACTTTCTCGTGAGAAGTTCCCAGAGGAATTGAGCTCCTGTAGCTATAGTGGGGACCAATTTGATAAATAACTCTTACCATGGTGATATGGTTTAGCTGTGTCCCCACCCAAATCTCATCTTGAATGGTAGCTCCCATAATTCCCATGTGTTGTGGGAGGGACTTGTTGGGAGATAATTGAATCATGGGGATGCTTTTCCCCATACTGTTCTTGTGGTAGTGAATAAGTCTCACAAGATCTGATGGTTTTATAAATGGAAATCCCTTTCACTTGGCTCTCATTCTTTCTTGTCTGCCACTATATAAGACGTGCCTTTCACCTTCCACCATGACTGTCAGGCCTCACCAGCCACATGGAACTGTTGAATCCATTAAACTTATTTTTACTTATAAATTACCCAGTCTCGGGTATGTCTTTATCAGCAGCCTGAAAACAGACTACTACTCATGGCTTTCCTTCCTTCCATGTTACTCTATTCCAGTCCCCATCTCAGTTACCTAGGGTCACTTCCTAAATAAGTCACCCACACACAAGCCCCTGTTACAAGCTTTGTTTTCTGGGAATTGGGTTGGGGAAGCCAAGGTAAAGGCAGTTGTGACACTAGACACTAGGGTTTAGTGTTCCCAGATACAGAAAGTAATAATGTCAATTACTTATCCGTATTGTCAATAAAGAATAACTCACCTGTGTGACTTCCTTGAGTTCCTGTCCACATGCTTCTTTCAAATAGTTAATATGAATCCTATCATATCTATGATTTAATGCCATTGCAGGATATGGCTTATTTATGCCATGACAAAATATGCAGGTGGACAATGTAGTTGATAATCTTATGAGCTTGTTAAATAGCTACATAAGCCTGGATAACTAGAAACCATCACCTTGATATTTATGACCAGGAACATGGCAAGAATAAGAAGAATGAAGAAAAAAAATATATTTTTAAGGAAAATGTTTAAAACAAATGTTTAAAAAATCTATTAATATGACACACAAAGAAAGACTGAAACGAGATGTGCTCCAAATAAAAGAAGCAGGTTTCTTAGAAGCAAAATTCCACAAGTTAAATCAAACTTCTATTCAATTATAGAATTAATAGAAGTTGAATAACTTGTAGCAATGAAGCAGTCTGATGTTCAGATAGATTCCGTGGAAAACATTAACTATAGTGCAAAGGTTACTTTGCCTGTTCATACTCTTGCAGCAAGTCCAGAGTAAACGAATGTAACTGCCTTTTTCCTGGATATTTCTGGTCAAAACAGACAAGCAAGATTTTTTAATAGAGCAGCATAAGAATGAAACTACAAAACAAAAATTATTTCAGGTTTGTCCAAGTCTCTCAGGAGTTGGGCAACTTTTCTTGGATTATTTTTAGCTCATACAACAGGAAGAAAACATTCAGAAATGTAGTGCAATGAAAATGGTTTTCAAAAGTAAGTTTTCCATTAACCCAAAAGAACATGTGACACTTGCTTATTGCCGAATAGCAAATCACTATAAAATGCTGTGGCTTAAAACAACAGCAATAAATAGTTAATTTCACTTATAAAACTTCAGTTTTCACAGGGATCCTTGTGAAGGTTTTACCTCTGCTCCACATAGCATCAGCTGGGCAGTTCAACTGGTATTGCAGGATTACTCCCAGGATGACTCATTCACATGGCTGGCTAGTTGGGGCTCACTATTGACTGGCAGTTCAGTGGTTCCTGTTAATGACCAGACCCTGATTCTCCCCATATGGACCTATCTGCAAGCTGCTTGGACTACCTAACAGTATGGTTGCTGAATTGAGAGAGTGTCCCAAGAGAACAAGGTTAAAAATCACCTTTTATAACTCAGCCTCAAAAACCACAAAGTATTAACATTATTGACAAGTACATGCAAGTGGAGAGTACATAGTTCCCATTACTGGATGGGAGCAGTGTCAAAGTTAAGTTGTAAGAAGAGGAGAGATACAACATGTTACTGCAGTCATCACTGCAATAAGATTGAATAAGAAAAAGGAACAACAACAAAAAGTTTCTGTAGAAATGGTCTCATATGAAAATCTTTTTGATAACAATATTTGGCACATTATTCTTCTTTAAAATTTACACCTTAATAGACTAATAAATTATAGTCTCTGAATTCAAGGGCTGTGCAAAAATTAGAAAACAGATGCTTGAGTAGTAAGTGAAAGGAGCACTACTACTCACTAATTTGACCTTGACCAAGTTTTTGAACATTTATGAACCCTAATATCCTCATCTCTAAATTGGAACTAATTTATTTTACAGAAAATAAAATATTTTCTGTAAAGCATAAAACTAGCAAATGCATTTAAAAACATTATTTACCTTCCTCTTTGGGCATGGCATTTCACTGGCTACTACTACCAGCCCTTGAAATTTGCAGTATGACAAATTAAGTAACAAATACGAAAAGAGATAATTTCTAAAATTATGTTTCACTGAGAAAACTCTAGATACTAGGCTGTGGGGTGATGTACTGTAAAGTGTTTTTGTTACCCGTTAACCCAATTTTTCATTTAAAAAAATTCATTTAAGTCTGAGCATGGTTGCTCACACCTGTAATTCCAGTACTTTGGGAGGCTGAGGCAGGTGGATCACTTGAGGTCAGGAGTTCAAGACCAGTCTGACTAACTTGGTAAAACCCCATCTCTACTAAAAATAGTAAAATTTAGTATAGCGTGGTGGTGCTGGCCTATAATCCCAGTTACTCAGGAAGCTCAGACAGCAGAATCGCTTGAACTCAGGAGGCAGAGGTTGCGGTGAGCCGAGATCACACCACTGCATTCCAGCCTGGGCAACAAAGCAAGACTCTGTCAAAAAAAAAAAAAAAAAAAAAAAAAAAAGTCATTTAGCAAATCACATGCTATCTGGGTATACTTTAGTCATGGCTTAAAAATCAAGAGACAAGATGTTGCCTACCCAAGAAAAACATAATTAAGAAGGCCTTGGGGAACAGTAAAATTCAAAATAAAAATAGAAAACATCCTCTTCTACATTGAGCAAAACCAGGAAATGGGTCATGTAAAGGAAATAACCAAAATTTAAGTATGGAAGACATTTAAAGTACTTATGTAAGATTAGAACCCACTAAATTAATGTGATCAGGACCAAAATACATTTATTAAATGTTACATACAGTAAAAAAAATTCAAAATACTTGGTTATATGTTCACCATTTAATCACAATTAAGTAAGTAAAATTAATGTTAAGAAATGCAGAAAAGTTAAGAAAACAGTAAGGGAAATGATTAAAGTTTGCAAAATCAAAACTAGGAGGAAAGTTAGACAAATGGAATTAGCACAATCTCGTTAAAAGTCAGCCAGGCACTTATTAATTGCTTGTAAACATGCAAAGAACTTCTAAATGAATACCTACCTTTCCTTTGCATTCACAAAAATGTTAGTTAAGGGATTTAATCAATGATAAAGCTTTAGGTGCAACGGTTTTTAAGCATCTGAGACTCACTATACAATTAGGTTTACAATGAATCTTTCTAGGAAGGAGGAGCCATTTCACATCTTAATTTTGATGTTTTTATAGCTACAAAACACAAACAACTAATAACAACTACCAATATCGTTTATTCTAGAAGGTAGAATACGATTGGGAAAATTACTCTATGAAAAAAATTACATATGGCCTGATCATTTATGTGACAAAATAGATTAAATGCCCTCTCTTCGCAGGCCCAGTGAGGATTCCTTGTGATGGTAGTGGCAGGCCGTCAAGAGCCCACCCTTGGGAGCCCCCCAGAACCCGCCACCCTGGGAGCAGCCACAATGGCGCCATGCCAAGCCACCTGCCAGCAGGAGAGCAGTGCAGTTGGGTGGGCACAGAGGAATGGGCAGAGAGGGGCTCAGCGAAGACCTGGAGCCCCTGCCCCAGGCTGTGAGGAGGTACAGCCAGGGCTACATGCTTCATGGAGCTGGTGGGAGCCGGGGACAAACAGGAGCCCTGTCCCTTCCAACTTGGTGGGCAGGAGCTCCCTGGGTGCAACTGCAGCCTCCCTGCCATGGCTCTGGACCTGGGGATCTCTGTGCTCTTGGGGTCCTGGGAATGGCCTCCTCCTCCCGCAGGCTCAGAAATGCCTGCTCCCACTGCCTGGCTTCTCCCCACTCTCAGAGCTCACTCCATTCTTGGAGCAAACTCAGGACAAGCCCAGGTATTGTCAAAGCCCAGCTAGATGTGCACACATGCAGGGTAGCACTGACATGCCAGCCCTGTGCTGCCTTTGGGCACCAACAAGCATGGGGAGAAGGCCGAGGGAGGCTGAGGACAACCTGGCACTGGACTGCAGGCACCCCTTGGCATGAACAGTTTGGTTGACATAAACAGCAGCAGGAGGTAGACAGGCTTCCGGGTGGAAGGGGGCAAGTCCCCTGTGAAGCCCCACCTTCAAGCCAGGGAGGCCAGAAGCCTGGGGGCCGGGCCTCCAGTTCCATGAACCAGAGAGTGAATTTGTGGTGTTTTTCCCTAGTCCTGTCCATGGCCACCCATGGACCAATTAGCACACACTTCCTCCCCTCTGAGGCCCATGAAAACCCCGGACTCAGCCAGCCTTGAGCAAAGGGCGGAGAGGATGGAGAGACAAAGGGGAGACGATGGGATGGCCAGCTGCAGAGAGGAACTACCCTCTCTGATGAGAGCTGGATGCTTATCGGGATGACCTGCCTAGAAAAGAAGAGCTACCCTCTCTGCTGAGAGCTGAAGAGATGAAGGGATGACCAGCTGCAGAGAGGACCTGCCCTCTCTGCTGAGAGCTGAACACTAGTCAGGACACCCTGGCTATGAAAAGGAGCTGCCATTGCAGGTCTCCTCCAAGCTGTTCTATTGCTCAATAAACTCAGACTCCTCTTCGTCTTGCTCGCCCTCTACTTGTCTGCATTCCTCATTCTTCCTGGTCACAGGATGAGAACTCAGGACCCACCAAATGGTGAGGCTAAAAGAGTGGTAACACAAACAGGGCTGAAACATGCTCCTTGCTCACCACCTTGAAGGCTACAAGAAGGAGAGAAGAGCTGTGAGCTCCCTGAACCAGGGCTGTGACTCCTACTTTGGGGCCCTGTGGTTCCTAGAGTCTCCAAGCTCCCGGACACCACCAAGTCCCCTGGTGCCAGCAGTAGAAGCACCTTGCAGTGCACCTGGTCAAGCCACAGCCTTGCAATGAGCCAGCACCTGTGCGAGCATCTGGAACTGCCCGCCCTGCTGCAGCAGCTGGCATACCTGACTGTGCACAGTGCCCGGACCCCACACTTGCTCATTTTCACACCCCTCGCCACTCCTTTCCAGTCTCTTCAGAAGCATAGGATCCAGGACAGTAGTGTGAGCCAAGCACAGCCTACCAGGACGAGTGGGCCCAGTGGACCCGAGCAAAATTTGGGCAAATGTGTCATTGGCCACAGAGGCTTTCAGCCCGAAAAGCAACACCATCAAAGATCCCATAACACTTGTATGGAGAGACAAACATTGGTTAAGAACTGTATTGATAATTTTGACTGTGGAGAAGAAAAAGGATGTAGGGGCCTTAGAGTGGATACAGTGACAAGAGGAGGAAGGAGAAAAAAATGAATAGGGGTAGGGGTGTGTTAGAGAGAAAACAAGAGACCAAACCGTGTGTCCTGTGCTGGTAACATATCACATCATCCGTACGTTTTTTAAAACTTCTCAAAACGCTTGCTTAGGTTGATGTAAAGAGATTTCTTGTGAAAATAGTTGAGGGAAGCTAAGACTTGCATCTAAGGAGCGGTGGAGACTGACCCAATGAAATACCAAGTACAGAGAGGTGGGTGGTGAGAGTGGTCTGCAGTGGGTGCAGTTAACCAGGGGAGGGAGATTGTCTGTAGGAAGCTATACAGACATCCCAGAAACGTACAAGAAAATGCCCAACATCACATGCAATTATCAAGGAAATGCAAATTAAAACCAAAATGAGATACCACCTTACTACTGCAAGAATTACCATAAAAAAAATTTTGGCATGGATAAGATAAAATGGGAACACTTTTACACTGCTGATGGGAATGTAAATTAGTACAACTGTGGAAACAGTGTGGAGATTCCTTAAAGAGCTAAAAGTAGAACTACTATTTAATCCCACTGCAAAGTATCTATCCAAAGGAAAATAAGCCGTTATATGAAAAAGACACATGCACATGCATGTTTATAGTAGCACAATTCACAATTGCAAAAATATGGAACCAATCTAAGTGCCCATCAACCAACAAATGGATAAAGAAAATGTGGTGGCCAGGCGTGGTGGCTCATGCCTGTAATCCTAGCACTTTGGGAGGTCGAGGAAGGCGGATTGCCTGAACTCAGGAGTTCAAGACCAGCCTGGGCAACATGGTGAAACCCCGTCTCTACTAAAATACAAAAGAAATTATCCAGGCGTGGCAGTATGTGCCTGTAGTCCCAGCTACTCGGGAGGCTGAGGCAGGAGAATTGCTTGAACTCGGGAGGCAGAAGTTTCAGTGAGCCGAGATCATGCCACCACACTCCAGCACTCCAGCCTGGGTGACAGAGTGAGACTCTGTCTCTACAAAAAAAATAAAAAAAAAAAAAAGAAAAAGAAAAAGAAAATGTGGTATATATATATACACCATGGAATACTATTCAGCCATAAAAAGGAACAAAATAATGTATTTTGTTACTAGCACAGGTGCTGGCTCACTGTAAGGCTGTGGCTGGACCAGGCACACTGCAAGCTGCCTCCACTGCTGGCACTGGGGAATGTGGTGGTGCCCGGGAGCTTGGAGACTCCAGGAACCACGAGGCCTCAAAAGGGGAGTCACAGCCCTGGTTTGGGGAGCTCTCAGGTCTGGGTCCTCCAAAGGGCTGCAGCTCTTCTCTCCTTCTCTCTTCTCTCTTTCTTGTCACCTGTGAAATAATATCTTTTGTTCCTTTTATGGCTGAGTAGCATTCATGTTGTGTAATATGTTTTGCAGCAATAATGGGGCTGGAGGTCATTATTCTAAGTAACTCAGGAATGGAAAAACAAATATTACATGTTCTTACTTATAAGCGGGAGCTAAGCTACGAGGATGCAGAGGCATAAGAATGATATAATGGACTTTGGGGACTAGTGGGGGAAGTTGGGAGAGAGGTGAAGTATAAAATACTACATATTGGGTACAGTGTACACTGCTCAGGTGATGGGTGCACTAAAATCTCAGAAATCACCACTAAAGAACTTATCCATGTAACCAAACAGCACGTGTAACCCAAAAACTTTTAAAATAAAAATTTAGAAGCATAAAGACAATAATGAAATCAACTCAAGGTCTGTCTGCCTTAGCTGGCAATTTTCCACATCAGTGATAAAATGCTCCTCCCTGAAAACAGCTTTTGGGTGGTGGTCTAAGTTCTAAATCTAAACAACTGCCTTGATTTCTGTTGAAATCTAATAATGCACAAGTAAGCTACAAATTGGCAAAATTTTAGCACTTCTCCTTTAATAAACATTGTGTTCTACATGGAAATTAATTTGGAGAAAGCACGTTAAACCATCAGCACCCTAACACATTTAGACTGTGTCATGCATTCATTCAAGACTAAGAACTCAATTTCTGTTTCTTTAATTTTACAATCATGATCATGTGTATCATGATCAACATGATGTTGATCATGTCAAATCTGTTGTTCAAATGCTGGAATATGTAATGCCAGAGGTGATTTTAAACTATTCCAAACCATAGCAAAACATATCATTTGACAGCCATTGGAATCAATCCAAACAGACATGACAGTTTTACAATTTCCTGAATACACTGTGAAATGGAATTGTTACAGATATCTGACTAATCTTTTAACTAACAGAAGAAGAATATTAGATAAAAACTAAGGAAATCTGGCCAAGCGTGGTGGCTCATGCCTGTAATCCCAACACTTTGGGAGGCAGAGGCGGGCAGATCACGAGCTCGGGAGATCGAGACAATCCTGGCTAACAAGGTGAAACCCCGTCTCTACTAAAAATACAAAAAAAATTAGCCAAGCATGGTGGCGGGCACCTGTAGTCCCAGCTACTCGGGAGGCTGAGGTAGGAGAATGGCGTGAACCCGGGAGTCGGAGTTTGCAGTGAGCAGAGATCGCGCCACTGCACTCCAGCCTGGGCGACAGAGCAAGACTCCACCTCCAGAAAAAAAGAAAAAAAAAAAAAAACCTAAGAAAATATAAAAAGAGTATGGCCTTTAGTTAACAATAAGGTATAAATATTAGTTCATTACTTATAACAAATGATGTATCATTCTAATGTAAAATATTAATGGGAGAAATGGGGTGTGGGCATATAGAAACTATACCATCTTCATATTTTTTTGTAAATTTCAAATTATTCTAAAAGGTGAAGTTTTAAAATGCTTTAGAAATTCTTTTCATATAACTGTTGGTGCATGTTAAATTTTTTTATTTTTTTTTATTTTTTGAGACAAAGTCTCACTCTGTCGCCCAGGCTGGAGTGCAGTGGAACATTTTGGCTCACTGCAACCTCCGCCTCCCGGGTTCAAGCGATTCTTCTGCCTCAGCCTCCTGAGTAGCTGGGACTACAAGTCATGTCACGATGCCTGGCTAATTTTTTGTATTTTTAGCAGAGAAGGGGTTTAAACATGTTGGCCAGGCTGGTCTTGAACTCCTGACTTCGTTATCCACCTGCCTCGGCCTCCCAGAGTGTGGGGATTACAGGCTTGAGCCACTTTGCTGGCCTGTTAAATTTTTTTTATTTAAAATTACTAAAAGTTGTTCTTTGATCAATTATGAACAGGTATTAATGAACAAATGTGACTATGCTATCCATTAAATATGAATACACAAAGAATAAGTTTTCTTAATTAGTAATTCTTTCCAATTTTCAGAAATTAAGGATGAAACAGACACTAATAATAACAGTCTTATTCATTACTGTGACAGATCAATATGTGGTTAAGTTTTCATTTCCTTTGTTTTAGAAAATGCACCAATAAAATTTAGAAGTATTAGCCCATTATTCTTCCTTTCTATGCTGTTACCTTTATTTTATTTTTCATGTTTTTTTAGTGACATAATTTGTACTTGTGTGAAGTGCAGTAACTGGGAATTCTCGTTGTCTTTTTTTTTCTGGCCACTGGTCCTATTGGCTTATTAATTTTATGATTGGTATTTAAAACATTTTGTTATATAGAAGGAGGGTTTTGCTAAAACCCAATTATCCACTTCAAATAGTACCAGCAAACAGATCCAAACAACATCAGAATAGAATAAGGTCTGAGAATTAGTAAAAATCTTGTTGAAGGTCATGCTTTACTCCCAGACCAGGAGGATCCAATTGTTAGCTGAATTACACACTCAAAAAAAAGAAATAGGGGTCTAAGTATATGTCGGAAATGAGGTATTTTATATGGAAACCAGAATAACCAAAGTTTTATATCTAGAAAAGGAAATATTTTTCTACTAGTCTGCTTCCAAGAATTGTTCTTCCCAGCCAGGCACAGTGGCTCACGCCTGTAATCCTAGCACTCTGGGAGGCCAAGGCAGGTAGATTGCTTGAGCTCAGAAGTTCAAGACCAGCCTGGGCAACATGGTGAAACCCTGTCTCTACTAAAATACAAAAAATCAGCAGGGCATGGTGGTGGGTGCCTCTAAACCCAGCTACTCAGGAGGCTGAGGCACAAGAATTGCTTGAACCCAGGAGGCAGAGGTTGCAGTGAGCCAAGATTGGGCCACTGCACTCCAGCCTGGATGACAAAGTGAAACTCTGTCTCAAAAAAAAAAAAAAGAATTATTCTTCCCAAATGCATTATCTTTTCAAATAGTATACTGGTTATTACGATTTTCTTTTCCTGCCTAAAACATATTGGCTTATTACTGCAATACTAGTCAGGGAGAGGGGGTAATGCAGACAGAAAATTCAAAACACAGCCCTAGTTATATACCAGACATACTGAAGTGTGGCATGCAATGTTTACTTTAGCAGTTGGAGTAGCAAAGTCTCCGGGGGCTCTGCCAAATATGGACACAATATATTGTCTTCCAAAGCCTATATATGTTTCATTTCTATTTAGTTAGTCCCAACTTTAATGGATTATGTTCCAGAAGTCCATTTATTGAGCCTGTTTGGATTTGTACTGCACTTTCCCAGAGAAATGGGATGGGTGTGTCCCCAGGCCTGCCCACAAACTCATTTACTCATAGAAGGTTAGAGCTGGGAAGACTGAAAAAATCAACTAGTCCAACCATTTTAAAACCATAATGTTGGCCAGGGGCAGTGGCTCACGCCTGTAATCCCAGCACTTTGGGAGGCCGAGGCAGGCGGATCACTTGAGGTCAGGAGCTTGAGACCAGCCTGGCCAACATGGTGAAACCCCATCTCTGCTAAAAATACAAAAATTAGCCGGGGATGGTGGCAGGCGCATGTAATCCCAGCTACTCGAGAGGCTGAGGCAGGAGATCATTGCTTGAACCCAGGAGGCAGAGGTTGCAGTGAGCCGAGATCGCGCCACTACACTCCAGCCTGGGTGGCAGGGCAAGACTCGGTCTCAGAAAAAACAAACAAAGAAACTAACCAAAAAACCCATAATCTTGCCGAAACTGTAATAATACTTGTCCCAAGAGAGCCCTTGGGGACCTTCTTACGTTCACTGAGGCTTCTCTGTGCCCTGACAGGGCCAGTTATTTTAGGTTTCAGATGACAACATCCAGGGAGCTGTACCAGGAACTGGGTTGATCCTGGGAAAATCCTTGTGGCAATAAGAACATCCCCTAGGTTTGAAGCTCGAGCATGCCCAGGGTAGAAGGGTTTCAGTAGGAAGCAGGATCTCTCAGTCAAGAATTCTCTACATAAAGCCTGTTTTATCTATTGTATTAACAGTTTTCCTTGAATGACTTGACGATACACTATGATTCCCTTGAACAGGTGAAGAGAGGAAACATCCCCACAATTGGCCTCAAGACACTGTGCCTAGTCCTGGAAACTTGGAGTAGTAGGACTGTCACAATGGACAGCGTGGGCAATCTCATGTCATTTCCCAAATACCAGGTTCAGGATTCTTTATCAGCATTTATAGACTCCATACAACAGGAGGAATAAGGCAGGCTTCATCCTTAAACTGCAGAATCCCAATGAGGCAAAATAGTATCAATCTCTCCTCTTTGCAAAAGAGATCTCAGGATAAGATTGTTCCACCTTCTTTTTTAAATCCATACTCCTTTTAGTTAGTCATCTAAAGAAACTCTTCTCTCTCTCATTCCCATTAAAGTCACTTACTTTCTGATAAGATGACATGGACTGCCATGAAAAATTACCGTTCTGAGACCAATTATGATTTTAACTATGATATTAACTATGATTCTGTTAACATTGTTATTGTCATCAGTTTTATTTTAAATCTGGCCCAGTTGTTTAGATCATTTGGTTTCCTCTCTGATTTGCCATAACCATGTAAATTTTAGCCATATTTACATAAAGCAACATCTCCTGATGTACTACAAGTACCATTAATTTTTCTAAATTTGCTTCTCTTTAAATGTTATTTTGGTAGTGTTCAAATTGAAACAAGTCTCCAATTTGTTCAAATAATTCTTAAATCTAATTCTTCTCTCCAAAGGGCAGACTTCCTCCTCTTCCTTCCCCTGTTCTCCACTCACTATTATATTGTGAAAACAGGCCATTTCATCATCAACATCAAACACATAAATGTTTAATATCAATTCCTAGAACTTTTCACTACCCAACAAATTCATGGAGAGCAAGCATCTTATTTATTTATTTATTTTACTTTATCTTCCTTTCCCTTCTATTCCTCCATCCACAAAACACAAGTAAACTTTCCACTTAATAGGTAAGGATATGATGTGCTAAACAAAGTTATTCATTGAGATTCTTTCACCAGACTCATTAACTACCCATCATTAATACGATTGTCCACTTATTATTCTATTGTTCTCCCCCAACTAATTGATGAAGATGTAAAGCACATTGAATCTCAAGTGAAAATATATTACCTTCAGTCATATCAAATTTGTTGCTACATGGTAGTTGTTTTCTTTCAAGTCAAATATCACGAAACATAATATCCAGAACACACTAAGCCTGGACTTTAATTTTCTGAGACTTGTTTCCTGACACTGGGCTGTGAACATCACTCAAACAGTAGATTTTGTACTCTCTACTAGAGCAGAGAGAGTCTGAAATTTAAGTGGCTTAACAATTTCCCTAAATACAACACTGTGCTAAATAACTAGTGTTATCTTTTCTAGCATGGCCTAAAAACTATGATTGTAAAAGATCTGATGCAGTACATCAAGTGACAATCACAGTTTTGTTGTTGCTGTTGTTAAATAAAATAAAAATCTAGGAAAATGATTGCAACAGCAGATAGGGCATTTTAGATACCTTTTGGACTCCTGATTTGCCAGAGATTTTTATGGCTTTTTCTATTTTTAACTATCAAATACAAATGTTTAATATTAAAAAATCAGTACAACTAATTGGCTCCCATTTAAAGAACACTAGAACACTGCTCATCAGTTAAGGATAAATACCAATTACATATTTCAGATATTAAAGCTTATACATTAAATTCATTTATGGGTTTAGTTCCCTTGAGACAATTTTATGTTGATCTATCTATTATTAAGAGAGCAACATTGCTCTGAGTTTTTCTATTTATATTTGCTGTATCAAAAACACTGACTTCCTGTAATAGGTATCTTTCTGGTATCTTACTTTCTTGTTAAAGAAATGAGCCCTAGCTCATTTTCATTAAATAGCCACGTGTGCTATCATTGCTTTATCTGTTTGCTTGTTCCCATCTTATCATGTTTCCTTGCCTCCATTGATTTGGGGCTTGATCATTTGACGTGATTTGGAATATGAGCTAATGTAACATTTGCCACTGTCAGAGGTAAAGACAGACACCAGTTAAAGTGGTGAGAGTAGATTTTATTCAGCACTAAACTAGTACAATAGGGAGCATGGTCCAGCAAGCACTGCACTCAACTTTGATTTGTGCAGAGTTGACTGGGAGTTTTAAAGGAAGAATGAGGGAGTAGGGAGGCGGTATAGCAAGGGCTGGAGCAGAGTTAGAGAAGTGAAAATTTAGGAAAAGCAGGAAGAAGAGTTGGCTAAGATGACTAGGCCACCTAAGTTTGTTAATTGGCTCTTATCTGGAGGAGAAACAAATTTCTTTTTTTTTTTTCTTTTTCTTTTTTTTTTTTTTTTTGAGATGGAGTCTCGCTCTGTCACCCAGGCTGGAGTGCAGTGGCGCAATCTCGGCTCACTGCAACCTCTGCCTCCCGAGTTCAAGCAATTCTCTGCCTCAGCCTCCCGAGTAGCTGGGATTACAGGTGCCTGCCACCATGCCCAGCTAATTTTTGTATTCTTAGTAGAGACAGGGTTTCACCGTCTTGGCCAGGCTGATCTTAAATTCCTGACCTCGTGATCCACCTGCATTGGCCTCCCGAAGTGCTAGGACTACAGGTGTGAGCCACTGTGCCTTGCTGGAGAAACAAATTTCTATATCTTTATGACAGGAGGTAATGATGCAAGTTAAAGCAAGTTTGTTTTGTTCAAGTTTGGTCCTTGTCCACGTGGGGCCTGGGAGGTAGAGTGAAAGTTACCTCTCTGAATGTTTGCATTGTAAAGAGATGGCCCTCAGGTCCTAGAGAAGATTGTTCTGGGTGGTGGAAGATTCATACCTCAAAGGGACAGAGAAAGAATTTGTAACTGTAAGATTTCTAAAAGAGGGCTCGGGGACTCTCTCCCTGTCTCCAGGATGGGCTGGAGGAAACAATAAATTCTTTAGGCAGGCTTGAGCTTTCTTAGGCCAGTATTTTAAGTGGGGGCTAGAGTCATCCTAGGGGTGCAGCCTTGAGCAGTTAGGTTAGACAGACTTTAGCTGGTAACTGTTAGAACAAATACTGTGTTAGTGTTTGTTCAAGTCTCGTATTTGGTGGGGGAGGTAGGAAAGTGTAGACAAAATTATTTGTGCTGAGAGTCTGCAATTTTCATAAGCCAGATTGAGGCCTAGTTGAGAAGAGGACTCAGAAGCCCTTGGCTAGAGTTTGATTAAAGAGAAACTACAACACATTGAGCAGAAGAATCCTTCAATGCCACAGAATGACTTAGCTTCTGGCCTCTTGCTCTGACCTTTCATCATGATTACAAATATATCCCCAACAGTAGTGACATCTTCAGCCAGGCTACCAGAATGAAAAGATATACTGAGCTAAATCTAGCCCAGCAGAACTTAGTAGAGCCCAGCAAGGCCTGGGAGAGCTAAGTAGTGTCCAACAGGACTAAAAAGGGCCTTATGAAATGTAGCAGAGCCCAGTGGAACCAGAGAAGTCCATCAGAGCCCTGTAGAGTCCAGGAGAGCTGGAGATAACCACAGCAAGAAACCACTGTTGTTACTCATAAGCCATGATATTAGGGTTATATACTATTGTAGCAAAAACTGACTGATATGCCAAAAAATTGTTATTCTGGAAGATGTGTATTCATTTCATCCTCTCCTCTCTTTCAGTCAGAGATAAACTACATCTACCTATTCCCAAAAGGATTCATTAAAACAAAGAAAATACAACTGTAATTAGGTCAGGTCTACTTTTCTCCCAACTTCCCCAAGTAATGAATAGGAGAAGGAAAGAAAAAAAGAAATAGAGACAGAGAGAAAGAAAGAGAGAAGAGAGAGAGAGAGAGGGAGGGAGGGAGGAAGGAAGGAAAGGAGGGAGGGTGTGGTGGCTCACGCCTGTAATCCTAGCACTTTGAGAGGCCAAGGCGGGCGGATCACGAGGTCAGGAGATCGAGACCATCCTGGCTAACATAGTGAAACCTCGTCTCTACTAAAAATACAAAAAATTAGCCAGGCATGGTGGCCGGCGCTTGTAGTCCCAGCTACTTGGGAGGCAGAGGCAAGAGAATGGCGTGAATTCGGGAGGCGGAGCTTCCAGTGAGCGGAGATCACCCCACTGCACTCCAGCCTGGGCGACAGAGAGAGACTGCATCAGAAAGAAAAAGAAAAAGAAAAAAGAGAGAGGGAGGGAGGGAGGGAGGTAGAGAGGGAGGGAGAAAGAGAGAGGCCAGGCACGGTGACTCACGCCTAATCCCAGCACAGTGGGAGGCCGAGGTGGGCGGATCACCTGAGGTCAGGAGTTGGAGAACAGCCTGGCCAACATGGTGAAATCTCATCTCTACTAAAAATACAAAAAATTAGCCGGCGTGGTGGTGGGTGCCTGTAATCCCAGCTACTTGGGAAGCTGAGGCATGAGAATCACTTGAATCCAGGCAGCAAAAGTTGGCCGTGAGATGAGACTGCACCACTGCACTGCAGCCTGGGTGACAGAGCAAGACTCCATCTCAATAAAAAGAAAAAAAAAAAGAAGAAGGAAAGGAAGGAAGGAAGGGAAGGAGGGAGGGAAGGAAGGAAGGAAGGGAAGGAGGGAGGGAAGGAAGGAGGGAGGGGAAGGAAGGAAGGGAGGAAGGAAGGGAGGGAGGGAGGGGAAGGGAAGGGAAGGGAAGCCAGGGAAGGGAGGGAGGGAAGGAAGGAGGGAAGGAAGGGAGGGAAGGGAAGGGAAGGGGAAGGCAGGGAAGGCAGGGAGGGAAGGAAGGGAGGGAAAGGAAGGGAAGGGAAGGGGAAAGCAGGGAAGGCAGGGAGGGAAGGAAGGGAGGGAAAGGAAGGGAAGGGAAGAGGAAGGCAGGGAAGGCAGGGAGGGAAGGAAGGGAGGGAAAGGAAGGGAAGGGAAGGGGAAGGCAGGGAGGGAAGGAAGGGAGGGAAAGGAAGGGAAGGGAAGGGGAAGGCAGGGAAGGCAGGGAGGGAAGGAAGGAAGGAAAGAAGGAAGGAAGGACAGACAGAGTGAGGGGACATCTTTCATGTGGAGCATTTTTTTATAAAAAAGAATAAAAGCTACTTTGGGAGGCCGAGGCGGGCGGATCACAAGATCAGGAGATCGAGACCATCCTGGCTAACACGGTGAAACCCCGTCTCTACTAAAAATACAAAAAAATTAGCCTGGCGTGGTGGCGGCCTCTTGTAGTCCTAGCTACTCCGGAGGCTGAGGCAGGAGAATGGAGAATGGCATGAACTTGGGAGGTGAAGCTTGCAGTGAGCCAAGATTGCGCCACTGCACTCCAGCCTGGACGACAGAGCGAGACTCCGTCTCAAAAAAAAAAAAAAAAAAAAAAAAAAAAAAAAGGAATAAAAGCTTTTAAATTCCCTTGAGGTTAGATAACTATCATCAGCAATAAGTATTGATCAGAATATATCCAAATTTGCTTTTGTAACTTATAAATTCTTCACAAGTTGACCCAAAACTTATTTCCTTCTCTGCTCCAGCAGCAAAGAACTACCCACCATTCCTCAAACGGTTTTTCCTGTCTAGGAGCTTTGCACATATCGCTCCCTCTGCCAAGCACGCCTACGATTGCATTTCTCTCTACTGTATAGACTATTCCCATTCTACACAGTGCAAGCCAAAAGTGCCCTCCTCTGTGAGACCTTTCTCAATTTAGTTGTTCTCCAATGTCCCGAGCATGTCCATATTCCTTAAGTCCTGCCTCTACCTCAAGAACTGTCATAATTCCAAGTCTCTCCAATGTCCGTGTGGTTGGTTGTATCATCCAACAAGCTAGTTTTATGCTTCTTTGACTTCCTAAACTCCAATCATATTCACATTTATTTTATATCATCCACCCTCATCCAGGGCAGCAACATTACTTGCTTCACCTCTGAAATCTTATATTCTAATATCTTCTTTCTGACTCTACTTCCTCCTCTCTCAATCCCAATGTAACAACATTTTAATCTCATTAAATGTTGACCTTCTGTGTTTGATTATTCTGTTAACACCATCCTGGCTATTGTCACATCCCATCCTTGCCAAGTGTCAACCCCATGGTGCAAATCTATAGGTATCTGAAGGTGCAAATCTGAAGGTATAGGCAAAAACATTTGCCTAAACCTTCAAATGCTTTTATTTAGACACGTTCACCCTACAAATTTTCAGCCAGTAATTCTGTAATTTGCCTCATTTTGTTGTAATATAATGTTGTGAGGATTTTAGGAGAAAAACCATAATTTTTTTTAACTTAGGATACTCTTACCTGCAAGCAATGAAAAATACAAGTGAAAAGCTTTGAATAAGAATGTTTACTATCTCTTATAACAAGAAGTCCAAAGGAATAGTGCTTCTAGGGTTGGTTAATCAATTGTTATCTTGGCTTGATTTGGGCTCATGCCTTCAATATTGCAAAGTGACTGCTACTGTTCTATGTATCACAAGCAGTTATGACAATATTCAGACAAAAAGACAGGAGTTTGCTCCTATTCATCTGTTTGAATAAGGTGAAAATCTCTTCCAAAATTCCTACAGGGCATTTCCCCTAGGGTTTCAGTGGCCAGGTTTGGATCATAAGCTCTTGATACAAATGCAAAGGAGGCTGAGAAAGCAAGGATCTAACATTTTTGTAGGATTTCGGCTTTGTCATTGATATAATTAATATTGATGCTTATAAATGTATAGTCTCCATCTAAACTGGCCCTTCAATGCTGCCTGACAGTAGTTCTGCTTGGCCCAGTGCTTCTAAAACTTTAATGAACATGCAAATCACCTGTGGATATTTAAAAATGCAGATTGGTAATCCCAGCACTTTGGGAGGCTGAGGCGGGCAGATCACGAGTTCAGGAGATCGAGCCCATCCTGGCTAACATGGTGAAACCCTGTCTCTACTAAAAAAATTAGCCGGGCATGGTGGTGGGTGCCTGTAGTCCCAGCTACTTGGGAGGCTGAAGCAGGAGAATGGCGTGAACCCGGGAGGCGGTGCTTGCAGTGAGCTGAGATCACACCACTGCACTCCAGCCTGGGCGACGGAGTGAGACTCCATCTCAAAAAAAAAAAAAAAATTAATAAATAAATGCAGATTGGATTCAGAAGGTCTGGGAGGGGGCCTGAGATCTGCATTTCTATCAAGCTACTACAAAGGGATGCCAAATTTACTTGACTGATAACCACACTTTCAGTTACAAGACTCTTTCCACTTCTACTTCAAATATTCTTCTTCACGCTCTACTAGCCTAGCATCATCCCCATTACTCTTAGGAAATGACCTCATTCCTTATTTCACAAAAAATTACAAAACAAAACAAAACAAAAAAACCTCATAAGACAGAGAACTCTCGATTTAAGAGGTAACACTTTATGAGCACCAAGAGAATTGGCCTTGTCATTAAACAGTTGAAGCTTCCAACTCCGGATATACCACTTACTCTCCTGCGATATTTCGCAATATCTTAACCTTTCTGAGTCCCAGTTTCTTAAGTTATAAAATGAAAATAGTAATGCCAAAATCTTGGTATTTTTGAGGATTAAGTGAGATCATGTAAATGTGTTCCATTTAAGTGTTTTTTTGTTTTTTGTTTTTGAGACAGAGTTTTGCTCTTGTTGCCCAGTCTGGCAATGGAGCAATCTCGGCTCGCTACATTCTCTGCCTCCTGGGTTCAAGCAATTCTTCTGCCTCAGCCTCCCGAGTAGCTGGGATTACCGGCATGCGCCACCACACCTGGCTAATTTTGTATTTTTAGTAGAGACAAGGTTTCTCCATGTTGGTCAGGCTGGTCTCGACCTCCCAACCTCAGGTGATCCTCCTGCCTCGGCCTCCCAAAGTGCTGGGATTACAGGTGTGAGCCATTTAAGTTTTTTAAGAATAAACAACAAAAACAACTAACACAAAAAAAGAACTGGAAGGATATTAAGTGATACATTATTTGACATCTGTTTTGACTGTAAAGGAAAACCTAAAATAAATTTTTCTCAAGCAAGTTAGTAACTCATTACTCTCTCACATTCAAGGGTTTGGAGACATCCTGTCAAGACTATCATGGCACTCCACAGTGCCAGGAACTCAGGCCAGGATTATTCTACCTACTAAGGATATATAATATGTTTCAAGCAGACTTGGAGATGGACTCAGTATTCTACTGGGCTTACTGTGAAATAGAATTAGATCTAACCTACATCTATCAGCTCACTTCACAAGGCTCCACTTTTCCTGATTGGCTGTGTTGTTCTAGGTCTCAGGAACCAGAATTGATTAAGAGTCTGTGACCAATTCAACCCAAAGGTAGGTTCCTTTTCCCAGTGCGTGTTTACTCTGATAAATGGATGCATTAGAGAATAGTACAAAGAAAATTTACAGAAAGTACTTATGAAGTGAATGATCCATCCTGCTCAACTTCTTTCTAATTGAAGGGATGCTAGGTCTGGATTTTGGGTGAAAGATTTTGACTTCATATCATGATAGCTCATGTCAGGTCTCTGGAGGTCAGATTGGAGTCCTTTCAGTTATACTGAAATCAAGTTTAACACTGGTGGTTTACGTATATATTTCAGTCCTATGTTCAGATTTCTCTCATTACTACTATATGCATTCTGTCTGCTTTGATAAGCATAGCCCATCCACTGTCTGGGGTTTGGAACTGAATTTGTGTCTGCAGCTTGGGATTATTTCCTCCCATTAAAATATGAATACCAACTTCAATAGCATTCTCTACGAGTACCCATAGACAAGAGAAAACAGCCAATAAAATGGTTTGAAAAGCTGAGAAACATTCCACTGACGTATATTATAACATATATATCCATATTAATAGAGGGAACTATCTATGAGACAAATGTATCAATCCACAACCAATTGAAAAATACAATAGTCCTTTACAATAGCTCATTTGAAGAGCATTACTCCTGTATTTATTCATCCCCCAAGGCTCCACAAACTCCAGGTTATAAAACTTTAAGAAGAAAATCAGACATTGGCAAACGTGATTAAATACATTTGTTTCTTTACTTGAAATATAGTGTTTTCTCACCATTTGTGTACTTAACATTTCGTGTTTCAGCTATTCATAAGCAACCCAGAAAGTCCATGGCATGCAGTGCTTTGTCATTTTGCTGAGGTAACCATTTGAATTTTGCTTTGGTGTGCCAAAATGAGTCACTGCCTGATACATAAACCTTTTGTGACCACCCAACATTCATTACAGTGTGACTCTGTTACATTTGACTCCTTGTCACCTACATAAACTGAAAATTTTGCATTAACATTATATTAAACAGTATCTGAACTTATCAGGAGCTTCTTTCAAATGCCTCTTAAAGTAAACATGAATTAAAAAATTATCACAGTCAACATTAAGTAAACAGTCAGGATGGAAGGAGATATTTAAATAATGTCAGATTTATGACATAGCAGGCAAAGCAAACAAAAACATACACTCCAGAGAATGAGAAGACAAGTCAGAGGCTGAAAGAAAATATTTGCAAAAGACATGTCTGATACAGGACTGTTTTCCAAAGTATATAATGAACTCTTAAAGCTCAACAATAAGAAAATGAACAACCCAATTATGAAATGGGCAGAAGCTGTGAACAGATACTTCACCAAAAAAAGATTCATGAATGGCCCAAAAACGCATATTAAAAGATGCTCATCATCATATGCCATTAGGGAATTAAATCAAAACTAAGTGAGATATCACTACACACTTATTAGAATGGTGAAAATCCAGAACACTGAAAACACCGAATGCTGATGAGGATGTGGAGCAACAGAAAGTATCATCTGTTGCTGGTGTGAATGCAAAATGACACAGCCATTTTGCAATATAGTTTGGCAGTTTCTTACAAAGCTAAGCATACTCTTACCATATAATTCAGCAGTTGTGCTCCTTGGCATTTACCCAAATCAGTTGAAAACATGTCTACACAAAAACCTACACACCGATATGTATAACAATTTTATTCATAATTGCCAAAACTCAGAAGCAACCAATGCTCTCTTCCTCAGGTGCTATGGTTTAAATGTGTCACCCAAAGTTCTTACGTTGAAAACTTAATCCAAAATGCAACAATATTGGGGGCTGGAGCCCAATAAGAGGCAATTATGACTCCTTCATAATGTTGTAATCACGGAGTGGGTTAGTTATCGCGAGAGTGTGCTTGTTCTTGCTCTTATGCTTTCTTGCCCTTCTGCCTTCTGCCCTGGGATGACTCAGCAAGAAGGCCGTCATCAGATGTGGTCCATCTACCTTGGACTTTCCAGCCTCCAGAACTACAAGAAATATAGATCTCTTTTTTTTTATAAACTGGCCAGTCTGCAGTTTTCCATTATGACAACACAAAACAGACTAAAACCATAGATGAATGAATAAATATACTTTACACATTTATTCATGTAAATATGAATAAATATTTATTTATTTATCCAATGTTCTGGATGTACATCAATCCTATAAAAGAAATGAGCTATCAAGCCATGAAAAGACATGGAGGAACCTCAAATGCATATTACTGAGTGAACAAAATCCACTCTGAAAAAGCTACATACTGTATGATTCCAACTATACGACATTCTGGAAAAAAACAAAACCATGGAGGTGGGAAAAAAGATCTGTGGTTGCTAAAGATTAGGAGAAGGAAGGCATAAATCAACAGGGTGCAAGGATTTTTAGGGCAGTGAAGCTCTTCTGTGTGGTACTACAATGGTGGATGCCTGTTATTATATGTTTGTCAAAACCCATAGCATGTGCAATAGCAAGAGGGAACTCTCATGTAAACACTAGGCTTTGAGTGATAATGATGTGAGAGTGTACAGTCACAGAGTAAGACAAATCTACCACTCTGGTGCAGGGTGTTGATATTCCGCGAGGCTGCGTATGGGGTGGGGTGAAGGACAGAGTGTATATGAGAACTCTCTGTACTTCCTGCTCAGTTTTCCTGTGAATCTAAAACAGCTGTAAAAATAAAGCCCACTTATAAAGACAGACGTGGAGAATTTATTCAAATTAATTTACAAGCACATTAAGAAATAGTTCCACAGTTTAGACTAGCAGTTACAAAGAAATCTTTAAATGGAAACTCCTTTATTTAGGGTGTGGCCATAGGAACAAATGCATTATTTTTTTAAAATAAAAAAGTATACTTTATGTAACCAGTTAATTGGCAACCCACTCTCTAGAAATGGGCCTGACAAGCTCAACGTGGAGGATGTATCAAGTAATGTGTTCCGTTGGCAAAATTATAGGTTCATTTACCAAAGGTTAACAACTATATTACAATGCCAAAAGTTTTGTTTCAATTAAAATAGTTGAATATTATTAATTCCATAAGTTGTCCACAAGTAAAAATGATGTTTAACTGCCAGTGTTGCCTTTACTGAAAGGAAGATAACTCTCAAAGATAATTCTCAAATTTTGGTGCCTGACACTGGTTAAAATTGGCACGAAGATTTTGACATAAATATTTTTTACCTTTTCTGGCTTGTTTCTAATCCTGATTTGTCATTTTTCTTAGTGGCTTATCATTTAATATTTGTCAGAGTTCAGTGGGTGTTATTTCTCTGTCTCTTTCTTATTGTTAATTCTTACATTCCACATATAACTTCAAATAGCTCATTCTCATAAAATAATTTTCTGATGTAAATATTCTGGCAGAGAATAAATTAGTATATGGGAATTCGGTAGTCATTTTTCTACAACAACCAACTTATAGTCTTCCATTTTATTACCTCTTTTATCCAAATTTAAATAAATTTTGCTGAACAAAACATTTAGAATTAGATTCAATAAATCAAATCATTATAATATTTTGTCATTGTTGACTTTAGAAGAGTCCAGGGCATGGAGAAAAAGCAAGGAACTTTGTGTGATAAAAGTAACAAACTTGAAACTTCTTAAATATTAAATAATTTATATTTATATTTTTAATAATTTGGGCAATTATTTGGGAAAATTAAGTCAGATTTTTTACCTCATGCTATTAAAAAAGGTGACGTAAGTATTTGTATGTGTGACTGGATGAATAATATCTCTAAATATACCCAGGTTCTAATCTTTGGAACCTGAGAATGTTACTGTATATTGCAAAAGGGACTTCACAAGGTGATTAAGTTAAAGAGTTTGAGATGGGGAGATTATCCTGGAATACCTAGGGATGTCCTATATGCAATCACAAGTGTTCTTATAAGAGGGACGCAGAGGAAGATTTGACTACAGAAGAGATGGAGCTGTGACAATGGAAGGAAAAGACCAGAGTGTTGTGAGGAAAGGATCACAGGCTAAGGAAGCACGCAGCCTCCAGGAGCTGGAAAAGGCATGGAAACAACTTCTCCCCTGAACCTCCAGAAGGAACCAGCCTTGCCTACCTGCCCACACCTTCAGCCCAGTGAAACTGATTTCATGCCTCCTGCCTCCAGAATTGTGTTGTTTTAAACCACCCAGTTTGTGGTAATTTGTTTCAGCAGCCATAGGTAACTAAAACCATATGCAAAAAGAAAGATATGTAGTTTTTTCTGTGTGTGTATATTTATATATAATTGTATATGTATACATACACACACACCAAATACATATGGTATGCACATTGAAGCAGTTGAGAGACATAACTGATGTCTATGGCCCACTTCAAAATGCATAAAAGTGATTGATGTGATGGATAAAGGGATGGAAAGATGTACAGATACATTTAAAAAGTCAGTATAGTATAATATTACTGTAGAATCTAGATGGTGGGGATATAGATTTATACTGTAAAATTTCTTCATGTTTTCTATGTTTGAACCATTTTCTAATACAATATTGGAGAAGAACATAGATGAAACTGGAGGTTACCATGAGATAGGAAGCAATCTTTTATCTCATGACAACAAGGGAAAAAGCTGAAAATAAAAAGATTATTGAATCTGCCGAGTCAAAATGAAAAGCTTTTGGGTCAAAAATTTTTAAAAATTAACAAAGTTCATAGAAAAACAATGTACTGGGAAATATTTGCAACATGTGTGTGAAAAGACGTGTATCCATAATATGATAAATAAAGATCGTCATTGGAGGTGTTTAAAGATCTGATAGGCTGGTGCAGTGGCTCATGCCCATAATCCCAGCACTTTGGGAAGCCAAGGCAGGTGGATCATTTGAGGTCAGAAGTTTGAGACCAGCCTGACCAACATGGTGAAACCCCCATTTCTACTAAAAATACAAAAATTAGCCAGGCAGTAGTGGCGTGCACCTGTAATCCCAGCTACTAAGGAGGCTGAGGCAGGAGAATTGCCTGAGCCTGGGAGGCAGAGGTTGTGGTGAGCCGACATTGCACCACTGCATCCAGTCTGGGCAACAGAGTGAGACCCTGTCTCAAAAAAAAAAAAAAATGCTGAATACATAAAGCTATTATGGTTAGGATTCAGGTAACATTCTGTAGCAGTAGTTAAATTTTGTAGTCAACTATTTGTCTATCTCAACTACATTATTATTTTTATTATGTCATGAAAATTATATACAAAGGGCGTGGAAGAAGAAACTCAATCAGAGGTTGTGAGAAAGTTGTCCCTTATTGGTAAGATGATGCTAGTTAGTAACATAGATGGTACCCTGGACATTTCACCAGCAGAACATGTGCATTTAGTGCTAACTCAGAGCCAGGGGTACATCTAAAATGACCTAGCTGGCTGGGCACGGTGGCTCACGCCTGTAATACCAGCACTTTGGGAGGCCAATGCAGGTGGATCACGAGGTCAGGAGTTCAAGACCAGCCTGGCCAAGATGGTGAAACCCCATCTCTACTAAAAAAAAAAAAAAAAAAAAAAAAAAAAAAAAAGGCCAGGCACGGTGTCTCACGCCTGTAATCCCAGGACTTTGGGAGGCCCAGGAGGGCGGATCACGAGGTCAGGAGATCAAGACCATCCTGGTTAACACAGTGAAACCCCGTCTCTACTGAAAATACAAACATTAGCCGGGCTTGGTGGCGGGCGCCTGTAGCCCCAGCTACTCGGGAGGCTGAGGCAGGAGAACTGCGTGAACCCGGGAAGCGGAGCTTGCAGTGAGCCGAGATCGCGCGGCTGCATTCCAGCCTGGGCGACAGAGAGAGACTCCATCTCAAAAAAAAAAAAAAAATAGCCAGGTGTGGTGGCAGGCGCCTGTAATCCCAGCTACTCGGGAGGTTGAGGCAGAGAACAGCTTGAACCCAGGAGGCGAAGGTTGCAGCGAGCCAAGATTGCGCCACTGCATTCCAGCCTGGGCAACAGAGCCCAGACTCCATCTCAAAAAAAAAACAAAAAATAAAAAATAAATGACCTAGTTGCAGCTTTTCCTTGACCTTTCTCCTAAGGCATAAAGCTATTTTCTAAGAAACTAGCACATCACTAATTAAATTAAACAATATAAAATGCTATTGAATTATTATTTACTGTAATATTGGCCATTTAACTATTATAAATAAATGACTTACCATGTGAAAAAGAATGAATGTTTTTATTATGGTGTATCCAATCAATGGAAGAGTAGGCAGCCAGTGCAAATTGTTTTCAGAGAATTTTTGGCGATCAGAAGAAATTTTCATAAAAGATGTTGTATAGCAGTATATAAAGTTGTCTACATGGTATGATCCCAATATTTTCACAAAATCTTTTAAGTAAAAATAAACAGAAAACATAAGGACTAGAAGGATATCAAATTGAAAGTAGTTTTTTTTCTGGATTGTGGGAAATAGCCTTTGTTATCATCTTTCCATTTATGCATGGGATTTTTTTTGCAATAAACATGAATAACATAATGAAACAACACTACACCATAAAAGGTATATTATGTATGGATGTATATAGATATAGCTTTAAGTGAAAGCAGCAAATGCAGTAGACAGTGTAATCAGATAAAATTGTGTCAGCAGTGGCTCCAATTCTAGCAAACTGAAGGAAAGTGGTCACGACCACTGAAGGAAAGTGAATACCACCGTGCCTGCTTCTCCACTGTGCAACCCTGGTTATACATTGGAATCAGGGCATTTTTAACCTAAATTCCTGGGCTGTGCCCTTGGAAATTCTGAGATTTTTCTGAGTGGGGATGAGGTAACTGTATTTTATTAAATTTCCCCCAACTGACTCTAATGACAGGAAGATTTAGATATTACACAGTTAAGCAATGGTTCTTAAATTGTATTATGTAGAAGAATCACTTGGTGCTTGTTCAAAAATACAAATTCTTGGACCTGCACCTCCACAAATTCTGATTCTTTCAGTTTGAGGTAAAGCCCAAGCAGAAATCTGTATTTTAAACACCCAACTTTTCTGATACAGATGTTCCATAAAAAACACTTTACATAAACTTGAGCAATTAATGTTATAACACATATAGGAAAGTTAACAGAAAGTACCTTCTGAGGGCAATTTTTATCATTACTCGAAATTCACACAGCCATGAGCATATACATTTGTATGTATATATACATATTTTTTTAAGTGTTTTACTTCCAAATTAATCTAATTCTCAGTTGCCATTTGTAGTTTACCTTTTAAATGCAAAAGTGTCACCTAGGGGTAAAAATAGGTAACTGCAAGATGATTTCAGTTTTTGCATTAAATTCTTTAATTTGTACATATTTCATCTCTAAAACTTTATTGCCCAAGCACTAGAGAGGCAAGACTGAGTCATGATTAAAAGCAAGAGTTCTGACGTCCTACTGACCTTTGACCCCTTGCTTTGTCACTTACTAGCTGTGTGCTTCTCAGAGCCACCATTCCTTTATCTGTAAGCAAGGTTATCAGTAGTGCTTACTCCACGGGGTTAAGTAACAGAATACAGCAAAGCGCTCAGCACAGCGTCTAGAATACACTACAAGCTCAGTAAGAGGTTGTCTTTTCTTGTACCAAAATCTACTCTCTAAATACGATTCATATTGAACTTGAGTAATGTGACTCCAGTAGCAAATATCATTCTTGATCATTGTGAGAATGCTGCTAGCATCGAAAATCTGAAATTAAAATTTTATCTGCAGTCACATTTATGTAAACTACTTAGCTTACTATGATTTCTAACTCTGACAAGTTCATTCAAAACTAGCAATCCGGGAGGGGCCAAAATGGCTGACTAGAAACAGCTGTGGTCAGAGTCTCCCACTGAAAACAAAAATGGCGAGTGAATCCTACACCAGCAACTTCTCTCATTGGGACTGACTAGACAGTTGGTGCAACCCATGGAGAGAGAGGAAAATCGGGGTGGACCAATGGCCCACCTGGGAGCCGCATGGCAAGAGGAGCTCCCACTGTAGCCAAGGCAGGTGGTGAGTGATTGTGCTACCTTGCCCAGGAAACCACGCATTTCCCACGGATCTGTGCAACCTGTTAATGAGGAGACCCCCATCGTAAGCCATGCCACCAGGGCCTTGGATCTCAAGCACAGAGCTGTGTAGATTCTTAGCAGCCACTCAGTTGGAGACTGCCTAAGACTACCAAGTTCCCGCGGGGAGGGGCGGGTGCCACCACTGCAGCTCCCATCTGCTGTTCGTCCCCTGCTGGTGCAGGGGAGACTTGGACCCAGGAGGAATTCCCCAGAGCGCAGCACAGTGGCTGTGGCAGATAATAGCCGGACTGCCTCTTTAGGCTGGACCCTGACCCATCCCTCCTCACTGGGTGAGGCCTTCCTGCAGGAATTTCAGCAACTCCAGCCAGGGGTTTATGGACAGAACTCTGATTTCCCTGGGATGGAGCCCCTGCGGGGGAGGGGCAGCCATGTTCTCCACAGGTCAGCAGACTTAGTCTTTCCCCTGCTGGCTTTGAGGAATCTGGGCCGTCTGGATTAGTGGGATTCCCCCCCAGCACAGCACACTCCCTCCACCAAGGGGCAATCAAAGTGCTTTGTTAAACGGGCCCCTGAACCCGTGCCTCCTGACTGGGCGAGACCTTCCCCCAAGAGGGGTCACCAGACACCAGATACAGTGGTCACCAGAAACCTATACAGAAGCGTTCCATTGGCATCAGCCTCTCTGGGAGGAGCTCCCAGAGTAAAGAGCAGGCAGCCATCTTTGCTGTTCAGCAGCCTCCATTGGTGATACTTCCAGTTGCAGGAGGGACCCAGATGAATTGAGTCTGGAGTGGATCCTAAGCAAATTGCACAGCCCTATGGGAGAGGGGTCTGACTATTAAAAAGACAAACAGAAAGCAACAACAACATCAACAAAAAAGACCCCACAAAAACCCCATCCCAAGGTCAGGAGCCTCAAAGATCGAAGCTAGATAAAGTCACAAAGATGAGAAAGAATCACTGAAAAAACATGGAAAACTCAAAAAGCCAGAGTGCATCTTCTCTTCCAAATGGTCACAACAACTCTCCAGCAAGGAAACAGAACCGAGCAGAGGATGAGATGGATGAGCTGAGAGAAGTAGGCTTCAGAACATGGATAAAAATGAACTTCAGTGAGCTAAAGGAGCATGATCTAACCCTGTGCAAAGAAGCTAAAAACTATGATAAAACATTACAGGAAGTGTTAATCAGAATTACCAGTTTAGAGAGGAACATAAATGACATGATAGAGCTAAAAAACACAACACGAGAACTTCACGATGCAACCACAAGTATCAATAGACCAAGTGGAGGAAAGAAGTACCAAATAGACCAAGTGGAGGAAGTACCAAATAGACCAAGTGGAGGAAAGAATTTCAGAGCTCGAAGACTATCTTGTTGAAATAAGACAAGCAGAGAAGATTAGAGAAAAAAGAATAAAAAGGAATGAACAAAACCTCCAAGAACTGTGAGATTATGTAAAAAGATTGACCCTATGACTGATTGGGGAACCTAAAGAGATGGGGAGAAAAGAACCAAGTTGGAAAACATATTTCAGGATATGATCCAGGAGAACTTCCCAACCTAACAAGGCAGGCCAACATTCAAATTCAGGAAATCCAGAGAACCCCAGTAAGATATGCCATGAGTAGATGAACCCCAAGACACATAATCTTCAGATATTTCAAGGTCAAAATGAAGGAAAAAATGTTAAGGGCAGCAGGGACAAAGGCGAAGTCACCTACAAAAGAAAGCCCATCAGTCTAACAACAGACCTATCAGTAGAAACCATACAAGCCAGAAGAGATTGGGGGCAAATATTCAACATTCTTAAAGAAAAGAATTTCCAACGCAGAATTCCAGCCAAACTAAGTGAAAGAGAAATAAAATCCTTTTTAGACAAGCAAATGCTGAGGGAATTCATGACCACCAGGTCTGCCTTGCAAGAGCTCCTGAGGGAAGTACTAAATAAGGAAAGGAAAAACCGTTACCAGTCACTACAAAAACACACTGAAGTACAAAGACCAATGATGCTATGAAGCAACTATATCAACAAGTCTGCAAAATAACCAGCTAGCATCATAATAGGATCAAATTCACACATAACGATATTAACCTTAAATGTAAATGGGCTAAACACCCCAATTAAAAGACACAGAACGGCAAGCTGGATAAAAAAACAAGACCCACCAGTGTGCTGAATTCAAGATACTCATCTCACATGAAAGGACACACGTAGGCTCAAAATAAAGGGATGGAGGAAAATTTACCAAGCAAATGGAAAACAGAAAAAAGCAGGGGTTGCAATCCTAGTTTCTGACAAAATAGACTTTAAATCAGCAAACATCAAAAAGGACAAAGAAGGGCATTACCTAAGGGTAAAGGGTTCAATTTAACAAGAAGAGCTAACTATCCTAAATATATATGCACTCAATACAGGAGAACCCAGATTCATAAAACAAGTTCTTAGAGACCCATAAAGAGACTTAGATTCTGACACAATAATAGTGGGAGACTTTAATACCTCATTGTCAATATTAGACAGATCATCAAGACAGAAAATTGAGAAGGATATTCAGGACTTGAATTCAGCTCTGGATCAAGTGGACCTGATAGATATCTACAGAGCTCTCCACACAAGAACAACAAAATATACATTTTTCTCAGTGCTACATGACACTTACTCTAAAATCAATCACATAATTGAAAGCAAAACACTCTTCAGCAAATGCAAAAGACCTAAAATCATAAAAAACAGTTTCTCAGACCACAGCACAATCAAATTAGAACTCAAGATTAAGAAACTTACTCAAAACCACACAACTACATGGAAATTGAACAACCTGCTCCTGAATTAATCCTGAATAAATGATGAAATTAAGGCAGAAATCAAGAAGTTCTTTGAAACCAATAGGAACAAAGAGACAATGTACCAGAATCTCTGGGACACAGCTAAAGTGGTGTTAAGAGGGAAATGTACAGCACTAAATGCCCACATTAAAAAGCTAGAAAGATCTCAAATCAACACCCTAACATCACAACTAAAAGAACTAGAAAACCAAGAGCAAGCAAAACCTAAAGCTAGCAGAAGGCAAGAAATAACCAAGATCAGAGCAGAACTGAGGGAGATAGAGACACAAAAATCCCTTCAAAAAATCAATGAATCCAGGAGGTGGTTTTTTAAAAAAATTAATAAGATAGATAAACTGCTAGCTACACTAATAAAGAAGAAAAGACAGAAGAATCAAATAATCATAATAAAAAATGATAAAGGGTATATCACCAATGACCCCACAGAAATACAAACAACCATCAGAGAATACTATAAACACCTTTATGCACATAAACTAGAAAATCTAGAAAAAATGGATAAATTCCTGGACACAAACACCCTCCGAAGGGTTCAGTCCCCAAGACTGACCCAGGAAGAAGTTGAATCCCTGAATAGCCCGATAACAAGTTCTGAAATTGAAGCAGCAAAAAAATAACCTACTAACCAAAAAAAAAAAAAAATCCTAGGACCAGATGAATTTACAGCTGAATTCTACCAGAGGTACAAAGAGGAGCTGTACCATTTCTTCTAAAACTATTCCAAACAATTGAAAAGGAGGGACTCCTCCCTAACTCATTTTATGAGGCCAGCATTTTTCTGATACCAAAACCTGGCAGAAATACAACAAAAAAAGAAAACTTCAGGCCAATAACCCTGACAAACATCAGTGAAAAGATCCTTAATAAAATACTGGCAAACTGAATCCAGCAGCACATCAAAAAGCTTATCCACCATAATCAAGTCAGCTTCATCCCTGGGATGCAAGGATGGTTCAACATAAGCAAATCAATAAATGTGATTCATCACATAAATAAAACTAAAGACAAAAACCACATGATTGTCTCAAGAGATGCAGTAAAAGCTATTGATAAAATTCAACATCCCTTCATGTTAAAAACTCTCAATAAGCTAGGTATTGATGGAACATACCTCAAAATAATAAGAGCCAGTTATGACAAACCCACAGTCAATATCATACTGAATGGGCAAAGGCTGGGCTCATTCCCCTTGAAAGCCAGCACAAGGCAAGGTTGCCCTCTCTCAACACTCCTATTCAACATAGTATTGGTAGTTCTGACCAGGGCAATCAAGCAAGAAAAAAAAATAAAGGGTATTCAAATAAAAAGAGAAGAAGTCAAGTTGTCTTTATTTACAGATGACATGATCCTATATGTAGAAAACCCCATCATCATTCCTATACATCAACAATAGACAAGCAGAGAGCTGAATCATGAATGAACTCCCATTTGCAATAGCTACAAAGAGAATAAAATACCTAGAAATACAGCTAACATATGAATTGAATGTCCTCTTCAATAAGGACTACAACCCACTGCACAAGGAAACAGTTCATGCTCACGGATAGGAAGAATCAATATTGTGAAAATGGCCATACTGCTCAAAGTAATTTATAAATTCAATGCTATTCCCATTAAACTACCATTGACATTCTTACAGAATTAGAAAAGATTACTTTAAAATTCATATGATACCAAAAAAGAGCTGGTATAGCCAAGACAGGCCTAAGCAAAAAGAACGAAGCTGGAAGCATCATGCTACCTGACTTCAAACTATACTACAAGGCTACAGGAACCAAAATAGCATGGTGCTGGTACAAAAACAGACACATAGACCAATGGAGCAGAATAGAGAACCTAGAAATATTACTGCATATCTATAACCATCTCATCTTTGACAAATCTGACACAAACAAGCAATGGGGAAAGGGTTCCCTATTTAATAAATGGTACTGGGAGAACTGGCTAGCTGTATGCAGAAAATTGAAACTGGACTCCTTCCTTACACTTTATACAAAAAGTACCTCAAGATGGATTAAAAAATTAAATGTAAAATCAAAAACTATAAAATCCCTGTAAGAAAATCTAGGTAATATCATTCAGGACATAGGCACAGGCAAAGATTTCATGATGAGAACAGAAAAAGCTATTGCAACAAAAGCAAAACATGGCAAATGGGATCTAATTAAAATAAAGAGCTTCTGCACAGCAAAAGAAACTATCATCAGAGTGAGCAGGCAACCTGCAGAATGGGAGAAAATTTTTGCAATGTATCCAGCTGACAAAGATCCAATATCCAGAATCTACAAGGAACTTAAATTTACAAGAAAAAAACAACCCCATTAAAAAGTGGGCAAAGGGATGAACAGACACTTCTCAAAAGAAGACATTTATGGAACCAACAAACATATGAAAAAAAGTTCAACATCACTGATCATTAGAGAAATGCAAGTCAAAACCACAATGAAATACCATCTCATGTCAGTCAGAATAGTGATTATTAAAAAGTCAAGAAACAACAGATGCTGGCGAGGCTGTGGAGAAATAGGAGTGCTTGTACACTGTTGGTGAGAATGTAAATTAGTTCAACTGTTGTGGAAGACAGTGTGGTGATTTCTCAAAGACCTAGAACCAAAAATACCATGTGACCCAGTAATCCCATTACTGCGTACATACCCAAAGGAATATAAATCTTTCTGTTATAAAGATACATGCAAGCATATGTTCAATGCAGTATTATTCACAATGGAAAAGACATGAAATCAACTCAAATGCCCATCAGTGATAGACTGGATAAAGAAAATGTGGTACATATACACCATGGAATACTATGCAGCCACAAAAAGGAACAAGATCATGTCATTTGCAGGGACATAGATGAAGCTGGAAGCCATTATCCTTAGCAAACTAATGCAGGAACAGAAAACCAAATACCACATGTTCTCACTTATAAGTGGGAGCTGAACAATGAGAACACGTGGACAAAGGGAGGAGAACAACACACACTGGGGCCTATCAGAGGGGAGGCTGGGAGAGGGATAGCATCAGGATAAATAGCTAATACATGCTGAGCTTAATACCTAGGTGATGGGTTGTCAGGTGCAGCAAACCACCATGGCACACATTTACCTATGTAACACACCTGCACCTCATGCACATGTACCCCAGAACTTAAAATAAAATAAAATTAGGAAAAAACAACAACAACTAGGAATCAGTTGCAATTTCAAATTAGTTCAATTTGCTAGAGATTTACTGAGACTTTTCAATGATCCAAAGCCTATGAAACACATTCCAAGGCATGCCAAAAATGAAACAGTTCCCCTATTCCATGCATGGGCAATTGCCTCTCCTGGATCCTATCATTTTTGCTAGAGAACATAGGTGGTTTATGGTACATGGGCCAAGAGTGGCAACTGGGTGATTATTATTTACCTTCGTCCATTTGTCATTTAATAAAAGAACTATTTTCCATGGCTTTTCCAAGCCACTGTTGCCAGCTGTCTATGACTACTATGGCAGGCAGCTGCTCCCCAACACCACCCTGCATACTGGGTTAACAAATTTTACCGTGTCCTATACATGAAAGGCTGCATACCATGGTTCAAAGATGACTAGTCTCAAGTCATAGTTTATTAGTTCAGTTGCTTAGAACATGGTGTTCATGGTACTAACGTCAAATACAGAATATGACAATATTTGCCTGAGTAGGATCCATAGATCATTTTACTTGAAAAAACAGACATCTTTCCTGTCTCTCTCTCTCTCTCTTCTCTCTCTCTCTCTGTCCCCTTCCTTCCTTCCTTCCTTCCTTCCTTCCTTCCTTCCTTCCTTCCTTCCTTCCTGTGTGTATGTGGATTAAATACTGTTTTACATTAGGTAAGAATGTATGCTTTGGGAGGCCGAGGTAGGCAGATCACCTGAGGTCAGGAGTTCAAGACCAGCCTGGCCAACATGGCAAAACCCCATCTCTACTAAAAATACAAAAATTAGCCAGGACTGTTGGTGGGCACCTGTAATCCCAGCTACACAGGAGGCTGAGGCAGGAGAATCGCTTGAACCCAGGAGGCAGAGGTTGCCGTGAGCCGAGATTGTGCCATTGCACTTCAGTCTGGGTGACAAGAGTGGGACTCTGTCTCAAAAAAAAAAAAAAAAAAAACAAAAAAGAATGTATGTAAAGCTTTTTACATATATAATATATATAAAATAATATATTTTATTACATGAGAATATATGTAAAGCTTTTAGCACAGTGACTGGCATATGCAATATATTTATGTGCCAGTCAGAATACTAGGAGCTTTGCATATTCTCATTTAATTCTCACAATAATATTATAGAGTCGATTATATGATTATCCTCATTTTATAAGTATTATATCAGGTTTACAGAAGTTAAATCTTTTACCCAACAGCATACAGTTAGAAAGTGATAGAGCCAGGATTCAATATTCAATCTCAGTAATTCTATTTTAAATCATATATACATCTGGCATCATATGTATTATATATAAATGCTATATATAATTTGTATATTTTAAAAACATATAATATGTATATACAGTTTTACCAATGAACAACAACCAAAAGAGTAAGAAATGTCACCTAAATTATTTCCCAAACTGAGAAAATAACTGAAAACATATGTTCTACCAATGTTCCATCAGTAGCACAAATCTTACAGAAGTTGCCAATTCAATTCAGTGAGTTTCAAGCAATCTATTAGTTTCAAAGTGTACATCTTTTATTTATTTTCTGGTCCTCAAAGAATAGGAGGAAAGATGCAACAGATCTAACAGATCACTTGGGTTCACAGCAGACATGTGCATGGTTGGTGTTAATCCTTATTTAGATCTGGGCAAAATCCAGAGACATTAGAGTTTGCTGCAAACATTCCTTCAATGTTATCTTTAGAAAATCAAGTTGCTCTACACAAAGGAATATGTTTTTAATGTTTCGGCCAAATGAATGTATTTGTTAAACCTTATTTATTTAACTTGTTTCTTCTTTCTATTCATTTCAGAATATTTCCTTCCTTAATTGTCCTTTCTGTGTCTGCTCATTATCTATCTTGATTATTTGCCAGATTACTTTTTAAAGCTAACTAGAATCGGTTCTCAATTTTTGTTTTAGAATGGTCAAACACAGTGTTTCCAGCATTTAGCCTGAAGTTTTCAATTAGATTGCAATGGCTCTTTAACTTGAAAATATTGTTGTTCTTACTGGCTGTATACTTAACAAGAAAAGAAAAACAATTCTCTCTTTACTTTGATAGTCTTCCACCAAACACCAAAAATCTGATCCAAAATACCAAAGTAGTATTAATTCATTCAAACTTGTGGGAAGTAAGACAAAATAGAAAGTATGTGTCACTGAGAATTTTGAGAATAAATTCATTTAGCATGTTGTTTTAAGAAAACTAACATGATCAAAGCAAACTCAAAGTTGTGATATTTTAAAATAACATTTGTTCTACCTTTAGAGTTTGATTATTACAAAAAATTATTCACTTTGACTTTTGTAGTGTTTCATTCTAAAGAACTGCAATTTCACATCTGTTTAATTTTTCATTTATACTTGATGATTTAACAAAGTTGTAAGGAAAAAAATCATTTTCTATAGAGCAAGTCTTAATAGGGCAGATTCGTGGGCTCCCAACTTGACACTTTATTTCTAATGCTGAAACTCTTGCATTTATTCTCCTCTGTTTTCCACATCTCATCATTTGAACAATAAGGGGGTAGTGGAATAGGTTTTGTTAGGTAAGACTTGAGCAAACAAAACTCAAACATCATCACTATGATCAAGTATTTTTCAGAGAAACCCTGGCATACTTAGTGAATACTTCAAATTCTATTAGTTTTCTGGTTGAAAACGAATGCTCCATAAAAAGAATACATTTACTAACATATTTAGAATACCACCAGTAGTCAGGAAGAAAATAAAGCTGTAAGATGGAAATAACAATCAGAAAAACAATAGCAAAAAATCCCTAAGGCATATATTGTAGGTATTCAAAATACTAGTAACTATAAAGAGATACCACATACCAATCATTCCCTGTTATTGATATTCCCCCCCCAATGATTTCCTAGTACAGATGATACCAATCCATCTAACTCTTCATTTGGAGAATACAGAGATAAAATACCAATTATTTTGCTCTATCCCATGTATTTTTAATATAGTAAATATGTAACATATTTATGAAAAATATTTAATAAATACAATAGCAGCAATCATTAATTATGTATCAAGCATTCTGCTCAATGCTTGATGTATATTTTCTCTATTTAATTCTCATAACAACATTAAGAGATGAGCATTATGTTTTTTTCATATACAGATGAAAAGGTTCAGTTGGTTTAAGTGACCTGCCTGGGGTCACACTTCAATATCAGCTGTTGATTGGCTGTTTTACTCTTGCTGGTCACTTCTAACTTACTACCTCTGAGGTGCATTTCTCAGCTTAGCAGGGAAAATGGAGCCCACTTCCCTTTATGCTTATTTCAGAATATCGAAGAATGGCCAAACTAGCAGCCTGGGAGAAGACCCAAGTAATTAACAGTAGAATCAAGAGTAGAATTTAAGCTAGTAAAGTCACAGAACAACTACAAATATTTGTACACAGGCAATCAGAAATATAATTATGAATTTGGAAAAAGACTTACCTCTTACAGTCTGCACAGAATTGATCTCACCATCCAAAATATACCAAATCTGATAGTAGAATCATTAGCTAACATAAAATAACTAAAGCAAAGTCTATAACTATGGAAAAACTGGAAACTGGCATGCTTTGTTGGTAAGCAGCTAAAATGATTTATTAATTGAAAATAAATAAGTGTAGACATCATTCTTGTCATGCAGATATATATAGTCACAACTACCTTGCCTCTTGCACAAAGGTTTTGTCATTATCATTTCTTCTAAGAGCATTGAGTATTTTGCTAGCAAATTTTGCTTCCTTCTCAGAGTAAGTTCTCTGGGCCCACATCAGGACAGCATTCTGTAAAATATGGACCTGAAGATAATAGTCCTAGCATATCATATTCTAAAGATGATTCTGAGTGGTAAAAATCACTTCTCCTCAAATACAGCCAAGAGTTCACCACCGCAGATTTAATGGTATACCTTTTTCCCATCTTTCCCATCTTCTACTAACTGCAACCCTTCCACAACCCTTTTTGCTGAACACAGTAGAGTAAATCTAACAAGATAAATTTCTCCAAAGCTCATAGGCTTACCTATACTGTGATAACACTTTGGACTCACAACTCAGAATCTCTGTAAAAAGAGTAAACTAGATGTATATCAAAACGAAAAATGCAAACCGAGATAACCTGTATTAACACGATTTAGTTCTCCCATGGAAACTTTACCCAGGAAAGACAAAGACTATAAACCACTAAATATTGTTTGCTTCAAGATATTCATGCAAATCAATTTATCTGAGACAGTAGTTTGATTACTTGGACAAAGAGCTCACCTGTCAAATAATAGTTAATCAATTCTTCCCATAAGATACTCACCTTACTCTGTCCACCAACACTAAACTACCATATCACAAATTTTACCCAATCTCTATCTTCCTTCCATCATGAAATGCCTTAGACCCCAACATCCTGTGAACATGCACTCCCCCTTGGGAGGTACAGCTGATACCCTGGCAAGGTGGTGTTCTACCTCACTGCAGTGAGTTCTAACAAATATATTTGGCTTTGCTTTATTAAATGGCTGTTTTGTGATATTTGAGGTAGTTCAACAAAAGAGAATGTCAATATGACACAAAGATCTGGAATCTTTCAAATCTAATCATCCAGAATTCAAGCTGTTTTTAGTTTAATCCATTTTAAAAGCATCTTTGTTTTTTAAGGCTTAAGGAAACGGAATTATATAGGTCCACCACAACCAATGAATATGGAATTTTACAGAGAGATTTTCAAGATTATTAACATAGATTGAGAGTGTAGGTTAAAAAACACTTTTCAGTGGTTGATTTTTTAAAGTAGTGTCAGCAGTTTTTTTAAGCGCATGAAAGAGTGCAGAGGATAGAATTTCCATTTTTTTCAATTTGTGTGTGCATTTCTCAAAAATTAAACCCAGATTTGTTTCCTAAGGCAACATTTTGGAAAAGTTTTTTTTTAATAGGCCAATGACTAGTTATTTGTTCACTTAAACAAATAAGAATTTTAAACAAAGTAAGTCCCTTTATCCCATAATTTTAAAAAAATCATTTCATAACTTAAAAAAAGAGGAAAACAGTAAACTTAAATTCATACAAGTAAAAAGCTGAAATAATTAAGGTATGGGGCTCCAAATGAATGTTTGTGAAAAGCTTCCATTTTTATTATCTCTATTTTCATGAAGTATTGGCAGCATTATCATTTAAGAAGAAACCTTTGATCCAGCTGTAAATAAAAATTTTTGTCTTAATGATTGTCTGTTTGAACACATGATGTAAATACCCTTTTACTGCAAATATTCTAACATCTATGCTAACTATACGTATTATCTATGTTAACTAACACTGTGTTGCTAAGTTACCTGACTAACGCCTGCTAATATCAGTTCCTTTTTCACTCTTATTAGGAAGTTTCCATGCTGGGGATCTAACCTGGGTTTATAGACAAGTAGTTTAGCCTTTTGCAAAAGTAGGAAGAACTGTGGTCATGAAAATATTTCTACTTTCCCTAGGGTAAGGAGCTATAAAAACCTACCTCATTGGATCAGACAGGAAAGAAGAAAAAGCCTGAAGAAAAATAAAATGCACAAATTAAGATGTTGATAATTTAATCTATCATATAGCCTTCCTGTAGAACTCGAGTAGGTAATCGAATTCTTCAGCTATTCACTTTTTAGACAGAAGAGGAAACACGTAGACTAATTAAAAATAAGAAATAATAGGCGTAAGGAAATCTTAGGCTTTATAGTAACTGGTTTTTGTGCTTCTAAAACACATGCTTTATCATTAGAAACTATGAAACTATCACATGAAGAACATCGAGATGCCAATTCGAAAGACTAGCCAATGAAATGTTCAGCAGAGGTAGGAGGTAATTAGTAACCCTGCTATGGAGGTTACTGAAAAGAAAGATTTCAATTATTCTATTTCTTTTCCATTATATAGGCATGTGGAGAAAAATAAGAATGTAAATAATTCCAAGTTAAAGAAAATCGAATTAGATTTGGTTTTATGAAGTCTGTAAGGAGTTCTATTTTGGTATGGAATTTTGGATATAATGGCTAAGGTTGCCACATGGGATGGAATCATGAAGGAATGATGAGACACAGTGACTAGAGGGACTGCTCTTCTTGCTATGAAATGGATGTAATAGGAGTGTCTGCTCCTGAGGTTGTTGTGGGGATTAAATGAGATCATCCACACAGAGGTTAGTGTGCTTGCCTGTCCACAGAGAGCATTCAATAAATATCAGTGATCATTATTACTCATATCCCAAAATAAAATCATAATGAAACGGGAGAGTTCCCTTATCCCTCTCACTGGATGTTCAACAGGAGTGTGGTTTGCTCCTTTAGTAGCCCCGCTGCTCAAACACCAAGGGGGAGCATGCAGACAGGCAGGTACAGAGGCCGTGTGGAGTGTTTTTTGGGCTCCGGCCCTATGGCGGTGTCTAGGGGTGGATGTCTATGACTCTCAAAGCCCAAGTGAGCACGTGTTAACAGTGTGCTCTTTCAGCTTTGCCATCTGCAGACAGCTTGTGTTAATCGGCTCAATTAGACCCTCTTCCTTATTGCAAAGGCAGAGGGCCAGTGTGACAGCTTTCTGTATCCCGAGTTCTTGCCCACAGTACCAGAAAAATCAGATCACACGTGGGCTTGAAGGATAGTGCAAGGTTTTACTGAGTAATGGAGCTGGGTCTCAGTGAGATGTATGGGGAGCCAGAAGTGGGGATGGAGTGGAAAGGTGGTCTTCCCCTGGAGTTGGACCACCCAGTGGCCGGACTCTCCTCTGACCGCCCCCAGCCAAACTCTCCTTGGTGTCTGGGTCATTTCACTGTCACTGGTCTGCCGGTGTCTGCTGCTATCTGTGGGTGTGTTCCTCTGCTCCTCTCGACATTCAGCCACTTGTGTCTGTGCCCATGAGGTCGCGGGCTTATATGGGCACAGGACAGGGGGGCATGGTGGACCAGAGTGGTGTTGGAAGATGCAACATTTGGACGCGAAAACAGGAGTGCCTATTCTCACTTAGGTCCGTGGGCACAGGCCTGAGGGTGGAGCCCTCACCAGAAACCCTGCCCTTGTCTACCCAGCAGTTCCCTGTCCCCCTCCTGTATCAATAAGACCTTTCAATAGCTAACTGTATTAATTTCTTGTGGCTGCTTAACTTGTTATCATAGACCCAAGAATTCAATGTAGGAAGAAAATAGAGTGTTTCCAGTTGCTTCTGTCTGTTTATCAGAAAAGCAAAAACAGTCTTTGAAAACTTTCAGGAGACTTTCTTTTTTGTTCTATTGGCCAGAAGTATTAGGTTGGTGCAAAAGTAATGGCAGTTTTTGCCATTAAAAGTAATTTTGCTATTACTTTTAATGGCAACAAACACAATTACTTTTGCAACAACCTAATATGTCCTCCATCGCCAGATGCAAGGGAAGCTTGAAAAGCAATATGTAGCTTTACCAGCATGGAGAGCAGAAGGCATTCAGATAGGAGATCAGAAATAACTGTCACATAAACCAACCAGCAGTCTACAGATACCTGGTCTGTAAGAATGTTGAAGGGATGATGATTTGGGTGAAGGAGGAAAGAGAAGCTCTTATTGGGCGCCTACTATATGTGAGGCAGTGAGACTGCTAGTTCCATACATCTTCTCATTTCATCTTCCCAATAGCCCTTTGAGGTTACTATCAGCTTTTCCATTTTTGCAGAGAAGAAAACTGAGGTTCAGAAAATTTTGAAGTCACATTCTAGTACAAAGGTCTACTGAACGATGAAGAGAGGAATAAAATTTAAATGTTTCAAAATCCTAACACCATGCTCTTTCTAGTATTCCAAAATGATTATTATTAGACCTAGGAGGTCATTCCTAGTTGACTTTTTCCCCTAGCAGCCACTCTTCTTCCGAAGATATTTTATTCTAACAGTGTTCACCAAAACTCAGAGCACTTCACCAAAATCATAAATCACTCCAGGGCTGTGGCTATGGGAGTAGCTGAAATGCCTTAGTTCCATCACAAACGTCATGAGATGCAGGGCCTGGTTAACAAAATGCAATATGCAGTTAAAATGGGAATGTGACACAACAAGCCTTGCCCCTGCCATAGTGAGTGGGATTCCTGGACTTCTTACAGCAAATGTTATCCTTTTCACTAAGAATCATTGGATAAATTGTATTTGTCGGTGACAAGCACTAGCAGGAATGCAGCTCAATTATTTGAAGCTGACATCAGGAATTATATCAGCTTTATGTCTTCAGATCTGCCCTTTCAGACATGAGTTTCCAGATATATTGCTGAGAGATTTTTTTACAGAGAAGAAATTCCATTGGTGGAAGTTGGCTTATCACTGAAAGAAGGCAAATCTTTTATCAAAAGTTTCCACAAACATAGGAAAATTTAGCTAAGAAGAAACAATGTAATTCAAAAGTCTGTCCCAGAACTAAAATAATTTTTTTATAATCTGAATTGTATCTTCTTCAACCTCATCTCCTTCCCCTTGAACTAATCTAGTGCTTTATATCCTTGTTGGATTTATATAATTTAAACTCATCAGTTTACTTGTGTTTTATGAAAGCAATGGAGAAAATTAAAAATTCAGCCTATTCAACAAAACGTATTGTGCAAGACAAAACACATTTGAGATTTGTATTTCGCTCTAATCAAATGTAATGGTTGTAGGAACACAAGTTAACCAACAGCAAGAAGATAAAAAATTCTTAAAAATAATCCATTCACCTGCAGTGAAAGAATGTTCTGCACAGTAAAAATACAAAATAGGATTTTATAATTTGTATATGCTTAGGATAATAGGAATTACTGAATTTATTCATCCATGAAAATAAGCACTGGTCCATTTACCTGTGGCTCTGAAGCCTGGTGAAGCAGGAATGAGGATACCAACCCCTGAGGGAGATTCAGCTCCTTCAAAATGAAGACAAAAGAAATCTTTGAGGTATAACAACTGTTTTAAAAAAATTAAAAAGAAGAGAACTATTTTCAGCCTGTTTAGAACAAAGATTGGATTTAAACCCAGTTTATGCATCACTCATATCCAATGAACTTGGCTCATAACACCCCCACGCTGACACTTGACCACTTGCTTTGATTTCTAGCCAGCAAGAGTAGCCCCAGAGACAGGTATCAAACTCCAGCAGAGCCACCCCCATAGATCTCATGTGTGGCAGCAACTGCCAGGATGAGAAAGTTCAACCGTGCTCTGGCCTTACAGGATCCATTTAGCCTTTGGTTCCCCTCAAGGCTTCCTGGCAAGCAGAATACAACCTGAAACTGCAAGAAAGCCATTCCCTTAGCCAGTGAACTTGGAGTCATGCACGACCTGAGATGAGGAAAAATCCAGCAGATAAGTGGTTTCACCATTTTTCTTCCTCTATAGACAATTCTGATGCACAGGAGTTCTGTACAACTTTCCTAAAGATGTTCTGCAAGATAAGCAACCAGCCATGTATATTGGAAAGCTATGGCCAGTTCTGTAATGTATCTGCTGTCTTTGACTCTAGGTTTCCTGAGACTGCACCCCCATCCTCATGAAAGCACTAGCTTGTAAGTTCTTGTCATGCTTCATTTCCTGAGGAATCCATGTTGATACAAAGTATACATATGTAACAAACCTGCACATTGTGCACATGTACCCTAGAACTTAAAGTATAATAAAAAAAGTAACAATTAAAAAAAAAGAAATAATAATCATATTTGCTCCCAGTAATCGTTTATGAGGTGGCGGAGGGGCAGGGCTTTAATGGTAGGCATTCCTGAAGTCTAAACAGCGTGGGAATGAGTCTGGCAGAACCCATGGATTCTAAGGAGGTCTAAGTCTGAGCCAGTGTGAAGTAAATAGGCTAACCCCCATCCTACGAAAATGTAGGTGGAAATGAGAATCACATTTTGCCATGCCCTATTAAGACAGACCAGAGAGAGAACGGGCAGGTGTTCTCCTGAGAGGTTGTGGTACGTTTAAGCGCTCAAGTAACTCTGAACAGGTGCATTTTATTAGAAATAAGAACAGACCACGCTTTCAGAAAGAATCGGGGAAGCAAGGAAGAAGAAGAACAAATGTGAAGAAGAACTTCCTTACAAATCTTGAGGTCTGGGCGCTCTGAGTTCTGACAGGTGTTAGGAGCAGTTCAGGCTTCAATAGACATAAATATTTTGGAGAATCTGCCTGAGGAACAAAGGAAATTTCCACAAAATTGCAGCATCCCTCGTTTCAGCCACCCTTTCCTAGTCCTGACTTGTACAAATTAAAAGTGCATTAAAAAGCTTATGGCAGTGGTCATCAAAATTATGATTTCAGTGTTAAGTCTGCTACCTAAGAGTTGTGTCACGTCAGTCATATCATTCAGACATTTTGAGTCTCAATGTCTTCTGTGGACTAAAATAAAAAATTGTTAGCAGAATCCAAGGAGATAATGTGAGAAACCTTTTTAAATTGCTGCCTCAGTTAGAATGTTTCCGGCTACAAGGTACAAAGAATCCAAAATTATGAAGGCATTTATTATCTCTCGTCACCAGAGGTCCAGAAGTAATTTCCAGCATTGGTGAATTCTGTAGCTAAACAGTATCATCAGTTTGTGTTAGCTTTCCACAGTTATTTTGGATTCCCCTTGAGTTTGCCACAGCTATAAACACGATGTCCTCACACAATTGTATTAAAAAGTAGTTTGGGGAAGGGACTTCTTCTATGTTTTCCTCTTTACAGCAGAGGAAGAAAAATATCCCAAAGGCCCAACAAACCTCCCCTCAGATCTCATTGGCCAGAACTGGCTTACAATACATGTCCCACTCCAAACCAACCATAGGTGAGGGGATAGGATTGCCCAAACTGGTTTAAAGCACTTATCCCTTGGTCTAAGGGAGGACTCCTCTCTCTCCCTATAGTCCCTTGTCACCAAACACAATCAGGGTTCTGTTGGGACTGAAGTGGAGAATGGCTGTTGGCTAGGAAACCAAAGTGACTGCTAAAATTAAAAAGTGTTAAACAGATAGTATTTTTTTAACACACCGTATAAAAAGATTTAGAGGGTTTAAAAGAAATGAATACTTTGGGAGGCTGAGGTGGGCAGATCACAAGGTCAGGATTTTGAGACCAGCCTGGCCAATATGGTGAAACCCCGTCTCTACTAAAAATACAAAAATTAGCCAGCCATGGTGGTGGGCGCCTGTACTCCCAGCTACTCGGGAGGCCAAGGCAGGAGAATGGTGTGAACCCGGGAGGCGGAGCTTGCAGTGAGCTGAGATTGTGCCACTGCACTCCAGCCTGGGCGACAGAGCACGACTCTGTCTCGAAAAAGAAAAAAAAAAGAATAAGAACAACTTTTTGTCCTTGAGGATCTTAAAATCCAACCCAAGGAAACCACAAAGCAAACAAGCTTCATTGAAAGAAGGTTTATTCTGAGAATATGTTCCCTGTGAGTTTGACTTCCTATGATTTCCAAAGCAATGATCAGGATAATAGATGTATAATGTGATTACCATCCAATCAATCAGTTCTGTAAAAATATAAAAAGGAGCAAACAAGTGGCATGTCCTGCCTAATAGCAATAAGTTCCAGTTTATAAAATTATATTCCTGATTGTTAAAGATTTAAGAAAAAGTTGATTCCTGCTCTTCCTCTGTAATTGGGTTTTGATTTGCATGAAAATTTGTATTGTGCAGCTCTCAGAATTTACAGCCCTTCTAACATGTCAGTGGGGATACATGAAGGTAGGGGTTAATTTCATCTTTCACTTGATGAAACTATTGACAGATATGGCACAGGATTTCAAAGAATTAAAGACAGAGATAGATGTTTAGGCATATATAAACAAGCTGTTTAATTGTGCAATAAAGAATAGATACAATTTCCTTGGGGATTCCCCTTGCCTTCTTCCTGTTTTTTCTCCACTTTCCTCTGTGTTTGAAGACTTTGTCTTGCCATGAGTTTTTAATGAAACCCATATGTTTATCACATTTCATGACAGACTCGGTTGTTTGCTTCTCAAAGTCATGTAATTTTTTCCCTAGACAGATTCAATTGGCAGCCTTTGCAGATTCCTTTGCACACAAATGACACCACAACACCAAAGCTCTAGGAGCAAGCAGCAAATTCTATACCTTGGTAATTCTGCCAACAAGATACAGCATTGCAAGCTAATTTTTCTTTTCCTTAAGGAAAAAAAGCAGAAAGGATAGAATGAAAAGCTCTCTATAAGCCTTGACAAGAAAACATACTCACATATCATAAGAGAGCAATAGGCTTTAGAGCTTTCTATGATTTTTAATGCTTGGTTGACTCTACAACAGCCCCCTCAGACTTATCACTTGCCACAATATCAGAAGATCTTGGATGCTGAGAACAGATGTAATTAGCATGACTAACTCTTATAGTCCCAAAGCTTCAGACATCAGCAGCAGAGAGGAGCCAAGCAGACACAGGATGAATAATGAATAATGAGAAAGGTTGCAAAATATGCTTTAAAATTATATGTCTAATTTTTCTTAAATCCACAAAACTTCTGTTAAATGAAGCTATGCCATTTCATTAAATTATCTACATGTTATTTAAGAAAAAAAAAAGAAAACAACTTTAGTATAATTTCAAATGTCTCCTTCACACAGACACAATCATGCTCATGGCCCTCTGTTGTATAAAGATTTCCCCGTTCCAGGCCGGGTGCGGTGGCTCACGCCTGTAATCCCAGTGCTTTGGGAGGCCGAGGCAGGCGGATCACAAGGTCAAGTAATCAAGACCTTCCTGGCCAACATAGTGAAACCCTGTCTCTGCTAAAAATACAAAAATTAGCTGGGCATGGTGGGGCGCACCTGTAGTCCCAGCTACTGGGGAGGCTGAGGCAGGAGTTATTGCTTTAACCTGGGAGGCAGAGGTTGCAATGAGCCGAGATCATGCCACTGCACTCCAGCCTGGTGACAGAGCAAGACTCCGTTTCAAAAAAAAAAAAGATTTCCCCTTTCCTGCTGTCTAGTCAAACTACTGGAAGGGAATGATTTCTTCCTTTCTCTTCCCTTGACTATCAAACTTTTAAAAAGAGATTTCAGACTTTCTTACAATCTCTCCACTCCTTTCTCATGGTAATCTGCTTTCTACCCCATTAATTTTCTTAAAGTCCAATGGCCTCTGTTCCAATCATCTTCTCAAACTTATTGAAATATTCCTTACTCTTGTTCCACGTATCCTTCTCTGCAGCCTCCTAAGACACTACAGCCACCTGAGAATTCTGTTAAACTTAACCATATCATTGGTTTCTCCTAAATGCAAGCGTTATCTAGACGTTTCTTAGGACTTTGGCCTTTATCTCTCTGTGACTTTCTTATCTACTCCTAAGGCCACAAATATCCACTCTGTGTTTATGTCTCTCTTAAATTTTACTTCTTAATCTAAACAGGAGACCCAATTGTCAACTGCTAAGTTAAATCTGTGTAGATGCACAAGGGCACCTGAAAATACTCCCTTTGGTCCAAGCTCAGTCTTTCTCCTGTTATACTCTGGTTAGCTTTCCCCTAAACCAGATTAAAATACTGGAGTTATCTTTGGCTATTTGTTCTTTTGAATGTCTGACATCCAATTAGTTGCTCAGTTCTTTCCCTTCTGTGTCTACAGTTATTTTCCTCATCTAAGCCATAGTTTTCCCATTACCACTCTTCGGGATCTTCCCCTTGCCTTCTTCCTGTTTTCTAACAAACACTCCTCTCTTTTACATCCTTCCACTTGTCCTTTCCCTGTCAGAGTTATTTTTCTAACGAACAATTTTGACCAAGTCATCCCTTACTCAAAGCCATCTATCTCTACAGAATAAAGATATGTCTACGACATTATCCCTCTAGTTAACAATACTGTGTAGTACACTGTAAAATTTGTTAAAAGGGTAAAACTCATGTTAAGTGTTCTTAACACTTAAAAATACTAAAAAAACAGATTAGTATCTCTATCTTGGCATTTAAGGGAGGTCATAATTAGGTCCTTAGCAGGCTATGTAGCTTTAAAAACATTAGGTATAGAATTGTTTTAGCAACCAAAAAGGGCTGACCACAGAGGAGAAAAATCAAAAGAAATAAAATAAAATAAAACAAAATAAAAAAGGATATAGGTTGTTTTCATTTGCCCTTTTTTTCCACTTTGATGGCAAAACTTAACTTTTTAACAATGATTGTATTGCCATCTGCTGGAATTATTGAGAACTGCATTTTAAGTCTTTTTTTTTTTTTAAGTGTGAAGTGTTTTCTTTCAATTTTTCAAAAACTCTTTCTAAATATGGCTTTTAATGTTGAATCTAATAAGAGATTTTAGAGCTTCATGTAAGAATGATCTTTGATTTTAAAGCACACAAAATTACAATTAACAAATTGATACAGCCTTTGCTTATAAGAGACTATGGTGCTTCATCCCTTATTACTAACATCATTTATATCATTGAGCCCAAGAATAAAACAATTGGTGTGATGGGGAGTAAAGTGTGTTATCTAATGTCAGGTGACTTTCAGTGACATCACATTTTTAACACTAATTAACAATTCAAATTCTTACCATCTCGTGAGACTCAGAACTAGAATTACTTTTTCCAATAAGGTCTTCCCAAGCCAAGCCTCCCCCTCCCTGAATTTGTGAACTTATTTGCATATACCCTTCACCTAAGATTAGTCATAGTGCATTATATTGACAGGTAACATTTTCTATGTTTACCTCTCAATATATAATAGTGGTTAAGAATCTGGTCTCTAATGCCTCTTTCAAAATATACATTTTCCACTTACTAGCTGTTAATTAAAATTTTTGTAATCATTTTCCTTATCTGTCAAAGAGAGATAACACTATTTCCTTCATAGGGTTGTTGGTAAGATTAAATTAGCAAAAACTGTAAAATCACTCAAAGCAGTACCTGCTATGTAGTAAGCACATAACAATTACTAGCTAATAGCAGTGACCTGAGCAGATTGTTAAAATTGTGTAACTCATACAACAGGTAGCAGTGAGTCCCACATAGGCTTACAACAGTATTATTAAAGACTTTTTATTAGCTATTTTTAAATTAATTAGATTTTTATGTATAATTTACATGCAGTAAAATTTATCATTTTTAAAGGTACAATTTTATAAGTTTGACAACTGTATACAGTTGGTTAACCATAGTCACAATCAGAATATTTCTATCACCCTAACGTGTTATGTGCCCATTTTCATACGTCTCTTGTCCCCACTCCCAAACCCTAGTAACCTCTAACTCCTAAAGACCACTGATCAACTTTTAGCCACTATAGGTTTTCATTTTAGAATTTTATGTAAAGGAAACCATACCATGATGTAGTCTTCTGTGTCTGGATTCTGTTACTTAGCATAATAATTTTGAGATCCATCCATGTTATTCTGTATAGCAGCAGTTCATTCGTTTTTATTGTGGATTAGTATTTCATGGATACTTGACTTGCTTCTAGGTTTTGGCTACTGGGAATAAAGCTGCTGTAAGTATGCATACAAGGCTTTGTGCAGACACGTGTTTTCATTTCCCTGGGATAAATACCTAGAAAAAGGGTTGCTAGGATAAACAGCCAGAGAGTTGCTAGGTTGGATGGTAAAGTCAATGTTTATCATTACAAACTCCCAAACTGATTGTATTATTTTGTATTCCCACCAACAAAGATGAGCTCCAATGGCCCCATCTTCTTGCAAATACTTGATCTATTCAACTCTGGTGATTTTAATCACTCTAATGACTAATAATGTTGAATATTTTTTCACTTGCGTATTTGCTGTTCTTACATCTTCCCTGACATTGATACAGCTTTTGCCTATTTTGCAATTATCTTCTTACTATTGAGTTTTTGAGTACAAATCCTTTATCAGACATGCGTTTTGCAAAAGTTTTCTTCCAGTCAATGGCTTTCCCTTCTATTTTCTTAATTGTTTCTTTAAGAGCAAATTTTTAATTTTGATGAAGTCAAATTTATTATTTTTTCCTTTGTGTCCTATCTCAGAAATATTTTTGTAATCCAAGATCACAAATATTTGTGTGTCTATCTTTTCTGATATGATATTTTTAGCTTCGGATTTTCTGTTTAGGACTACGATTTATCTTGAGTTAATTTAGATGTATAGTGTGAGATAAGGCTTGAGATTCAAAAATTTCACACAAAAATATACAACTGATGCAGCAATTTTTGTTGAAAAAAACTCTCCTTTCCCCATGGTATTATTTTTACATTTATGTCAAAAGTCATTGAACACATATGTGAAGTTTGAATTCTGAACTCTATTTTTGTCCCTTTGATCTATAAGTCTTTTCTTAAACAGTCTAGATTACTATAGTTTTATAGTCCTAGGATTAGGCACTGTATGTCCTACAACTGTGTTTTGGGTTTTTTCAAGATTTTACGTTCATGTAAATTTGAGAGTTATCATATCAATTTCTATAAAAAATGCTGCTGGAATTTTGATTGAGGTTGCATTAAATCTATGTACCAATTTTAGGAAAATTTAAAGCTCAACAGTATTCCATGTTCTTATTCATTACATGATATTTCTATACATTTGTTCAGGCTTTCTTTAGTTTCTCTTAGCAATATTTTGTAGTTTTTGTTATCCATGTGTGATTTTTTTTCCTTTTTTTTTTTTTTTTCGAGACAGAGTCTCTTTCTGTCACCAGGCTGGAGTGCAGTGGCGCGATCTCGGCTCACTGCAAGCTCCGCCTCCCGGGTTCACGTCATTCTCCTGCCTCAGCCTCCCGAGTAGCTGGGACTACAGGCGCCTGCCACCACGCCCGGCTAATTTTTTTGTATATTTAGTAGACACGGGGTTTCGCCGTGTTAGCCAGGATGGTCTCGATCTCCTGACGTCGTGATCCACCCGCCTCGGCCTCCCAAAGTGCTGGGATTACAGGCGTGAGCCATCACGCCCAGCCCATGTCTGATATGTTTTTTATTAAATTTATTCCGTAGTATCTCTTGTTCTTTGATGCTATAATGAATGGTATTTCTACTTCTATTTTCAATTGTTTATTGCAAATATGTAAAACTACAACTAATTTTTATATATTGACTTTGTAACTTGCAACATTGCTGAATGTGCCTATTAGTTGTATATTAGTTTTTGTAGATTCCTTAGAGTTTTCTATGTACCCGATCTTGTTGTCTGCAAACAGTTTTCTTTCCTTCCAATATCTATGTCTTTCATTTCTTTTTCTTGCTTTATTTAGTATTAGCTACCCTAATATGACATTCAATGGATATAGTGAAAAGGCCATTCTTACCTTTTTCCCAATGTTAGGTAGAAAATATTAAGTCATTCAATACTATATGATTTTAATACATAGCCTTTTAATAATTTGATGACATTTCATTTTATTCCTAGTTTGTTGAGAGTTTTTATCATAAGGTAAGCTGAATTTCGCCAAGTGCTTCTTCTATATCAATCATATTGTTTGGTATTTTGTGTAAGTCAATCTAGGGAGTTACATTGATTCATTTTCAAATGTTAAGCCAACATTGTATTATTGTCATGAGCCTCACTTGGTAATGAAGCATTATTACTTTTTATTATTCACTGGATTCAATTTGCCAAAATTTTCTTAAGCAATTTTGACTGTTTATGAGGGATATTATTCTGGAGTTTTCTTTCTAGAAATGTGTTGCTTGATAAAATGAGTTGTGAAATATTTCCTCTTCTGAATTTTCTAAGAGTTAATGTAGGCCGGGCGCGGTGGCTCACGCCTGTAATCCCAGCACTTTGGGAGGCCGAGGCAGGTGGATCACGAAGTCAGGAGATCGAGACCATCCTGGCTAACACGGCGAAACCCCGTCTCTACTAAAAATACAAAAAAATTAGTCGGGCGTGGTGGCAGGCGCCTGTAGTCCTAGCTACTCGGGAGGCTGAGGCAGGAGAATGACGTGAACCCGGGAGGCAGAGCTTGCAGTGAGCCGAGATCGCACCACTGCACTCCAGCCTGGGTGACAGAGTGAGACTCTGTCTCAAAAGAAAAAGAAAAAGAAAAAAAAAAACAGTTAATGTAGAATTTTATAATTTTCTTCCATAAATATTTGGTAGAATTCATGAGTGAAGCTATCTGGAAGTTTCCTATGTAAGAAAGATAGATTATAAATTCAATTTCTCTAAATAAGTTATCTGTTTCTTCTTCAGTGTGCTTTGGTAGTTGCTGTTCTTTAAAAAAAATGATTCATTTTATCGAAGTTGTTGAATTAATTGGCATAAAGTCTTTTAAGACATTTTTCTTATCCTTTTAATGTCAGTAGAACATGTGGTAATGTTTATTTTTTCATTACTAATATTGATTATTCCTCTCCTCTTTTAATTGACCAATTTAGCTGGAAGTTTCTACATTTTATTGACTTTTCAAAGAATCATTCTTAGTTTATTACCTTTCTCTATTATTTGCTTATTTTCTGTTTCACTGGCTTTCCCTTTGTTACTGAAGGATATTTTCACTGAACATAAAATTCTGGTGTGACAGGTATTTTCTTTTAGCACCTTTAAAATGTGCTAATTACTTCTGGCTTCTATAGGTTCTGATGAAAAATCCACAATTATTTGAATCATTGTTTCTCTATGGGTAATGTGCCATGTTTTTTCCTGGTTGCTTTTGTGTGTGCGTGTGTGTGTGTGTGTGTTTGTGTCTGGCTCTGTTGCCCAGACTCAGTGCAAGCTCCACCTTCTGGGTTCACGCCATTCTTCTGCCTCAGCCTCCCGAGTAGCTGGGACTACAGGTGCCCGCCACCAAGCCCAGCTAGTTTTTTTGTATTTTTAGTAGAAACGGGGTTTCACCATGTTAGCCAGGGTGGTCTCGATCTCCTGACCTCGTGATCCGCCCGCGTCAGCCTCCCAAAGTGCTGGGATTATAAGCGTGAGCCACCGCGCCCGGCCTCCTGGTTGCTTTCAAGAGTTTATCTGTCTTTAATTTTCAGCAGTTTTGTTATTATGACTCTGGGGCTAGAGTTCTTCAGACTTATTTTGTTTGCAGTTCACTTAGCTTCTTAAATTTTTAGGTTTATGTCTTTCATTGTATTTGAGAAGTTTTCAGCCATTATTTTTTCAAATTTTTTTTTCAGCACTATGTTTATTCCCCTCCTCTTCTATAACTCCAATTACATGTATATTATAGCTTTTGTGTACTATCATAGGTCCCTAAGACTTTGTTCTTTCTTTCCTCAAACATTTTTCTTTCTGCTGTTCAGACCGGATAATTTATATTGTTCTATATTCAAGTTTGCTCTTTCTTCTATAATCTCTATTCTACTTTTGAGTCTATTCAGTGAGCTGTTGGGTTTTCTCTTAAATTTTAGATACTATATTTTACAGTTCTAAAATTTTCATTTGGTTCTTCTTTATGTTATTTCTTGCCTGATACTTTCTATTTTAATATTTGTTTCAAGAGTGCCCACAATTACTCATTTGATAATTTTTGTAATAGCTGCTTTAAATTCTTTGTCAGATAATTCCGAGCAGGGGAAGCAAAAAAGTTTTAATTTAGAATGGAGTTTAGAAGGTTGACTCTTACACGATATTGACATTTTAACTGATGGATAAAATTATTCTGATTTTTTTAAGTGACTAGAGAATACTGTTTTTATCTGAGAATGACCAATATTAGACCTGTCTTAGATTTCATTTGGAGGCAGAGGAATGAATAGTGTTTTCTTACTGTACCCTATAGGTTTCTGATAATTTTACACATCAATTACATATATGTGATTTATCACTTATCTTTCTCCCTGACATACTTTATTCTTCCTCAACGTAAAATCAAATGCTGATTTAATTTTTGTTGAAGTTTTACAGTAACATTTTCAAAGAATGTGTATGGGTTGTTTACTTACTAGGTCCTTGTAGATCTCAGAATGTCACATCTTCACCCCAATTCATAAACAAAGCCTGAGAACAGGATTCTAGAATCACAGCTCTTTTCACTCAAAAGTCCATAATATCACTTCATTGTCTTCTATTTTACTGTATTGCAGATAAAAAGATCGATAGTGTTGTCAATATTTTCTTTGTAACTTGTTTTCTCTGTCTGGAAGCTTAATAAGAAGTACTACTGATCGTACAGGTCTGTTAAGCACCCTAGAATGTGGCCAGAAGTATTTCTTTTTTCTTTAAACACCTCCAGCACTTACATGGTCTTTATCATCTAAAAACTCAAGTCTTCATCCAGCTCACAGGGATTTTTTAATATTAATTCTTTGATTTTTGTTATTCCTCTTTTTCTTTCTCTCCTTCTGAAAGTCTTACTAATTGAAATGGTTTATTTCATGAGTGTATACTACCCTGTCATTTTTCATTTCTAATTTTCACTTATTTTTTCTTCTGTTTACTGCTATGATTCCTTACACTAACATTTTGGGTCATTGCTGACAATATTCAGCAGTGTCTATCCTGTTTTTCACAATCTTCATTTTTAAATGTTACATTTCTTGCTTCAAATTTACAGTCTTTTGTGTTTTAAGGTTTTTTAATATGATTTCTGCTACTAAATTCAAAATCCAGCTTGAGGAAAGTCATCTGTCCTAATCATTTAGAGGGATGGCTCTCTTTCAGCCTGCTCACACCTGTTAAAAGTAAGTATTCCATCAACACTGAAGAAAGATAAAATAAGCTAGCCTCGGAAGAAAATGAGTATTTTACTGAATGAAATGCAATTGAAAGAAGCAATAATGGAGGAGAAAAACAAGATAGACTGAGAGAGAAAGCCAGATCATTAAAACAGAAGGAAAACAGGGATACAATTTTGTGGATGAAAAGCTAGACAGTGATTCAGGGCATGCCGCAAGCAGCTCTGTGGTCAATTGCTTTGTATCCATCAAAAGACAAGTGAAGAGCAGAAAGCAGAGGTAGAATTTAATGAAAAGCTGAAGAGGCAGAAACTGGTGAAAGAGAAGATGTTCTCAGAATTCCGAGCAGAAGACTAATCAGCCAAGGAAACATGAGAAACTCAAGAGCTTCAGGAAGAGCTGGAGGAGAACACGCAACTGGGTCAGAATGCCCAGGTCACCAGCATCCAGGTGCAAAAGCAGGTAGTGCAACAGCTAGAGGAAGAGGAGGCGCACCTTATGGAAATAGAAAATGCACAGATTAAACTTGAGAATGAACAGGATAAGCTGTAAAAAGAGGAGACAAAGCAGAAAATTGAAACCGTCTTGCAAAAAGTCTTCCAAGAGAAGGTGGAACGTATTTGACAGAAATACAGAAAAGAGCAGGACTTGAACATGAATTTTGTGGAAGGGCCCTTCAAGACTTACAGGAAGAAGCTGATTAAAAAAGAACAAAGGTGAGACAGGAGAAGGAAACAGAAGAAATCATTAGACAAAATAGTAGAGGCAGAGAAGGAAAAAAAAAGTTGGCCAAGGACAGGAAGGTAAGATTCGAAAAGGAGGCAAGGAAACAACTTGTGAATGAGGTTATGTGTACAGGAAAAGTTCAAGTTCAAGAAACATTGCAAAGAAAAGCAAAATAATAGAAAAGATATGCTATGGAACAGGATTGCATAAATGAAGGTTTTAAAGAACTTAAGGATGAAGAGGAGAATTTTGGAGATGCAGTGGTTTAGCTTAGGAGTATAAGAGACAACTGCAAACGCAAATATTCCACCAGCAGCAGGCCCGGGAAGCAGAGAAGAAAGAGGAACACTGAGTGTTTGAAGCAGGGATAACAGCAAACAGGATTTGCCAGGACAAAATTCAGGAGATACCAAGCACCTATCAAGTGCTATCCAGAAATACTCATTTTATGTGGGAAGTATGCCCTAATAGGCTTCCAGCATAGTTTCTTGAACATTAATATATTTTTCCTCATCCTGGTGTGGTCCCACAGGCTGTCTGGTACTATTATTATTAGGAGGGAGATACCTTAGAATTGGCAGGCCTATCTCCCAGGCAATTGTAAATTGTCAGACAAAGAAGATATGTTTCATTTTGTTGATGACAACAAGCCAACCAGCTGCAATCCTGGAATTAATGGATGGGGAGAGGAGTCACAAGATTCTCGGGCTCCTCCCAGATCTTGAGATAAAAGAAAGGTTCACCTCAGCATGTCACAACTCTTTAGACTATGGAAGACCCTCCTAGGGTCACTGAGGTGCTGGCCTGGGCAGCTGGTTGACCTTCTCAAGCATCTGGAGTATCCTTGGATTTTCCACCAGGCTCCCCCAGATGTACTGGTCTCTTGTCAGGTCTAGGATGTTTCAGCTCCCCTATCCCAGAGCCTTATAAGGAAAATCATTTCGCTGCTCCTAGACTGTCTCAGGAGCACTTGGAGCTTTGGTTTGCAGATAGGATCTCCTCTCTTTTCTGACTCTATGATTGGCAAACAACTCCTTTCCTCTTTTCTGCCCCAAGCATATGCAAACTGACACATCTGCCCAGTGATGACCTTAGGAGAAGAAAGGAGTCAAGCACCTATACTTAGGTTTGAAAACTATTTATTAGATTTTTGATTTTATAAAGTTTTACTTCTTTCTCATTACATTATAAGCTCTTTGAGACTAGGCACTTTATCTTTTAATTCTCTCTTATCCACTTTTATCATGCTAGTCAGTTAAAATTTGAAATTCAATAAATATCTTCTGCTCCCAAAATTCACATTAGAACACTTTTACAAACAATTCCAAGTGATACCGCTAGATGGAGGACTTGATATAGTTCCTCCGCCTAAGAAAAGCAAAGCAAAACTCTTATGAGGTGACTCTGAGATTTCCAGATCTGAATTTTTATTGCATGTTAAATTTAGTAAGGATCCCCTCATTTGAAAGAGGTAGGTAAAATTCTCACTTAGGCCTTAAGAAATTGTTCTATGAGTGAAGGAGAGAACGAGTAACTTCCCAGCCCACACCTCACAGCATTAGCAAAGTAAAATGTTTATTTCAGAAAGTGAGAATAGATATCAGGAAGGGGTGGCGGGGTGGGGAGAAGACACTATGCTTAAAAAAAATAGGTTCTTCCTCCAAGAGTTTATCATCTGGGGTTTTTATTTAAAGTTTTTCTCAGATGCTATTTTGCTATTTGTTAAATGCCATTAAAAGAGAGAGAGAGAGACAGTAAGAGGGAGAGAGAGACAAAAGTCAGTCCCTATTCTGCCTCCAGGAAGTGCTGGGAAACTTGCAATGCTTCATTGACCTTGGCTGTCCACCTTATTCCACTGAAATAGCCAGGTGATTTTCTCTAAGTGTAAATGCCTGGAACTCTTTTGTGGATGCTAATAGGTAAGAGGAAACTGCTCACTGTGACCACTTTTCAAGGGTCAAAAGTCAACGTTCACATTAGCTTTGTTAAAATACAGTCTGGTGACTTGCTCAATCCAGTATGATGTTGGTTCGTCTTTAGTACTACCCTCGGAGGAAGGTGGAAGAATTAAAAAGAATCCAAGAGGAATTCTTTTTAATCAGTTTTTAAAATTGCCTTCATTCGACACTGAACAGAAACTCAGAGAACTTCAATACATGCTTCATTTTGGAGCAAAAAGATATAGTGACTCAGATTAAATGAAAGTATGTCTTAGATTATCTAACCAAGTAAACAGTATTTGGTTTTGTAAATAAAGCAGTTTGTGAGAGACATACTGACCTATAAGTAGGAGTGATATCCCTTGGTGCAGTTCTCCTGGTTAACCAGGTTTTACAAGCACAGGTTGGCCATGCTTCTTTCTGCAGTTGTCTGCAACCTGGACTTGCCCAAAGCATGGAATCGTATTCACTGGTAAAGACACTAGTTAGGTAGCCACAAGAATATAGTCAGTTTAAATGAGCATTTTTGGCTGGCTGGGCTAGGATGGGACACTGATGCTTCCAGAATTCCCACTATGAGATTGCTTATTGTTGTGCCTTTTCTTGGAAAGAAGAGGCAGGACTGGTGGTTTGTCTGAGACCCTTAGACTACAGGAGGAGTGCTAGAACCTGCCAGAACTGGGTTTCATTCACTCATCCCAAAGAAGATTTTTGGAACAGAATCAGAAGCAGCTAGACCTACTCAACAGAGACTTAGAAAGACCAGAGCTTTTAAAGCTCAGGCAGCAAAGTATGGTAGAGAATTTGGGAGAAGGCTGTTCACTATGTCCCCAAATCAGCAATAATATATGCTGATTACCTGATTGAAACTTTTGGAGATGTCTGGAGACAGAAAGGCATGAGTGTCTTCCTGGGTGATTGGCAGTGACGGTGGTTCCTTTTTCTCAGTCAGCTTTGTGGACAGCTGCTGTGCACAAGCAAGTGAGGAAAATAGAGGAGACGCCACGCCATGTCCAGAAAATGGCCTACTTATGCTCCCTGCATACGTTTTGCCAATTCCTGACAATGGTCACCTTTCTTTCTTGAGTTAATAGGCAAAATAATACATTATTTGTTGAGAACATTCCTTGCGCCAGTCACTTGACATAGATTATTTTTATTTAACTTCACAGTAATCCTATGAAATGCTAATATTACTCCATTTTACAGGTGAGAAAACAGTCCCAGGGAAGGTAAGTACCCAAGGTCCCACAGCTAATAAAAAGTAGCACTAGGATTTAAGCCCAAGCAGTTTGACTCAAAAACTTATGACTGTATCCACTATAATTGACTAATTCCCAAAGTAAAATCCCTCATTTATATCAATGGGTGTTGGATGGAAATGTTATTCTAACCATATCAGATAGTCAAAACAAATAAACAAACAAAAACAAACAAAAAACCACATGTTACAGAAGCAAAGGTATAAGTAGCACAGAGGACAAGATGATTAACTCTGTTCAAGGTAATTTAGGTACCTCGTCAAGGACATACCTGCAAGAAAATGAATGAGATGTGTGTCAGACACATAGGACTAGAGAAGAGGGTCCAGGCAGAAGGAGCAGCGTGTGCAAAGGCCAGCAGCACTGAATAGCATGAAGTGTTTGTGTAACTGGCAGCAGAATGGTTTAGTTGGAATGTAAGCCATAGGCAAGGAAATAAAGCTGGCCAATTAGGCAAGATTTAGATCTGATCACATGGGGCTTCAGTGTGATGTATTCTCAGAGGTTTGGAGGTTTTATCCTATGGATGACACCAACTAACTGAAAGATTCTAGGCTTGTGATGTGTGAGTGCTGGTGGTGGTGGCATAGGTTGCTGTAGCAAGGCTAAGAAACTGAAAACAGAAATCCACTATATTATTTTCCACAAGAGAGTCACTCCCCTTAATTTTAACATAAAGCAGTTAGGGCCATCTCAGAGGAACTCATGCAGGCAGAGGGCATTAAGTGAAAAGAGCAAGTTACCTGTAACAGCCCACACATTTCCCTCCGAGGTACTAAACATAGAAGAGAATGTTTTCTACTTAATTTGCTATTGCTACATTCCTTCCTCTACCTTATTTCAAGTAATTTAGAGCATCTCAGTTGTCTCCTTTTTCAAGCTACTTGTCTGTGGTGCAATCAAAACACATTTCTCAGTATTTATCTGCACAATTCATGGTTTCAATCAAGTGTTGACTTCTTTGATACAAGTAAGTTGATAACCTTGGAAACCTTTGCACTGATTGTAAATAGGGAGCTGAAGTCTCTTTACCACTAACAGGTCAGTACTGTTTGTTTCACACTAATAAATGTACATGTACATATAGATATATATGTGTATCTATATATACATGCATACATATATATAGATATGTATGTATATATACAGGTATATATACATACACAGACATATATACACATATATATTGACTTAATTTTTAAACTTTACTCCTACAAATTTAAGGGAAATACTGTTAATGTTTTAAATTTTATCCTGTGCATTAGCAATACCTGATCGACAGAGTTGTTTTAAGGCTTAAATAATAATAACATATAATGTACTTAACACAGCCTAACCAAAGCAGACACTTGCTCATAACTCCACCCTCCTCACTTCTAGCAGATTAGAAATGGACATCATAAATTTCATACTATATTTGACTGGACAGTATCAGGCAAAAAATAGAAGTCTACTTCAAACTATCTTAAATAAAAAAGGAACTTTTTTGGCTTTTGTAAAAGGAAGTTCAGAAATGGCTAAAGCCAGGTCCTGGATTGGATTAAATATATCAAATCTTTCATTCTCCTCCCTCCTCTTCTTTCTTTTCTTCCTTCCTTCCTCTTCCTTCCTCAGTACTGGCTAGATACTCAGGAAGCTTATCCTCAAGAGTGGCTAGGATGGCTGCCAGCAGCTCTAGACTTAAACTTCACCAGCTAAGCAATTTCAAAATAGAAAACATTTCTTTCCAATAGCTTCATCAAGAATATCCCAAAAGGCTGGCATAACCTAAAAGAAATAGAAATCCTGAAAATCATTAGAAAATTATAATCACAATGGGTACATTATGCCTAGAATACTGCATGGAATTCTGGTAAATTCAAATCAGGAAAAAGAAAGCTGACAAATATTCAACTAAAGGCAATTACTCTGACCCAGAGTATAAAGAAGTTTCCATATTGGGCCATGAAATAAAGATTTGACTCAAACCCAGAAAAATAAGGGCCTGAAGCTTGCACATAACAAGCCTGGGCATAGGAGAATAAATAAGGAAAAAAAAAAAAAAGGCATCTTAGCCTCTTGGGAATATGACCTGGCAAATTGGTAGTGTGTTTGTAAGAAGAAAATGTGTTCTTATTGTTCATCTCCCACTTATGAGTGAGAAAATGTGGTGTTTTGTTTTCTACACATACCGGGGCCTGTCGGGGAGTGGGGGGCAAAGGGAGGGAGAGCATTAGGACAAATACCTAATACATGTGGGCTTAAAACCTAGATGACAGATTGATAGGTGCAGCAAACCACCACAGCACATGCATATCTACGTAACAAGCCTGCACATTCTGCACATGTATCCCAGAACTTAAAGTAAAACAAAAAATAAAAAAAGAATATTCAGTCAAATTTGTCTATCTGCACAAAAAAATAAAAATAAAAATAAGTACATTTTTTAAAAAAGAAAATGTGTGCCTTCCTCCAGACAGACATAGCCGTGTTCCAGAGAGAGGGCTCAGCCAGGAGACTTGGGATGGACTTCAGCCTTTCATTGCGCCCTTGTTCAGCCACCTTTGGAGAGGCACTACCTACATAAACATAGCCAGCTGCTCTGGCTAAGAGAACATACAACACATCATCCGGTACTTGCTTTATGAATTAGTGAGTTTAAATACAAACCAATTTTCATTGCCAAACCCTTGATTATTAGAACTAGGTGAGCATACATTGTTATAAATATATGTAAGTTTCTGGCAAATTTTTACTTTCCACAACAGATGGGAGTAAACTTGCAGAATATATTTTCTTGATATGGTACATGCTAACATATTAAATAGTTTGAAAAGAATTAAGATTAATAAACTCAAGCAGCTACAGGGGTATGTATCTAGTTTGACATAAAATGGGTTATTATGTTTTTGCATATGAACATAACTTCATAAACTCACCAAAAGTTGAGTGGGAGTCCAATGTAACTCACCTGTGATGACAGATGACATCACAGTGATCAGATCCTTCTATACATTTTTTGGTATTGTCATCAGGACCATTGCTTTGACCCATTGTATCCAAAGTGAGTTATTTATACCCCTGTAAGTACCTAGAGGATTACTGGTGGTACACAGAAGGGGTGGAGGTAGTCTATGACTTGCAGGCACTTGGGCCAGGTGAAAGGAAGAAAAGAGGAGGAAGAAGACGGGGAGAGCAATGGTGATGGTCCATTTTCCTCTTGTTAACCACACTCACATATACAACTATGTGTTGGACTCTCCCACCTAAAATACTACTAAAGGGTTTCCAAGACACAGCTGGAACAATAGGGGTAGGTATCTCCAGAAATGAGGCACTCTTCAAGCAGCCGTCAGCCACATCACCTGAGGAAAGTCCATCCCAAGACAGGGCCCCATTGAAAGGATTCAGCTGTACATCCCTTAGACAGTTTAAAACAGGAATATGGTTCCTAATTCTGACTCAGCTGCCACCAACACATGGAAATCAGAGGTTACAAGCACAGACTTGGATTCAAGTCTGCATTTTGGATTTTTTGTTTGTTTGTTTTTGTTTTTTTGTTTTTTTTTTTTTTTTTTGGTCTCACTCTGTCACCCAGGCTGGAGTACAGTGGCACGATCTCAGCTTACTGCAACCTCTGCCACCCAGGTTCAAGTGATTCTCCTGCCTCAGCCTCCTGAGTAGCTGGGATTACAGGCACCTACCACTGCACTTGGCTAATTTTTGTATTTTTTTTTTTTTTAGTAGAAACGGGGTTTCACCATATTGGCCAGGCTGGTCTTGAACTCCTGACCTCGTGATCCACCCGCCTCGGCCTCCCAAAGTGCTGGGATTACAGGCGTGAGCCACTGTGCCTGGCCCAAGTCTGCATTCTTTTACCTTCTAGTTATCTGCCCTTATTCTTTGTTGTAAATGGGAGATAGTAAGAGTACCTACCTTTATATGGATGCTGTGGGAAATAATTTAATAAAGTTGATAAAGCATGAAGCACAGTAGCTAGCACTCAGTAAATACCTAATAAACAGTAGCTGTTAATATTATTGTACAGTAAATCTAGGGTCCTTGGAAGGAGTTCTCTAACTTCATTTAACGAATATTCAACCAGCAAATATTGAAAACCTTGCTAGAGCTGAACAACTAAATTATGTTAGCATTTCAGAAACCTGCTGACAATATCCTGAACATCATAAAAAGACACATTAATGACTTCATAAAATGTCTTCAAAAGTATTTTTCTCAACTGGATGACAACAGTGAAGCAGAAAGAAAACTTGTTCTAATCAGTCGTGGGGCCCTACTGAGGAACTTGACAGCTTCAGAAGAACCCATTCTAGAAGTCATGTCAGACAGGTTTTTTTTTAATCCAAAACTTTTACAAATGTATGCAAATTAGAAATTGATTTTCAGCACACAATTCTATTAAAGACAACTGCGATAGTAGTCAGGTAAGCTGATCTATGCTGCTGTAAGAAATAACCAGAAAATATCAGTACATAAAACAATAAAGACTTATTTCTTGCAACATGTCCATTGCAAGTTGCCACCATCTCTGTATTCAGGAACACGGGCTGATAAAGCAATCACCATTTCCAGTGTTGCAGTTAGTGCAAGTTAATATCAGCATGTGAAATCAGAATCTTCTCCAGTCTTCATCTTCAGCTAAGGAAGACTGAGCCAAAAATCTCTTTCTTAATGAGTGATAATGCACAGTTTCAGTCTACTGATGAAGATATATGATTTTATAAATAGATGAGTTGAATTATTGTTTATATTTCATTGTCTATTATGTATTTATGTGTTTTTAAAAGTCTTAGCCAATAAAAAGTTCGACATTTTGACTTTTGCCCTTGACTTCTTATCAGAACAAGTCATGCTGGTTTTCCACTTAAGATGGTGATGTTAGGATTTCTTTACCAAACACCAGTTTATTTAAATTAAGAAAGTATGTGTTGATTTAAAGAAAACTATTAATTAAACAGTAGAATGGGTACTTTATGCCAGATGTTGGAAGATTAGTCATGAGTAAATATTACTTTCACCCACCATGGCATTCCCTATATTACAATAATCTAATATTAAACTTACTTGATGGAGCTACATTTTAGGTGATTCTACAAATATGAGTATATTAACTTTGGGGAAAGAAACGGAGACAATATCTGGCAAATAGGTAGCAATCTAGCTGAAAAATTTTATTAAAATGTGTAACATCATTAATTACCTGCTGAAACAGAGCACCATTTTTAGATCAGCAGTTTAAGACTATACATAGGACTCTGAAGGCTCCAAGGTTGAACAGAAGATCCTAGAAATAAACATTTCACACTGGAGAGTCTTCCAGCGTTCAGCTGATCTTCTGCTCTATCAAGTTCCAATCTTCCTGAAAAAAAACATTAGAGTTTTGGGTAGATTGTCTTGGATTTCAAGAATGTTAAAAACTACAAAACAAATAGCTAAACTGCAGAAGCTGGATGAGAAGTAGTTCTGGAAATTAAATATAGGATAGACAGTGCTCCTCTTCATATTTGACATCTTAGAGGAACATTTGTCTTATCTGTTTTCTACCTAAAATCTCTGCAACTCAACATATTAGTTTTCTAATATTTATCAAATTATTGTCAAATGAAAGACAGTGTTAGATATTGTAAACGTATTTTTAAAAAGTGTCCCTATATTTCCAGGTTTGGAAATTATTTTCATTACTTATCTCTGAGATTTAGGGGTCATATATTTAACCTAATTACATGTGATAAATATGCTATGGTTCTGTTCCTGAATAAATATTATAATTAGGGGATAATAACAGCCAAGACATATTAATATTTTAGCATATGTTAACTCTGTACAAAGTTTCTTACTTTTATAATCTCACTTATGAGGTAGATACTACTGATATTCCCATTTTGCAGATAAGAAAAATTAAAGTTTATAGAGGTTCATTTTTTATTTTTATTTATTTATTTTTTGTGAGGTGGAGTATCACTCTGTTACCCAGGCTGGAGTGCAGGGGCACAATCTCAGCTCACTGCAACCTCCACTTCCTGGGTTCAAGCAATTCTCTTGCCTCAGCCTCCCGAGTAGCTGGGATTAAAGCCACCTGCCACCATACTCAGCTAATTTTTGTGTTTTTAGTAGAGATGGGTTTCACCATGTTCGCCAGGCTAGTCTCAAACTCCTGACCTCAGGTGATCCACCCATCTCAGCCTCCCAAAGTGCTGGGAGGTTAATTAAATGGCTAAGGTCACAAATTAAGAAAGTAATAGAAGCAGGAATTTAATGAAAGCCACCTGATTTAAGACTGACCTGTTAGTTGCTTCACTACACTGCAATTCAGGCATAAGATAAACATAAGAGTTTTCTTCCTAAGTGTTATCCCTCCTAAGACCTATTTCTTGGCTACCAAAGGCTAAAAGTAACACACTGAGCAAGGCTTACTGCTCTTTTTAAAATTTATTGAAATAGAGAATGTCCTATCCTGTCTATATAATTAGTTTATGTGTGTGAGTCTCAAGGTCATAGACTATACAAATTCATTCAGTGCCTTTCATGGGTAGGCACTGAACAACTCCTTCTATAAAACATGAATAGGGCAGGACATAAATATGATCAAAAGCCTGATAGCATTGTTCACTTAACAGGTAAAGGTTTACTAGCCACTACATGGGAAACTCTTGCTAGGTGATATAAGTAGCATTCATATTTTACTTTCCGTAGAAGTTATGATCCTAGTCTTTAACTCTGAAGTCTTCATTTCTTTTTGATCAAGAAAAAGGAGTAAAATTGGACATTTCTATAAAACTTTCCATGGACAATTGTTTTACATGATATTTTCAGAATAGCATCATATTGGATGGTGTCGGTGTTAAATTGTGTCCAAAAAATATGTTGAAGTCTTCACTTCTGGTATCTGTAAATCTGACCTTATTTGGAAACAGGGTCTTTGCAGATGTAGTCAGATTAAGATGAGCTCATACTAGATTAGGAAGGTCCCTAAATCCAATGACTGGTGTCTTTTTTACAAGGAGAGAGACACAGAGACAGACACAAAAGGAAGAAAGCCGTGTGATGACAGAGGCAGAGATTGGAGTGATGCAGCTAGAAGCCAAGAACCTCCAGGAATTGCTGGCAGCCACTAGGAGCAAGGAAAGGGGCATGGAATAGAGTCTCTCTCAGAACCTCCAGAACTGAGATAATCAATGTCTTTGTTTAAGCAACTCAACTTGTGGTAACTTGTTACAGCAACCCTAGGGAATATAAATAGCAATATGGTGCAATGGAATGAAAATTAAAAATCTCGACAAAAGATCTTAGTTTAACTCCTTCTATCCCTTTGCCAGCCATGAAGAAGAACAATTATTATGATGAGAGTTTCATTTGTCTTATCTGTAAAATGGGAATAATAACATTTTTCCTACCAATTCAGAGGATGATATAAAAATTAAATCAAGCTATAATAGGTATTCCAAAGTGTGTTCAATGGAACTTGAGGGTTTATAAGTTCTGTAATGAAGTAGGTTTCAAAAAATCCTATATGTATGACTTCTCTGCAGGAGACACACAACACAGGCTATTATACAAAAGGCACAAAAATGACATACAGTTTGGAATCTATTTAGCCTTACTTCACCCAGTCTTCAAATTTATTTGACCATGGAATATTTCCTTTGTGGGACTTCAATTAATATTTTGTGGATGCAGGTATTCCTTTGGAGAACAGTTTGGAAAATACGACATTATGTCATCATAAGAACTCTGGTTCTTGGGAATATATGCTAGGAATTATTTATATAGGAATAAATGAGGGACACTTGGCATATCTGCAGAAATCATCCATATGTCTTCATGGCAGCATTCCTGTTCTTACATATCGCCCACATGGCTTCTGCTGAATAGAATTGGAAAAGCTGTGTAAATGTAGTAACAGCTTTTATCAAATGCCTACTCTGTTCCCAAGTCCAGGAACAACAAGAGTTCCTCTGCCTCCAGAAGGGTGGCAGGAAGAAAACTAACAACTGTTAGTGTTCTGAGACCCAGGACAGACAATTTCACAAACGTTACATCATTTCATAGAAATATTCGTGGTCTTAATCTTTGTATATTAAAACTTATATGTGACAAAGATATTTCTATATGAAAATATATTTTCTTTAGTGACAAAAACAACTTAAAACTACATTTTTATTAATATTTTATTGGCAAAAAAACAAAATAAGTATTTAACAACCAAGTTCAGAATCCCTGATTATTCATATTTTATGTTAGACAAACCAGAAAGTCTCAGTGGACTCTCAACTGTTAACTGTCCTAAGAATTCTGAGAGATGAGTTAATTCGCCATTGTTCTAGCTGTGAGAAGATAGCACCAAATATAACAAATATAGTTTCTGATCTTCCATAGCTTGTATATTAGAGAAAGGAGAATAAATACAAAGAAATGAGTATAAATATTTATATGGCGATGATATTATTGTGGAGAAAAATTAAGCAGGAAAGCAGAATAAAGAGGGAAGTGAGTGTGTTATTTCATATGCATGATCAGGGAAGGCCTCACTGAGCAAGGGAATTGAGCAGAACCCTATGAAAATGTATGAATAGTCAGGATATCTGAAGGAAGAGAAGAGAGTATCAGGCTAAGGAAAGAGCAAATGCAAATGACCTGCCTGTGATGAGAGAATACTTAGCATATTCCTGGAACAGCAAGGAAGCCCCGTGAGGCTGGAACATAGTAATTGAGGGTGGAGAAATATGAGATGATGTCAGGCAGTTGAGAGTGGGATTGAGGGCACAGATCATGTAGGGACTTCACAGGACATGGCAAGAATTTAATTTTTATTTGCAATGAGTTGAGAAGCAACTTAAAGTTTTGAGCAGAGAAGTAATATGATCTGACTGATATTATAAATATCTTCCATGCAGAAAATATGACGATGGTGTGGCAGAGGAGAAACTGTGGCAGTAGGAAGACCAATTCGAGTCTGAATCCAGATTATTCCAATTTAGAGATGATGATGACTACCGACCAGGGCTGCAGTTGTAGAGGTGGTGAAAAGTGTAACTGTGTTTTGAAGACAGAGCCAACAGAATTGGCCTGAGAGACAGTAAGGGAAGTGTGAGAGAAAGAGAAGAGTCAAGAATGAATGTGAGGTTTAAAGTTAAGCATCTAGACAAATGCTTGGATGACATTAGATGAGATGGAATGATTATGTAGGTGCAACATTTCTTTTTTTTTGTGGGACAATATGGATGGAGTAAATGGATATGGGAATTGAGTTTAAGATGTCTTTTAACAGCCAAATGGAGGTGGTATGCAGGCCATTGGATATATTAATATTATGCTCAGGCTAGACTCTAAGCATGGTGTCATCTGCTCATAAATGATACTTAAATCCATGGGACTAGATGAGATTACCCAAGACTGGAGTTTAGACAGAGAGGAGGAAAAGGACAGAAGATGGAGTCTTGGGGTATGCCAGCACTTAGAAGACCATTTTTATACAATGGCCATTTTATTTCTTGGCAAGGAATATTCAGGTAGCATGGTTGGAAATTGAGCAAGTCAGAGTCCTTTATCATAGCCAGTGAAGTTCTTCATCACATAGCATATTTATACTCTTGTCACAAGAGAGGCATGTTTGCTGAGGATCTGGAAACAGTTCTCCTGCCCCCAGAGCACCAGGTACTTAGGAGAGGACTGTAATGAACACTAAATTGGCAAGAACCAATATTTTAATCACACTGATTCCACTAGACATATAACCGCAAATATTCTTTTGATTTCTTGGGGTATAAAATAAAACCAGTTATAGTTTCAAGATCATAAGCATTACATATCCTACTCTATTTAATAGCCACCATCATTTATTGAGCATACTATGCCAGGTACTTTGCTAATCATTTTGGTGCTGGGTACTTTCCAGTTCCTCTCCATATCCACCCTTCATCCTGCCCCTTTCCTTCCACTCTGTGCCCAGAAATACTGATCACTGTGGACTGCATCCAGTGGCTCCCTCATTCTCTATTCCACACCACTCTCTCCTTCCAGATTCCGGTCATCATTCTTTCCACTCATCCCTTCCAGCATAGAGGAGCAGGGGATGGGAGAAAGTGTGTGGCTTTATTACAATACTGGCCGTTCTGCTGCTTCCTCTACTACCTACCCACAACTTTGTGTCACCCCTTTCTTAAACTCTCCTCAAGTGTGTCATCGTTTTCCACTGGGACCCTGCTAATGAGAATGCTGGCTCATTAGCCCTCTCCACTCCTGATATGGGTATAATCCCCATTTTACTAACAAGAAAAGAAAGGTAATCCTGTATTCACACAGAAGGACAAACTCAGGATTTAAACCCAGGTTTGTCTGCCTTCAAAGCCTGTACTCCTAATTGTTTCACTAAATTGCAAAACAAAATTAATTCTAATCAATTGTAACTATAGTCACAGGAGTTATAAAGTTATAAATACATAAATTTGAAATATATTTAAAATAATTTTAATTTTTTCTTATATGCTAAGCATTTCATAAGCATTAGCTCATTTGATGCTTACTCTAACCCTATCATTATCACCATTTTAGAGATTTTTTTAAAGCCTAGAGTTTAAGAATTTCTCAGTGTCACAACCAATAAATAGCAGAGCCAGGGTGTGAATGTTCCAAAGTCTGTGTTTAAAAACTTTTATGTTATATTGTAATCAGAATATTGTAGGCACAAAAATATTTTTTTTATCATTGGCAAAAAGGAACAATTATAGTTATATTTAATATACATGTTAGGTTTAAGCATTTTGAACAGGTTATACTTATTTACCAAGAATACAATAGAACTGACAACAGCTTCCTGAGCGTCCATGCACATTGCGTGCTAATTTGCCTCTGTGGTCAACCTGGTCAATATGGGTTTGACAGAAGCTGACCAAGGTGTAGCCATCAGACTCTTGAATGCATGTGACATTTGTCAAGCGATAATCAACAAACCAAGATTTTCTGAGGACCTGCCTGTGCCCAGCACTAAGCCAGGAAGTGCTATATAGAGTATTAAAAATAAAACCCATAATCTCATTCTCTGAGAATATGTAGTTGGAGAGTTAAAACAGAACTGTAAAACAATCATTTGCTGTGTAAGAGAATACATACTGATATGCCAAGCTGTATGTGTAAATAAAAATATCAAAGAGAGAAAAGAGCCAGAGTGGTCAGGAGTGTTCACGGAAGAGGCAGGCTAACACCCTGGTTGATACAGCTTTGATTCCGCCCCTTCTGATTTCAAGATATTAATTACTAGATGTTAATTATTAGATTTCAACCCTTCAGTCTAGGATTCTCTTGAAATACATTTTAAGTAAAAATGGCTAATTTCAAAAAGTAGTAATTATTTTGAACAATGTTTTCCAATTATTATAGAAGGTTCTTGCCACTCCCAATGTCCAAACGAGGTGAATCACAACAGGTTGCTCCTGAGAGATTTTCCTGCAGCTCACGCTGAGCATGTGTTATTTCTGTAGTCAACAAACTCTAAGAAAAGCACTCCAGATCCTCAAGCAAGACTTCTTGCCTCACCTGCCCCCCACCTCAGATAGGGATTTATTAATAGTACCTTCAGGGATAAAGTTCAGGCAATGCAAAATAATCAGCCTGAAATCTTTGAGGGTCCAGGACGTTCAGACCTTAATCATGCCTGGTGTGTCAATATCTTGCTAGGATACTTTACTTGCTGTGCAGTCCTAAGAGTTCCACAGAGCACATACATTCTCTAATGGGGTCACCAATCGGAAGAAGATAAGGGCAGAGAAAGAGAGACCGTTTTCTTTTTCTGCTGTTACTTACGAATCTTTTCCCCTCTGTTCTTCATAATTCTTACGCTCACCCAAAAAGTAGAGGCATCCTGCCAATTCCTCACGAAGTAGCCACCATTTGATTTACTCCACATGCCTGGCCAAGAAATCTGAATATGTATGAGAACGCTGAAATATTAATACTCACTCGGCTGGCAATGGAGCAGTTAAAGAGTAAGGTGGTTCGAGCCTGTAATCCCAGCACTTTGGGAGGCCAAGGCGGGCGGATCACCTGCGGTCAGGGGTTACAGATCAGCCTGGACAACATGGTGAAACCCTGTCTCTAGTAAAATACAAAAAATTAGCTAGGCATGATGGCGGGTGACTGTAATCCCAGCTACTCGGGAGGCTGAGACGGGAGAATCACTTGAACCCGGGAGATGGTGGTTGCAGTGAGCCGAGATCACACCACTCCATCCTGGGCAGTTGAGCGAGACTCCATCTCAAAAAAAAAAAAAAGGGGGGGTAAGGTCCATTCTTCTATATTGCTCAGGCAAAGTCACTATCACAGAGCGTTAATACACTTACAGGTGAAAATCGACATAGAAAGAGTAAAGGGAAATTTTGGCTCTCCTTTTGAAAACTCAAAGCAATAACATAGTGGCTGGCAGTCAAAGTTCAAAAGGCCAGGAGCATTATTATTCTGTTAAAGTCTCAGCAGTGCATATATGGTTTAGAGTTTTAAGAAATGGCACCCAAATGCCACAAACATCATATCCACAGAATAAAATGTTTAGAGCTGTTTGTTTTTGTTTTGTAGTTTTAAAGAAAAAGGGGTCATAACTTTGTGAGTTTCTTCACAGGGATTCTGTATCAGAGTTCTGTTTTAGGTTTTAGAGAAATGAAACAAATTCCAAGGCACACTGAGGTCTCACCCAGAGGCGGTCATTTAGATACTGATTGTGCAAGACAGGAACAGGAATCAGATATGTGGCCATTAGTATTCACTCATTGTCACGTTAAGGAGGCAGCTGCCAGGGACAGGGTCTTTCTGTCTCAGCAGGCTAGAGTGCAGTGGCATGACCTAGACCTAGACTAACGGCAGCCTCCAACTCCTGGGCTCAAGTGATCCCCCAACTCGGCCTCCCACAGCTGGTGAGACTCCAGGTGAGTGTCACCATGCCTGGCCACTGTTATGATTTCTGAAGGATTATAGTACTCACATCCTTTCCTGAAATCACTCCTCCATGCTTTGCTCCCATTTTAGAAGTTTCCTTTTGTTCTAAAGCAAGGATTTTCAAAGTGCTTATCAAAGTCCCAGGATTTTTTTTATTGGTGCCTAAGGGACTACCAAAGAAGCTGATAGGTGGTCTCCAGAATTCCACTGTAGTTATATCTCCAGTTATGCATTGTTTTTTGTTTAAAATCTTTACTAACACATGGATAGAAATATTTAGTTCATAAAAGGAGTTTTCCGAAAAAGTAAAACAAAAGGCCAAGAAAAAGAATAACAATAAAAAACTATCCACAAATTTAGAAAATTACTGAGTCAAGTCATCACTTTCTGTTGGTTGCGTATTAAAATGCCCCAGTGCAGTGTGGAAGAACACAATTGCAATGCATTTGCAGCAGTCATTACATTAGCAAAGGGTAAGGCTCTAAGGAGTGCAAGCCCCAAATCTGAAATAGGATGGAGAGTGGGAGGGTGTGGGAAGCACCAGAACCAGATGTCAAAAAGAGATGAGGGGCCTGGCGGGTGGTGGCTAATGCCTGTAATCCCAGCACTTTGGGAGGCCAAGGCAGGCGGCTCACCTGAGGTCAGGAGTTCAAGACCAGGCTGGCCAACATGGCGAAACCCCATCTCTACGAAAAGTACAAAAATTAGCCAGGCATGGTGGCGGGCGCCTATAATCCCAGCTACTCAGGAGGCTGAGGCAGGAGAATCATTTGAACCCAGCAAGTGGAGATTGCACTGAGCCAAGATCATGCCGCTGCACTGCAGCCTGGGTGACAGAGTGAGACTCTGCCTCAAATAAACAAAAAAAGTGAGATGAGGAGGGTGAAGGAAGGCTAAGCCTGAGGGAGATGACACATTTTACATACTTGGTAGAATACATAGCATTTTAAAAAATTACATTTGCACAGAAGAGCCTAAAAGCAGCAGAAAATATTGAAGGAGATGATACACAATATTAAATGGAAGATCCAAGTAAAATGCCATATTAAAAAAATGTCAGATATCAAGTGAGTGGAGATGCCTAAAATTAAGACACAAATTTCAAAGGAAATCACTCAGAATCAATTACATGACTTTGGGCCTCTCACCCACTTCAAGGATCCTAAAGCTTCCCCACACTGGACATGTAAAGGAAGGTTTCTAAGAAAGCTTTGGTTGGAAGCTATAGTGTGAGTTCTACCCTCCACTCAAAGGAGAGGTTGAGGTTAAGACCTGGCTCCTCACTTTGAGTCTAGGGAGAGGGATTTCAAAGGAGCCCACTCAGAAAATGTGCATTTGTTGCTTGGAGTTCAGGAAGTTTCTCTGCTCCAGACCGAAGCAAGAGACCCTCTGGTGTTCTGTGAGAGCAGAGAGAGCTGCAACAAGAAAACAACTTCATATTCCTCCAACTGCAAGGCAAGATCCGCGATGCCTGGGGCCAGGTGGAGGCTCCGAGGAAGGAATGCCAGCCTGAAGCCCTTTTATATGAGATTCCAAAGATTTGTCTAAAAGCCGCTGGAAGACATGGAGATCAGGACAGGATATCTGTGTAAAATGAATTACTGGGAAAGCAGAATCTGAGGACTGATCAGAGCAATGAGCCAAAGGCCAGCCCCAGGCACCATCAGGAGAGTTGTCTGTTATTGGCTGAGGGGCTACACAGGTTGGGAGTCTTGGAAGACCATCATCTGCAAGGCTGTGAGAGCAAGATGCCAACTACAGGCATGGCAAGTAGACTGTTTCTCTTTCTTGTATCTGCCTTGCCTTTCCCTTGCCTCTCCCTTCTTCAGCCCTGAAGTCAGAAAGGTGAGTGGCAAGAAAAGTTGGCAAGAAGCCCATGACACCCGCTTTACCAAAGACAGACTTGTCCAGTGCCAGCTCTTACAGGTGCGAGGCAGATCTTTTTTTCTGAATGCCACTTACAGTGTTATTTAAGACACTATGGTTGAATATCCAAATTTCGGAAGTAAGACTGTGTTTTTTTTAAAATTTTATTATTATTATACTTTAAGTTTTAGGGTACATGTGCACAACATGCAGGTTTGTTACATATGTATGCACGTGCCATGTTGGTGTGATGCACCCATTAACTCATCATTTAGCATTAGTTATATCTCCTAATGCTATCCCTCCCCCTTCCCCCTACCCCACAACAGTCCCTGGTATGTGATGTTCCCCTTCCTGTGTCCATGTGTTCTCATTGTTCAATTCCCACGTATGAGTGAGAACATGCGGTGTTTGTTTTTTTGTCCTTGCGGTAGTTTGCTGAGAATGATGGTTTCCAGCTTCATCCATGTCCCCACAAAGGACATGAACTCATCATTTTTTATGGCTGCATAGTATTCCATGGTGTATATGTGCCATATTTTCTTAACCCAGTCTATCCTTGTTGGACATTTGGGTTGGTTCCAAGTTTTTGCTATTGTGAATAGTGCCGCAATAAACATACATGTGCATGTGTCTTTATAGCAGCATGATTTATAATCCTTATACTACAAGGCTACAGTAACCAAAACAGCATGGTACTGGTACCAAAACAGAGATATAGACCAATGGAACAGAACAGAGCCCTCAAAAATAATGCTGCATATCTACAACTATCTGATCTTTGACAAACCTGACAAAAACAAGCAATGGGGAAAGGATTCCCTATTTAATAAATGCTGCTGGGAAAACTGGCTAGCCATATGTAGAAAGCTGAAATTGGATCCCTTCCTTACACCTTATACAAAAATTAATTCAAGATGGATTAAAGACTTACATGTTAGACCTAAAACCATAAAAACCCTAGAAGAAAACCTAGGCAATACCATTCAGGACATAGGAATGGGCAAGGACTTCATGTCTAAAACACAAAAAGCAATGGCAACAAAAGCCAAAATTGACAAATGGGATCTAACTAAACTAAAGAGCTTCTGCACAGCAAAAGAAACTACCATCAGAGTGAACAGGCAACCTACAGAATGGGAGAAAATTTTTGCAACCTACTCATCTGACAAAGGGCTAATATCCAGAATCTACAATGAACTCAAACAAATTTACAAGAAAAAACAAACAACCCCATCAAAAAGTGGGTGAAGGATATGAACAGACACTTCTCAAAAGAAGACATTTATGCAGCCAAAAAACACATGAAAAAATGCTCATCATCACTGGCCATCAGAGAAATGCAAATCAAGACTGTGTTTTATAGCAAGCAATTTGGAGTCTCTTAAACCTAAGAATGACCAAATATGTCATGATGACTGACAGAGTTCTCTTCCAAAGGCAGAAAAAAAATCATCCTCCAATGAATTAATCTTAAGGTAGCAGTGGTGGGGGAGGGAAATGCTTTTTAATTACAGGTCCATTAACTATGGTTGTTTGTTGTACCAGTCAATTGCTCCTAAGATACAGAGTTGATCCCACAGCCACCACAATGTCCAGGGCAGGTTTTCACCTGGAGCTACAAAGTATAATTCCACATACTGTGGGCAGGAGTAGCGTGATTAATGAAAGGAATGATAAAGGGTTTGAGGTATGGCTGCTTGTTTGTTCGTGTCTTTTAGTTTTCCATTGCAGAAGATTCTTGCAGGTTATATTCACCCTGGAAAGTCTTTTGATCTCACCACATGCCAGCATTTTACATAAACACCATCCACAGTAGTAGAAAGAAGCCCATCTTGAGTATTGATTCCCTACACACACACACACATGACATATATATGTGAGAGGAAAGGAAGGAGGATGTAGGAAGAGTCTCAGGCTACACTGCAATTCCAAGGAATGTTCAGCCAAGTAAATGGGGAATCTTCAAGTCAAAGCCATCTTTTGATGGGCCCCATATCTCACAGTTATGGTCTGCATTGGTACCACTGTACCCCCACTGGTACGTGTGTGTGTGTGTGTGTGTGTGTGTGTGTGTGTGTGTGCTTTTGGGGGACAGGAGACTGGTTTAAGTCTCCTTTCAAAATATTAACTATTTATTTACTTCTCTAAGTAAATCCATTCACAACTTCTCACTACAGAGTAAGAAAAAAAAAAGAAAATCTTTTTTTTTTTTTGAGACAGAGTCTTACTCTGTCACCAGGCTGGAGTGCAGTGACTCAGTCTCAGTTCACTGCAACCTCCGCCTCCTGGGTTCAAGCAATTCTCCTGCCTCAGCCTCCCAAGTAGCTGGGACTACAGGCGTATGCCACCACACCCAGCTAATTTTTGTATTTTTAGTAGAGACAGGGTTTCACCGTGTTGGCCAGGACGGTCTTGATCTCTTGACCTCATGATCCACCCACCTCAGCATCCCAAAGTGCTGGTATTACAGGTGTGAGCCACTGCACCTGGCCAAAAAAGAAGACTTTCTTAGGAGAAAATGGGATATGCCTTTACAGAACCAAAAGAATAGGCATAATGTGACCGACTGTATGATTAGAAACAAATCATCTATTAGACTCAGCAGGAAATAGAACTGGAATAATGGCTGAAGGATTATAGAAAAAAATATATGAGAGCCTTGTTTCTTTAGGGTGTTAGGAAGCTCTCCTAATGAACTATTTTATTCATAAAATATTTTAGAATATTTTAACAGAACAATAAATAGTAGTCATCTGGAAAAAAAAATCAGTTCTATTCCTTGGCCCACAGATAGAAAAAGAACTTGTGTGCAATGCAGGCCATTCCTATGAGACATGGAATCTTCCAGAACTACAGAAAAGATTGTCAATTTCTGAGTCCAACAAAAACAGAGTGGCATTAATTATTGTCATCTCAGATTTTCACCTTCTCACAGCAACACCATAGTATGCTTACTTATTCATACACTCAACCAATGCCGATTTGAAAGTCACATGACAGTTCAGAGGATGGACCCTGGCTCTATCCCATTACTACCTGAGTGATGGTAACAAAGTCACTTAATCTCTCTAGGTCTCAGTTTCCTTACTTTAAAACGAGAATGATAATAGTCCTGACCTCATAGGATTTTTGTGAAGATTTAATGAACTAATGTAGGTGTGGTGGCCATGCTGTGAGAGCATAATTGATTAACAACCCCAACTACTGTTCTTTTCGCCATCATATTCCCACAGGGCTGCTCATGGCCAATGATCAAACATAGTGGGGCTACCAATGCAGACCGCTGCTGTGAGATATGGGGCCCCTCAAAAGATGGCTTTGGCTTGAAGATTCCCCATTGGCTTGTCTGAACATTCCTTGAAATTGCATTGCAGCTGGAGACTCTTTCTACCTAATCCTCCTTCCTTCCCTCTCTTCTGCCACAGGTGTCAGACCATCACTGTGGTATGAAGCATCCTGACACTTTCTGCTACTCCCTCCTGTTTTATTCTCCACAGGCTTTCATCCAACCCTAATACATTTTTTTTTCATTTTGTCCCATCAAGATGTATCCAAAGTAACACAATAGGTAAAACCAACATCTGATATGTAATAAGTTCTCAATAAAAACTATTGTTTATTATTATTAACAAATAGAATGAGAGCTGGTATAAACATGGGATGCCTGGAGAAATTCAGAGGAAGAAAATGTTATTTCAAACCAAGCATTCAGAAAGATTTTATGTATGAGATAGATTTTGAGCTAGCTGGAAAGATCTCTGAAGTGGGGTCTATTGAATATCGGGGAGGAGCAATTTCAGCTAGGAGAATAATAAAAGCAGAAACATGAAGGAGGGGTAATAGAAATGCTTCCAGATTGGCTGGAGTGTAGGGTACATGTGCAGTTGTAGTTCCATATAAGTCTAGATAAGTAGGTTGGGGATGGACTATGGAGGGAGATTTATATTAGTCAATTTTGCTATCATAATAAGTAAACCTGAAATCTCAGTGGTTTATGACAAAAGATATTTTTTTCTCATTTGTATTATATGTTGGTGAGTATGGATCAGCTGCTATGATTCTGTTTCATGTGACTTCTCATCTTAGCCTGTGACCCGGGCTGAAGGAGCAGTCCCTGATTTGGGAAACATGGTTTCCTAAGGAAAAGGACTGGCAGAAATACAGGAAAAGGGCTGGTTTTTGAAACTTCTGCTGGAAACAAGCCATATGTCATATCTGCTCATAATCCACTGGCCACATGGCCAAGCCTGACATCAAAAGAATACACCTGCCAATAGAAAAGTCACATTGTGATGGATGGGGATATATTCTCCTCTTAGGGAAGAGGGCTAAATCATTAGTAACTATAAATCAATCTACCACCAGTAAGAAGTTGACCAATGTGAACACTTGATATTTTTTAGTAGGCCGGTGACACCATCGCGGTTGTCTTTTGACATAGAGATGAATCTGGAATGTGAAAGTGGAAAGAATACTACTACTACGTGGTTCAGGCAGAAGATGATGGCAGGCCTGGCTAAAGCACTGACAGCAGGAACTTATTTGTACCCTTTCCCCAGGAACCTAACATTCCAGTCTTTATTATAAAATCTTCATAAGCAAATGGGGAAGAAAATAACATGTTAAGACTAAGCACAATTGAATCACTTTACAAGTATCTGCATATTGGGGAAGGCAGGGCCAATTCTCAAGTCTGCTCTCAGAAAACTGTGAAAGAGAAGTTGAATTTATCTTTGGAGCCCACTCTCTTCTTTGCATCTGTCTATTCACAGGAACCTACAATTTCCATCCTCATTGACAAAGTCCTATCCCACAGTGCCTTCATTTTGTCTCCAGTATACCCGGGTCTCTCACTCGCAAAGCTGCACAGGGCCTCCCAGGTAACACCCACTGTCCCCAGCCTGACCTTTCCCTTCAGCCCATCTTCCTCAAAGCACTGCACTCCCGATCAATAATGTGAGCTCTATCATCAGGGCCTCCTGGCTAGGTAAGTGGCTAGGTGTTCCCTCTAAAAATATAATTCAGTGTAAATGTTAACTTTATTCTCCTTTCCTGAAATATTTACATTTTAAGTTAATGTCTTAGATATATAACACTTTAGCTTCCAAAAAGCCATCTACTATATAGGCTAATTGAAGAAGATATGTTTTCTTAAGCAGTGCAACTTGCTAGGAGCAGATTTTAAATCAGATCACACAGGCATGTGCTGAAGTTTGTCAGGGTCTCTGCTGGGTGTTTTTTAGCAAGGTATATGGAGTGTGTGATGTGTTGTTTACCTGTCTGCACAGGGTTCATATTGACTATGTGATACCAAACGTAGCATTCCATAATCCTAGAAAAGCATTTTAATGAGGGTAATAATTTCAGAGCCAGGCGCCAATGCCTGAACTTCCAAAGACCTACAATGACCACTTCTGCATCCTATAAAGCTCCTTGCAGTGGGGAGGGATCAGTTCTCTTGCCGTAGTCCTTTCACACCCATAAATAAGCTCTAAGTCTTTGCATTTGATGGAAACAGAAAAGAATGTCATGCCAGAGAAGGGGGTGACCAGAAACCAGCACTGCTTTGGCAAGTATGCATGCAATATAAGAAATCTTTCACCTACAAGTGCCCTGGTAGAGGCAATTCTTTTTTTTTTTTTAACTCAATGATTCTAACAGCATAAGCCCTCAGGTGAATAAATAACCTACTACTTTCTTGCCAGTAGCACCAGGTCATATAATCTGTGGCCTGGAAGCTCCATCACCACACAGGTGCCACCATGCCTGGAGCTTTGTGGGACTTTTAGCACCAGGTTCCCTTCCATGGGAAACAGAGTGACATCTACTTGCTCCTACTGCAGGTAAGTTAAAAGGCATCCATTCATGGTAACAGTCTGAGTGGAGTCAAGGGACATAAAAGGGCAACAAGGCACAGAAACCTAACTGGAGAGGCTAGGAGACTTGGGCTGACTTGGCAGATGACAAGCTTTGTTGCAGATTTTAAAAATAATGTTGCTTTAAGAACAGAAAGCAAGCCAAGCCAAGAAACATCGACAGTAAGTTTTCCTTCTTTTTCCCCCCTAAGATATGCTGAAGCCAGGTTTAATTTTATGTCAGGAAAGAATTCCCTCCTGAGACTTTCCTGGCTACGGTTCAGTTGAGAATAATGTTTTCCAGCCATGTTTCCAGAGTCCCTGAAAAGTTGAAAGGAAGTTACGAAGCTCTCACTTTGTATCAGCAGGGGGAGCTGTTATGATAAAGAAACTATGTGGTTTCTTCCTGTGAAATGAAATTGTCAACGTTCTCAACATTTCATTTTCGGGACCAGGGAATACTTAAAGAATGAAATATTGACAGATACTAGCAGCTTTTATACGTCTTATTTTAACGCAAACCCCTTCGTGTTATTTTAAAACGTTATTAAATAAATGTTAAATTCCAGAGTAAACAATTTTTAATCAGAAGGAAAAAGCCTTAGATATTTGTATAAGTTGCCTGTATACATGCCATATTTGTATAAAAAGCCTGCAGAGCATAAGAGTATTTCATGATACTTCGATCACCACGTAATGTAACATATCTCATACTACCTATTGCAATCCCGAAGTCTCTGATGGAAATGGTTGTCTAAAATGGGATTTCCAGGGTATATAAAAGAGCCATTATAATAGCCTCATAAAAACTTAGCTCCCTTTACCACATAAGATATGTTGATGCTGCCATCAACATATCTGTTTCACAAACATCAACTTATCTGTTTAGTACATTCTGGTTTTCAAATTGCTTGGGCCCATTTAAAAATTGAGGGGGAGGAAAGTAGGCAGGCCAAACTCTCTGCTTATTAAAACCAGTCTTTACACTTCTGATGGTTTGTTTTGAAGTCCTACATTACAGCCACACAATGTGATTCCCACCAAGTTAAGGATTAAATGACTATTAACATCTTAAGCAATTATCAAGCTCACACACCTCTTATAACTTGTTTTCTTCTAGCATCAACAAAACACTTACCTGTAGGAACTTCAGAAGTTAAAATCTGAAAAATATTGATATCTCTCATAGACATTTCTGTGGCTGCTGTATATACATTATTGTCAACTATGCCCCCTAAGTAGACTTCCAGGGAAGGCTGGCCAAAGAGAATGCTGAAGTTCAGGTGAATTGAGTCCTGGAAAAGATGGACTTCATGGGGAATTGATTGGGACATAGGGGATTCAAGAACAGAAGAGACGATTTTCAAGGAAGAATTTGAAAATCAATGATCTCTCAGACCAGGTGTATAAGCAATACAATCACCTTAAAGGCTGATATTATATGGGCTAAGGAGTTTCATTACAGCAAAGCATTTCAGATTCTCAGAGATATTATGGGGAAAAGGATATGAGAAGGCAATAAATTGTCCAGAAAATAGACTGAAACTGATAGAGGGCTGGCAGTAACAGAGTCAGCAAGCAAAGAATACAGTATGCAATATACGTCTTTTTTTTTTTTTTTTTTTTGAGATGGAGTCTCACTCTGTTGCCCAGGATGGAGTGCAATGGCACAATTTTGGCTCACTGCAACCTCCGCCTCCCAGGTTCAAGCGATTCTCCTGCTTCAGCCTCCTGAGTAACTGAGATTACAGGTGCCTGCCACCATGCCAGGCTCATTTTTGTATTATTAGTAGAGACGGGATTTCACCGTGTTGGACAGGCTGGTCTCGAACTCTTGACCTCCGGTGATCTGCCCATCTCGGCCTCCCAGTACTGGGATTACAGGTGTGAGTCATTGCACTTGGCCAGTATGCAATATATATTTATGCAGTGGAGGTAGAAGAATTGAGGGAACAGAGAGAATTCAACAGAACTCATTCAATAATAGCCGAGTCTTCCCTCAGAAGAGTTTTGAGAGAAATAATTGTTAATATCCTATAGCATCATGAAATACTTTGTATATCTGCTCTCAATAAAAAAGAGCTAACATATCAGCTATTTTCAAATATGACTAGCTTACAGTAATATCCTTTCTGATATACTTATCAGCTGGGCTGTCACTGGATACAGAAAGTTCTGAAGCATCTTGTAACTGGCTAGGTACTCATTCTGAACTGTGGCCCAAGCAGGGCTAACATGTCTCTTGGGGCTAACATGTTTGTTTCTTCTTTACACAATGAACTCTTTTTAATTAGAATAAGACTGTGCATTCTGTGTGTCCTCCAAGGGGACCCTGATCTCCAGAGACTTCATTAGAGATGTAGTGAATGAGATATTACCTGTCGGATCCAGCAATAAATCAGTAATGGAAGGTTTGCATTGATAGTAGTCTGGGGTTGAAATTGTTCTTTCTTTGCAGACGTTCAATGAATTTCAATAATTTTACATAAACATCTCATTTATTAAGCAGTATTAACTTAATCAGAAATAAGAAGGCTTTGTATTTCTAAATCATTCTTTTCCAATTATTTTATACCAACACTTCATTCTCCTCTGGCATCTAAGGTAGCTCCATAGTTTCCAGTTGCTTTCTGATATTAAGGCTTAGTCCAATTTAAAACATCAAACATTAGTTTATTCTCCCCTTCTTTCCTCTTCCACTTTACCCAGTGCAAGTAGGAACGGGCACCCTCTCTAATTAGGAGTCTGCCTCAGGTACACCATCACCTTGCATTCCCCTTGTTGTATTCCTCTTCATGGTATCGAGCTGAGAGGTAGAACAGGGAAAGGAAAGAGTGTAATGCTAGCAGGCTGCTATCATAACCTTTCCCTCTTGGTTCCTGCTGTTTTTCTGGCCAGCACAGCCTAGCTGTTGATATCATCTGCAAGGCAGGCCTTCAAATTCTAGCTCTGGGGAATAAAGGTATGAGTTTTTGGAGCTTCAGTGATTTTAAGCCAACTTTTTCAAGCCCCTGAGCTCTCACTGCTGGCCATATAGTGCATGGCCTCGTGTTGCCGGGAATCTGTCTTGGAAAGGAGGTTGAACAAGCCCAGCTACATTCAAAGTAGCATCCACTTGAACCTCAGGCATCACCTGTCTTGGCTCTGAAACTGGGTGAATCCACACTACCCCTACATCTCTTCTCTCTCCAAGACTGTTCTCCCCTGCTCCTATGATGAAGAGGTAAATCCACAAGTCCTTTTCCTCAGCAGATGTCCAATTAGGTAACTAAATTATATGACAGCCTTTGTAAATGAGTCTCTTAGAGCCTCTCAGGAGGTTTTAGGAAGAAAGACCAGGTACTCTAATTTCCCTTCCCTCCCTTGGGGAAGGCAGGGAATTTCCTCTTATCTCAAACGCACCGCATTCTAATGACCCTTGGATCTGCTCCTCTCTGTCTTGTTCCCAGTCTTATTATATAGAAGACGGAGGCTGGCAGCAGTTTGCTGCATCCATCACCTCTTAAGAAGCTTTGGCTCTGACTCTGGTGACTGTCAGTTCAGATATTAAATACTTTCCTGTCCTCAGCCTTGGTCCTAATTACCAACCTCAGAAGTCCCACTAAGAGCTTCTTACATGTGGAAGGTAAACAAAGTTCCTTGGAAGAAAAAAAAAAAAATACAGATAACATACGGATATTTAGAATAGGTATTTGGCCTCAGTTGGGCCGCTGTTAAGATTTTTTCATCATCATCCATTAATTCAACATATTTAGCAAATAAGAACTAAATGCCTACCACAAGTTGAACAAAATGATAGACTCTTATAATTCAGAGAAGAAGAAAATGTATTCCCTGCTCTCTAAATGCCATTTCCTACTGTATAGTATTTAAAATCCAGGACTGTGGATGCCAGTGTGAAGGTAGGGGCTGAGGGCAGTCAGGGCAGAGGGAGAACATACAAAGCTGGAGAAGGCAAGGTAGACTTAAAGAAGAGATGGCATTTGAAAGGGCTCTTAAAAAATGAATGGCATCGATCATCGGGCAGGAAAAAAAAATAGAGGAAATAATATCAAGTAGAGATAATAATGGCATGAGCAAAGACAAAAAGATACAAAGATTGTGAGGCAGTTAATGCCTATGCCTCTGTCAGCGGGGTGGTGAGAATATAGTGAGGGCTGGGCCTCACCAAATCAATTGATTCAAATTCCAAGCTCCTTAACTGGTAAGGAGTGAAAATTCCAATTGAAAATGGGAAATTCCAAACCGGTTAAGGAGTTTGGAATTTTTCTGTATATAAAATGGAGAATTGTTAAAGGTTTTAAAGTGAAATAATGATGCATGGAATACCATTTTAACAGTAAGTCTCAATATCAATATGAAATAGATGAGCAACTAGGGAGTTGGGAGACGACATGATCTGGAGAGCTGGTGAGTGCATGAACTCAGTATATAACAATGAGGAAGGAAGAGAAGGAACAGAGATGAGAAATCTTTAATAGTAGAATTAAATTGAGAATGACTAAGGGATTTTAAGCTTTGGTGTCTGGACGTGTAAGATATGCAGATATTCTTGCTGAGATAGGAAACACAGGAAGAACTGGCTGAGAAGAAGAGAATGAGTTCATTTGGAGATGCAATACTTTAAGGTGATGAAGAACATCTAGGAGGAGCTTCCCAGGAGTCATTTGGGCCTGGAGTTCAAAGCAGACTGGCTAAATGAGGGAACAATCAGTGAATAGAGGAGGCTTGAAGCTAGGTGAGTGCACGAGAGAATGTCCAGTTAGAGTATGTAAAGGGAGCAGGGAGCTTGGGACAGAGCACTTAAAGAACTGAAAAAGGATGGAGAGGAGGTAGTGAAGAAGCTGGAGATAAAGATATCAAGAGAAAAAAATCAGGATGGACCAGTGTCTCAAAAGCCAAGGAAAGAGGAAATGTCCAGCCCGACTGAAGCAGTTCCAGTGTGAAGTGTTAGAGAAAAGCCACATAGAATAAAAACTGAAAAAAAAAAAACTCATAAGATAAAGAAATTGGGAAGTATTTGGGTGATGCTGGATTTAACTAGACCATGCTTCTCTTGTGTTTAGATATTTGAAATGTATGTTTTAAAATAGACTTTTTGGAGAACTCTTAGCTGTCTTTTGTGTCGGAAATCTGTGTAAATGCTGATTTTTCCAAAGAACATGAAATGTGCTTATATCCTTACATTTTTCTTTAGGATAAACAAATTTTGAGCTAATAAGCAAAAAGGAAGAGACATGCACTTAAAAAAAAGCATTTACTGTACATGAAAAGGGCCATTACTAAAACAGTTGGAAGTGATAACAGCAATTTTTCTCTGTAGGAAAGGAAATAACTTAGATTCAGGAAAAGGAGCTTGCTGACAAGGCAGTCAGTCATATGTCTCCCCAAAGGAAGTTAAGAGATTGGTTTTTTAAGGTCACAGTTCAATGGAAAGTGAAGTTGATGTTCACTTGAATAAAGCTTTCTTCACTTATGCTGAGTGGATTATCAAAATAACTAACAGAAACAATAGAATGAGATGGTAATACCTCCCTCAGTCCTCCGAGCTTTTCAATGTCAAGTCAGATTATTTGCTGAAAGAGCAAGCATCTTGAAATATGATGAGAAAGTTCATATAGGATTTTTTTTTTTGCTCAACATCTTAGTCCCATATAGCTACTTAATTGTATATTTTCTTGAATAAATACATCAAGAATAAAAGATTTTCAAAAATATGTCATTCTCCTTTTGTGAAGAACTAGATCAGTGGCTCACCATATAAATGTACAGTATTAGTTCTTATATTCATAGAAAATACATTATCAAATAAAAAACGATTCTTTTATATGTTAATTCTAATAAAAAACTACTTCAGAATATGTATGGACTCAAAGATAACTCAGGAGAAAGGAGATAAGATTAATAAAGTGCTTGCTGTACTTCAGGCATATGCTGAGAATCGTGGTGATATTAATGACATAGTCTATGAGTCATGCCCAGTGACCAAGGGCTCATGTGTCCTCTCAACATTTGAAGCAGTCTTCGAAGCTACCCAAAGCCCCACTGGATGTTGATCTCATCAGAATATGGTTATCAATGATCTTTGACCCGTTGTCATCCTGAATCAAGGATAATTTCGATCTTAGAATAAATGGAGGTAAAAAGAAGTAAAAGACTTTTATCTTGAGCCCCTCACTATAGACTGGTTTCTCTCTCTTTCAAGGGCCTATCTCTCCCCTCTTTTGTTGAAAGCAGGCCTGCTCAACTATACTCAAAGCATAGGAAGCTACTTAGGTCATTTGCATATTTTTAGTATTTTATATTCCTTTGCAACCTTTGTAACTTTTACTTTCTACCCAACGTGAGAATCCCTCCTACACAGTAAGGCATTCAGGTTAAATATCTAGAGCCGAACATTACCCAGACTCAAGTTCTAATTCCTGCACTGTCATTTACAAGCTGCATACTGAGCCAAGTTGCTTGACCATTTCAAGTAAAACCGGGATGACTAAAATGCCTCTATTTGTTAGAACATTATAAAGACTAAATGTGATACTATATGTTATATACTTGGTATAGTGCTAGGAACTTAAATAGTCGTAGGGAGAAAAATTACTTGGCTAGTTTCAGTTACTCATTGTCTTCAATAACAGTCTATCCCATTTTTAAAATTTCAAAACGTCATTCAGTCTTTCCTTTTATTAAGCCAAGTCTATCTTGTTCTCCACTTTGCCCACTAATCTAAATTCTGTCCTCTGGAACACCACAAAATAAATCCAATCTCTCACATTTTTCTGTTCCATTTAGTCTGAACTATCCGCTCTTGGAAAACAAAAATGAACACGACATAGTTTCATTCTGAAATAACCTTAGACGATAGAAGAGAAAACATATGTATACACATATGTATTTGCACATGACATATATTTAGTGTTTAAGGGTGCAAAGGTTTAAGTTGTATATTCAATTATTACATAAATGGAGTACGAGTATTTCAAAGTGCAAGAATAAATGGTTAAATTAGCCAGGCGTGGTGGTGGGCGCCTGTAGTCCCAGCTACTCGGGAGGCTGAGGCAGGAGAATGGCGTGAACCCGGGAAGTGGAGCTTGCAGTGAGCCGAGATCACGCCACTGCACTCCAGCCTGGGTGACAGAGTGAGACTCCGTCTCAAAATAAAAAAAAAAAGAAAGAATAAATGGTTATTGGAACACAAAGGAAAATGTGAAGTCTAACTGTGATTGAGTGGAGGAGAAACTATACTATGCCCTTAAGGATGGGTAAGATGAAAGGGCCTCCTGGAGGAAACAGCATGTACAAAATAACCCAGGCATATTCAGAAAACCAAGGGCTTTGCAGTTTTACTAAAGCAAGCTTTCCAAATTGTGAACTGTAGGCGTAAATCTTTAGAGTTTCAAGGGATATGTTCGTCTATATATGCACCAGACATTGGGTATGGTCTGAATCGCAATAACAAAATGCCTATGGCATGACTTTTCTTAAATGTAATTTAATGCTTGTTAGTATTGATAATAAAGTCAGGCTGGGCACAGTGGCTCATGCCTGTAATCCCAGCACTTTGGGAGGCCGAAGCAGGTGGATCACCTGAGGTCAAGTGTTTGAGACCAGCCTGACCAACATGGTGAAACCCCGTCTCTACTAAAAATACGAATATATATCTGTATATATGGAACACCATGCCCAGCTCTCTCTCTCTCTCTCTCTCTCTCTATATATATATATATATGTATATGTGTATATATATATATATATCTGAGCTATATATCTATACATTGATAGCTGTACAGCAATCAATGAGATAGGAGACATTTAGAATGTACTGGTGTTTCTGAAGAAGAACACAGAAGAAACTTTCAAATAAAAGGGAACTATCGATTGTGTGCAATGATAAAGAGAATTTATGGCTGGGCACGGTGCCTGTAATCCCAGCACTTTGGGAAGCCTAGACACGAGGATCACTTGAGCCCAGTTTGAAACCAGCCTGGGCAACAAAGTGAGACCCCTGTCTCTACAAAAACTCAAAAAATTAGCCAGACGTGATGTCATGCACCTGTGGTCCCAGCTATATTGGAGGCTGAAGCAAGGGGATAGCTTGAACCCAGGAGGTCGAGCTGGGCATAGTGGCAGGCCCTTGTAATCCCAGCTACTCAGGAGGCTGAGGCAGGAGAATCGCTTGAACCCAGGAGGCAGAGGTTGCATTGAGCCAAGATCGCACCACTGCACTACAGCCTGGGCAACAAGAGCAAAACTCCATCTCAAAAAAAAAAAAAAAAAAAAAAAAGTCATAATTCTGTGTTTTCTTCATCAGTGAGTACTCAGAGTACAACCACTAACATAGATCGTCCTTCAGAGTTATTAGCATTAAAAAGGGATCTACTCAAGCGTTTGGGAGGTATCAGGTCAGAGTACAGAGGGCTAAGCAGGAGTGGGCCATTCCTTCCCCTTGGCATAGCTCCCTTCCCCTCTTATCTATTCAAGGACATTGCTCTGGCCATTTGCCCCTGTTTTAAGTTTTTCCTTACCACTACAGTTTTCTCATTATCATCCAACTACGTTGTGTTTCTTTCAGTGTGGAAAACAATTCATCTCAACATTGCTTCCATCTCCAATCAGCTGGTTTTTACTGAAAGAGAAAAAAAAAAGCCCTAGGAAAAACAAATGTGTGTATGCACAGTTTCTAATTTCTTTCTAGTATTTTCTCTGTGAGCTTTGCCTTCAAAACACATCTACTATCTGAATTCTTATCTCCATAGTTGCAGTTACCACCCTAGTCCAAGCAACTCTTATGTCGATTTTGGATCCCAGTAGCCTCCAGACTGGTCTGTCTGCTTTCATCTCCCCTTGCCCCATACTTTTTTCTCAACAGTGTATCTGGAGTGATCCTGTGAAAACATAAGTCACAGCATGTCATTCCTCTACTCCAAATCTCCTTAAGTTACCCATCTCATTCAGAGTGAAATCCTAGTCCATACAATCATTTTTCAAGACCTGCACTCTCTCCTCAAAGTCCTATCTGATGCCATCTCTTAAATCTGTCCTCTCTTCTCACTCTGTTTCAGCCATACAAGCTGTCTTTCCATGCATCAAGCTTGCCAGGTGACTCCATTCAGCTCAAATGATGATGTGACATATGCCTAATTACCTAGTAGCAAGCTTTCATTTTTTCGTATGATTGTATTGCTTGATGTACATGAAAAATTAGCGTGATCTCTAGAGTTGGTTAACAGTGGAAAATTGACTTTGTCATTTGAAAACACTGTCTAGAAACTCCATAAATAAAACACAATTATTTTTCTTTTCAAAGTATTCCAAATGACTTACTATATTTTTTTTTATCATGTGACCCCTTTTCAGCTTTCGCCCTACTTAAATTCTCTCTTTTTTCTGAGACAGTGTCTCACTCTGTCGCACACGCAGGAGTGCAATGGCATGATCTTCACTCACTCAGTCTTGACCTCCTGGGCTCAAGCGATCCTCTTGCTTCAGCCTCCAATGTAGCTGGGACCACAGGTGCATGACATCACATCTGGCTAATTTTTTGAGTTTTTGTAGAGACAGGGGTCTCACTTTGTTGCCCAGGCTGGTTTCAAACTGGGCTCAAGTGATCCTCGTGTCTAGGCTTCCCAAAGTGCTGGGATTACAGGCACTGCGCCCAGCCATAAATTCTCTTTATCATTGCACACAGTTGATAGTTCCCTTTTATTTGAAAGTTTCTTCTGTGTCCTTCTTCAGAAACACCAGTACATTCTAACTGTCCCCTATCTCACTGATTGCTGTACAGCCTCCTTCACTGGTATTCTTCCTCGGCTCCCAGCCCTCTGGCAATTCATACAATTCTATCTTTGGTCCCTGACTTTTCATACATATGAAACCTGAGAAATCTTACCCACTCACAGACTCAAATCTCCATCTATACACTGAGCGTGCCTAAATTTAGCCCAGACTTCACTCCTGAGCTCTGTTCGCCAATTGCCTTCTAGACAGCAGAATTGATAGGTTCCAAAGTCACTTCAAACTTAACATGTCCCAAATTGGACTCATTAAAATCTTTTGCAGTCAATTTTTCTAGTAAATCACATCTTCAGTGAATGCATCACCATCTCCCCAGACACCGTGCTAGAAAACTTTGAGTCCTCTCTTGCCTGTCACATCAATTTCCTTACATAGATCCTCAGGAGAAGGTGTCTTTTCCAAGACCACAGCCAGCATCTTGGAATATAAGAGGGTGGATGGCTTAATGCAAATCTATCTGTTAAACTGGAAACCTTATTTTGCATTCAACAGAGCAATCTTTTGGCACTCTAAAATGATAGATATAAATTCTGAAAAACCAGGAAAACTGGGTCTGTATTCTGGTTCCGCCTTTTGTGGTCTTAGGAAATTTAGTGAGCCTTTTTGATTCCATTTCCTCCTCATCTTTCAAATGGGGAGAATAATAATTACTTCATAAATTATTTGAAAAAATTAAATGGAAGTAAGTTAAGTTATATGCAAGCCCCCAGTGACATAATTTAATTTCCTTCATTCTTTCCTATCAAATGAAGCAATCATACTTATTCAAAGATTTTTCTGTTCAAATATTTTTGAAATGTGCCTCCTTCCCTTAAGAACAGGTTGTAGAAATGATCCAGCTGTGATTTATATTGACAAAGCAGGGGGAGTTAGCTGGAGGGTATAACTCACCTGACCCTCAAGCCATCTGACTTATTATCTGGAATGTGCAAGGAATCTTGTTAGTGAAACTGTATTACAGGATGGTGTGTTGTTTTTGTTTGTTTGTTTATGTCATGATGAGAGCTTGTTTTTGTCATTCTTATCCTAAGGTCATTGGAACTGTACTCCAAAACTAGTCAACAGAATTAAATGAATAGATCGATAGTGATTAAAAGTCTGGACTCTGGAGTAAAGCAGCCAAAATTTAAATCATCGCGCTCACTGTGTTGCCTGGGATCAATTACTTTCTTTTGCTATTTCTCAGTTATAACATAGGGTTGCTGGGAAGTTAAATAACATAATAAATGTAAAGGACATAGGAAGGAGAAACCATTTAACAAGCCATTAAAGAGCCATTGAACACAAAGTTCTTTCAGTGAGGGTTTCTGTCCTTGAGAAGCTGGAGGTTTCTGTCCTTGAGAGGGAGGAGGATGACCTAGTTTAGGGAAAATATCGGAATTATTTTAAGTGGTAATTATGACCATTGAAAGAAGACATTTAAGAGTTTTCCAATATTGATTTTAAATATTGTTCTATGTATTCTCATTCTTTATGTTATGAAGTAAAATAAAATCACGTTTCTTGTTTAGTGCATAATTCAGGTTATTTTAGAGCAAGGCAATTTCATATTAAAAGCCCAAGCAGGTTGCTAGTCTTTTTTTTTTTTTTTTTTTTAAGACGGAGTCTCACTCTGTCACCCAGGCAGTGGTGTGATCTCAGCTCACTGCAACCTCTGCCTCCTGGGTTTAAGCGATGCTTGTGCCTCAGCATCCTGAGTAGCTAGGATTACAGGCACGTGGCACTACACCCAACTAATTTTTGTATTTTTTTTTTTTAGTAGAGACAGGGTTTCACCATGTTGGCCAGGATGGTCTCGATCTCCTGACCTCGTGATCTGCTCACCTCAGCTTCCCAAAGTGCTGGGATTACAGGCGTGAGCCACCATGCTCAGCCACTAGTCTTAATGTACATTCCTGTTCCTCTCCATTATTCACACAAGGGCATGACTTGTTCCTTGGACCGATAAACCCATTACCAGGCACTTCATTGTATCTGTTATTAAAATACCTAAGATCCTATGAAGAAATATGTAATCTATCTAGGGCTTGAATTTCTGAAGTTTGCATTTTCAAATCTATGCAATAATGGCAAACATTAGAAGCAAGCAATAAGATTACTTCTACATTTTAATAATGATTTCAACTGGATAATGATTATCAACTACAATGGAATTAATACAATCCTTTCACCATGTATTTAACATAAAAGACTCATTTTTCCCTCTCCAAAACTCTCATTCTCACTACAAACTTTGTACTGACTCCCTAACACCTTGCCATTGGATTCTCTTTTGATTTTGTATTTTTACTAAAGTAAAAGAATTATGTCTCTTGGGATTATCTGCATTATGTCTAAATTAAAACCCTGACATTATTGAATAAAGTTGAGGCATGGGATTTTAATATCCAATAGATATTCCTAACCTTACTTAACAAGCACTCTTGGAACTCCAGAAATCATACTAACTAGATTTGGAAGATCAATTTTATCTTTTATCTAGCCAATTACTTCCACCAAATATACATAATTTTGTCTTTTTAATCACTATGATTTTATTATGGAGTAGCAAGTAAAATAATAGGAAATTAAGTTCATCTTTAATCATGGCTGCCTGGATGGATCTAGGCTACTTTAGGCATATTGTTTCATAGTTTTGTATCTCAGTTTCATCTGAAAATTGATTTTATAATAATTGTATCTATATCATAAGATTACTGTGATGATTAATTAAGATGATGTATAGAAAGTGATTAAAATGGTACTTTGCATACATTAACTGTCATTAAGCTATTAATATTGTTTTTGTTATTATTTTACTCAATTCCTGAAACTACAGGTACGCTAAGACAAGGTATAATAAAATCTGGAATGTCAAAATGTATGGAAATCTTCATGCCTCCCATGTTTCAAATGACAGTCCAGGCTACTCATCTAAAGAAAGCCAAAGTCTCCACAAGCTCCACCAATACATAGTACATTCAAAAATCTAATTAGACTGAGTACTGGACGGAAGTGAGAGGGATAGAAGCACAATTTCAAACCATGCCTTAAAAAACAAAAAGCAGTATTTTTTAGGTTAATAAATTTTTTGTTTGCAGCCTAAGCATCTTTCAAGGTAATAGGGTTTTGACTTTTGTGGTACCAGTTCATCCCAGGGATAAACTTCTGCCAGGATGGAGAGGAACAGATTAAGTACTAGCATTAAAAAAAAATTCACTTAAATTGTATGCATCACATTTCCCCACTTCTCTCCCAGGACAGATTGAGTTTAGGCAATTATTCTGAGTTTATCCCTCCCTATATGCTGAGTAAATAGTGTCTAAGACATTAGAACAAGGACTGTTAAGACAAGAACTTGTTTGAATCAGAAGGAAGGAAACTACCACTTCATCTGAGAATGTGTTGATGTGATTACACAGCTAGGAAAATAATCCATTTACTTTAAAAATGACAAAGGCCTCCGCCCTCTATAGGTATCTGGCAATATTGTTTACTGCGTATCATGTGAATACGCCAAGACAACATTTTTCTGCAACAATGACCACCTGACACAAGAGATTTTATCACAGAACTGCAATGGCAAAAACAAAAACATTCATTGATTCTCAGAAAGCTCAAAGCCATTAAAAACAGAAATCAAGTTAGTGTGTAATATAGAATAACTGACTGCAAATCTGAGTACTCCCAAGTAATATATTATAAAACCTTATCCTCAGTTCCCAAATAAACATTCAAACAATATTTAAAAATGTACACAAAGTTATAGTATTACTGGCCAGGGAACATAGGAATAAAATGAGGCTCTCTTTCTGTGGTAACCTGAATATAGGGTATGTCCAAGTGTCAATGCCTTTAGTGCTTAGCTATCCAGGGGGAAGAAAAAGAAAAGAAGGAGGTCTCTCTTGACCCAACAAAAAAATAGGAATGAATAAAAGTAAAATTGAAGAGCTAAATAAGTAAAAAGAAATCAAGTGTTATAACTGAAGAGAAAAGTAGTTAGACAACGAAATAAGGAATTTTGTTGAGATGATTTGGGAGAGCAAAAGGGTCTTAGAGGATTAAAGATATACGCTTAGGAATGATGAAAAAAACATTTCTGGGAGGAACTAGAAAATACGACTCAGCACACAAGATGAGAAAATTGGTTTTAAAAATTGAGACAGTGAAAAAGAGAGAAGAGCAAGAGAGAGGAGAGGCAAATGCCTTATACTTTATTGCACAGAATACTTCCCAGAGCATTTGGCAGAAGCAGTCTTTCTTCATTCCTACTTGCAAAAGTAGCCTTTCAAATTAGACTTTGTTCTTTTCTTATTGGAAAATGCCTTGAATCTAGATGTAGATGACCTCAAAGGTCCCACTGACCTGAGGCCAGCCATCCGGGCTCTCTGTGCTGTGCAGAGGGTTGCCAAGAGCTGGGGCAGGAAATGTTTGCATCTGGGCCTCGTCTAGAGAATGACACAGATGCAAATCACATAAAGATAGAAAGTGCATGATGATATAAGAATCAGCTGTCCTAGAGGGGAGAGCTCAGTCTTGGCCTTAAAAGAAGGGCTAACTCTGGCTGGGCACGGTGGTTCACACCTGTAATCCCAGCACTTTGGGAGGCCGAGGCGGGCAGATCACAAAGTCAAGAGTTCGAGACCAGTCTGGCCAATATGGTAAAGCCCCATCTCTACTAAGATTACAAAAATTAGCCAGGCATGGTGGTGGGCGCCTTTAGTCCCAGCTACTCTCAGGAGCCTGAGGCAGGAGAATGGCTTGAACCTAAGAGGCAGAGGTTGCAGTGAGCCAAGATTGCACCACTGCACTCCAGACTGGGTGACAGAGCAAGACTCCATCTCAAAAAAAAAAAAAGAAGGGTTAACTCAAGGAGGAGACCTGCATTCCAGGAGTGGAGAACAATGTAAGCAAGTGCAGAGTGTGTTTACAGGACAATGAATGGGGGAAAATCCATGTGATAGGATGGATTGGGTCCTGCAGAAGTTCTTAACTACCTGACTAAGAGAAAGAGGATTTTTTTTTTTTAACTATTGTAACATGTGGACTTAGTGGAGAATTGGGGCACAAAAGAGGCATTGTGAGAGAAGCATGTCAGAAAATTTACTTTGGTGGCAGAGAGCAGAATGGCAGCAGGGAGGGGAGATTAAAATAGGACTTCATTTCAATAACCCACATATCAGATGATGGGCTGAAATAAGGTGGTAGACTTCGTTGTTGGGTTAAGTGGAGAAGCAGAGGCTTAAGAGACTATATAAAGAAAATTGGTTTGTTATTGAGCTGGGAGGAGAATGATGAGACACAGTATCATTCAATGATATGGCTAATCCTTTTATTTAATTTTAATAGACACATAATGATTGTACATGTTTACGGTATACAGAGTGATATTTTGATGCATGTATACAGTGTGTAATGATCAAGTTAGAATAATTAGCATACTTCTCACCTCAAACATTTATTATTTCTTTGAGTTTCTCCTTCTTATTTAAGTGTTTATTTGAAAGGCCTTTCAGCACTTAATCTTAGTCATTAAAGTAGACCTGAAGTCTGAGGAATGTTTATCTTATCTTCCCTAACTTAATGATCTTCTCTCTCAGATCCATCACCAATCTTATCAGAAAACACTGGCCTTTAAAGACTTTTAGGCAATTTCTGGTATGAGACTCACATGTAATATAATTATTTGGGAGAATTATCTGCAGCTATATTGCTGCAGGAATGTTTCCTGATTGCCAGGAAACAATCAGATCTTTAGAAAACATCTTAACTATAGAAAGAAGCCTCTAAGATTACCCACAGTACTAAGAAACATGAGGAATATAAATATCACAAGTATAAGACCACAGGTAATCTGAAAACCAGCATTTTTAAAGCTCAGATTTGAATCTACACAAGTACAAGGCTTCTGTCAGAATTCTTTCTTGGAAAAAAAAAAAAGCCTTGATAAGTCAGCACCACTCAGTTTTCTGTTGACAAAAAAAGAGCATAATATTTGGGCTTCAAATTTCCCTCCATTTCTGTTGAAGGGGGAAGCTGAAGGGAAATAGATCAGTGTCAAGTGGCCCCATTGAACATCAAGCAATATAATTGGTGTATCCCTAAGGGACATGTTATTGGCTCTGGTCTTTATTGAATTCTATCTGATGTATCTTGGATGTTTACAGACATCCCAAACTTTGTATATCCAAAAGGAAATAGTATTCACAATCAATTTCCCACCTTCACAAACATCACGCTCCTCCAAGGATTCTGCTCAGAAAATAGTGCCACATTTCATCTACTTCCAGAAGCTAGAATTCTGAGCGTTGTACTCCTCATTCTAACTCCTGGTATCAAATCAATGTAATTCAAATCAAGTCATCAAGTACTATTAAATCTACCCTGAAATATGCTTTGAATATAGCCATGCCTTGCCATCTTCACTGCCTCCATCGTTGTCCAAAACACCATCAACTCTCATCTAGACATCCAATTTTTCCTTCTTTAATGCATTCTCCACATAGAATCCAGATAATTCATTTTTCTTTAATGTATTTTATTTCATTATATTACTACCCTTGTTAAAGTTGTCCAGTGGCTTCCCATTGTGCTTAGAATAAATCCAGTTCTTTCAAAGGCCCCCAAGACTTGCCTGAACTGACCATGGCCCACCTCATGCCCCTGTCTCCCCTGTTTGCCTTGCTCCAGTGACTCTGGCCTTCACCATAAATGGCCATCTCATCTCTAATTTTCTGTATATTTATATATGGGTTTGCTTCATGTGTTCTTCCTCCACAGATTGTAGAGATCATGAGAACAGAGACCTTTGTCCCCAGATCCCTGGGGCATACATAAGTCTATCTTATAGCATGAACCCAATAAGCACTTCCTCATTCTTCTTTTCATTCTCTGCCCCTACTATAGTATTTTTCCTCTTGAAAGGCATTGTTCCAACCTGTATCTGCAAACTATACTAAGGTATTCTTATCCCCAATTTCCACACTGGATATTTTTATAAACATTGCCTAATTACATACCTTGGCATTTAGGCTCCAATATTAATTTATTTTGAACCTTCAGCATACCATTAAACCCTAGGAACGTGATTAAGCCAGGTCATCTGCTTCTAGTGCTCATGGATTTGATATTCTCAATTGTCATTAGGTTTTTACATTTATCCCTAGTAAATAGCAATGAGATCGAACTCTAATTTCCATACTCCTGAGATTTTTTTGAGTCCTGGTTCTATCATCCAGTGCACTAACTCTGTTTCAGTTTTCTGTCATCCAACACTCAGAAATTTTCACTGTGCTCTCATTCTTTTTTTTTTTTGTAATCTCATTCTTAAACTTCTGCTACCTTATCTTCTAAGACATCATTCTCTACTGTTTTCTGTCATCCTTCCAACTGCACCTTCCCAGTCTCCTCTGAGGAGACTGGGTCTCCTTACTCAGTCACTCATTCATTTGGTAAGTCATGAAATAAACATTTATTGAAAAACTCTTATGTGCCAGGCACTGGGCTAGGTGCTGGAAATACAAAGACAAACAAGTCACAGCCTTTGTCTTCCAAGTCCATTTCCCAAAAGTCCCTTGGCCTTCTCTTATTACTGAGCAATTTTACCCATAATCATTGCTTCAGCTAAATATGTATACTTTGCTAAATTTTAAACCAGTGTATCCAGCTTCATAATCTTTCCTGAGCTCTAGATGGCTTATTTTGTGTGTTTTACTGGATTTTACTAAATCATCCTGCAAAAAAAATCTCAATCTCAACATGGTCATAACATATTTATCCCTATTTATCACCACCCCTGATCACCCCCATGACACCTCTGTATTCCTGATCTTGATTAATGGCATCATCACTTGCCCACCTAGCAAGTTGAGGATCAACTCAGATTTCCTATTACTATATTTAGCTTTCACATAAAATGTGCTTTCACATAAAGGTCCTCTCAATTTGATTTCATAAATACCTCTCTTTCTCTGCATCCCTACTGCCACTATTTTAGTTGATATCGTCTGTCAAACTAATTATTCTTACATTCTATTTCAAATCCCATTCTGTCCAAACCCATACCTCACACTGCTATCAGGTCTCCAAATAGAACAAAGAAAATTTACAAAAAAAATCATTCTACATGGTAATAATAGCAAAATTTCAACAACAATGCAACAAAAGTAATCAGGACATAAGCCAAAGAAAAAGTAATTTGGAAAAATAAGATGGAGCCAGGAATAATATCTAACACATAGTTTTGCTCTTACTGTGTCTATGATGTTATTTCAAATGTTTTGAATGTGTTATTCTATTCAATCATAGATGCCACTATGAAGATTGATAAGGAAACTGAAAAGGAATGAAATATAAATACAAAGGCTATTCTGTGAAATTGCATACAATTGCTATGGTAGGTCAACAGATTTAACCCTTAATCAAACAGCCAATACAAAGAAAAAAGCAAACAGTCAGTTACAAGACTCACAGTGTCTGAAAGTAGAAACAAAACAGTTGCTCATGGAAAACACTGCAAAGCTTGATGTTAAGACTAATAAAAAACAATTGGGGAAAACTGACAAAAGACAATTTGGCTACTCAAAACTGTCAAGTTCTTTTGATAGGATCTATAGCCTCTGATGGTCAGATATAGATAGGAGCTATAGATTCTTTTCCCTAACAACCACACTGTGCCACATGGGTATGCCATGATGAAGGAAAGTCTTCATTTAAATTCTGACACTCTTTACAACATTTAGTTGCTACCAGCCAGTTTTGTACAAAATAAAACAAAAACACAACCTCATGAATTTGGTGAAATTTCAGTGTTTGCTTTATGTACTGAGAAGTGCCTGGTAAGAATGATTTAATCTTAGAAAGGCAGCCCAATCAGTTGGCCTTCCAGTGTGACTTGTTTATAGAATCCTCTGTTGAATGTTGTTAGACTGCTTCCCATTCATGCAAGGCCAGTGGTACCTTTATGGCATTTCCAGCAAATTCACCAACTTTGAACGCCATTCAGTGTACCAGTGCACCAATTATTTCCATTATCTCTTTGCTAGGAGTTCTTAAACTTCTTGTACATGGACCCTTTTCACTGTCTGAAGAATAGTTCTGTCTGTAGAATACTTCTCAGAATAATGCTTTTAAATAAATATTTTTTTAGAAAATGATGTTTCAAAGGAAGAAAATGATATTGGAAGGCATTTTCAAATACAGTTTAATAAAAATGTGTGCTTCTCTTTAAAAACATTGAACAACAAGACCTAAAAGCTGTGGGTTTTGGGGCATTTTTGAGTCAATATTTTATTTTGAGATATCATGCCTTAACTATAAAGTTGCATGAAAATTGATCAAATTGTTGGTGAGCCCCAAATCAAGAAAAGGAATGCTCTCTCTTTAAATGATGCAAATATTTCACAGCATCAGATGATGATACCTTAATATATTCATTTTCAAATTAAACATATTCCTAATAGAGGGACCAGAAAGTAGACAAGTCCATAGAACTGGGCAAATGTTTTCTAGGCCAGGAATAAGAACAGTAAACAAACTGTGTTGTGGTTCGTATGATAGGATTAACATATGAAGAGTCTACCAGCAGGTGAATATTTTTTAAAATTACAGAAAACACAAAAAATGTGAAGGTGGGAAGAGCTGGTCTTGATCATTTAGCATTATCGAGGGAAGAGGGTCCTGAATCTTGTGTGTAGAAACCATTTAGTTGTAAAGGGCTTTGGCTATACCTATTCTTATCTATTGCATATAGATCTAGTTTAACTCTCAAAATACTGTGGGGAGGCATGGGCAGCTTGCTGTACCCCTATACCACAGGGACCTTCTACATTAGGGGCACTTCAAAGGGCTCCATGAACCTCTAGGAATTATATATATATATATATATATATATACACACACACACATATATATACACACACATATATATATATACACACATACATATATATGTATATATATATATTTTTTTTTTGAGACGGAGTTTCACTGTTGTTGCCCAGGCTGGAGTGCAGTGGCACAATCTTGGCTCACTGCAACCTCTGCCTCCCAGGTTCAAGCAATTCTCCTGCCTCAGCCTCCTGAGTAGCTAGGATTACAGGCACCCACAACCACGCCGGCTAATTTTTTGTATTTTTAGTAAAGACGGGGTTTTACCATGTTGGCCACGCTGGTCTCAGACTCCTGACCTCAGGTGATCCACCCTCCTCGGCCTTCCAAAAGTGCTGGGATTACAGGCGTGAAACACTGAGCCCAGCTGAACTTCTAGGAATTCTTAAAAAAAAAAAAAAATCATCAAAATTTCTGATCCTCCTAAGCATGGATACAAACTTTGGTGTAGGCAGATAATCATGGCTCTCACCAGATTCTCAAAATGGACCTTGGCCCACCAAATGATAAAATGTACTTTTCTATGCTGTTTCTTTTTCATTCTATAACACACCTGTTGGCATCCACCACAACAGTGTTGCATTGCTCCCCTGGGCATATTTTCCTTTCTTCCCAAATTTCAATTCAAATCTTCCTTGAACCAGTGAAGAAATCTGCCCCACCTTTTGTTATAGTCCTTGTGAAAAGCACTAAATGCCTCTCCAGAAAGGTCCTTCTATCATTAAACCTAGAGTGTGTGAGAACCAGCAATGTAAAGCACCTTTCCCTGGCCCTACCACCATCCAAAGGATTTAGGTTGGATGCTCACTGAATTTGGAACCAACACAGGAAATGGATGCAAACACTTTTCACTTCCTAGTTCTCCTCCTACACTAAGCTTCATGCTTGGGATCTCAAGAAACTGGTTGAAGAAAGAAGAAAGGCCACCAACCACATTGCCCTAAATACATAGGTATTTGGAAGCAGGTAAAAAACGATGAAGAAGGCTAGACTAGAGGCAAGCTACAAATGCTTAAAAGGGGATTTACCACCCAGAGCAAATGTGGATCAGTCTCTATTGTCCTGGTGTCTCCAACCAGGGAGTGGGAATATGTCTCCTTGTTGACATAGGGCGGTCCTAGAACAAAGAAAGTTGATGACCTAAACCTATCCTTTTTTCCCAGCACTTGAGTTGTGTGTGATTTAACCTTTAACTCTTGCTTGTTGATGTAGGTGAGATGTCAAATATTTTCTACCGGCCTGTCGGCAACTGTTTAAAGTGTTTTCATCACTCTTTCACTAAGGCAAAGCCAGGCTCAGGCTAACCCGTCCTTCTAACAGTTTCTTCCCCCACCCTCTCTCTCCTTTCTCCGCCACTTCCTTCAGACCCAAACAGGAAAGCCATGACAAAGAGCTGGGATCAGCCTGGTAGTCACTGTAAATCTGCAATTACTTAAGTGTTGCTTCCTGTTTTTTGAAAGAATACACTTGCAGCACGGAATAGACTGAGGTCTTGTGACCAACTGTGAACAAATGATTTAAATTGTGACAGGAACAATAAGAAGCCCAGTGTCAGGTCCTGCTGTCCTTCTTTTACCCTCCTTTAATTCTGTAGACCCGGAGTTTAAAGCCTCGTACTTCCTCTAGATCAAATTGCTCTCATGAAAGGACAAAACAGGCACATTCTGCCTACTTCATGCTTAGAGGAAAACCATCCTACCTTTTCCCAAAGCTGAACTCAAACCCACCGGTCTACCCATTCAGGGCAAAACAATTTTTTTTTTTTTTGAGATGGAGCCTCACTCTGTCACTCAGGTTGGAGTGCAGTGGCATGATCTCGGCTCAATTTTCCTGCCTCAGCCTCCTGAGTAGCTAGGATTACAGGCGCCGACTACTATGCTCAGCTAATTTTTGTATTTTTAGGAGATGCGGGGTTTCACCATATAAGCCAGGCTGGTCTTGAACTCCTCACTTTGTGATCCGCCTGCCTTGGCCTCCCAAAGTGTTGGGATTACAGGCGTGAGCCACCGCACCCAGCCTAAAACATTGTTTAAATAGATATATTTTCATTTAATGTTTAAGCCGAAGGCAGAAAGTTTTTACTAGTTTTGCCTTTGCAAGACAAAGGTTTTTCTACCATCAAAAAGAACAAAAAGTGGGGTAAAGATTCTCACCCGCATAATTTCATACATGTTTTTTACTTAATGGTCATTCTTGTTCCCTTAGAGACAGAAGACAATCCTGCTGAAAGAATGGACTTTTAGCTACCAGCAAACAACAGCACACATACAACATATACCTGAAGAAAGCAACTTGGATAAAGGAAGCACTACTCATTTGCATTTTCATAATTTTAGTCTGGAGCTTGCACTCCTATCTTGGAAAGGAAATCTCTTTCATTAAAGAAAACTGGTTATGCCAAATGCACAAAAATAACAGTGGGAGGCACTGGCGTGGGGATGGGTGGAGGAAGGTCACTGCATGACTCAGAAGCATGGCTTCCGTAATTCATATTTTAAGTCGTATTACTTCATAGTCAAAACAGAATTGGCTGGGCGCAGTGGCTCACGCCTGTAATCCTAGCAATTTGGGAGGCCGAGGCAGGTGGATCACTTGAGGTCAGGAGTACGAGACCAACCTGGCCAACATGGTGAAACCCCATCTCTACTAAAAATACTAAAATTAGCCAGACATTGTGGTACACCCCTATAATCCCAGCTACTCAGAAGTCGGAGGCAGAAGAATTGCTTGAACCCCGGGAGCAGAGGTTGCAGTGAGCTGAGATCACACCACTTCACTCCAGCCTGGGCGACAGAGGTCAGAGTGAGACTCTGTCTCCAAAAACAAACAAACAAACAAAACACATAATTTTAGAGTCAGAGAAAAAAACTAACACCTAGCTAAAGTAGGGTTTCTAAGTCATAAACATATATACTATCACATAACTAAAGTAGGGTGTGTCTAAACTACATGTGTGTATGTATATATGTATATTATATTATGCATACATAGCTGAGTATAGTGACACATAGCTAAAGTAGGGTATGTCTTTTATGTGTTTTTTGGATGTAGATTTTTAAATCATATATACCACATTATATAAAATTGTCTCAGCTGAACAGTCTACTTGGAAACTCATTAAAATCTTTCCATAGGAAAGTTTAAAGTAGCCGTAGGCTTAATTCTTATTTCCCCAGTCATTTAGCATATCTATTACTACTTCTTACAGGAAGACGTGGAAAATCAGGCACTTTGGGAATCATGGAACCTTTCTCAGACATGATTTGGTATTACTCTGTGCACCAGATAACTCAGTGGCCTGAAGACTTGAAAAAGTTAATGAACAAGTCAGAAAGGGCCTTTAGGATTACCACTTAAAGGTAGCCCGTTACATAAAAAATTTTGTTTGTAGAAAATAAATCTTAGAGAACTGATAAAGTATGGTGCACACTTGTTAAACATTAGCCCCAAGTTCCCATTTAAGCCACATTATATTTCTGAATTATAGTTTAGACAATATGAAAGTTTGCATGATTCACCCTGATACAGGAATCACTATCCAGGGAGCTAAATGCTTCATGAGTTTCATATTTTAACTGGTAGGTAGACAAGAAAGAGCAAGAACAAAGGACATGACAAAGTAAAGCTGTACCAGAGCAATCCATTGAAAATGACCCAATGTAGTCCAAAGTCAATATTCATTGACTGAATTAATAGTTTTTGAAAAATAAAATGTAGTAAAATTAGTTCCGATGTGGAGATAGGGTGGAAGAAGGTCAAGTTTTATTTTGTTTGTAAAAAGTATTCCATTAAAGCTATGTGGTAAAATTATGCTTTATACCATTTATGAATATCAAAGTACTAAGATAAAACACAACTTTCTTAAAAGTACAGCAGCAACATACTTTAAAAAAAAAAGAAACCAACAAGCAAGAATATGGTCACTGGTAAAAGTGTCTCATTGAAGAATACCCCCATTGAGGAGCTTGGGTATCAAAGGAGCAATAAATGGAAAATGTCCTGTTCAGTCATAGAAAGTTTGAATCTGCTTCATGTCAAAGTGTCACTGCAGCAGAGTTTTTTGTCAGGCATTCATCCTGACTGCTTTTTCTGGTTTTCCTTTCCTTCCCAGTCATCCGAGGGATCCCCTTCCCTATTTGTTTCTCTTTCACTTCTTTCTTCCATTCTTTTTCTTCTAGTCTTCACGCTGTTAACAAAGCTATAATTCATTAAAAATTGAAAATTTTTTTATTGAAATCACATGCACACAGATTCATATTATATATTAGCAAAAATACATGTATACTTTAGTCACCATTGTAACTCAAACAAAGAATTTGGGAGTTATTTATAGTATCATACATATTAGATGAGTGAATTAACCATTACAGCATCACATTCTTACTTAGCACATCACTTGGTGCATTACAAAATGAGGAACATACCAGACCCATTCCATAAGAAACCTTTGGGGAGACACAGGAAAAATCTGAAGATGGTTCATGCCCTTTTCCCGTGGCTTGCACAGCACTGCATGGCTGTTCACATGCACCTCTATACACTCCTTGCCTTCCGTATTTCCCCATTCAGTCCCCCTCGCTGTCATTCCGTCATTTGCATGCTCCTTCTTGCTACATGATATTTTTGAGTTCTATTAAATTTGCTTATACCATATTTACTTTTATGCTCTTACTTTTACTAAGTCCTACTGATATTGAGCACAATTTCTGGATCACTCAGATGTGCAGTAATGTTAATGTAGGGATGAAATGTCCTTAAGACAAGAGCATACAGTAGCTGTGTTTGTGATGCAGCATGTCAACATATTAAGACAATTCAACTAAAATAAAGATTTGATTGACTGTAATGAAGTGAAGAAATTCTGATGATATGTATATATTTATATTATGGCAAACCTATAGAATTTAATATTATGCAGATATTGAAAATCAGATTTTCAAAGAGTACTACATGGCATAAAAATATATGTAATGTTCAGGAAGAAAATGAAGGATATTAAATTGTATATGTAGCAATTCTCAATTTATAAATGTAAATAAATACATATGAATAAAATACAGTGATAGGAAGATAGATACATCGAAATTGGAAGGAAACATACAAAAACAGGGGTGATATTTGGATAGCAGAATTACAGGTGGTTTTGATGTTATTTTTACACTTTTCTGTATTTTCCAAATTTTCTTCAATCACAAGTGTTAATTTTTTTTTCTTATCTAAGAAACAATTTTTCATCTACCTCTGCAATTTTTACTAACTTAATTAAATTCTGTCAGGTAACCTAACAAGTACCAATGTTTCCTTCTTTCTTAAACTCTCACCTTAAATGTTTTCCCTTAGATACTGCTGCTGACTCACAACCTCACAAGCGCATCCCATCCCTTGCCATCTACCCTGATAGAGACTCTCCTCATGCTTTGGACTCTTGAAACATAGGATAGGACTTTGTAGACTCATCACTCAGATATCATTGTTGGTGATCACAATGTCTTAGATAGGGGTCCTTAAAAGCAGAGACTGAGAAAGGGCTCCAGATATATGTGATGTATTGAAGGAGTGATCTTTAGGAAAAACCTAGAAGGCAGTAGATTAAGCTGAACATTGAGGGGGAAAGAGGAAAGGAGAGATGTGATCTCAGGTAAAGTATAGCCTTGGCTGATGCCCAGGAAACTGGGGCATAAATCACACCTCCCACAATCACACCCCCCAAGAAACAACCTTGTTTCACCTTGAGGATATGTGCCCAGGCTTTTGTACCCCCAAACCAGTCAGCCATTGGTGACCCAGAAGGGTGGGGAAAGGTGGCGCTGTAACCCCAGCAGGTGGCTCCTATCAGCAAAGGGCAAGCCTCCAGAAAGAACCCAAAACACCTGAGTACAGATGCACCAACTGGCAAAGGAAATCTGGTGGAGCAACAACCATGTCTCCTACCCACCGTGATAATGAAAAGAGGAGGAGAAGGAAACAGGAAGAGAAGAAAATTTCAAACAAGTGCAGGCAATGTGGAAAGGACACAATTTTTAAGTGATGCTCCCCGCCCCAACTTGGAAGAATGGTGATTCAGGCAAGAAACTGCAACATTCTGGTAGAATACAATACCACAGTAGATTGAAATCATATGAAGGCATTTAAAAATTCCAAAATGGTTTTAATATAGGAGTTTAAGTAGATTGCTGCTTAGATGAACTCTCTATTTGCTCTGACCTCCCAAGAAAGTTTGAAGAGAAGGTACACTTAATTTCCTCCAACACTAATACTTTTCCCATACAAATGTGAGGCTTAAATGCAGCTGCTAGGTTTTCCCAAGAGATGGCTTAATTTTGGAATCTGATGAAAGAACTCTTTGGTCCGGTGGTCCAAATTACTGAGACACTCAGGGACAAGGAGATCTGTAAACTATGCTATAAAGACATGATGAAGATGCCAAAAGCAATTGCAACAAAAGCAAAAACTGACAAATTGGATCTAATTAAACTAAAGAGCTTCTGCACCTCGAAAGAAACTATTAACAGAGTAAACAGACAACCTACAAAATGGGAGAAAATTTTTGCAAACTATGCACCTAACAAAGTCTAACATGCAGCATCTAGAAGGAACTTCAACAAATTTACAAGACAAAGACAAACAACCCCATTAAAACGTGGGCAAAGAACATGAACAGACACTTTTGAAAAGAAGACATACAAGCAGCCAACAATCATATGAAAATAAGCTCACATCACCAATCATTAGAGAAATGCAAATCAAAACCACAATGTGATACCATCTTACACCTGTCAGAATGGCTATTATTGAAAAGGCAAAAAATAGCAGACACTGACCTGGTTGTGGAGAAAAAGGCACACTTATACACAGTTGGTGGGAGTGTAAATCAGTTCAACCATTTGTGTCCTTTCCATGTGGAAGGCAGTGTGGCGATTCCTCAAAGACCTAAAAACAGAAGTACCATTTGACCCAACAATCCCATTACTGGGTATATACCCCAAGGAATATAAATCATTCTATTATAAAGACACATGCATGCATATGTTGATTGCAGCACTATTCATAATAGCAGAGACATGGAGTCAGCATAAAAGCCCATCAGTGATACACTGGATAAACAAAATGTTGTACATATACACCATGGAGTACTATGCAGCCATAAAAAAGAATGAGATCATGCCTTTTGCAGGAACATGGATGGAGCTGGAGGCCATTTTCCTTAGCAAACTGAGGCAGGAATAGAAAACCAAACACCACATGTTCTCACTTACAAGTTGGAGTTAAATGATCAGAACACATGGACACATAGAGAGGAACAACACACACTGGAGTCTATTAGAGGATAGTGGGTGGGGAGGAGGGAGAGGCTTAAGAAAAATAACTAATGGATATTAGGCTTAATACCTGGGTAATGAAATAGTGTGTATAGCAAACCCCCATGACACATGTTTACCTATGTAACAAACCTATACATGTACCCCTGAGCTTAAAAGTATAAAAATAAAAACCTCTACCCTTCCTAGCTTTAATTTCTTGGTGATTCCAACAAATATGATAAACTTTCCAAATGTTCCTCTTCACTCAGTCATGCTCTGTGGGCTGTGCTGTGAGGGGTAGTTCAACAGCAGCACCTTGGTAGCAGAACAGTCTATGTCTGTCCGGAATTATTTCCATGCTTTGCAAGGCCTACGTCTACAAGTTCAAAATCTGCCGTCATTTCAGTGACAAAGTCAATCAAGTCCATTCTTGGATATTAAGTAGGTCAGAAAACTCTTTGGTTTTCAGCACATTCTGACCAGATTGTACAGACCCAACAAAGAGGATATTTTTCTCTTTAACTCCCTTACAATTTAGAGAGGAGAAGCCCCAAAGTAGATTGTGCAAATATTGAGGGGTATAAACACAGAATGTATAGAAAAAGGGGGAAAATGTTAGAAATGCTAGAAATAAGAAAGAAGTACATATTAAAAAGAGACATTTCAAAAACATCTTTCTCTTTACCAAGCAATTTGTTTCCGAACTTTTTCGTGGCTCCGGCTATAGCCTTCAGGAAACTTGATGATGTCATTTCCTTTCAATTGGCCAGTTACATAAATGTTGGAAAACAGCCATTTAAAACAGCCCTCAAACAGATGGCCATGTGTGTAAATGCCAGAAAGTGAGAACAGCCATTTGCAGTTATTTATTTATTTTTTTACCCCACACATGGTATAATGTTTATTTTACAGCCTCTCTTATGGACTTGTGTGGATCATTCTTGTCATTTTTCTAGGAAAAAAAAATCCCAGAGGAAGCAGTCACAAAATACAAAAGACAAATTATGAAATAATGAAAAATAAGGTAATGAACAGAAGTGAGCATCACGTTGGGAGAATATAAACCATCAAAGAGTGGTCCATACAGTGCTATTCAAATGATCAAACATTCTAGGGGAAAAAAAAATCTGTAACTGTCAGGAAGTTTCAAGCAAGGGGAATTTTTCAATGAGGAAGATAAATCCATCCTATGATCCGAAAGAAGTTAAAAATGGAATGCCTGCATGGTTTTTACCAAAAAAAAAAAAAAAGGCACACTTTATGTATTTACTTTTATTCCTTCAAAGCAAACTTAAATGTAGCTACAGAGTTCCTTCACAAGCACTGACCTACATATCCCCTTGTTCCAAGTACATATTGATGCAATCAAGAGAAGTTTACACTTTTGTAACTGTGAAGAATTTCAGTTATGCATAATAAAACACAGCAAGGAGTTTGAGCCTTCTCAGCTTCAAAAACTAAATTCTGTTCTTGTCTGCAAGGGCTGATACTAGCATTTCCTGTCCTTTCTACTAGTGAAAATTGTGTTATTTTAATAGCTAGTACAGCAAATGTTACGCAGTTTCAAAGAAAAGTAAGTTAATTCTTTGCAAATTCTATCAATTGGCTTCCTGTGTTTAATATTTAATTGAAATATTAAAATATATTTTAAAAATAAGCTTCCTGTATTTAATACTGTATTGAAATATTAAAATGTATTTCAATTAAATATTAAGAACATGTAAATTAAATATATATATATATACTCATTTAAATCCAGATGACATGGGTGTCAATAGGGAGAGAAAAAGTAAGGGTAAGCTAATCATTGTCCTTCTTTTGATGGTTTTCTTCTTTGTGAAAATATTTATTTCCCATGGGGATTAGAGAATTCAATTTCCCTTTCATTGGTGAAATTTCCACAAGTATGTAGCTATGCATTCTAAATTCTACTTCAGTATATAGCAGCAAAATGTCACTGACTTATTTGTTCACATATAATTATTAAACATCAAATATGGACCAAAAGTTGTGCTAGAAGTGGGTGATAAAGAGATACCAACTGAGGGATCATTTACCAAAACAAGTCCAATATTTTATAGACTGTCTATTTAAATATTACCTTTTTTTATGCTTCTACCTAGTTTTGAGCTATTCTAATACTTGAATTACAGGAAAGTATTTGGAACTCTGCTATTTCCCATGAGACTTCTATACCTCTTGGGTCAGGGAAGGACAGTTTTGGAGACCCTGCTACCTTTAGGTAGGATTATGTCCTCAAAAGGTTTTTGTGCTTACTTTGGACCCTGCTGCCTGAACTCCACCAAGCAGAGTAATAAGTTCCATATGCCCATTTTTTTGAAGAACACATTTTCAAAGCAGCAAATGTTTTGACGGATTGGCTCTTGGAGAGCCTGAATACTGTTATACACATCGTTTAGCATTTCACAAGGCCCCTACTGTTAAATTCTGGGAATGGGGCCAGGGTAACCTACCTACTGGTGCTCTAAGTAACGTTAAAATATTGAGAATTCTTAACTATCATGCTTCACTAAGACATATTTGGAATGTGAGAATTTCTTTGCTGCCATGGAACCATGTGAATGTGTGTGTGTGTGTGCACATAAGTAAAAGAAACAGGCCCTTAGAGTCAATAAATTAACAAAAAATCTCAATGGTGGGACTTTTAAAATATTTAAACTTTTAAACCTTTCATCTAATGTAGGTGTTGAATTCTGATCATAAGCATACACATTTTGTGTGTGTGTATATGTATATATACATATATGTGTGTGTATATATATATTTATGTATATATATTATATATATATATGTATTTTCTTACTGACGTAGCTTATAAAGGAAGAGGTACAAAGAACTTAAAAATAAAATGTTAAGAATTATTGAAGAGTAATGCAATCCAGTGGTCTCTGATAGTATATATATATACACATACATATATACACATACACACACACACAGACATACAAGAAACAATAGAAAATGACAAAAATGCAATCATGAGTATACAGTAAGTTTTAGTGCTACTGTCTCTGGGTAAATAATTACTTGAAGACCTCCAACTGCCTAACATTATCATCTCCATGCCTCCTGTATTACTCATAACAAATAAGCATTCTTTCTCCCAGTGCTTCTCAAATTTGCTTAAATGTAACATTCACTTGGGATGACTCTTCTTCCCCCACCTCCACCCCAGGATTTTGATTTAGTAGATCTGGAATTGGGCCCTGGAATTTCTATTTTTAAAAATTACCTCAAGTGTTTCTTAGGACCCAGTATGAAAACAGCCAATAGCTAATACTATATCTGTATATTGTCATCAAATCTATTCTTCCTAACCATTTTTCTTTACATTTATTGGCTTCTGTATTACTTTCATGCAATCTATTCCTATGCTAAAATCTCATTTATATTTGTTCATCTGATCTTTCTCATTGTTTCAATATCTTTCTGCTTACAGAAGACATTATATACAGTGATGTGAGTGTTTGGCTGAACTAAATTTTAAAATTATTATTCATGGTAAGAAAAGATTCACCATGGTAGCATATTTTCTTACAGACGTAGTTTATTAAGGAAAAGGTACAAAGAACTTAAAAATAAAATGTTAAGAATTATTGAAGAGTAATACAATCCAGTGATGTCTGATAGTATAAAGCAATGGAAATTTTTTACTTGATTTATTAAATATGGAATGCATAAGGAGTCATTATAGCCAGGAATGAAGTCAGAACTTTAAATTATAATTGCAGCTACATCCTTAAGAACATTGAGATCTTGGGCCTGTTATCTTCTCTAAACTCTCAGAAGCCCCTTTTTCTTCATCTGTTAAAAGATTAATAGAACTAATTTGATAATTAGGGAGATAATCTATAAAGAGCCTGACATGTAGTAGGTGACCATAAATTACTAGGTTTGTTATTAGCACTAAAATTATTATGAAAATATTAATTGATGGACTACTATTGGTTGGGCATGTACAAGATAGTCCAAGTTCCCTGAGCTATGGAAATCCTAGTAGGGTGGACAGAAAATAAACAAGTACTGAATGTAAATAGAAAATAGTTTCAAATGTCACTAAATGTTAAAAAGAAAATAAAACAGAGTAAGGTTTTGAGTTAACAAGGTGTTGGCAACATTAATGGCCAGAGATAACCTGTTCAAGGAGGTGATATGACACTCTCTTGATACTGAATGATGAAAAGGAAGCTGTTGTTCATGATCTGAAGAGGAAGCTGTTGTTCATGATCTGAAGAGGCATTCTGGATGGAGGTGGGCATGTGTGTATTGTTTACAATAAATGTAAAGAAGGCCTGTGTGGATGGACCTGGTGGCCTGGTGGGATACGATGGAATAAGAAGTAGGGCAAGGATCAGGTGGATGCTTCCCTATTTAATTATTTCTTTCAAAATTGGAGACTGGCCAGGCACGGTGGCTCATGCCTGTAATCCCGACACTTTGGGAGGCCAAGCTAGGTGGATCACTTGAGGTCAGGAGTTCAAGACCAGCCTGGCCAACATGGTGAAACCCTGTCTCTACTAAAAATACAAAAATTAGTCAGATGTGGTGGCACTGGCCTGTAGTCCCAGCTACTTGGGAGGCTAAGACAGGAGACTCTCCTGAACCCAAGAGTTGGAGGTGGCAGTGAGCCAAGATCGTGCCACCGTACTCCAGCCTGGGCGACAAAGCAAGACCTCATCTCAAAAAAAAATAAAATAAATTGGAGACAAACATATTTGTATTTTAAAGGATTAAAAATATACATTCTCATTTGAGGGTAGGGGGAGGGAAAGTACTTTTAAGTTGTGTTTTCTTTGGTTTAGTTTCTTAAGGCTTATGTTCAGGGTAGAAATTATTTGTGTTTGGCCTCTATTCTGATTGGTGGGAGCTCATAACATATCTTTTGTTACGTATTTAGAAAATCGCTGCTTGTATCTGATATTTCATTTTCTAAGAAAAATACCAATGGATTTTTTTTTAAACCCAGAACAGGGAATGTACCCAGTGGCCTGTCAGTGAGGGAAGAAATCATAAAATGCTTATTTAGTTAGAATTTCATGCTCAACTTCCTTCCCTGTTTTTAGAAGTAATTATGTTCGGTTATTGACGGCTGTTTAGCTTTCTAGCTGAATTGCCCAAGCTTTTAAGTCACTACCTACTCAATTATGAGAACTTTGTGATCTACCATAAGGAATGCTGCTTTCTAGTATAGTGAGCAATGACATATATATTCTCAGGAATAATTTCTATACATTTCTATAAATGAGGCACATTAGACAGCAGAAATATCAACTGTATCATTTTAGATTAAAAATGAAGAGTTTTCACAGGATTATGAAATTTCAGAATTGGAAAGTGCCATTGAAGTTTACCAGTCCAAACCATCATTACAGAAATGAAGATAAACTCAAAGCAAGCCACTTTCACATAATCACTTAGATCAAAAAGACAGGATTCTAACTAAAATTCAAATTACCTAATTTTCCTGGCTTTTGCTCTTTCTATAAATAAAAACACAGGATCACATATGTTTGCTGTGTGTGAAGAAAACTGAATTCTTATAAAGAATAAAGCTTGAAAGAAAAACAAATTAAGTCATTCATTTAATTATTATTATCTAAGTACATTTTACTAAACCTTTAGCCAAGACCAAATAATCCTTATTGATCCACGCTTCCAACAACATGGGCTTCATTTTCAATGCATTTTCATATTTTAGTAGTCCTAAAATATGAAAAATAAAGACTAAATGTGTATGCTTACTTTGCAAAGGGGTTTGGAATAAATATTTAGAGGAGTTTGGAGCAAAGATTTAGAGGGGGTTGGAGTAAATATGAGTGCAGATCTCAGTTCTCAGGTCGTAATTGTAGCAGATTCACCTATTTTAAACCTGTGAAAGGCTATGGCAATTACCTACTGAAGTCTTCCATGGGGTTACAGCGCAAGGGCTTTATATCAGGATGGAGTGCTTGCTTCACCATTTACCAATTTTGTGTCTCTGTTCAAGTGACTTAAACTCATTGAGCCTCAATTTCCTCATCTGTAATAGAGAGTCATAATAGTATCTTCCTCAAAGGATTGTTGGGAGGATTAATTGAGATAATTTGGGGCACAGAATAAGCACTAAGGAAGTATTAACTGCTTTCATAATTATTGGAATTCATAGTGTGTATCAGTGAAGTAATCTTGTAAAAGGTGTTTGAGATTAAAAACACAAATAAGTCAAAGACGCTTTCAGGTAAATTCATGAGTTTTTGAAGGGATTTCAAAACTAGGACCCTACTTTTTTTTTTTTTTTTTTTTTTTTTTGCCAAACTGTGAAATGGATTTTTGAAATACAATAGGGCTAATGGGGCTAATGGTAGCGATGTAATTACCCAGGGTAATTTTATTGTGGGGCCTACGGTATCCAGCGTTTAATAGTGGATCTAAATGACACAGAAATTCAAGGTGTTCCATATCAGTCATGAACATCTACAGTGAGATGTTAGACTTTGTCGATATCTCAAAAGTGGAGTAGACAATAGACATTAATGTTTGGAACAGGTATACACACATTAAGGTGTCAAACATAGGGGAAGAGAGGAAGACAATGAATATTCATCAAATGCTTTCTATGAGCTAAGCTTTGTTGGAGTCACGTGGACATTATAGCATTTATTCTCCCAATACCCTTTGAAGAGGCTTGAGCTTCTAACCTGGTTCTATATCCAGTGAGGGCATCCAGGCATGAGAAGTAAGATAGCATTCATGAGTTTGGTCAAGTAAATCCAAAGAAAGGTTTGTGAGTGACTTTTATTTATTTATTTATTCTGAGACAAGTGGCAAACCAAAGGGCTTGCAAAGTTTCTAACTGGATGATAGCGTTGTTTCTTGGACCTGGGATTAAAGTTTTTTACCCTTCCTTCAAATGCAGCATCAGAGATGAAGCCTGGGGCTAGAAAAAGTGTCTTGCCCATAAAGGGAGGATTGAAATATAAATATGTGTTGTCCTAACTGCTGACATAACCATCACTGTTTCACATCTTTCCAACCTAGAACTTTCTTTTGTCTTCCCTGGCCACCAGGAATTGCTGTTCCCTAACATTGATTTTGGTGAGTTTTCCCTTTTCAAACCCAAGTTTTCATCTCTAGAAATACAACATGTCAAATTAGCCACTGACAAGCTTCAAACACAGCTCATTGGCTAAACAGTGGTTATTATTTATAGGCAAAATAATCAAACTCTAGCTCTGCTCCAGTGAAGAAGAATGAAGATGGGTTTAAAGGTCACAAAAGTTACAGGGAATTAACATTTAATGGCTCCTCACCATGTGGTCAGGGGAAATCTGAAGGTGAAGGTCTAAGCTATTATCACATTTCAAGAACCAGCACAACCAAGATATAATCAATCTAGTGGCTCTCCATTCTAAATGAATGTTAAACAGAAATAGTTCTATTACTATACCAACAGGATAATTAGAACACTAGCCAGTATTTATTGAGCACTTAACATAGGCCAGCCCTGTATTGGCACTTTATATTTGATTCTCTTATGAGTCTATGAAGTAGGTATTATCATTTCTGTTTGCAGTAAGGAGGCTGAAGCTTAAAGATGATGTTATATAACTTCTGCAAGTTCACATAGCGGCAGTGTGGGTCATAAAGGCCAACTGGAACTGAGGGTGGGACTTGGGCATAACTTATCAGTGGATCTAATTCCCTCTTTATGAGTCAGATATTTAAACTTCTGCAAAAGGCCTATTGTTCCAGCAGCTGGGACAACACACACTTATATTTCTATCTTCCTTTTGTGTTCTAGGGAACTCAAAATAGGGAGGTAGATTGTATAGCACACAGTATAAAAAACTAGTATTTTATAGTGAACATAAACTTTATGATACAGCTGAGTCAGACTTAATTCCCCCTCAACCCGATAAAATGCCTCTGCCTCAAACATTCTAATTCACCTTGAAAACATCAGTGCTTATGAATCCTTCAACCATGAATTTACCTGAAACCTTCCTCAACTTATTTGTATTTTCAGTCTCAGCCATCTATTGGAAGATTACACATGATACAAATTCCAATGATAAAAAAAGTAATCAATACTTCTTTAGTGCTTATTCTGTGCCCAGAATTACCTCAATTAATCCTCACAACAATCTTGAGAGGAAGGTACTATTAGTACTCTCTATTAGAGATGAGGAAATTGAGGTTTAGTGAAGTTAAGTCGCTTGACCAAGGACACAAAATTAGTAAATGGTGAAGCTGGGTCTCAGTCTACCTCTGAGTCCACAAGGCACACTCTAAACCCTGATACTTAAAGTGTGGTCTGTGGACCAGTAGCATGGCATCATCTGAGAACTTGTTAGAAATGCACAATCCTAGGACTCACATAGACAAACTAAATGCAAATTTGTATTTTAACAAGATCTGCAGGTGCTGAGGATACACATTGAAGTGTATCCTTGACTGGGGGTAGGGTGACCAGTTGTCCCAGATCACTGAGGACTGAGGGTTGTTTGGGATATGGGACTTTCAGTGTGAAAACCAGACAAGTACTGGGCAGGACTACTGTGCTGTGCTCTCTCTGCAGGGGTCAGTGAGTATTTTTTGCTTTCAGTTAGCGCATCCTATGCTCTGTTTCAACCTGCCTCACAGTTACAGAAGTTTGTTGGATGTATCTTCAGAGATACTGTGGATGGGAACCACCACTGACAAAAGATGAATTCTAAGCTCCCAATTCCGTGGGAGTGAACAATGTCTATATCTGGGTTTCTAATACTTGGTGTTGGACCTAAGCTATGATAGGGAGGATGTGTTTTCCCTTTCACAGATCTTCCTAACTCCATTATAATCCCAAATCAACACATGATAATTGCAAATAAGAGCATTCCTGCTCAGTGTCTTATGGGTTTATTTATTCAGTTCTTGGGTTGGTTTTTTTAAAGTTTCAGTAAAATCCAGATATGTAGAAAAAAGAACCCTCATTATTTTCATATTATTTCCGTAAGGAAAAATTTAATCCATATGTTTATAATTCATTCAAACGTCATCATGTTATTGCTTTTTCAAAACTATTAAGCCTTAAGCCATTGCTACTGATTTCTTCTCATGAAATAGAATTTGGAGATTTTGTAACCTAAATCATAGTCCAAAAGAGGGAGCTTATCTTCAGCAAAGATAGCCTATGGGTTCTTCATGTGAGTTTTAGAATGCTTCTTTGTCCTATGGGGGAAAAATTTGTCTATTTTACACAACTCTATTTACATATAGAAAAATACAAAACATTTTAGTATATGGAACAAGATCATTTTCCTATTTGGCTTTAATTTACTTTGTGGGGAATGAGAAGGTCTTGGAATTGCTCTCAGATGTTAATGTCCTGTGAGAGACCACTAAAACTTTCAGTGGCCAAGACTAAATCTCCCTGTCAATTTCATTATTTCTCCTCTGAAATTTTGAACCATTGCTTACACTCCTATTTGGCACTAGCTCTACCTATATTTCATTGCTATTTATTCTGAGGCCTTTATCGTGCCTCTCAACCCCACTAAGAAATTTTAATAACAGCACTGTCCTTTATTCATCTATTCAGCAAACATTTACTGAACTCCAGCAATGTGTTAGGTCTTGCATGGAGTAGAATTGAAATGTCATTGGTACCTTAAGTAGCTATTAATCTGTTAGATAAAACTCAGAAAAATAAGCACACTATAGTATAGATCAGGTTAAGTGTCATTACAGATATGCATTAAAAGAATGTGGAAATTCAAAAGTCCCACAGAGTTCTTCTTACTGGAAGGATCATGGAAGAATATTAGGAAAAGGATCATATTTTGAATTTGTCTTCTACAGAGATCTACAGAGAGGCAAGCCACATACAAAAAGTCCCAGGGCAGGAAAAGAATAAGACATGCAATAAGTATAAAACATGTCCAATGTGGCTGGAGTGTATGAAGAAGAACTAGGAGAGATGAGGTTTTAAAGGAATTATTTTCTTTTTTTAAATTATACTTTAAGTTCTGGGGTACATGTGCAAAATGTGCAGTTTTGTTACATAGGTATACATGTGCCATGGTGGTTTGCTGCACCCATCAACCTGTCACCCACATTAGGTATTTCCCCTAATGCTATCCCTCCCCTGGTCCTCCACCCCCGTCAGGCCCCGGTGTGTGATGTTCCCCTCCCTGTGTCCATGTGTTCTCGAGATTTTAAAGGAATTTGTAACCTGATCATGTGGGTTAGGATGTAATTCAGACAGGAGATCATTGAAGGTTTCTGAACAAGGAATTGTCATAGTGTGGCAAAACTGTTCATCTAGCAGAAATAACCAGGAAGGGCTGAAGCAGGAAGATAAACTGACCGTGCAAAACTTATTTGAAGACCATTAAAATAGACCCAGGAGAAGCAATGAAACCTGCATTAGAATCTTTTTCTCTCACCTTTCATCGTTGGCCTTTCCTTTTCTCAGACACATTTGCCTGTGATTCATCCATCTGACCTACAGTACCTTTGAAGGAATCATGTTTGATTTTTGCTTTTCTTTCACAAAGAGTCTTCAAATGATTTGTCAGGAAGTACACAATAGGGTACGTAATATGGTTTGGCTGTGTCCCCACCCAAGCCTTGTCTTGAATTGTAGCTCCCATAATCCCCATGTGTCATGGGAGGGACCCACTGGGACATAATTGAATTATGAGGGTGGGTTTTTCTCATGCTGTTCTCATGATAGTGTATAAGTCTCACAAGATCTGGTGGTTTTATAAAAAGCAGTTCCCCTGCCCACGCCCTCTTGCCTGCCACCATGTAAGATATGACATTTCTCCTCCTTTGCCTTCTGCCATGATTTTGAGGCCTCCCCAGCCATGTGGAACTCTGAGTCCATTAAACCTCTTTCCTTTGTAAATTACCCAGTCTCAGGTATGTCTTTATTAGCAGCATGAGAACAGACTAATACAGTAGGTTTAATAGAACACACAGAAAGTATTGTTTTGAAAACTATCATTTTAAAAAAAATTAGCAACTTTCCTTTATAAAGGACATATCACACCACATGTGGTGTCTGTGTGCTCTCTTTCATTCTCAAAACAGTCCCATGAGAAAAGTATTATTATTTCCATTTTACTGATGTGCAAACTGTAGCTTAAATAGGCTCATTTCATGCATTCTCTAAGGATATTATGCGAATGTTGTTTTCTGCAGGAAGAATCCAGAATTCTCTCATTCTGAAAGAGTTTATAACCTTTCTCTATTCTTAGTTCTAGTTTTTAGTCAGAATGAAGTAATAATCTTTTGGTGTCCATTAATCTGGAGGAAACCCCAACTAGAAGAGCTGTGAAGGAAAAACAAGGAGCCAAGATTGGGTTGGCAACCTTAGGGCATAAGGTTCCAGGTGACAGTGGATGGAAATGGGGCAGAAAATTGGAACGGTTGATGACATTGTCCATATTTCATTTAAATTACTCCTTATAATGCAATTGCAGATGTTGTAGGAACATAAAGATATTGCATCTGAGGCCTTTAAAGCAAGTGTTCTCAACTGAATAAAATTCATTTGACTAAATGGGAGAACTGAGGTAAAGTACAACATGCTCAGTATAGACAAATAATCTTTGAGCTTCTGTTGTCACCTGTTCCTGCCATCAAGCCTCCCTTAGAATGGCCACCACTGTGAGTCCAGCAGCCAGCAGGTTTCTGAACTGCATGCAAAATCAAGAAAACAAAATATTCCTTCTTTTTGAACTGACTATAGCCATGGAGTACGCTGTGAAACCAGATCAGTTTGAATAATGAAAGCATGAAATCACTCCCCATTTTTCACAGGAAAGACTGGAATATTTAATAGAAACCAGGCAGGAGCTGGATATATGAATCCATTTCATCAAAATGTGCCTTTAACTAGAACTTTGTTGGAAAGAATTGTGGATTCTTCTTGGAGGCTCTAAATATTCCTGTGGCATCCTCAAAAATAGAGGAAGGCTAAAGATTAGTGCCCAGTGAGGTCGAAGAGCCCGTTAACCTTTTGCTCATGGCTAGACTCTATTCCAGGGTTTTTTCTCCTGCTATAGTCTCTAACTCACACACACTACATTCCAGTTGTATGTATGAAGATGATACCACATTTCAAAAAGTCTCTTTTCTTAGAGGTGGACTAATTACATAATATGGTGCAATAAACTGCCATATTCATCATGGTTTTCCACTTCACAGAACTGGAAGCCAAGCAACAGAGGAAAAGCTTCCTTAAGTTTTTAATGGGGTGGAAAATTTTGACTGTAGAGAAAATCTGACTATAAACAATTTATTCAGTATCCATCCATCCATTTTTTTTTCCCACAAATAGGTGTTACATACATGGCAGTCTGCAAAATGCTATGGGGAAACTTTTCAAAAGTAATTATTTATAATTAAAAAGAACACTTATATGACACATTCAAAAAAATGTGAACAATACTTTTGGATATCAAAACAGAAATGACCTAAACCATGAAAATCCAATCCTAGGTTGGGTTTAGTGAAATTTGTATTCACAAGATGAGGATGATAATAATCACAGGATATGCTCATAGCATTTCATTAGTGTATGTGGTCATGTCATTTCCAAGTGCTGGATGTGGAATAAATCGTCCACTTGACTCTTAAAATGTTATGTCTCAGGTGTAATTAGTTATGTATCTTTTGCCCATGGCTCTCACTCCATGGTCATTGCCCAGATGCTTACCCAGGCCATTGTGGAGGGTGGGGAGTCACTGGAATCATGGGAGCCCTTGCTCTTAATCCTTGTTTTTTTTCAGTACAGTCACCCTACCTGAGGGTCTACTACATTTGGGAGAATAGCAGCTCTCTCTTTCTCTAGTCCCCATCATCTGTCCACCTTCCTGTAGTGAGACCACTCCTCTTTAAAGCCTCAGGAACCTTTTCCATGTTAGAGAGGGCAGTTTTAACACCTCTAGAGGTTAACACTTAGAAAAATGAAGAAAAAATGACTTTTCCCCTGAGTCAAGAGAAATCCCGACTCATGAATTCAAAGGTTCATCTTTTCCCTTAAGAGGAAGCTGGAAACAGATCTCCCATTTTTTTCTGTATCACAGATAATTATATTTGCAGACATTATCCGTATCTATATACTTCTCTATACACCATATAAATATATATATATCTTTATATCATCATCTGTCTCTCTCTCTCTTTCTACCTATATCACAGATAATTTCTTAATGGATAATTTGACATATTGAGTTGTCAGTACGTTGTCTTGATATGTTAATTTTTCTCCTACTAGCCACACTATTCCCTCGGAAATATTACAAAAATCAAAGACATTTGAGACTGTAAAGAACCTCAGAGTTGACTTATTTCTTAAGCTTCACATTTTTAGCACAACATTCATAATTTTTATTATATTCACATAACATGGTCTATGATTTTCTTGATATATTTCTTTAAATCAACTCATTTATTTTGCTAAAATATATTAAAAATAAATTTGCATAAATGAAATAGTACTAACAAAATATTGTGTGAAAATGAATACAATTTTTAAAAAGCATTATTTATCAGTCATAGCTTCTACAGTATGCAAAGACCCTGAGTCTGAAACAGCTAGTGGCTGCATCCCTTTGTGACCAGAAAGAGAATTTAAAAGGAAATAACTTTCTTACCATGTGATTTAATCTTATTTAATTCAGGGTCTATGTGTTACCTTAAAAAAAAAATCACATCTCATGCTTTGAGAAACACTGATCTAGCTTATTCCCTTCAATTTACTAATAGAGAATTGAGCCCTGGAAATTGGGTTTAGACACCTTGTTCCTGGTAGAGAGGAGACTAGTCTTTGGGTCTCTTGACTTTGAGTTTTATGCACTTACCCACCACAGCCTTGCCTAGAGTTATTATATATCCTTCCATAAGTCTGTGCCCCACCGCTCTCACTGGATTGCAAGGTCACTGAGGTCAGGAGCTATGACAATGCTCTTTGCATACTGCCCTGCACATGGTGTTTTCCCCTCATTAAGAAGTGAAGTTTGGTTTGATGTGAAATGCCAGTGGTACATCACCAAGAAACGTTTGTGAGGAAATCTGAATTGTCCCTCTGTTGCCTCCAGATTAGGATAGATGGGGCCATCCTTGCCAAACATTATGCAAGAGTGCTTGGGTGTCTGAGGCGTAGTCTCTGCCATCAGAAAAGTCCAGGTAGTGACAGGCAGGATGGGCCACCGAACAGGGGGAAGAGTTTCATAGGCACAACTCTAAGAAAGGCAAGAAATGCAATAGCAGTGCTTTTTACACAGAATCAAAGGAGCACAGGTAAATAACCATTATGAGAACAAACACAGATGAGGAGTTGAAGAGAAGTTTGGGGGAAAGTGAAGGAAAGGAAGAAGAAGAGTTGGAGGTAAAACACATTTGTTCAGCACACTAGGACTGCTGAGAGAGGGCTTCTATGCAGCTGATGGAGGGCCAGCTAAGCTCAAACTAAAACCATGGAGGAACCTCTGCTGTAAAGTTCAGATTAAGAGTATAATATCAACATTCAGAGCTACTCAAAACAAGGTAAATCAGTAGGAATGACTTCCAAAATCTGTGTCTATCCTATATAGCTGGCTTGCTACATTGGTTTGCAGTCTCCGTCTCTGGCCTGCTTCACACAGCTGTCCTGAGGTCATGGTGGTGTCCTGATGATTTGTTATAGGAGAGACTCTGGAACGCCATGTGAGAAGCTTGCAGGGATGAACCATCCAAGCCTGCAGCCAATGGAGAACAAGTTACAGAGCAGCCTCCGCCCAGCAGATGAGGTGGATCCAGCCGTGCAGCCAGAACTGACAACAAATTTCCTTTTGTCCCATATAGGAACTTTTCTTTGCTTCTTAACTTGCCTTAAGGCCAATTTATTTGTATGAACTTATGTTTCCGAGAAAAGTTGTTCCTTGGGTAATATTCATCTACAATTTCCCTTCATTACTATTTTACTGTAAACAGGAGAGAATTCAGGGCAGCTGCTTTGGCAGAATCTATTACTACTGTGTTTTTATGAAAATCTAGCAGCTTTTCACCCCCGCCCCCCCCGATTTTAGCTCCTTTCAGCTTCCCACCCCTACACCCCTACCACCCATTCCTACGCTTCTCTTTCTCTGGACTTGCCTTATTTCTTTTGGAGATGTTCTTTGACTTGTCAACCAACCACAGAAATTGGCGCTGCTATGTTGGAGCCTTATGGGGCCCCTGGAGAGGATTCACAGTTATGTCAGAGGGCGGAGATGTCCAAGTTCATGCCAAGAGAACTAATTAGCCTCTAATAAAAAACCATCCCCAGAGAATGCAACAGTCTTGGTGTTAGAACAAAAGTCACAGGCCAAACTTCCCACCTCTGTTGCTTATTCCATTCCCAGATATAAGAAATTAATCTTTTCATACTTGTCTTATGGACTTGACAAATTCAGTAACTTCTATCATCTAGTCAAATTATTGGTCCTTTGAATAATCCTTTGGAAGGGGGCTCATGACCCCTACATCAGAAATCACCTCTCACTCATGTCTTTACCTCCAAAATCTAGTACAGTAGGTACAGAGCTAATGCTCAAAACAGAAGTTTTGCCAAATGAGTGATTCATGAGGATTTCCTCAGAAATATTCCAGCAAGTTAAACTTGAAAGTGAAGGAAGCATTGTACTATATAGATGGCTCACAACTTTCTCATATTTTGACCCACCATTTAAGCTACATTACCTATAGATTTTCCATAGGCCACTCATAGTTGAAATACCCATAGACTATATGTGATTTGGTGGTAGTATTCTTGGCAGTATTTTGTGAATTCTAAAGTGCAAAGATGTTGTTTGAATCTACATGACTTACTAATTGAACTAATAGTTCCTACAGCCTGTGGAAGTACTGTTATTGCTATGAGGCTTTCCAAGCTATTGGCTACATGCACTTGCCTGGAGAAGTACCATACGGATAAGAAGAGGAGGCACTGAGAAGTAGAAGAAGGTGGAGAGTGCTAACCTGTATATAGGACAGGTCTCAAAAAGCAAAATGGCAACATAAACAGCTCAAAGCACAGATTTGAAGTTTCCAGGGTCAGCAGTGCTAGCCATGGGAGTCTGATCAGGTAGCTAAGGCATGGTAACAGGATTCTAGGCTGAGTGGTTTTCATCGGGTGAGCTACAATCAGTACAGTGATTCTGATTGGTCTCTCTAGCTTAAAGCTCAATTCCTGGGAATAACTGGGAAATGCAGGTAGGAAGTTTCCAGTGTAAGAAAAACAGTTTGATTAAAAACTAGGCAATTGGCCAGGTGTGGTGGATCATGCCTGTAATCACAGCACTTTGGGAGGATCACTTGAGATTAGGAGTTTGAGACCAGCCTGGGCAACATGGCAAAACCCAGTTTCTACAAAAAATACAAAAATTAGCTGGGTGTGGTGGCATACACCTGTAGTCCCAGCTACTTGGGAGGCTGAGGTGGGAGGATTGCTTGAGCCAGGGAAGCAGAGGTTGCAGTAAGCTGAGATCGCACCACTACACTCCAGCCTGGGTGACAGAGTGAGACTGTCTCAAATTTTTAAAAATTGAAAACAAAAACAGGCAATAACCTTGCTATAGGTTGAATTGCTTCCCTCTTCAAAAAAAAAGTTTATATATTGAGGTCCAATCCTGTAGAGCCTCAGACAGTGGCTTTATTTGGAAACACAGTTATTGTAGATATAATTAATTAAAATAAGAACATACTCATACTGGAAGACGGTGGGCCCCTAATCCAATATAACTGATCTCCTCATGAAAAGGGAAAAACTGGACATAGACATGCCCACAGGGAGAACACCTTATAAAGATAAAGGAGTAAATCAGGGTAACTAACAGGAGCCAAGAAACATCAAAGATTGCCAGCAACACACCAGAAGCTAGAGAGAGACATGGAACATATTTCTCCCTCAGCCCTGAGTAGAAGCCAACCCTGTAGACACTTAGATCTCAGACTTCCAGTTTGCAAAACTGTGAAACAATACATTTCTGTTATTTAAACCACCAGATTGGTGATACATTGTTAGGACAACCCTAGGAAACAAATGCAAACCCCAGTTAAACTGGCAAAGCTCCAGAGAACTGGGATAAAAGATGGAGACAGCAAGGCAGAAAGATAGTCATGGGGACAAAGAAAATGGGGCAGAAGTAAGGAAGGGATGGCTGCAACTCAGCCAAGTCATCTCAGTCCCACCTTGCAAATCCTGGATACTGGAAATAGAGCAAGCCTGATCTCACACACTACCAGCTAGTGGCCCCAACCTTCTCCTCTACTAAATACTTGGCCAAACTAATTCAAGGCCTAAGGAGGCTGAGAACATAGGCTGGAACCCCTTTTGGCTGTAGGGAAAGGTAGCAACCAACCTGTTGGTATCTTATGGAGAAGGCTGAATCAGAGGCTGTTGCCAGCCAATGTCAAGTTTGCATTTCTTTTCTTAACACCTTCTTGCAAACCCCAGTCCACCCCAAGATTTCAATGATAATTTCTAACATTCTCTATGTTCTTAAAAGAGATTTGATTTTTGATCTGAGTATGCCTGCCAGTAACCTAGACTTCCCAAACATCTCTCTTGCAAACCCCACCCCCAATTTTTGTTTATAATATTTCAAATTCTTTTGCCTCTTGAATTTAGTTCTTTATATACCTATCACTAGCCTGGACTACTTGATTAGCTATGTGGTTCCTTACATGGCTCTACCCTCCCATCTCTAGATTAGTGTCCTTCTCTTTGGCCTCCTGTAGCTGACTAGCCACACCCAAGACACTATTTCTGCTAAGTTCTGTCTCATGAGAGAGGACACCTCCCAAGCAGGGAGCCCACAGACAGATTGGGAAATCATATGAGCCAAAACAGCTGCTGTTGGAGAGTTCCATAACTCTAACGTGCTACAAGTACAAAAATTACTAGCCATCTAGAAGCATACAATTTTAAAGTAGAAAAGCACTTCAAAAATTTATTTAATACAACTCTTATTTTATAGGTAGAGAAACAGATCTTCAATTTCATCATAAGCACCGAGCTGGTAATTTGAAGAGCAAGCCTATTGGTGCTGCAGTTTCCACTTTTCGTGGTAGAACTTTGCAGTACGTTCAGGGCAGCCGGTTTGATAGAGAGGAATCAACAAGGGTGGCTTTCACAGCAAAAGGAGAGTAAATGACTACTCTCGGCACAGATATGGGGCAGGCGTTAGCTCTAGAGAGTGCTTGCTACTCTCTAGTCTTGCACAAGACTTGCCCAAAGGGGGCTGAGGGAAGCAGGAGAAACACCATGGAGTCCCAGGGCAGCCAAGGTGACTGCTCTCAGACACACAGTGAGCCGGTGTTCAGGGGCTCATAGAAGTAGCTTGTGACATGGGTAAGGTGATAGGAGAAAAGGCTTTAAAAAGGAGTTGAAAGTCTTATTTCCACTGAATTGAGACCACATTAGGGAATTAATGTAGCGATTGTTCTCAGACTACTGTGTAGGAGACCCAGAGAGCCATTCCCAAAGGTCCTGATTTAGGGCCTTCAGCATAGGGACTCAGGAACATATATTTTTAACAAGTCCCACCTAACTCCATGATTCACACCAAAATTAGCGATCCATCACTGCATGTGAATACAAAAATGACCCAGTTTATATCCCAGGCTTTTGTAGCCTGTGTGTGACTATGTATTTGCTCTGGGGTCAGGATACAGCGAAGTGGGAGAAGGTGATATAATTTTTAAAATAAGAGCTTAAATTTGTAAAATTTAAATGTAAAAGAAACATGAAAAGCATTGTTATTTATCACTTATAGTAACACCAGTGTGTAATTTTGCTAAAACATTGGCATATAAAATTATGATTCAGTCAAAGAGTTTGAAGAAGGGTCTTAAACTGCCAGTGACAGGGAGCAAGGAAAAAGCACAATGAATGACTTTCATTTCCTTGCTACCACGTGTGGAGCAAACGCAGCTCAGTAATCTGATGGACTTCCTGTAATCCCAGATACTGACAGTGCCCAGCCTGTCAGCACCTGAGCCCCTTAAACAGCTTTATCAGCAGAGTTTCCAAGTAGAATAAAAAGGCAAATTGTCCATGGCTGCCTAGAACTGAAACTAGATATGCCGACCTAGGGCAAGAGCAAACCTAACCATGCCCAAGACACACACACACACACACACACACACACACACACACACGAAACACATGTTAATTTTTTAAAAACTATCAGAATGTAGGAGTCGCATGGTTACTACTTGTGCAAACAGGTGGCACTTAGTCATTCTTCACAGCTGATGGATTTTTTTTCCCTTTAGCCTTTTGAGCTACATTAAAAATAAAATAAAATAAAAGAGCAATCACAGGGTCTGCACTGAAATGAGAGGGACAATGAACTGGAACCATCCACATTCCCGCATTTGCCCCTTCTGCCCTGCTTGTAGAAATGCATATATTTTTCAAAAAGCAGGAAAAAGTTTGAAACCCTGTGAAAATTTTATAAATTGTTCCTGTGAATCACTCTAGAGTCATCCAAAAGGAGGCCTCCGCATCCCATTCCAGTAAATGTTATTCCAGTTCACGGCTGTGCTTGCTGGCTGCGGAGAGCTCGCTGGGAATGACTTGGCCCTTTGGGTAATGGCCTTTCCCTGCCTGCTGGAAAGAATCCAGCTTGACTTTAAGAACTAATATCATCTTTTGCATTTCAGTTGTTGGTTTTTATTAACCAAATGTGTCTGCTGAAGATATCTTGACTTAAATACTAAAATGTCCATTTGAATCTGTTTCTGTATCTTAGTAATCATTTTTTTCAAAATATTTTCATCCATGGGTAGGTATTGAATGCCCACCTTGCTCTCAGCACTGCACAAACATTATATGGAAATAAGCATTCTGTTGCAATTATAAGACTTATATGCAGCTGACAACTTTTGCTTCTTTGAAGATTAAATATATGATTAAGTGTAAAATTAAGTAGACATTCAAATTCCAAAAGATTTACCATTTTTTATAGTTTATTAGACACATGAGGTGTCACTGTGTCACAAATCATCCAAAGTGAGGATGTTAAGCCCAGCTGTAAAAATAAGCTTTGGTTCACATGCCCAGAGCTTCAAATAATACTGGATTCTATGAAGAAATATTAGGCAGTAAGCCTAACATGTATACCATGTAAGTAATTCCACACTTTTTTTTAAACTCACGGTTTTTAATCTAAATCTGTAATCATGGTGGTACTGTAAATACCTTTGTTGCTTCTCAGTGTATACTCAGATTAGGAATGTTCTCATTTCATGTCTATGGATGACTCCCTGGTGATACCAGTAGTGGGAGAGGGTGTTTTTAAGGAGTAAAGTCATTGTTACTAAGTACATTTGAGTGAGACTAATGATAACTTTGCTGATGTGATGAAAATTTCTTTACTAATTTTTTTTAAATGTGCTGGGCCGGATTAACACAAGTTAAATATAAACTGCTCATGGCATAGACTTTCCCATGCCTCTCCCTGACTTAGCCACTGTATATCTGCCTGTTATTTCAGGACTACTTAAAAGCAGGATTAGACTGCTTAAAAGACAGAATAAGATTTGCAAGAAATGTACTGGGAGAGAAAGCAGGAGAAGACAAGGAGATATTTAAGATGGTAATGTCAGTCTGACACCAGTGGAAGGAGAGAGGGAAAGAAGAAGGATTTGGTAGAAGAGTCTCAGATGGCAGCATAATTCCAAGTAAGGTTTGGCCAGGCAATGGGAACTATCTGGGACTGTTGGAAAGTCCCATGTCTCACAGAAATTAGCCCTCATTAATTTCCTCCATCCCCACCCCACACTGTGCTCAGTCATTGGCTAGGAGTAGTTCTTGGGAGGCATGACCCCGGCACAAATACAATGATGGATCCGGAAGGACAGCCCCTGAAGCTGTCAGTCAGTTGGGTTCCCTACAACAGGTGACATAAGGAATCCATCTTACTGATCACCACTCTCTCAGTATAAACATTATTACAACCAAAGTATATGGAATACATGTATTCATTCATTTATTCAACGTATCTTTATAGAGCCTCTGCTCTGTGTCAGCTACCATGATCAGTACTAAGACTCTATGGGAAATAAGGTCTTTGTCCTCATGGAATATACTGTATAATTAATTCTTTTGAAAAATACTGCCTTAGGTGGGACACAGTGGCTCATGCCTGTAATCCCATCACTTTGGGAGGCCAAAGCAGGCAGATCTCTTGAGCCGAGGAGTCCAAGACCAGCCTGGGCAACATAGTGAGACCCCAACTCTACAAAAAGTACAAAAATTGGCCAGGGGTATGGTGGTATATACCTTTAGTCCCAGCCACTTGGGAGGCTGAGGTGGGAGAATCACTTGAGGCTGGGGAGGTTGAGGCTGCAGTGAGCCATTATCACACCATTGTACTCCATCCTGGGTGACAGAATGAGACCCTGTCTCAAAAGAAAGAAAGCGAGAAAGAAAGAAAGAAAGAAAGAGAGAGAGAGAGAGAGAGAGAAAGAAAGAGAGAGAGAGAAAGAAAGAGAGAGAGAAAGAAAGAAAGAAAGAAAGAAAGAAAGAAAGAAAGAAAGAAAGAAAGAAAGAAAGAAAGAAAGAAAGAAAGAAAGAAAGAGACTGCCTGAGAATTTGAGGATTGAGGATCTCTTAGGCTAAAGACATGCTGCTCAATTCTTTTTGTTTTCTTTTCTTTTTTTAAGAGCCAGGGTCTTGCTCTGTCTCCCAGGCTGAAGTGCAGTTGCATGATCATAGGTCACTGCAGCCTCCAAGTCCCGGGCTCAAGCAATCCTTCTGCCTCAGCTTCTTGACTAGCTTGGACCACAGGCATGTGCCACCATGCCTGGCTGTTTTTTTAATTTTTTGTAAAGATGGGAATCTCACTATGTCACCCAGTCTGGTCTCAAACTCCTGAACTCAAGCCGTCCTCCTGCCCCAGCCACCCAATTGTTGGGATTATAGACATGAGCCACCACACCCAACCCTGCCCACTTCTAATGGTTAAGAAAATGACTATTTTTAGCTCTTAATCTATAGTGTCTACTTTGGAGTTAAGTTTGTTTCATTTACTTGTTAGAATCTGCACAGAAATTCATTACAATCATAGAAAATAATCCTGCCTGTGCTCTACTCTTACATTTTTAAATTTTAATACATTGGGCTGAACAATTTATACACAGTATACGTCAGTGTTTCTTAAATATGTTTGTTCTCACAATCATTACAAATCCTGTGTTTTGTGGATTTTCTCTCTAATGGTTGAATGTGTTAGACAGAATGGGGATTGACAGAGATATGTAGACATGGGCGATTACAAGAGGGATGAAAAAAAAAAATTCTCGTTTTTTTCCCCAACTCATATTCTTTTCCTACCTCAATAGATGTTCATTCCCATGAATTTCTACAAAGCCTGAAATTCCATCATAAAATATGAATTCCTTTGAGATAAGAATTAGCCTCTCCAGGCATTTTTTTTCACATTGCCAACCTTTTGAGAAAAATAATATACACCTCTGTGTGGATAATGCCATCAGCACACTTTTCCTGATTATTGCACAAGTGGAAAGCATTTACATTGGGATCACTAGATTCCTGGAAGTGAGAAGGATCAGAATTGATAAACTATAAGTTTGCCTGTGGTCAAGATAGAGAAAGCAAAAAAAGCAGAAGTTACAACATCATCCGTGAGATTAATGGTCATGATAAACTCGATCTGCTAGAACCCAACAGGAGAGTTGTTTTTGAACATAGTCTGGCATTTTTCCAATTCTGTCATTGGAAAGATATGCAGAAAAGTGCACATTTAAAATCCTGATTTTGCAGAACAGTGAAAAACTAGATAACACCAGCCTGTCAAGTTGAATAACTATGGGCAATTTCCACTGATATTTACCCCCCTCATGTTATCCTCAAGTGAAATTGTTAAATAGGTGAAAATGTGTTTGGGTTACCCTCATCTTTGCCTTTGATACATACCAATTCTCTTTTGTTTACCCAGCTGAAAACCCTGTATCTTAAGCTCTACCCAATCCTCTCCCACCAGTAAAGGTACCACTCTCAGGATGTCTTCTAACTTGCTACATCATCACAGCCAGTACCTGTCAAGTGTTTAAGGCATCTAGATTCTATTATTATCGTCATTTAATATATAAGTACATTGAGGCAAGGAAGGCTAGGTAACTTGCACAACTTAAAGAGCTAGAGTGTAGAAGAGCTCAGTTTCAAATCCAAATTTTTCTGGCATCAAAGCACCAAAAATTAATTCAGATTCAATCAATTTTGGCCACCAGTTTACAGGGGGTGGGTGTGAGGCACATTCTAAACTCCATTCTATGGAAGGGTTTCTCTTGATGTGCTGCTCTGAATTCATGTGCTTCTGCATGTGAATACCCACATTTGTGCACAAGCTAAGGCCCTGCCTTGTCCTCACTGAGGCTTGAGACTCTTAACACAGGATTTATTCCATGTCAGTTAACCTAGGTCATCCCAGAGTTGGAGATCTGTTTGAGTTTTCTCTAATACTACAGGATGCTGTCTCCCAAGAGTCGGTATTTCCGTCCCATCACATTCCCCGGTAAAAAGTACAATGCATTATTCTGTTTGGGAGAAAGTATCACAATGGCTAACCATCTCTATCCTCATCTACCTGTCTTGTTTCCAAGAAGATGAGATCAGTGCACAGGCATAATCTCTTGTGCATTTAAAAAACATAAGTAAATAGTTTATTTGGGCCAAACTTGAGGACTGAAATGCAGGAGACACAGATGCAAATTACCCTCAGTATATTCTTCCACTAGCAGCCATTACGAATGGATTTTTAAAGGAAAAAATAAGGAGCAGTTTCTAAGTTTTTAGGAAGAATTGACATAAAAATGCTATGTTATTGTTTGCATTGTTCTTTGTATCACAGAGCCTAGGAATATAAAGATAAAAATGGGTAAGGGTCATATTGTGCAATTGGGGGTAACATTTTAGGTAATTTTGTTCACACCAAAAAAACTCCAGTACACTTTAACATCTGTATAAGGATGGCCATGTCAAGCCATGTGATTAATTAAATGATAAGTAGTTACTATGTCTGGTGCATTTATTCATTCAATGTATATTCAGTGACTGTTTTCTCTGTGCCATGTACTGTGCTAGATTCTGGGGATATGATGATCAAAAGAGACATGGTTTTTGGCCACACAGAACCTACCATCTAGAATCCCAATACCCAGTATGTGCTAATAATAACTACATTCATTGACTACTTGTGTGCTTGGTACTTTACACAGAATCAGCTGTAATCTTTACAACAACTGCAACCGTGTGAAGTAAGAAGGCCTTAGCCCCGGCTGGGCACGGTGGCTCATGCCTGTAATCCTAGCTCTTTGGGAGGCCAAGGTAGGTGGATCACCTGAGGTCAGGAGTTTGAGACCAGCCTGGCCAACATAGTGAAACCCCGTCTCTACTAAAAATACAAAAATTAGCCAGTGCGGTGGCACGTGCCTGTAATCCCAGCTATTCGGGAGGCTGAGGCAGGAGAATTGCTTGAGCCCGGCAGGCGGAGGTTGCGGTGAGCCGTGATTGCGCCATTGCACTCCAGCCTGGGCGACAGAGTGAGACCCCATCTCGGGAAAAAAAAAAGAAAAAAAAAAGCCTTAGCCCCATCTTACAGATAAGCAACCTGAGGCTTGGAAAGGTTGAGTCATTTGTTCAGTGTCATGCAGCTAGTAAAAACAAGAGCTGGAATCCAAACAACCTGTGCTTGACTAGAAAGTCAATTCTTTTTATTTTTATTTTATTATTATTATTATTATTATTATTATTTTTGAGACGGAGTTTCGCTCTTACTGACCAGGTTGGAGTGCATGGCGTGATCTCGGCTCACAGTAAGCTCTGCCTCCTGGATTCAAGCGATTCTCTTGCCTCAGGCTCCCGAGTAGTTGGGATTACAGGCACCTGCCACTACGCCCGGCTGATTTTTTGTATTTTTAGTAGAGACGGGGTTTCGCCATGTTGGTCAGGCTGATCTCGAGTTTCTCACGTCGGGTGATCCACCTGCCTCAGCCTCCGAAAATGCTAGGATTACAGGCATGAGCCACCGCGCCCAGCCGAAAGTCCATTCTTTTTATCATGGGTCAGGGAACGGAGTCTAGTCCCAGTGCTCTCTCTTTCGCTCTCTATTACAAAGCAGCTGTTTTAGGGCCTAAGGAAACTGCCTTACCTCTTTATGTTTCATCTATCTTAACATAAAATATGAATGAGAATTACACTTTTACAGAACTACTTAAATGATAAGACTACAAAAATGTTTTCAAAACATTTATGAATATTAAATATTATTGATTTAATAACATGCTCCAATTTTACACTCATGAAAATTTGCAGTAAAGATGAATTATTATTCCTCTTCCAACCTAAGTATATATGAAGGGAAGGCTCATATAGCCTCCTCCCACCCTAAGTGATGTTTTTAGTAAAATTGAAGTTGCCTTTGGCTTCTCATAAGGCAAATCTCAGCTTTCTGGAAATCCATGCCAATGGGTATGATTCAGTTGAAAATCAATTTGACCAAACTGGTGATAAAATAAAAGCTCTGCCCATTTCAATATGACATAAAAAAAGGAAAACATTTAAGCGTACATGAAACAGCACTGCATCTGGCATTGGATTTGCTGAATAAGTTGGATGTTCTTATGTTCCTACTTTGTCTGGCACAGTTCCAGTTTATGCTGTAATAATAACAGCTTTCACTTTTAATTAATAACAGTATTAGTAATTAACTGTCACAGTTGCCAAACCAAAAGAAACAAATATGAAGCATGGTAATTTTGCTTAATTACAAACCAGAACTGAATGAATTTTGCTTTAAAGACCAGAAAGCTCCTTATATGATCAGAAGCCTAATGAAATTATTTAGAAGCATCTACCTCTAGACAACACTCTCTCCTGTGAATGTGGACAATTCCAGCGAAGCACATGGTTAAAAGCTGCTGTTTTGAGAATTTTAGAATCATGAAATCTTAAAGCACAGTACCTACATGTAACCTCAGTTTGTCCACTCTTCCCAGTTAATTCAAAGGTGTCAGATAAAGATCATATAAGTTGTTTACACTGAAATAATTAACACTCTTGTAAAAGACAATCTGCTACATCTCAGCACTGATGTACCGTTTTTCATAAGCACTCAGATGTGTTATTTTACAAAAATGCTAGCCACATATACCATTCTTTTCTCTTCTTCTTGGAATAATCATACTCAGAGGCTGTGTCACTAATGTTTGGGTTCCTTAATATTTGAGAATCCGGAGCATATCTTTTTGTGAGCTAAAGCATCTAGTTATTAACTGGGGGGCCCTGGGGACTTAAGAGTTAATATAGTGGTTCTCAAAATATAGTGCCCAGAACAGCAGCTGTAGCAGTACCTGGGACCTTACTAGAAATGCAAATTCTTAGGCTCCATCCCAGACTCATAGAATCAGTAACTCTGTGGTTGGGCCCAAGAATCTGCATCTTAACAGACCCTCCAAGCAATTCAGATGCAAGCCAAAGTTTGAGAACCAGAAAGCAAATGTAAGTGTCTATCATTTCTGATTTATTATCAGGATGTAAAACTTCTGCAGCTTAGCTCAGGTGCCATGAAGTAGAAAGTTCAGCAACTAACAGACACAGTTGGGTTTGATAGTCGATTGACTTGCTTGATGAAATCCCTGTAAGAAGTTTCAAAATATGGAAAATTGAGCTCTGAAATGTTATGATGTTGGTATTGGCAACCAACACTGCTGAATCGCAGAGAAATACAGGATCCTCCTGCTGTTTCCTTTTTGCTGAATTCCTTTCTGGCCTCTTGGAAAGGTTCCCTTGAGGCAATTCTGAAAATATAAACCTCCCCATGTAAATGAGTTGTTTACCCTCCTGATCATTTGTTAGAAAGCATTGAATTTTGCTGAATCAGGCATAATTGCTTTTGACAAGCATACACATAAAACAGTAAGTGATACTGAAAACGCTCTGTGCAAGTCTCAAAACTTGGATACTCTAGACTCTTAATAATGGGTTATGCTGTTTGGCACAAACAGTCAGTCAAACCAAGAGAATAATGAAAAGTGAGTACTAAAAGTGGGACATAAATGAGATGTAATCCTAATAAAAAGACAGAAAACAAGGCATCAGAGACTTCAAGATGGGGAACTTTTAAACATTAGAAGTTTAACCTAGTCTGTCTCAGCAATACTTAAGAAAGAAATCTATAGAGAGAAAAACTGAGTTCAAGGAAGTGGCCAATTTTTGAGTGTTCCAGGAATAGAAAAAGAAAAAAGTAAAAAATGTAAAGAGTAAGCAAAACTACTTTATATAAAAAAAGCATTTTCTAAATGTAGTAATATTTTTATTCTTTAAGTTTAATTTTCTTTAACACATATTTAACTGAACATTTTCTTTATTTTTAGTTATAAAAATATTAAATTCCAGTGTTAAATTCAAACATAGAAGATTAGAGAAGAAAAGATAAAGTATGCCCCCTTTAATTCTTCTTTTTTTTTTTCAATTTGTACTCTGAGTAACCACTGAAAATTGTTTGACATATATATTTCCAGGCAATTATATATGCATATATATAATTTGAATTACATTTCTATTAATGCATTACTGTATTACATGAAATTGACTAAATAAATATTCACCAATTTTGGAGTATATGTTTGAAGTCATGATGGCATAAACAAAGAGTAACTTCAAAACTGTGCCCTAAATCAAACATCAAAAAGGCAAATATTCAAATTCCATGTATTTTCACTTGGGATAAAGTTATTTCCCTTATGGGTACTAATCTATATCATAAGCTATGATAATTGCAGCAAGTATTTATCTAATTAGTAATGTTTAGGTGTTTCCTGAGAAATAATGGGCACAAAAGCCTTGTTTTATGTTTATTAAACCATAAGATATTATATTTATACATATTGTCATGTATTATAATTTTTTCCCTTGTCTTTATCTAGCATGAACAACTTTCCACGTTAATGTATGCAGATTTACTTCACTCCTATAGAAATAAGAAAACAGTCATCCTATACATAATGACTATACCAGTCGTTATTAAGTGTCTTCCCTATTGATAAGCTTTTGGGTTGTTTTCATTTATTTGGTATAGTAAATGATTCTTCAGTAGTCATCCTTATTCTTTAACCTTTGTGTATTTTTGTATTTTGATATGGTGTATTAGTAGAGGTAGACTTTCTGAATATAAAGAAAGGAACATTTAAAATTTTGATACACACTGCCAAACTACTTTGTAAAAAAAAAGCAACAGAGAATATATTCCCACACTATCACTGAGTCTAAATTTTCTCACTATTAAAACATTTTTGTTCTAGTTGGGAAAAAAAAGTATCTAGTTTCAAGATGCATTTCTTTGTAAGTACATTAAGAACAATTGTGCTATTTGTCTTTTCATTTTCTTGATGGTAAAAAACATCAAGCACAAAAGTTTTCAATTTGGAAGTCTAATTTATCTTTATCTTTGTGGCTTATGTTTTTGGCATCATATTTAAGAAACCGTTGCCTAATCAAAGCTCAAAAATACATACATACATGTTTTCTTATAAGAATTTTGTAGTTTTAGACCTTACACTTAGGTCTTTGACCCATTATGCAATTTTGTGTATTGTGTGAGATAGGAGTCCAACTTTATTCTTTTGCAAGCAGATATCCAATCGTCCCAACATTATATGACAAAAAGACTCTTCTTTCCTCCATTGGATTGCCTGGCATTCTTGGCAAAAATCAATTGACAGTAAACGTGAAGGAATCCCAACTCTATTTCATTGATCTATGTTTAAGATCATACAGTCAATGTTTATGCCAGTATCACACAGTCTTGATTGCTGTAGCTTTGTAGTAAGCTTTGAAACTGGAAAATGTGAGCCATCTAACTATACTCTTTTTCAAGATTATTTTGGCTATCTTGCTGTCTTATATTTCAATGTAAATTTTATGACCACTTCATCTACTTTCACAGAAACCATCTGGGATTTTGATACAATTGCATTAAATCTATAGATCAATTGGGGGAGTATTACAATATTAATAATATTAGGCTTTCTGATTCATGAACTTGGGATGCTTTTCCATTTATTTAGGTGTTCTTATTTCAACAAGATTTTATAGTTTTTAGAGTATAAGTTTTGTACTTCTTTTGTAAATTTATACCTAAGTATTTTATTTCTTTGATACTATTGTTAGAGAAGCTATTTTAAATATCTATTTTGGATTTCTCATTTCAAGTGTATGAAACTACAGTTGATTTTTGTCTATTGGAAGTACTTAACTAGATTATTAGTTCTAAAAGATTTGCAATGGATTCCCTACAATTTTCTAAATACAGGAACATGTCATCTTGAAACAGAGATAGTTTTACTTTTTCCTTTCTAATCTGGATGTCTTTTATTTTCAGTTTCTTGCCTAATTGCCCTGGGTAGAACTTCCAGTACAATGTTCAATATAAGTGGTAAGAGTAGACATCTTTCTTTTGCTTTTAGTATTAGGGGAAAGCATTCAATCTTTCACTTTAAGTATGATATTAGCTGTGAGTTTTTTGTAGATGCCCTTTATCAGGCTGAAAAATTTCCCTTCTATTCTTAGTTTGTTAAATATTATCACGAAGACATTTTGGATTTTGGCAAAATCTTCTTCCACATTTATGGAGATAATCAGGTTGCTTTTGTCCTGTAACAAAGGACAATTCTATTGACACAGTAAATTATATTCATTTTTCTGATGTTAAACTAACCTTGCATTCCTATAATGAATCCCATTTGGTCATGGTGTGTCATCTTTTCACATGTTGCTGGATTCAGTCTGGCATATTTTTTTTCTATATTCATAAAGGATATTGATCTGTATTTTTCTTGTGATATCTTTATCTGATTTTGGTACTAAAATAATACTGGCCTCATAAAATTAGTTGGAGAGTGTGCCATCATTTTCAGTATTTAGGAAGAGTTTTTGAAGAACTGATATTAATTATTCTTAAATGTGTCATAAGATTTACCAGTGAAACCATAAAATACTGGGATATTGTGAAGGGGATAAAGAAACATTTTTAATCATAAATTTAATCTTTATAGGTTATAGGGTGATTTAAATTTTCTATTTTTTGAGTCAGTTTCAGTAGTTTGTGTCTTTCCTAGAATTTGTTGATTTGATCTAAGTTATATAATTTGTTGATACACAGTTGTTCCTACTATTTCCTATATTTCCTTTTATTTTTGTAAGGTGAGCATGCATATTCTCCCTTTCATTCTGGATTTCCTGATTTTTATGAACTTAAGGTTAGTTGGTTGATCAGTCTAAAGATTTTTCAATTTTGTTGAGTTTTTCAAAGAACCAAATTGTTTTAAGTTATCTTTATTGTCTTGAAACTCTCTATTTTATTATTTTAGCTATAATCTTTATTATTTCTTTCAGCTTGCTTCAGATTTAGCTTGCAGTTATTTTTCAAGTGTCTTATGGTAGAAATTTAACTTACTAATTTGATTTCTTTTTCCTTTTTTTAATATAGCTGCTCGCAGATATAAATTTTCCTCTAAGTAGGGCTTTGGCTGCATCCCATAAGTTTTAATATGTTTTTTTCTTCATTTCATTCTTTCCAAAATATTTTCTACTTTCTATTATGGTGTATTCTTTGACCCATTGGTTATTTAGGAATATGTTATTTAATTACTACATATTTGTGAATTTCACAAATTCTTTTCTTGTTGATTTCTAATTTCACTTTATTGTAGTTGGAAATTGTATTCTGTATATTTCAATCCTTTTAAATTTATTGAGACTTCTTTTGTGACTAAGAATATGGTCTATCCTGAAAAATGTTTCATGTACACTTTAGAAGACTTTGTATTCTGCTTTATTGTTTTAAATAATACCCTATGACATAAAGTATTCCACACTCTCAAACAATTAAGATTTGGGTTCCTTTGCAAGGGTAGTTTTTGAGGCCATGCTTTGAAGTTTGTTCTGTTTCCAGAAGAATTCTTCATAGCTGTCTCTTTTCGTGCTCCTCTCTGGTAAACTATCTGGCCTATAGTTTAGCTTACTGTTCTCATTAAACTATCAGCTGCCTCTTAACAGCCTACCACCAAAATTTCCATCGTTTTTGGTAGTTAAATTTGAGCTTTCCCACACTCTGTTGCAAATAACGTCAGTTCATTTGTGGAGAGATTCAAACCTCTCTGTTTCTATTGACTTCTCTCCTTGGGCAAGATCTCTGGGCCCCTGCTCTGACTTGAGGGCAGGAACTGTGGCCCACTTCTCTCAGAGTGACATCCTTGCTTTATGAACAGGATTCTGGGTGAGACAGTAGTCTCCAGATATTTGATTTGCCTCCTCTCATGTGGAATCTCAACTCAACAAGAGAGCTGGGTGAGGGCAATTAGGGTCCCATTATTCCCAGCTTAACTGATTTGAAGTAAGGACTCCACCGACAAATGGCAAGTGGGTGGAGGAAGGGAGCTCCCAACCACTCAGCTGCACTTGGTGGGAATTTGATCTGTACAACCTGGAGTTGTTTGGAGGGCATGGAGAAGGGGAGCTGAGAAATGCTGGAGGCCTCCCACTCTGGTGAGACACCATATCCTTGGTGAGAGGCGAGAGGAGAGAGATCCCTTCTTCTTGGCCAAATCCACCTGCAGTAGAGCCTGTCTCAAGCTGAGGTAGGGGGGTAGAAGAAGAGAGCTATAGCTTGAGAGCCATAGCTTAAGTGCCACAGACTCTCACTGTTCTCATTAATTCAGTAGATTTTCTTGAGTGTTTTTTTTCTTTTAGGTTTTTCTGTATGCCACTAAGACAATTTCTGGAGTTTAAGTGGTTGGAGTTATATATATATACAATATATGTTATATATTATATATAATTTTATATAATATATTATATATTAATATAATATAATATGATATATTATATTTTATTAGTATACCTTCCTCCTGCTTTGAGGGAATAATTTTATATTTTATATAATATATATTTATATGTTGTATAATTATATTTTATATATTTATATAATATATGATAAATTTAATTATTATTTATATATAATATATTATATAATATTAATTTATTATATAAAATGTAATATATTGTAATATATAATTATATAATATATAAATATATAAACAATAATGACTAAATTAATTATATATTCTAATTATATAATATATTATATAATAAATTATATAATATATTATATAATAAATTATATAATATATTATATAATAAATTATATAATATATACTATAGTATATATTATATTATCGATAATATAATATATACTATAGTATATAATCTATAATATAATATATACTATAGTATATATTATATAATTTATAATATAATATACATTGTATATAATATAATATAATATAATATGTATTATTTATAATATAATATATATATTATATTATAGAATAATATATTATAATATGTTATATGTTATATTATATTATATATTATGTATTATGCATTATATATAATATATTATATTATATGTTATATGTTATATAACATATAACATATTATATATTATATTATATTCCAATATAACATATTATATATTATATTCCAATATATTATATATTATATTCCAATAATATGTTTATATATTATTATATATAGTATATTATATATAATATATAATATATAGCAATAAATATATTATATATAATATATTTTATATTATATTACAATACATTACAATAATATTATATATTCCAAATATATAATATTATATATAATTTTTACCTGCTATGGTTATATGTGTATAATATAATATGTATAATTTTCACCTGCTGTGTCTGTTTTGCTGTGAAACAGTTCTGCAGAGCTCCTTCTACTGCCATTCCAGAAGTCTCTTTATCTAGTTCATTCTTATTTTTTAAAAGTTATTTCAATAGGATATTGAGTGACGAGAAAGTGAAATATAGGCTCAGACCACTATCTTCTAAAGCTAAGTGAAAGGACAGCAAGTGTAATAGCTGACTACTACAACTTGAGCTAGACCTTCTGAGTCAAATCTCAGCTCCTGTATACAAATTATATTTCCATGCCTCTGTTTCCTCACCTGTGGAATAGGAAAAATATTCTACCTTATCAAGTGATTGTCAAGATTCAGTGATTTAAAACATGCAAAACCATCAAAACAGTGTTGAGTATGTAGTAACCCATAAGTAGTAGCTTTTATGGTTATTATTTTGTTTGGATGTTTTTAATACCAGGCCAGACATGCTAGGGAATCACAAACAAAACAGGGTATCAGGCATTTGGTTATCTTTTTGTAAAAATGCAAAATTTTGGCTGTCCCTTCAATCAATTCTCAAATCAGATTCGTCAAGGAGAGGACTCTGGCGAAGGTCAGAGGTGATTTCTTTGAAGCCAGCTAGCATCAGCCCATAGGGGATCATCAGGGAGCCACAAGTCCTAATTTAAAAAAAAAAAAAAAAAAAAGTACCTGCCTAAAGACATGCTGACCAATTCATTTTGAATTCATAAAACTTTGTAGTCTTATTCATTTGTTTGTTCATTCAACACACTTTTAGCAAACACTATATTCAAGGTACTATGCAAGGAATTCCAACATGAATACAATGCAGTGATTCCCCCTAGAAATTCACATACATGTATTTATACAGTTGCCATATTCATAAGTAACTGGAATACAATGCAGTATAAAAATGCCACATGAAATATCCATCAGGAAAGCTTCTTTGATGAGCAGAGTTCCAAGTTGGCTCTTAGAACATATCCCAGACATGGAGTGATGAACAGTGACTGCCATCAGCCCTTCCTAGACCAAGATTATTAATTATTTTCCCCAACCTACCATAAAGGGTTGTTCAGTCTTCAGATCTATTGCCTTATGTTTAAGGAAAACAGAAGAGTGATAAAAGGAGCTGCAGTTACTGTATGTTCAGGGTTGCTGCCTCGATGAATGCTTGGAGGCAGTCGATTCTTCTAGCACATGAGAGGGCCAGCACAGCTATTCCTCTGGCAAAGGGACCAGTTACAAATTCTACATTTTACCACTATCCATCAGCTGCTGAAAAGCTGACTGGTCTTTCACTGTGGCTCTTCTTGTCACTGAGTTTGGTCATAAACCTTTTGGTCTAGTAGGATATTTAGAGTAGATGTTAATTCAAGAGCACATGTACATATTCCAGTACTAAGATACAAACTATAAACTAAAGCTAAGCCTTAACCAAAGAATAAACTGCCTACCCAGAAAGCCATATAACCCACGCCTGAATTTAACAGAAAAAAATAAATAAAAAATAAACCCCTGCCATTTACTTTCAGAGGACAATAGAATGTTGAAGACTATTGAATTTTCTATTCATGTTTCAGCTTAAAATCTATTTTTTTTAACTAATAATATTCTTCTCAATGTTCCTCCTGCTTTGAGGGAAGGGGAGGAAATGAATGCCCAGAGCAATCCTAACTGTTTTAGGTTGAGAGTGGGTGGGAGAATGGCTCCCCACACCCCATGACCTGGCAGCTGACCCGCTGGGTATGGCATTGTGCCACCCATATATTATTGAAACAGCCTGAGGCATAGCCAGCAACCACACATGTGGCAGTGGAGCTGCCCCCAGAAGAGCTCACTGTACCCTCTCAAGAGGAACATTGCTCCACCCACACTCACTGGCTGGAATCTATGTATCAGGGATTGGGGAAAGTGTGGCTAAGGACTGCTGCTTCTTCTAGAATAAACATTCAGCCTTCTGGGTGAACATCTACTTAAATATCCACCTGCTCCCTCAAAGAGGAGGGTGCATTGCAAGTTCAAAATAAATATGTATAAGTTGCTTTGAAGGCAGAGGGAGCTAGGTGCCCCCGCCGCCTCCTCCCAAAGTCTAGGCTTTAAAAGGGACTGGTTCATAATGGGGCAGTGGTTCAGGAAAGTAGCCTGGCTGGAGCAGAAAGATAGTCTGTCTACTCAGGGATTAAAAAAAAAAAAAATTCCCGTGGTGCACCTGCCAATAATCAATGTGAGCACACTCTCACTGTCACTTACTGAGAAGTGTTTTCCTGCCCTCTTCAGCACACTCATCTTGTTCTATCCTTTTCTACCTTTAAATTCCCTTCTAGACTGTCCTTGTGTTCCTTGGGATCTCATTTCAGCTGCATAAAATCATGTTCTGATCTTGTCTTTATTCAAACTTTTGATACAGTGACTACTTTAGACCCCCTCCAGATTTTGTTCATCATGGGATTTTTGCAATAATTTTTATTTTTAAAAATATTGCATTCAAATATCATTTATCTTAATTACTGAGGTTATTCAGCACTGCTGTATATTGTAAATTTTGCTCCTGAAGCAAGTTACTCACTGGCATTGCCCTAGTCTTGACCCTGATGAGTAGAGTTATTTTCTGAGACTGGTATACCAACCACTGCCTTCCCTCGGTCATGGTCAAGAGTTAAAACTCTTTGGAAGTATTAATACATCCATGAAGACGTGGAGTTCCAATAACGAATTCCTTAGAAGTAGAGCCAGTATTCTGAAACCCAGCAAGGCAATAGCTTGTCTGTCTTTCTTCCCTGCAACTTTGCTTCCATGGGATTATTCTAAGAATCTTCTAGGGAACTTTTGAGCATAGCCTAAAGACACATTCTCTATTACATTATTTTTCTGTTCTTGTATTGAGTTTTTCTATGAAGTGCTCCTGTAAGTATAAAATATTAGAGTCCAATGAAGAGAATTTCTCAAGGGACATATTTATTCCAAGATAATAGTCTCCCGATGGCATGTGAATGCTGATTAAGCAAAGGGAAAACATTACAGAAGATAAATGATGAAGCAAAGCTGACAAGTTTATTTTCAAAGCAGGAGGCATGGCTCCTACCATAACTTTCAGCTATTGTGATTGTTTCTATTATTCCACATGATTGATGCATGTTTAATGATTTTTATCTGCTGTGTCCGGGAACTGCAAAATTGCAAATGCTTGGGCTAGTGTATGCTTCTTTCTTCACAAGTGAGAATTGTTTTATCTGCAAAGCAGAGATCTCACTTTTAAAGCTAAGTTGCCCTTAGAAAACCAGCTGGTGTGACTCTTTCAGCTTGAGGGATGCAGTCCAGTTACCAGATTTGACATCATGGTCCCTGTGCCCCCAATAACATCTACATTTGCATGAAATTTTATTTGTATGGTTTTATTCCCATGCTCATATTGCCATTTTGCAGTAGGTTAGACAGTTATTAGTTGTCTTCCAGTTTAACAGGGGAAGAAAATGAGACAAAGAGAAGATAAATGGAAATGTGTACTGTGCATTTAGTCAGCAGTGGACTCAGGGCTGTATGCACACTCACTCCTTTGAATCTATGGCCTTTACTCTTCACTTAACTAAATGGAAGCTTCTGGTTAATTTTTATGCTGAGATTATTAATATAGTTACAAATACACGGTGACCCACCTATTTTATATGTAGATTATATTCCTTTTTAGTTTCCTGGAGCGAAAGCATGTCCAAGAGCTCACCTCTATGTTTCTATTTTTACCTAACTCCCACCCTTAATCCTATTAAGAGGTCATCCCAGTTTCTAGCTGAGAAGAATTAGAGAAAGGGAATGAATCCTGAGCTATAGAAACAAGAGACACTCTTTTAAAAAATTGGTCTCTGAATTTGTTTTACAAGAAACTGGATAAGACAGGCAAACAATTTGTTTTACAAGAAACTGAGGTTTCTTGTAAAAGTAGGTTACAAGAAACTGAGAATAAAAATGGCTGTTTTTTCAGCACTTTTTATTCTATTATATTTGTTATTGTTTCCTCTCATTTACTCTGATCTCTTCCTCAGGGACAGACATTATTCCTATCTGGAGATGCCTCCTATGTCTGTAATATCTAATCTTTTCTGAAATCATTTCTGTCTCTTCACTCCTTTAGATTCTGGAATACATTTCAACTGTGTCCTCCAACTCACTTCATTTATTTTCCAGTTTCAATTGCACTAGTTATTCTTCTAACACAAGTGTAATCCTATGATCACAGTTTGGTTTTTATCTTATCCTTTCTCTATCACATTTACAGTTCTCTATTTTTTTCTGCCTGCCTCCAAGCCAGAGAAGTGTGTGTGTTTGTGTGTGTTTGTAAACCTCAGTCTGCTGTTTTATTATCTCATGTTTAATCTCTTAGTTCCTGGAGTTTATGTGTTCCTGATTTTCAATAAGAATCCAAGCAGACATTTGTAAAGTTAAATTTCATTTCTGCAAATGCCTGTATTTCCCACAGCACCTTTATTGAAATGCTCTTGTCCGTACTATGGAAGCTTTTTAATGGACCCCTTGATGTTTTGTTCTGCTACTCATGCATGAATGAGAAAATGGACATCTAGGTCCAGGAATTCCTCGCAACAGCACAGGTAGATGCTTCTAAGTTCCTAGATTACTCTTTAAAACCCTTTCTAGAACATTAAACTAGAGAACTGGCATATGTGAATAACTAGACACCTGAGAAGTCCAGGGGATACAGGAGAACCCCAAAGAATGAACAAGCCCCACAATAAATTCTGCACTGGTGCCAGTCTTTCCTAGTGAAGCTATGGAGCACAATTGAAGGCCTCACCACCTAATGGGCCTTCACATTCAGGCAGCCCTTGACTGGACATTCCTATTTGCCCAGGGATCATGTTCAGACCTCCATTGCATTCCATTTTTTGCCTTTGCCAGTGACATAAATCCCTCTTATGGGTATTGAAATGCTGCTCATTTCCAAGCAGTTCGTGGAGTCCTAGAAGACTGCTCCCAAGACATTTTGATGTAACAAAGTTAGAGTGATATCAGGGTTACATTTAGATGTAAGCGTTTGAACACAGTCTTGTGTCCAAATGGACCTGCGAAAGTATAACATTATTGTTCTCAATTACCAGCTACAGTCTGCACAGACTTTCCAGAACCCAGTGCTGATTATGGTAGATTTATACATTTCTGTAGTTGTTTTGTTTTTTATTTTGCTTTGTAATTTTTTTGTTGTTGTTCTTTGGGGATTTTTTTTTTGTTTGGTTGTTCGTTTCTATATTGCTGGTTTTTTTCTCCAAATATGAAATCCTTAGAGAATCAAGTCAGTACAAAGTCTCTGTTGAATATGGGCTCTAGAGTCAGATGACTTAAAATTAAATTCTGACTCCATCACTTACTAATTGCATAACCCTGAAAATTTCCATGTGCCTCAGTTTTCTCAGGTACAAAATTGGGGGTGGGGGAGTTGGAGGGTGAATAATAGCACTAAACCCAGTACTTTTAAAAAATTAGGATAAATGAGTAAATATATGTAAGGCTTTAGAATTGTGTCCACAATCAATTTTAGATAGCATTTAAAAATTTTTTCTTCTAAGTAGTAAACAAATGCATGCTTTCTGAGAAATATTTGAAACATTCTAAAGAATATAAGATTTAAAAAAATTAAAGTCCACCTTCCTGATCCTTCTAGTGTAGACAGAAATTGAATTGCAAAAAACAGACATTCTCTTACTCTGGCTAATCAAATGGAAAGAGCAAGAGAAAAGTAATCTAGTGAAAGTGGGAGGACCATTCCTTAGAACCCAAGGACATAAACCTTGGGTTCTTCAAGGTTTGGCACTTGAGCCAAAACCAGGGAGGGCAAAGTCACCAAAAGCCAAAGCAGCTCATCTGTCCCCTCTCTCTTTTCTAAACTCTCATTTTCTTTTTTTTTAATTTAATTTAATTATTATTATTATTATTTTTAATTGAGATGGAGTCTCACTCTGTCACCCAGGCTGGAATGCAGTGGCCCAGTCTCAGCTCCGCTGGGCTAAACCCTCATTTTCTTTCATTCTCTCTGTGCACCTGCTTCTTTCCATTCTTAGTTTCTCTCTGCAAGCAGATTTCTTTTGTTTCATTGGACATGCCCAAGGCTGACTTTCAGCCCCCAAGAGAGGTGTATTTCTAGGCAAAGAGCCCACAGCTGCCTCACTGATTTCTAGGGAACTAGGAGAATGGGCAATCTCTGCCACATATTGTGCATGCAATAAATGTTAACTTATGACTTAAAGGGCCTAGATATGTGATTCCAGAGTTTCATAAGTATATGTGACCCACAGATCATTTCCATATGACACAGAACATCATAGACCACATATTCTAACCAAAATTATTGAGACATGCTGTTTTTAAACAGACATTAATGAGGGCCATAAACTGATTCATTCTAAACTACAAAGACAGCATAAATGTGGTTGTATGTAAATGCTAGCGTTACAAGAGGCCAGCTAAAAGACCACCTGGAGAATCCTTAAGGCCCACCAGTGGTCATCAGACCACTTTGACTGCTGCCGTTTTATGTCTATTTATGTGTCCTAAGAGCAAGCTTGCTGTTTTAAATGACACAGCTTTATTGTTTAGTTATGATGAGTGCCAGATCTTTTTCCTGCTCCGAGGAGACACAAGTTTAAAATCAATTTTATTACTCTTTTTAATGTTCAATATAATAGAAAATTTAGTTTACAAAGACTCACAAGTATAAGACAAGTGCTTCTACCCGCACCATCATGAAAACAGAAATACCACTGAAAGAATAGAAGAAACAGAAAAAATTAAAAATGCGCTTTCCTCTGAGCTTTCTTTCTCCCTACCAAGTTCTGCTCCTTTTCCCTATTGCTGTCCTTTGAAGTCCACCTTTGAATTTGGCACTGAGCAGAATGGCCATTAAAGATTCCATTTAGGCTGGGCGCCGTGGCTCACGCCTGTAATCCCAGCACTTTGGGAGGCCGAGGCGGGCGGATCACGACGTCAGGAGATCGAGACCATCCTGGCTAACACGGTGAAACCCCGTCTCTACTAAAAATACAAAAAAATATTAGCCGGGCGAGGTGGCGGGCACCTGTAGTCCCAGCTACTCGGGAGGCTGAGGCAGGAGAATGGCGTGAACCCCGGGGGGCGGAGCCTGCAGTGAGCCGAGATCGCGCCACTGCACTCCAACCTGGGCGACAGCGAGACTCCGTCTCAAAAAAAAAAAAAAAAAAAAAAAAGATTCCATTTAGCTAAATGTGCCAAGTGAAAGTAAATGCCAATGGCTTGAATGAATACACTGCCTGGAGTCCTGGGAGTTACAAAGAGAAGGTGCTTGTATAGGTCAGGGACACTGGGCCTCAAAGCAGCCACCAACTACAGATGGATTCTGGATCTGAGCAGCAAATGTAGATTTGTGGAATTAAGATTCCCAGCCCTCAAGGCAGGAAGTCTGATTAGGAAAGCTTGAAAAACCAGTGTTCAGGAGGAAATAACTAAAGGACATTTTCTAGGTGTTTCGTGTTTTAAGAAGTAGTAGAACAACTAAATTCTCTGCCATCTCCTCCAGACTTGTGTCTTAAAAAATGTTAAATACCATTTCTATGGAACAAGCCTGAAAGAGGAGACCCATGCTAACTAAAAATGTGGGAGGAAATGTATAGAGAGGGAGTCCTGACCTATGTTTCACTACTGCAAATCCTTGAGTACTGGAACTCAAGGACTTAATCTGCAATGCGAGGTTTGTGATAGGATATATTTACCTTTAGGATCCCTTTTGGGTTTAGAATCTTCTTTTGTTCTTCTGAAGCACAATACTATTCTGCTAATGATTTCATATGCACTGAGTTTCATAGTATAGTAGTAAAGAAGGCAGTGCAACGTTAACATCAAGGAGGCATAGATTTTAACATTCTTTTCTCCTCTAAATCCGTATCAGTCATTATGTTGGTGAAGATACCCATCTTCCCTTTCTTAAACTTCACTGAAGAAAAGATTTATATACATATAAAAATTTTATATATTACATATGATTATTTGTATATGTTTAGATTAAAATATACTACACACACACACACATATAAACACACACACATATCCAACAAAGCATTAGCTTTCAAAATATGTAAAAACAAAACTACAAATTACTAGAGAAAAGAAAACAGGTTTATAGAAACATGATCAAAAGACTTGAAAAGGCATATCACACACACACACACAAAAGGACAATTCAGTGGCCAATAAACATATGAAAAGATGTTCAATGTCTTTGATAATCTGGGAAGTGTAAACTAAAACCACAGTGAGGTAATAGATAGAATGGCAAAGCTAAAAAGTGTCACAATGTCAAGTGATGATTGAGGATCTGCAGCAAGAGAAACATTAGTACACTCTAGGTGGGAAGGCAAATTTGTACAGCAACTCTGGAAAACAGTGCAACTTCGTACAGTAAATCTGACATCTATAATCCAGCACAGTAACCCAGCATTTATACCACGAGAGATACACCTTAGAGAAATGCATGGCTATGTTCCAGGGCACGTGAACAAGCATGCTCGGAATAGCCACAAGCTGGAAACGACCCACATGTTAACCAACATGGATGTCTTTATACCCTGGGATACTATAGAACAAAGCAAATGAAAAGGCTGTAGCTAACCACCAACTTGGATGAGCAACACACTGAGTAAAGGAGCCAACACACAAATGAATTTTTATACTATATTCCCTTGATATAAAATTTTACAACAGGAAAAATAAAACTATATTTTTGGAGGACGCATACAGTGGTAGTAAAACTATAAAGAAAAAAAATCAAAGAAAAAATCAAACACCGTAAGAGTGATTGTGTTGAGGAAGAAAGGATGTTGCGATGAGAGAAGGACACAGGGGTTTCTAGAGAGGGTGATATTTTGTATTTCCTGCCCTGGGTGAGAGTGACATGGATGTTCTCTTTGTAACTACTTTGCTAAACCCTACTTATTGGTTTTCTCTTCTTTTCTGAATGTGCATTATGTCACAATTTAAAATGTTCAAAAGAAGGGAAAGAAGGAAAAAGATTAGCAGATGATATGTGAAAATTAGAATCAATACTGTGGCAGCAAACCATTGCTGATTGAATCTGAATGAAAGGTATGGGAGTCAAAGATCTGATGTAGAAAATTTCCAAAATTAGGAAACCTACTACTAAAATTAGGAGCGTTTTTATTCACCAGAACAAGCAAACTGTGAGCCAAAAATGCTCCTTTTATCTTATCTTACTTTTACTTTCTTTGGAAAGGAATTCAGAGATCTAAACTGTCTGTGGGTGCCCAACTATGTAGAGGGTAACAAGTTACCCTGTTAAAAATGGCTAAACAAGTTACTCATTTCATAATAAGTAACTTTTCTCTAAGGCCAGTAATAATGCAGGACAATCAAATGGATCTTTGAAAAGTGAAAGACTCACTCTCTGGTTCCTGCATATGAATCACCCACCTGAATATTCACCTGCAACCTTAGTTCATTATTTCTTTTTTTCCTTATTTCCATCAACAGTCTATTATTTTGCATAGTTCACCTAATTTATCTGTGTTTCTATTTAATCTGGTATTTCTTCACAAAAGATGGAAATGGGCAAGATACATATACAAGATGTTGCAATGTTGCAATATTAATAAAAGAAACTGAAGTTTTACATATATAAAAACTGAAGATATAGACATATAAACTGAAGATGTATATGAAGATATTTATATATCAATAATAGCATCTAGATGTTTTAATTAATACATTAATTAGTAAAAGCTAGATGATTTATTAATATATATACAAACTGAAGAGAGATATATATAACTGAAGATATATATATATATCTATATATATCTATATATATATATATATAGATATATATCTCTTCGGTTGCTTTTATTAATGCAACATTCTCAGCCTTGGCTACTTCAGCTTAAATGGTTCCAGTTTTTGGTAGATTCCTAGTATTTCCCATCTTTTTTTTTTTGTTCATGTTTTACCAATCTTTATAATGCATATGATCATAATGCAGATATTTATTTTCTCTTTACAAGGATTTTCTATTATATTAAAATGTGAACTACTCAGAAAAAATACATCCAGAGGTCATTCACCATCAAGAATCCTGCTATGAGACTGGATCGTCTTTCTGTGCATTCTGCTGGTCACCCAGCATCTGAAGGTGTTGATGCTGTCATGTGGCCCACTGGAGCATAACAGCATGTGTAGATATAAACATCTTTTCTTTT